>NC_000004.12:105171381-105796381 GCF_000001405.40 Homo sapiens
TCCAAGTATAGAGAACTTTCTGAAATTAAAGAAGCATTGATTAATAAGTTTTAATATATGTTATTGATCATAATAATATGTAATCATATAACCAAATAAGATAACACAGGCCATCTTTTGTTCTTTAAAAAATGACAGGAAGATTAGAATAAGAGAAAAAATTAGAGGTCAAAACAGTTTTCTTCAAACCAGTAGTGTAACTTACTGAGATATCTTCTGTAATCCTTAAATTCTGTATTGATGCTACCAAGATGCAACTCTTGAGCTACAACTGCCTCTTGATAAAGGATGCTGGTCCCTGCTGCCAGTGTAATGTTTGCTCATTTACAGTGGAATGTACAATATAGTACCTGGGATGGTGAAGAAGGTGAAGCAACAAATTTAAAATAGCTGTGGGTAAACCTACAGAAACAGACTATTCTCTTTCTTCCAGATTGCATTATTCATTTTCATATGCCTGCCTTTATCTGCTTTGGAAGCCTATTTCCTAATCTTCCAAGATTTATCATCACCTTCATATGTCCATAGCATGCATTTCTCAGACAGGTAAGATAGAATTGGTATATATTTGGTATAGCAAAAAGTCAAGGTTGTCTTTAGATTATATCCTTGGTTTTTCATGTGGTACTGGGGAGAAAGCCTACTGTTTCTTCATCTATAAAATGAAGGACCTGGGCAAGATAACATTCTGTGAAATTTCACTGAACTTTGAGCTCAGCAAAGTAGGGATGCGTGTGTGTGTGTCTATTTGCAATGCATCACAGACCTTAAATAAATACAGTTGACCCTTGAATAACATGGAGGTTAAGAGCACCAACCCCCTGCACTGTCAAAAATCCACATGTAATTTTTGACTCCCCAAAAACTTAACTACTAATAGCCTGCTGTTGTCTGGAGGCCCTGCTGATAACACACACAGTTGACTAACACATATTTTCTATGATATGTATTGTGTACTATATTCTTACAATAAACTAAGCTAGAGAAAAGAAACTGTTATTAAGAAAATCGTAAGGTAAAGAAAATATATTTACTATTTATTAAATGGAAGTAGATCATCATAAAGATCTTCATCCTTTGTTGTCTTCACCTTGAGTATGCTGAAGAAGAGGAGGAAAAGGATGGGTTGGTCTTGCTGTTCCAGGGGTGGCAGAAGTGGAAGAAAATTCACATATAAGCAGTCCATGCAGTTCAAACCTGTATTTTAAGGTCAACGGTATTTGTTACATTGCATTTTGTAAGTGACCTTGTTAATTTTTTTCAATGAAAAAAATAGTGTTCCATTCAAATGCCTGTATGTTTATGAGAAACATTTCAGAACTATGAAAGTTGAATTCAAGGTTTCTTGCAGATTGTTTGTATACTTTCTGTAATGTTTGTCATATAATGAGAATACTAATGGTCTTACAACTTGAAACTGATTAACTGATTAACTCTTTAAGCAACTTAAAAAGAAAATCTTTCAGTGAGGAAAGAGTATTCATCAGAAGTATTCTAGTAGATGACATATTTTTGGTAATGAAATTGATATGGGCAATTAACAGCTTTTTCCAAGTTGGCTATGCTGCTACTCTCTTATTATACAATGATACTATTTTTCAGAGCAGAAAGCAAATTAGTTTTATTTTTATAAACCAAATTTTAAATATCCCTTTAGAGAATAGAAAATATGAAAAAGTATTTGCTTCTCAGACCTCTCAACAATATAAATTTTCTTCTTAAGAGGAAATTTATTCTTGCATGCCAACACAAAGGATAAAAAGTTTACCTATCCTTAGTTTCTAAGAGGAAAATGTGCATAAAATTTCCATCTGCTGTGTGCCAGTTACCAAAACGATAAGTTCCAACTCAATCTTGGTTGGGTGTGGTGGCTCACGCCTGTGATCCCGGCACTTTGGGAGGCCGAGGTGGGCAGATCACGAGCTCAGGAGTTTGAGACCAGCCTGGCCAATATGGTGAAAACCCGTCTCTACTAAAAATACAAAAAAAAAAAAAAACAAAACTAGCCCGGCATGGTGGTGTGCTCCCGTAGTCCCAGCTACTTGGGAGGCTGAGGCAGGAGAATCGATTGAACCCAGGAGGTGGAGGTTGCAGTGAGCCAAGATTGCACCACTGCACTCCAGCCTGGGCAAAAGAGGGAGACTCTCTCTCAAACAAACAAAAAAGACTCAATCTTACTAAAAAACTGCAGAGAAGAATGAGTCATTTTAGTCAATAAAGGAAATAAAGAAATTCTAGTTTTGAAAATGACATAATTTGCTACAAGAATGCAAAGGTGATGACATGAGGAAAAAAGGGGTTTGCTGATTTGTTTTCTCTACTACTCAGCAAATGCAGGCCAGGAACCCATTTATTCAAATATTTATTACATGGTAAATTAAAACATTTATAAAATTAGGCTCATATTCTTAGAATTCCTGTTAACAAAGTGACATATAAACAAGATTATAATCTAATGGAGATTAATATTGGTTGAGAAAAATCTTGAGACTTCTTTAAGACTTCAGTTTAATAAAATATTGACTTAGGTAGATATATGTGAGGAAATATATATTTTACCCATGCATGCAAAAATGATGTATGTATTTCTTAAAAGAGTAGGTAGCAATGACTTCAAAGGACCATAGCTGTCCCTATCAACATATATATTAACAAAACAATTAGAAACATGAGCTTAGTATGCTAATTATATTTCTACCCAAAGCCTCAATTTGTTCTATAGCTATACTGTTCATATATAAGTAAAATTTTAGGGGTATCAGAGAGAGTTAGAAAAGAGCAAATACATGTATGAATTTGATAAGCCTATCCCTTAATTTGATAGATCTTAAAAGATATTTTATCACTGCATTCTTCTAAAGAAATGTATTTGTACATTGCAAAACAACCCTTTTTGAGAAGTAGACTATGATCACAGATTTTCTTGCCACTAGTATTTCCTAAGATTTATTTGGAATAGAAGATCGATATTTTTCTGGGATGACATATGGTTAAAAAGTAAAAAACAAAACAAAACAAAAAACTCTTTAAAAACACAACAAGTAAAAAGCTGAATGAATTGGAAAATTAACGAATCTTCTTAGATCTGTCAGAAAAATGAGATTATAGGGCAAACCACTGCATCAAATATTAGAGAAGCAGACAGGTAGATAGAAAGAATCACAACTTAGTGGGGCAAAAACCTACAAGGAAAATTTTTGTGGGAACCGGTGCCAGGTAGGAAAACATGAACTGTAATTGAAAAATTGTTCAGTGTGGGCGGTTGTTCAGTGTGGCAAGTCTGAGGGTTAAAAACTCCAGGAGGACTCACTTACGGAAGGGCCTGTACTTTTGTGAGTTTAACCTCCAGGAGTGTTCACAGTGACTACTGGAGAAAATTCCCTAAGGGGAGAAGAAAAGGAACCATCTTGAAATATGTCAGAGCATTTTGTTGGACTCAAGCCTGCTCTCAAGTGAAACTATTTTACCAGAGCCTAAACTTTTGGGATTTTATAAGAGTGTAACCTCCCAAAGGGAAGGGAAATACCTAAGTTCAGCCCCCTTTTAGCTTTCCACATAGGGAAAGGAAAATATATAACTCTGGACAACTCAAACCATCCTGTCCACGTTAGGGGGCCTAGGGGAACTGAGAAAACTGGTGAAGTTCATAGTCCATGGGTACAGTTTCACCAAAGAGGGAGACCAAATTATAAGGCTACAGAATGCTTCCCTTTCCCACACCTTTTACTATCATATTACTAAAAGCCTATTTGCAGCAGTTTCTTTTACTGAGTATATCATGTCTGTCATTCAACCAAAAAATTATAAGGCATGCTAAAAGGCAGGAAATGCAGTTTGAAGACACTGAATAAGCATCAGAAGCAGAGTCAAATATGGCAGTGACATTGGAATTATCAGACCAGAAACTTTATAAAAAACTATGGTTAATATGGTGAGGGATTAAAAAAATGACATACAAGAACAGATGGATAATGTAAATATAGAGACGGAAATTTTAGGAAAGAACCAAAGAGAAATGCCAAGTATCAAGCATAGTGTACAGAAATGATTAAAATGTCTTTGATAGGCTCATAAGTAGATTGAACATAGCCGAGGAAAAAATCTTTGAAGTTAAGGATATGATAATAGGAACTTCAAAACTAAAATGCAAAGAGAAAAAAGACTGTGAAAAAAACAGAAGAGATTATTCAAGAACTGCAGGAGAACTACAAAAGGTATAATGTACGTGCAATGGGCATACTAGAAAAAGAAAGAAAGGATTAGATGCAATATTTGAAGAAATAGTGTGTGAAAATCTCCCCCAATTAATGTCAGACACCAAACTACTTCTCCAGAGAGCTCAAAGAACACCAAGCAGGATAAATGTCCCAAAACTACTCATGGGCATATTATATTCAAACTTCAGAAAATCAAAGATTAAAAAAATATCGAAAGAATCCAGAAGGAAAAAACACCTATAGAGGAGCAAAAATAATAAATTTTATCTGACATATCCTCATAAACCATACAAATAAGAGAGTAGAGTGAGACATTTAAGATGTTGAAAGAAAAATCCGGCAGTGTACGATTCTGGACCTTGCAAAATTGTCCTTCAGAAGTTAAGAAATAAAGTCTGTCTTAAAGAAACAAAAATTTCAGGAATTTGTTGCCAGTGGACCACCCTTGCAAAAAATGTTTAAAGTTCTTTAGAGAGAGGTAAAATGATACAGGTTAGAAACTCAGATCCACATAAGGAAAATAAAATTAGGGATATAGTAGTATTCCCCAACTTGATAAAGAAAATACACAAAAAACCTACAGTTTACATCATACTTAATTTTTAGAAACTCAAAGCTTTCCTGCTAAGATCAAGAACAAGACAAAGGTGTCTCCTCTTACCACTTTGTTTCCTACTGGAAGTGCTACCTAATGCAATAAGACAAAGGAAAGAAAATGAAAAGCATACAGATTCCGGAGGAAGAAATCAAACTGTCTTTGTTCACGGATGACAGTTGTTTATATGGAATATCCAAAGGATCAGAAAAAAGAAAACTGGAACTAATAAATGATTATTGTAAGGTTACAGAATACAAACTTAATATAAAGAAAGCCAATCACTTTCCTGTATACCAGCAATAAACAAGTGTAATTTGAATTAAAAACACATTACCATTTACATTAGCACCCCAAGAAATGAAATACTTTTGTATAAATCTAACAGAATATGTACATGATCTATATGAAGAAAACTACAAAAGTGTAATGAAAAATACCAGTGAACTAAATAATGAAGAGATGTTACATGTTCATTGTCAAGATGTCAGTTCTTCCCAACTTGATCTATAGATTCAGTGCAATGCCATTAAAAAACACAGCACGATATTTTATGGATATCAACAAAAGGATTCTAAAGTTTATATGGAGAGGCAAAAGAGCAGAATAGCCAACTCAGTATTTGAGGAGAACAACAAAGTCAGAGGACTGACACTACCTGGCTTTAAAGCTTACTATAAAGCTCAGATAATCAATGTAGTGGGTACTGGTGAAAGAATATTCAAATAGACCAATGGAATAGAATAAAGAGCCCAAACAAACCCATGTAAATATAATCAAATGATCTTTGACAAGGGAGCAAAGGCAATACAATGGAGCAAAGATGGTCTTTTCAACAAATAATGCTGGAAAAACTACACATTAACATACAACAACAAAAATTTTTTAAATCCAAATTGAGTGTAAACACAGATCTTATACCCTTTGCAAAAATTAACTTGAATCATAGACCTAAATGTAAAATGCAGAACTATAAAACTCCCAGAAGATAACACAGGAAAAATCCTAGATGACTTTGGTATGGCAGTGGCATTTTTTAGATACAGCTCCAAAGGCACGATACATGAAGGAAATGATTGACAAGCTGGACTTAACTAAAATTTAAAACTTCTGCTCTGTGAAAGACAATATTAAGAGAATGAGAAGACAAGCCACAGATGGAAAAATTATTTGCAAAAGATACTTCTCATAAAGGACTATTGTTCACAATGTGCAAACAACTCTTACAACTCAACAGTTTGAAAATGAACAACTCAACTTAAAAAATGAGCAAAAAACCTGAACAGACAACTCACCAAAGAAGATACACAAGTGTCAAGAAAGCATAGGAAAAGATGTTAAACATCATAGTCATTAGGGTATTGAAAATTAAAACAACAATGAGATACCGCTACATACCTGTTAGAATGGCTGAAGTCAGAACACTGATGAAACCAAGTGCTGGTGAGAATGTGGAGCAACAGGAACCTTCATTCATTGCTGGTAAGAATTCAAAATGGCATAGTCACTTTGGAAGACAGTTTGGCAGTTTCTTACAAAATAAACATACTCTTCCCATATGATTCAGCAATAGCGCTCCTTGGTATGGACTTGAAAACTTATGTCCTGGCCGGGCACAGTAGCTCACGCCTGTAATTGCAGCACTTTGGGAGGCCCAGGCAGGTGGATCATTTGAGGTCAGGAGTTCAAGACCAGCCTGGTGAAATCCCATGGTGAAACCCCAGCTCTACTAAAGATACAAAAAAGTAGCTGGGTGTGGCAGTGTGCGCCTGTAATCTCAGCTACTAGGGAGGCTGAGGCAGGAGAATCACTTGAGCCCAGGAGGCGGAGGTTGCAGTGAGCTGAGATCATGCCATTGCACTCCAGCCTGAGTGACAGAGCAAAACTCCATCTCAAAAAAAAAAGCAAAAACAAAAACAAACAAACAAAACTTATCTCCACATAAAAACCTGCACACATTGTTTAACAGCTTTACATAATTGCCAAAACTTGGGTGCAATCAAGATATCCTTTAATATTTGAGTGGATAAACTGTGGTACATCCAGATGTAAGAATATTATTCAGCACTAAGAAATGAGCTATCACATCATAAAACGACATGGATGAAACTTAAATGCATATTATAAAGTGAAAGAAGCTAATCCGAAAAGGCTAAATACTGTATGATTCCAACTATATGACATTCCGGAAAAGCCAAAATTATGGAGACAGTAAAAAGAGCAGTGTTTTCCAGAGGGAGGAATGTATAGGCAAATTTTTAGTGCAGTGAAATGAATCTATGTAATACTATAGTGGTGGATCCATGTCATTATACATTTGTCCAAACACGTAGGATGTAACCACCAATAGTGAACCCTAATGTAAACTATGGGGTTTGGGTATCAAAATGCATCAATGTAGGTTTATCAGTTGTAACAAATATACCACTCTGGTATGGGATGTTGATAATGGGGAAGGTTGTGGGTCTGTGGGGACAGGGGTATATGGGAACTTTCTACTGTTTTACTGTGAATCAATTTTACTGTAAAGTTTATTAATGTTAAAAAATTTAATGCACATGTACCCTAAAACTTAAAGTATAATAATAATAAAATAAATTTAGGCAATCTGAAAAAATGTTAATAAAAAAGAAAATAAACTAGTTGAATGTATCAGTTCATTTTCATACTGCTATAAAGTACTGCCTGAGACTGAGTAATTTATAAAGGAAAGAGATTTAATTGACTCACAGTTTAGCATGGCTGGGGAGGTCTCAGGAAACTTAACAGTCATGGCAGGTGACTTCACAAAGTGGCAGGAAGGAGAAATGAACGCAGAAGCAACTACCAAACACTTATAAAACCATCAGATCTCATGAGAACTCACTCCCTATGATGAGAACAGCATGGGGGCAACTGCCCCCATGATCCAATTACTTCCACCTGGTCTCTGCCTTGACACATGGGTATTATGGAGATTATGGGGATTATAATTCAAGATGAGATTTGGGTGGGGACACAAAGCCTAACCATATCAGTGATAAAACTATGTCTTTTCTTTTATGGGGTGCTATAGTGTTTCATTTCAAGTTGTCTTTTTGACCTCCATTTTCCAATTTCTGGTTAGGAAAAATAACTTTGTCTCCTCCTTAATTGACCCACAACCTTGTTTGCAATGAAGAATCAACACAAATCTTTCATTAAAAGAAATAGGGGAGGTGATGGGGGATATCCATGAGTGTCCATGGGCATAATTCAGTTGCCTTCATTCAATGCCAATGATACTGCAAAGCCTACAAGGCAAATTCATGTACCTACAGACAGACTCCATCCTTTTTCTCAAACTATTCAAGATAAAAAATCTTGTTTCATTTTATGTGAGGATTTTTTTCACCATCTATCCTCAAAAAATGAAAAATATCCTCTTCATTTGGGAAATGAGTGCTTATAATAGAAAGTAATTTGTAGTCAGCTGTTACACTTAGATGATTTGTGTCACCTCTGACCTGCTTTCTGATAATGCATGACTTCATTCATGGCTCTCTAGGTGACCTGTGTACCCTGACCTGGCATAAACCACTAGAGTATTAAGTCATTTCAGTGGCACATGTTTGAGGGAAGATTGACATCCCACTGGAAGACTATCTACAGTGAGATCCTCTAAAGCAGCTGCATTCCTAGTGAGGCATGATTAAGTTTATCCCACTATTAGGTTCTGGAGTATTACTTGTCATGCCCAAGAGGAAAGTTTTTCTAGCATGCAGAGTATCTGGTTTTTAATGGCTACTGAGCTGAAATAAAATGTGCCTACTAAGGGTTGTTCATTTGTCTGTCTCCCTTCTTTCACTGTTTTTTTTCTTGGAGGTTACAGTAGTTATGCCTTTCTGGTCAGCTGGCTGTTGACCTATCATAGAAATGACACTTTCACATCTTCAAGTGTAAGGAATTAGATGTTCCAGCCTTCACTTTGTTTCTCATCCAAAATCAATGACAAAACTTTCAGTATTGATTTCTCATGGCCTATGAACCTGAGTCAACTTGGCATAAAGGACTTTTCAGACAAGCTTCTCTAAATGCAGAGTCAGTGGCTTCTTTTTGCCAAACTCCACTTTGCTCAGTGATAACATTAAAATGGTGATTTGATTCATTCCTAGTCTAAAAATACTTCCTCATATTCCAAAATCTCAGTCATTAATACATGGAGGAAAATACAAATTATTACATGCCTGTGCTTCTCGGCTGTTGTAGATAGATAAAATATATACAATTGTGTTCTATAATTATTGAGTTCTTTTAAGTTTTATCTTTTTTTGTTTTACCAGGAAGCAAAATTATGTTTATTTCAGAGCTTATTTACTGCATTTAGAATCTCATGACACTTAAAAAACCTTTCTAAAACGTAAATATTCTCCATGATCTCCATGGTCACAAACAGTATTTCACGTTCTAATTGATATTGCCATTTTATCATTTTTTTTTTTTTCTTGGAGACAGTCTCACTCTGTTGCCCAGGCTGGGATGCAGAAGCACGATCTTGCCTCACTGCAACCTCCACCTCCTGAGTTCAAGCGATTCTCCTGCCTCAGCCTGCCGGGTAGCTAGAATTACAGGCATGTGCCACCACACCTGGCTAATTCTGTATTTTTAGTAGAGACAGGGTTTCACGATGTTGGCCAGACTGGTCTTGAACTCCTGACCTCAGGTGATCCACCCACCGCAGCCTCCCAAAGTGCTGGAATTACAGGCGTGAGGCACTGCATCTGGCCCTTTTATCTTTCTTTTAACTCAAATCCTCAAATATATCCCTCCATGTGAAGTTGCCTTCCCTAATTATGTACTGTCCTAGTTTAATCTTCATTCCTTGTTTGCCTCTATAAAACCAAGTTTAAAAATAGTCTCTGATTCTGTAAATCATCACTCTTATGCTCATTTATATTTCTATCTAGAATATTTTAAATCCTTTGTAACAAAGTTTCTACTATGCAGTCTACCTTTCTCAGCTACGATCTATATACTCCTTGGCCATGTCTTTTGTTATTGTGTGTGTTTGTCTTTGTGTGTGTCTGTATAGTAGTGGTTTGTAAATTCTCCATTTAGTCACAATATGCTTTTTGAGGATTTTCCTTTTCCTGGGAATTTCTTGATGATTTTTATTTTGTCATGTGATGAAGAATGTATGTCAAAGCACCACTGCAGAAATAGTGCTTTTCTATTTACTTGCACTCTTCCATCTTAGAAGAGCTGGTGATAGACAACCGACTCTTCTTTTATCTTGGTTTCTACAACACAGAGGTTGCTAAGCGACTTTAATCCCTTTTAACACAGGACAATCAACAACAAATTCCTTCTTTCTTTAGATTCAGATATTTCACTTAGAAAATCTAGCAAATAAAAAATGGTTTAAAACTTCTTTAAAATGTGTAATTCTGTACAATCTCCTACATCTGTAACCCCTGCCCCAAATATTTTTTACTTATGCTATTTCTTGAGCATTATGATATGCTTATTCATAGGCAATCAACTTGTAAGTAGCAATAGTGTAGCCCCTTCTAGGAAATCGAAGATGTGAAAATCCAGTTTAATGTGATAATGAGTTACTTTGATGAAAAATACTATGTCACAATTTGTTATAAAAATACTCATTTGGATTTCTGATTCACTTATATTACCCTCCAACCTTAAGTATGATTGAATTTATAGCTTTTTATACTACTTTCTTTATTTAGGGAGGAGTGTATTTAAATTCTGTTATCTCGGTTATTACTTGAAAGTTCAACCTCATACTTTCATTTTTATATAATTTTAATATTATGAAAATATTTTATGTAATTTTATGTATAATTCGAAAACATTTTTAAATATTGCATCTTTAAATTTTTATTTCTTTTATCAAATTTTCCCTATCATTTGTTCTCTGGCTACAACCAAAGTTAATAGTTACATTTTTTTCCAGTGACAAATGGTAATTTGCAAAGACTTGTAACAGTTGCTTAATACTTTTTTATCCCTTATTTAAGAATCATGCAAACAACCAGAGCTGATAGGCAGCAGGTGCACATGAGTGTGGCTGTGCTGATGGTTACTGAAAGATTTCCAAGGTAGCTAGTAATTCTGCTACCCTAAGCCACTATAGCTCCTTCCCCATTACTCCCTGGGTCTACCCACCATCCTGCAGCTAGAATAATAAATGGCATGTAGGTTCCTCTAGGATCCTCCTCCAGCACTATGTCTCATGCCTGGACATATGAGCTGTTAAATATTTTGATTATCACTCCTGTGTGGTAAGGGAGACGTCTACTTGTCGTAACTTGATGTTTACTAAACTACTTTTAAGATTACCTTATGATAAAAGTAGACACTTGCAATTTTGCAGAATGCATAGTTTGTTTTTAACAAACCAGGTAAACATAACTGCAGAGTTTTCCTATACGTTTTGAAATCTTTAAAAAAGTATTTTTTATTTGCCTTTCTATTAGAAATAGATTAGATAAAAATTTCCTTGTTTCAATTTTTAGAATGAACATTAGAGAATATTGTTACTGAAGGAATTTTTTTAAAAATAGTGACTGATCAAATGTCAGCAGCTTTATACTATAGTGTAAAATTTTATTTTGTAGTTTGCCATCCCATTAAGCATTAGAATTTTTATAATTGATCCTTTGATGTTTATATTCATGATATTAATGTAATGTCTTTAAACCTTAGCTCATATAGGTCATATGACTTAAAGCATCCTTAGATGAAGATATTTGGGCTATAAATAATTTATGACATAAGTGATTTAAAAATTCATTCTTTCCATCCATTTTGAAGAAATTGTAAGGTAGGGTTCATGTATACCTAATACTTATCCCCCCAAAATACGAAAAATAAAATCATTTTTAAAATATCTGGGTTAATGCTATAGATTGGAAGCAGTTTTTAAAAAGCACTTAAAGTCTACCAGTTTATTGATCCTCAATCTGTGGCTGTTTTAAATGGATGCAATTAGCAGTTCAGTCTAAGAGAACCATGGTAGTAGACTCATTACTCCCCAGAAACCATTACATCATTTTGTAATATTAAATTACTAAATATAAGGAATAGAATATATATTGTAAAAATTGCTTTGGAATCAATAATAAGTATTGTGGCTATCAATTATAGTTATATATTACAATGTAAGGGATATCCTTTTATAAACTTAATATCACACAAGTAGACTTAGAATAATTCCATTAATATAATTTTGCTTGTGTTTTTATACCTATTCATTTCAATAACTCTTTTTCCTATATATATTTTTTATCTCAAATTCGATAGTATCTAAATCATGGAATCATAAAACCTTAAAGCTGGGTTGGAACAGAAATAATACAATTTAACATCTTATAGGCTCTCTAGTCCTCAGTTTCCCTAAGTGATCGGCTCAAGATCATGAATTTATGGAGGATTAGAGTCAGAATTAGAACCCAAGATTAATTTATACTTTGTTATCTCTTCTACAGCCTACCCCCTTAGTTTGCCTGTGGGTTTATGGAAGTTACAGGAGAGACATTCTGAGATTCAGCTAAAAACCTAGCTCCCAATAGAATTATTGCCCTGTAGTCAGCCGCGCAAATACAATCACAAATACCTGAAGTTCCTTGTGTGAAGAAAAAGAAAATGACTATTAAAGCATCAAAATCAATGCAAGTTACCTTTCTTTGCCCCTTTCTTCCCCTTTCACTCCTTTCTTCTCCTATACTACTTGAAATTTCTAGCGGGGATCTCTAAAATGCCTGGATGTTAGGAATGGTAAGTCTATTGTAGAGAATTATATTTTCTATTTTAGTGGATGAAAAATAAACCATACCCTTAAGAGGCTTTTCAAAGTTAAGATTTTGAGCACATCCTTCATTGGCCCAGTCTCTGACCAGTGAGGTCAAGTATTAGCCAGTGTCAGAATGTCGTGAAAAGTTTGTGTTTCAGATGCAGAATTTTTTTTTGCATTTTCTGTGTGATGTTTATAGGGTATTTTCTTCTGAAATGTTTTCCATCTTGGTTTTTAAAAATATCTATTATTTTAAAAAATATTCCCTCATAACTTCTTTTTATTTTCGGAAACTATATAAATTGATCTGATAATCTATACACAATGCCTTGTGAATTTATACCTGTACCTCTCATGTTCCAGTGTTTGGTTCTTAAATAATCACTTTGTATAATGGAAATACTATGTTAAATTGTTTATAACTGGTGGTTGATATTTCAGCCTTGTTTGGCTATCGTAGTTATATAAAGACTGTTAATTAGAAACAACCTCATATGGTGTATGCTTGTTTTTATCTTCATGGAATTTGTTCTGCAAACACTGAGTTCTTTACTGGGAGTCACCACTTTGTCTATGTTAGGAGGAGCAGGAAGTGAATACATTTAAGGTCTTTAATTTTCTTCTTAAAACTTTGACTACTGTAGTGGTTTTTTAAAGCATTAACAGGAGAATAGCCATCACTGCCAAGTAGCTGACATTCTGAAATAGCACTTCCCTTTAGGCACTGTACAGTTGGAATCATTTACTTGCAGAGAGGTGTGTGTGTGTGTGTGTGTATTTATGTGTGTACTCATGTGTATAAGAATAGGAGAAACACTTTGTGGGCATATCCTGCTGAGGTGAGTAACGTGCTGATTAGTGAACTCCAGTCTCATCCCATTTAAACCTGGAGGAGAACCACATCAAGCACAGAAGCAGCCAAAGCAGCATTTCAACAGGAAGGAAACATCTATTACTGGGGCTTTGAAGAAACATGCCATGAAGGTGTACTAATATCACAAAGGGAAGGGAAGGACTAAATTCAGCATGATAAACAAAGTCCCTTTTTTGTAACGGAAGTGTTTGATGATGTTTGATCAATGGTGGATCTATCTCTTGAAAGGAAAATGCATTTAAACCCCAAATGGAGGATTCTTATATAAGGTGCCTAGCTTGTAATGATATATTCATGTTTATAGGTAGAGTGACTGGTTTTTAGAGAAGAGGTTTTTTTTTTTCCTTCATTTTTGAACGAAAACTTGTCTGTCTCTAGGCTTTGAAATGTAGAATTATTTACCTTTCCCCAAAATGAAATGTTTCACTGAATCTCCTACAAGCTTGTGGAGGCCATGAAGCATGTTGAATAAGAGCACAGGCTCTGGAGGCCCTGCCACCCACAAAGGGTGTGCTAAGGTAAACAACTGATAGTATTTTGAAAATTAGATGACTTAGAATCCATTCAATAAATTTTAGCTATTTTTATTGTCTTTTTTTTCTAAATCTATTTGGAAAATATTGCAGATAAAGTAGATAATACCTTTCTAAAACACAGTGAGACCAGGCGCAGTGGCTCATGCCTGTAATCCCAGCACTTTCGGAGGCCGAGGTATGCGGATCACGAGGTCAGGAGATCGAGACCATCCTGGCTAACACGGTGAAATCCCGTCTCTACTAAAAATACAAAAATTAGCCAGGCGTGGGGGCATGCGCCTGTAATCCCAGCTACTCAGGAGGCTGAGGCAGGAGAATGGCGTGAACCGGGGAGGCGGAGCTTGCAGTGAGCCAAGATCGCACCACTGCACTCCAGCCTGGGCTACAGAGCAAGACTCTGTCTCTAAAAAATAAAAAATAAAAATAGAACAGTGAATAGTTTATAAAGATAAAATAGAATAGGCTTCAATTTAGGGAACAAAGGAAAATATGTTTAGGAATGATATTATGCTCAAAATGATTGCAACTTTGATGGTGAAGTGTATTTTATTCAATTAAAAATGTAGATATGGCTGGGCGTGGTGGCTCACACCTGTAATCCCAGCACTTTGGAAGGTTGACGCAGGTGGATCACTTGAGGTTAGGAGTTTGAGACCTGCCTGGGCAACATAGTGAGACCTCATCTCTACAAAAAATAAACAAAAAATGTGCTGGGTGTGGTGGTACATGCCTGTAGTCCTAGCCACTTGGGAGACTGAGATGGAAGGATAGCTTGAGTCTGGGAGGTCAGTGCTGCAGTGAGCCGAGATCGTGCCACTGCACTTGAGCCTGGGTGACAGAGCAAGACCCTGTCTCAAGAAAACAAACAAAAAAACAAAAACAACAGTAGATATGTGTGTGGGAATGAGAACATTTAAATGTGCTCATCGGCTTAGATTTTTCTTTAACCCCCTTCATGGCCCTTATCTTAACCTCTGTCTTCAGCACTACCCTTCATATGTTTGTTCCGTTTTATCTTCTAAGTGATTTTTTTATAACTCTCAATGTATCATGGCAGAAGGAAAACTCAGTGTATAAGCTGACTGTATTTTGCATTTTCTTTTTTTTTTTTTTTTTTTTGAGATGGAGTCTCACTCTGTCACCCAGGCTGGAGTGCAGTGGTGCGATCTCAGCTTATTGCAACCTCCGCCTCCTGGAGGCGATTCTCCCGCCTCAGCCTCCCCAGTAGCTGGGACTACAGGCTTGCACCACCATGCCTGGATAATTTTTATATTTTTAGTAGAGACGGGGTTTCATCATGTTGTCTAGGCAGGTCTCAAACTCCTGACCTCAAGTGATCCACCCACCTTGGCCTCCCAAAGTGCTGGGATTGCAGGCATGAGCCACCGCGGCCTGGCTTCATGATCCAAAATAGCATCATTAAGCTTCTCTTTCAAAACATGTATATAAGCCTGTGAGTCATCACTGTATTTATCAGAATATTATCATATTGGAGACTTTGCAAAGCTGAACAAAGCCAGAATTATTGGCTACTGAGGAACTATATTCTAGCAAGAGACTATTCTATTTGTTGGGGATCACCTCTTTTTACTAAAGGGGACTGTTTTGGGCATATAAAACTAGAATTCATGGTTTCTCCTTGATAGTTTGCCAGCTTGATTCCCAGTCAACCAGATAACTGCTGGTAGTGACACTCATGTCCTCCAGGACTCCCAATCTTGTGCCAGCTCAGAGAGGGAAATCCCCCTAGAACTGCTCACACCATTCCAAGAACCACAAGCACCACCTTGGTATAGTTAAAAATGTGATACCAACTCAAATTCTGATAAAAACAAGTTCTATAAAGCTTAATAAAGTTATATTTTTTACTTTTTAAGTTTTGTTTTACTATTTTAAACAGAAAACAGAAGGTAAAAACTCCTCTGCCTTCCTCAGTATTTGGTTTGTCAGTTGCTGAACTCAGATTTAAGAGTCTAATCATATACAGGCAATAACCCTCTTCTAATCTTAATAATGTTTCTTTGATCATTTCTTTAAAAAGAAAAATGAAATAGCCTATTGACTCCAACCCTGACCTCCTGTACTTCACCTGCCTGATGAATATTTATTTGGAATACATAAGTTTTTTCAAATGCATCATGTCAAGAATTTGTCATTTCAGATTCCTTTCTAGAATTATCTATTTATCTCATTAGTAGCATCATTCTTTCAGACAACCAAACTCAAAAGCTTTATCACTATAATTGAATTTCTTTTTTCTTCTTACATTTAAAATGTTACTAAATGCCATTCATTTCTTTATCAGTAATATTTCTGTTTGATCATTTTATTTCATTTATTCTGCCACCCTCTCATTCCAACTATTGCTTATACTTGAGTACTGCAATAAGCCAATATCTTGCATATGATTATTTATAACACCTAAATCTTCTACCACTTCACACTCACTGGGATGGATATAATTTTTAAAACATACAATAACAGGTGTTAGTGCGGATATGGAAAAATTGGAACCCTGACACATTGCTAGTGGAATGTAAAAAGGTGCAGCCACTTTGCAAAACAGTTTGGCAGTTCATCAAAAGATTAAGCATGGAACTACCATAAGACCCAGTAGTTTCGCTCTTAGGGATTCCACTCTCAAGAGAATTGAAAACATATGCCCATACAAAAACTTATAAACATTGTATATCCATGTTTGTTGCAGCATTATTCACAATAGCCTAAAGGTAGAAGCAACCCAAATGCCTACAGATGGATGAATGGATAAACAGAATGTGGTATAGACATACAATGGACTATTATTCAACCTTAAAGAGGAAGAAAATTCTGACACATGCTAGAAAATAAATGGATCTTGTATACATTCTACTAAGTGGAATAAGCCAATCACACAAAGAAAAATATTATGATTCCACTTACATGAGGTACTTAGAATAGTCAAATTAATAGAGGCATACAGTAGAATAATGATTGCCAGGGGCTGGGAGGAGGAGCAAATGGGAAGTTATTGTTTAATGAGTATAGAATTTCTGTTTAGGAAGATGAAAAAGTTCTGGAGATGGGTGGCAGTGATGGTTGCACAGCAATGTGAATGTACTTAATGCCACAGAATAGTATACTTAAATATGGTTTGAATGGCAAACTTTGTTACATACATTTTATCACAATTAAAAAGTTTGAAATGAATATCCAAAGAAGCATTATTTATGAGGCTAAAAGTGGAAGTAACCCAAAAGTTCATCATTGATAGCTAAAGGAAACATGGCATATCAAAACAGTAGAATATTAGTCATACAAAGGAATAAAGTACAGACACATGCTGCAATACAGATGCACCTTAAAAACATTACACTAAGTGAAAGAAACCAGACGTAAAAGGCCAAATTTTGTATGGTTTTATATATATAAAGTCGTTCAAAATAGGAAAACCCATAAAGACTGAAAGTTGATTAGTGGTCACCAAGGCCCGGGGGAGGAATGAATGAAAACTGGCTCCTAATGGGTACTGGGTTTTTTGGGGCGAGGGGGACAGAGTGATGAAAATATTGTAGAATTTGATAGTAATGATAGGTGAGAGTGGCATAATTTTTTTTAATATACTAAAACCCACTGACTCATATACTTTACAAGGATGTATTTTATGGTATGTGAATTATATCTCAAAACACCCCTTAAATTTTAACGTATGGCTTTTATGATGCCATGTTTCTAAAGAAGCAACGTGTCCCAGTCTCAGCTTACTATTTCTAGGCATGTGACTTTGAGAAAAAATTAAGAGACCTCCCTTCTTACTCTGTAAAATGGGAATAATAATAATGATGATAATGATAATAATAATGATCTTACCAGATTTTTTTGAGTGTTAAATGAGGTAACATATGTAGTGCATCTAGCATAGTGTCTGGCATTTACCAAGAACCCCGGGAACCTGAGCTTCAACTGCTTCTGATACTATTCCAGATACTATTTCAGGATATTCCAATACTGTTTCCATATATTCAGGACAATGGACCAACTCCTTTAGCCATTTTATCAAAACTCTTTAGATTCTGTTTCAAATCGGTCTTTCCAAAGTCTTCTTGTGCTCCTTTGTAGACACTCTTCAGTCAGAGAGAGCTTTTTAATCTCCTCCAATTTGCTGCAGCTGTATCTGTGCCTCAAAACAACGCTTTCTCCCCATTCCTCTTTTCTCTCTGCCCTTGGAACTCTGTGGACTTCTCTCATGTTTTTAACCTACTCCCTTTTATCAGTGCATGTCATCTCCACTTATTTGTAGCACCCAATATTTTTACTACATCTTTGACCAATTAAGTCTTACTTGGGTTATGTTTTTAAAGTAGGTATCTTATTAGGTGGTCCTTTTAAAGTATATGTCCAGTCTCTCCAGCTAAATTAAAACCCTTGAGCACAGAGACCACATGTTATAATGTTTTACCTTTTCCATAGCACTTAGCATGTTACCTTGACATGGCATATACTGAATGAATGCTTGCTATTTATGAGTTTAGTTAGTGCCACATCTCATGAAGTACAGGGACTTAATGATTCTCAATCCTGACTTCATCTTACAGTCACCTGGAGAATAAAGTTTCCTCTTAGCTCAACAAGTCAGAATCTCTGAGCAAAATCCTCAACTTCTTACCTAGGTGATACTCTTGTAAGCCACACTGTGAACCACTGGATTCAACAGATGAAGTAATATAAGCCACTGGCTCTTAAGCCTCATTGATTATTGCGGTGAAGATGTGAAGACTAAAGATGCTTTGGGCATGGCAAAGTGTTCTACAGATATTAGAATTGTTATTATGGTACATTTGAGAGTGTCATTGCTTTGAGAAAGATTCTCTAAGTTTTTTAACAGCCACACTGTAATGGAAATATCCAATTATAGGTATCCAAAACCTTTTAAACTCTTTATATCAGGTGTATATACCCTGTTCCTTTTTGCTAACTTAAAAATGTTCAAACTCTGTCTTCTCTAGGCTGGCAAACATTCAGCAGCACACCCTCTCAAGATTGTTTACTTGCCTTTGCTCCTGTTGAGTTACAACGCTTGGAAGCAGGAGATGGGCTCAGCAGCAGCCAATAGGACATGATCCAGGAAGAGCAGTAAGGGACTGAGCTGCTGGTAAGACAGTGGAGACAGTTGACACTTGTTTGTCAAGTATGAATTTATTCCTAATGTAATGGTAATCTCTCTCCCAAACTTCAACTTCAAGTTACCCTGCACCCTCTCAAATACTTTTCTTTATTGTCTATGCTTAGGACACATGGATTAGATTGTTAAGATTTGTGAATTTACTAAAGTTGTGTACTGACTTATGTATAGCTGTATTTTTCTGGAGAAAGATAGATTTTTATCAATTCTCAATGTCTATGGAGTTTTTAAAAAGAGGTAAGGATTATTCAAATGTAACTATAAACATAAGAAAATGTGATATCTATAACCAGTTGTTAGAGTATTTATCGCCTCCATTTTGCTTCACTTGTAGCCACTTCGTCTCAATCTTGTTAAGGACCAAATAAATGGTATTTGTGGTTACTTGCTGATCTGAAAAGTGAGTACCTCCTGCACCTGGCTAGTCAGTCTTGTGACAATTTGGTGCCATAGAACTAGCAGAGAACTAAATTATGGAATGGCAGATCTCAGGAGCAGCTATGTGATTTTACATACGGTTTGTTTTTAATGGATAGAGACAGAGTCTGGCTATGTTGCCCAGGCTGCTCTGAAACTCCTGGGTTCAAGCCATCATCCTGCCTTAGCCTCTTAAGGAGCTGGGATTACAGGTGCATGCCCCCAGGCCCAGTTCATATGATTTTCTGAAAATACAAAAGAAAGAGGGAGATACAAAATACTTTTTTAATCATGTTCTTATAATTATCTTAATAAAAATCAATTTGCTCTGAATGCCATGACCTGCTGAGTGTCCCAACCTAAGGGTTGTCAGACCATTTTCTCATATATGCATGTATAGAAGTAGGGAACTAATATATTTTTGTCTAAAATGTTTAAGATGAAGATGAGAATGAATTCTACAATATATAATTTTGCCTGAACTATATAAGACAGTTAAAATTATAGAGACATTGCAGGAGAGACTCTGGATTAGATAGAAAAAAGGAAGAATTAGGCTTTTTTTTTGTCTATAATCCTTTTAGTAGGTAATTCAGCTTCAGTTTCACTAAATCTTGTTTATGCATTCAGCATAACAAATCTTCTAATAAGCCTGTATAGCTCTAATCTCTGCCTTACTGCAGACACCTGAGGATATAAGTATCCACTCTGCCACTTGATACTTCTCAGAGACTGTTCTGGTGCTGAGAAATCCTTTCCAGTGTGTCCTCAGTTGAACTCCCATGATTCCTGGATGTTGCCATTTTCAAGACACAGGGCAAGCGCATCTGTCTAGATTACCTCTCTACCTTGGGAATTTTAAGTCACTCTGTGAGGGAAAGAGAACTCAGTATAGTAGTAACTCTCAGAATGAAAATTTTCCCCTTGCATGTTAATATTTTTAGAGTAATCATTGTCACTGAAAATAGACTTCCTCTTTCCCCTCTCATGCTGGAAAATCTTAGGTAATTATGAATAAAGCATTCTTTACTTTTCCCCTCCTCCCTTGATGATTGCTTTACCTCACTCTGTGAGAACTGTGACTACTCATTCTGCTCTTGTCTTTTACATGAGAACTGAGAGCGCATTTTTAAGATGGAATTTTCCTCCTTAATGAAGTCATAACATTAGTCAGAAGATTTTCTCTTCTTGAACGTTAAGCCTGGGTAAGGAATAAAGTGCAGAAGTTTATGGAAAATTATAAGATAACTTAAAAAAAAAACGAAGACAACAAATTAAAATATTAGCCATTGAGGGAAAAGGTTTTACAGGTAGCTCTCTGAGGAGTTCTTCCCTCATATCTCCTCAAAAATCTTGTTTTGCATTTAATTTTTTACAGTTGGATAAGCTCAGCCCTTGACATATTTTCAATAGCAAATAAGCCTAGAGTTTATTTTTAGTACATTTATTAGGAATGTGTTCTTGGGAAAATTATTTAACCTCTGTAAGCCCTGCTTTAAATGGCAAAGAAGAAAGTAGGTAATAATAGATAATAACAGGATTATTTTATGCATTACCTGTACATTGCCCAACATATAGTAAGTTCTCAATTTTATATTGGTATTTGTTTTATTATTAACCACTTTTATTAATGTTGCTTTTAGTTTTTGAAATATGAATTCATTCAAAAATATTTCTTGAGCACCTGCCAAATACCAGGCACTCTTCTAGGAACTAGAGTGGCATTAATGAGTAAGAGGCAAAAATCTCTTCCCTTGTTGAGCTTAGAATCCATTAGAGTAAGAGACAGACACATACAAAATAAAATGTATAATATAGTAAATACCAAGAAGTGCTAAGTTTTAAAAATGTAAAGCAGAAAAAGGAAATTGAGTGGCAGGGTTAGGTAGTAATTGAAGATATAGTAGTCAAGTAAGGCAGCTTCAAGAGAAGATTATGTCTTAAATAAAAATCTGATAAAGATATAAAAACAAGCCATGAAGTTATCTGAAGGAATTGCAGGTAGTGGAGAACAGCCAAAAGACCTGGAGTAGTAAAAGGTTTTATGCAGAGTGATTTAAAAAGAATCACAGTATCTTATACATCAGTAAATATTTACACATACACTTAAGTAAGTGATATGGACAAGAACTTTGGAAGTTGAATAGCAAGGTCCATCTGGACTATAACAGAGGAGGCTTCACAAAGGAAGGTGACAGGGCATGGCCTGGATCCTGAAGGACAGGAAGAATTGGGATCGATAACAAAGAATGACATCCCAGTGGAGAGAAGTGGAGGGGAAACAGCATGAAATGGAGTGAAATAAGAATGTTGGCCTTTAGGGCAGGAATGGGCCAGGCAGAGGGCAAGTGGGAAGCAGGAAAAAGGCGACCTTGTATAAAGTTCATGTTGGCAAATAGAGAGAAGATGGGAAAGCAGGGTAAGGCCAAATTTAGTAAAATCCTAAAGTCAAGCTAAAGATTATTGCATGCTATCCTGAAAATATTGGGGAATAATTAGAGCAGATGAGTAGAAAGGTGAATTCTTGTATTTAGCTATATCATTATTTTTACAAATTTAAACAAATAAGGAAATGGAGGCAGTAGTTGGAGTAATTTAGGAGATAAATTGAAAATGGATTTTGTTAAGAGAGAAGGGAAGATAGATTTTATATATTTTAAGGAAAAATCATGAGGATTTATTTGCTGACTGCACGTAAGAGATAAAAGAGAGGAGTCAAAGATTTCTCTAAAATTTTCAAAATGATTAATTACGTGTTGGTATTAAAAGAAATAGGGAAGTTGGGACATATGAGTTTGAATTCAGCATGAGTCAGTTAAGACAATCAGATGCAGATATTCTTAAGGCAACTAAAGTTCATTTGATATTTGTCATATAGGCTGAATTAAGTTTCTAAGAGCTGTTTTTACTATGCATTAAATCCGTGTAATACTAACATAGTACAAAAGTTGTTTGCTATCCAAATTTTGTATTTTTATAATAAGTTGGAGAGACAGAGAATCAAAAAATTATTGATTTGGAACCATTAGACATCAGCTAGTCCAATTAGTTCATTTTGTGGAAGGAAAAAGGATACCCAGAGATGTTACATGACTTTATAGCCATGCCTCTAGCTAGTATCTAACTTGGTCTAGCCCAGGTCTCCATACTGAGACTCTCCTCCTGCTAATAAAAAAATAATAAAAAAGTATTAGTGGTTTGTATTTTGCTGGCTTGCTTGTGGAGAATAGGATTAGAAGGTTTGACTTGCCTGTTAGCACTCTCTTGTAGCCATTTTTCTAATTAACATACACATTTTACCCTTTCTCATGAAACAGATCTAACTTGTTTAGAAGCTTCAGTCTTCTTGATTTAATTAATCACTTTCTCCCACCTTTAGTCATTGTTGAAGTTTCCTGATTTACAATGTTATCTTTTTATCTTTTCAGTAGTATAAGGAGGAATGATATTTCTACTGTTGTACTATTTTTCTGTTTATCTTTCAGAAGAAAAATAGCTTTTCTTATTGGCCCAAAAAACCATCACCCTACAGGAAATAAATCACACTCTTTGCTTGATTTTCCTGATCTGGCTACTGATTTCTCTTCAAATTTAAGCCAATACTTAGACTTTAAGACTTCATTGTTACTTCCTTACAGGTCATTCTTATGAACTAAAATCCATAGTCATTGTTCTAGCAAGCCTGAGCAGTTTATTCTTTGAGTCACAGGATTATAAAAGAAAAAATAGACCTTAGAGATCATAATACAGTGCTCTTCAAACTGTACTCTTCAATTTTTCTACTACTTATCAGTTGTTTTTTATTCTAATAAAATATAATTACCTAGCAAGTGAGCAGACATGTATTTACAGTAGCTTTACAATTCTTTATACACTTCTTTACTCTCTCCATTACACATGCCACATGGTATGATACAAGTCATAACTCAACTATGTGAAAGCAAAACCACTCTTATACATGGTGTCTTGCATATATATTAAGGCCCAGAGTGGTATCAGTAGTCTCTGTGTCCCAAGAGACTGAATTAAACAAGACTGTTGACCTTCTTGTGGCATTTATCTGACAACCTTGGCAATCCCTAAATTCACAAATAGCTGTATAGCATTTTTTGCATTTAATGCATATCCACATATGATGTGTCCTTTGATTTTAGAACAAGTAAAGCATGCTAAAATAGACTGCACCTTATGAAAGTCATTTTCACTATTCTTGTGTTTCAGTTTCCTCATCAAAAGGTGAAATATCAGCTGCCTCTGTTGATCTCAGGATCTTTTAAGTAGAAATGGAAGAGTCTTAGTGAAAACAGTTTGTATTCTGAAAGAAAATTGCAATGTAAATACAGGCACTAAAAACGTTTATTCATCTTTACAGATGTTAATCTGACCAGACATTTTTCTCAAAATGTGAAAATAGTATGGATTTTCTTAGCTCATTTAATATTGAAAGACTAGAAAAACAAGTAATGATGTTCTAGAAGAATCTATGATCATATAATTACAGTTGTCCTTCAGTATCTGTGGGAGATTGGTTCCAGGACCCCCCATGGATATCAAAATCTGTGGATCCTCAAGTCTCTTATATAAAATAGTGCAGTATTTGCACATGATTTACATATACCCTCCCATATACTTCGAATCATCTCTCGATTATTTATAATACTACAATGTCCATGCTATGTAAGTAGTTATTACACTGTATTGTTTAGGGAATAGTGACAAGAAAATTAATCTGTACATGTTCATTACAAACACAGCAATCCATTTTTTTTCTGAGTATTTTGATCTGTGATTGATTGAATCCACAGATGCTGGAATCCATGAATACCCATGGGGGGCTGACTATAATGTTGTCTATGTGCGTAGCAATTTTGTAATTCTCAACCAAGGACACGTATAGTCCTTGAATCTTGGTAGGAGTCTTGGGGACTTTTCTTAAAATATTTTGACCATCTTCTCAAGATCTTGACTCCTACCCCCACTTGTACACGTGCACATACTTGTGCACACTCACACACAATACCCTTCCTTAAGTCCTGCTCACCAGCTTGCTTCCTATTGCATTGAGAGCATTCAACCTGTAGACCAAGAACTTCTACCATATTTTTCCACCTCTACCCCAAAACACAGTTTAGACATATCCATTCTTTTCATTCTTCAGAGTCATCTCACCACTTCCATAAATTATTTCCTAATTGTTCCCTCTGCCTCTGTTCTTTTTTTTTTTTCTGATGATCAGTTCAAAGTACCTCTGTATGCCCATTCTTAAGTGCAAATCTGACCATCTATACCCCTTCTTAATATCCTTTCTTTTATGGATACCCATTTCAGACTTTATTAAAGGAGTGGAAGCTTCCCCCTCCCCACCTCACCACTTGAAGTTTTTGCAATTAGAATGGAGTTTATTTGGTTAATGCAAAAATAGATGTGATGTAGAATTCTTGGGGACACCTACTTATCCCCTTTTCAGAGTGGCCCTGAATAGCTCTGTGAACCCAGGAATCTGAAGAACTCAGTACAGAAAACCATCAGCCTACAGAAAGTAGATCAAACTCTATGCTTGATATTCCTGATCTGGCTCCTGGTTACTCTTCAAATTCCTCCTTACTATATTGTCCCTTCAGATTTGTAAATCTTTACCGTGACATCGTATTTTACACACTGAACCTTTGTACCGCTGTTCCTCTCCTGATGAACTTCCCTTTTCTCTTAACTACACAGCTCAGATTTCTCATAAGGGAAGCTTCATATTTGTTGTGGCACTGTTGTTCCTCAAACATCCTACTTACTGTAGTCATTTGTTTATGCTTGTCTCCTTTGCAGATTCTGAAATTCCTAGGGCAAAGGCTGCATCTTGTCTTCTTATTACTAATATTTTACACAGTATCTGGTTACATAGTAGGCATTCAATCATACAATTTAAAAGAAGAGGTTGACTTTGTGATCTTTTTCATATGTTTTATTTCCCTCTCCCCCTACTGGCAACTTCTTCCTACTTCTTAAAATAGATACAGCACTTGCCCACTAAGTGGAGGGAAGAGGTGTGGGAGTCGAGTAGTTGGAACTTCAAGTGTCAAAACATGATAATCTCATTTGCAAAGTTACATTATATCGGAGCTTGAACCTCAGAGATACTTAATTATAAGCAACACTTGTGGAACATTTGATACCTACATTTTTTTCACTAAAGTATCCTATCAAAATTAAATGTGTTGCAGTTGAGATTTGTGAGGTTTTAGCTATTTAGAGACTTTAGGGATATGTTTAGTGTTCTAATTCTAATAGTATTGATGAATATAAATGTTTCACTGTAGAAAGAGAAGTTTGAGAGCTGTTGTGAATGATATTTGATGTCTATTAGGTGATAATTTCTGATGACTAAACATGCTCAAGACCTTAGTGAGAAATACATGAATACAGAAAATATTTTGAAAATTATGAGAAGTTTATCATTGATTATAGATTTTCTTATCCAGCAGTTTTTGGTTGTGTTCTGTTTTTCACTGTCAGAGAAGCAGAAAGTGGTCAGTGGACTTTAGAATGTAGGCTCTTGTAGGAGGCCATATGTTTGAGAGTGCTGTCCAGGTGCTTTGTGATGTGGCTGAGAATGGATGCAGGCTTGCAGGGAAAAACTAATACTGTAGATCTCTAGAGAGCATTTTAGGAAAGACTTCTAAGCTTTAGGTTCCCTGACCAAAGAGTAAAAAGTGATTCTTAATATCCATAGCTATAGAGGAAAGTAAATACACTTCCCACATCAAATGTAGAATTAAATATTTAGGCATTTCAAGTGTATTTCATTTAGAACAAAATAAAATCATATATTCACTAATGAAATATAAAACCAGATGGTCTCTGAAAGGTTTTTCCCTTTACTCACTTTCAGAGTAAGGCAAGGAAGAGTAGTTTTGTTTTTTAATTTATATTTTAATTGTCCCTTTCTGTTTTTCCAAAAGTTTTATTTTTTGAAAGTGAGTCACCTTTTAGACATTTGAAAAATTAGAATTACTATGATGTTTATTTTATTAGTAAGTCTTCCTAGAGTAGCAACGTAGAAAAGCATCTCTGAATGCCTACATAGTAAGTATTTAATAAATGTTTTTTGGGCCAGGTGAGGTAGCTCACTCCTGTAATCCCAGCAATTTGGGAGGCCGAGGCGGGTGGATCACCTGAGGTCAAGAGTTTGAGACCAGCCTGACCAGTATGGTGAAACCCCATCTCTACTAAAAATGCAAAATTAGCTGGGGGTGGTGGTGCATGCCTATAATACCAGCTACTCGGGAGGCTGAGGCAGGGGAATCGCTTGAACTCAGGAGGTGGAGGTTGCAGTGAGCCGAGATCGTGCCGTTGCACTCCAGCCTGAGCAACAAGAGTGAAACTCTGTCTCAATAAATAAATAAATAAATAAAATACATAAATAAATGCTTTTTGATTTAACGAAGGTGTCATTGTCCTATGAAAAGGAAAACTATCAAAATATATTTTTTAAAACTTAGCTTTTGATAATGATATGGAAGATATTTCTCTTAATTAACCTAAGTCAGAAACTAAAATATGTTATAAAATGCTAACATCAAATATTTGAGACCAGTTAAAGGAGACAGAAGGAAGTTATGGAGAAAGAAGCAGTAGCCAGAAAATAAGGGCAAGAAAATGTTTTCTAAATTTATGAGAATCAGAATGTTTACAAAATTGCTATTATTATCATCTGGAAAAAATATGCCTTGTAGGCTGAAAAAATGAACATTCCCTTTCCATACCATGCAGGAACCTTCTTTACTGCATTCCTAAGAGGACTAGTCTAGCACCTAATTGGATACTTGTGGTAATATTTGGGAACTCACTGATCTGGTACATCAGTGTGGGAGTCGAGTAGTCAGAACTTCAAGTGTCAAAACATGATAGTCTCATTTGCGAAGTTACACTATATTAGAGCTTGAACCTCAGAGATACTTAATTATAATTAACACTTGCAGAACATTTGATACTTACATTTTTTTTTCACTAAAGTGTCCTACCAAAATTAAATGTGTTGCAGTTGAGAGTTGTGAGGTTTTAGCTATTTGGAAACTTTAGGGATATGTTTAGTGTTCTAATTCCAATAGTATTGATGAACATAAATGTTTTACTGTAGAAAGAGAAGTTTGAGAGCAAGTTGAGCAAGAATCTGTCACTCTAGGTCTTCTACTCTTTATTAAAGAATGTTGGATTCATTTATAACTTACTGGTCCCTTAAATATTAAAGTTTGGTGTTTGGTATCTTAAACATGATTACATCCTTATAGGGCTCTCTTCTAATTGCCTGGATACTGCACATCTATTAATACAGTCTCAAAGCACACTTGCTTTTTTGATAGTAAGAGCGTACGATTTAATCACATTGAAGTTAGTCCGCAAAGGTTTTTGTCTTTTTTTCAGGCAAGCAGCTGATGAATGAATCTCTACTATCCTTCACTTTGTGACTGTGATTTTCTAAATAAATGTTGGAGATTTTAACTTACAATTTATTAATTTCCATCTTGTTTCTTCAAGTCCCTCCTTTAAGGAAATTTATGGAAATCTTTTTCCATACCATCAAGTGGCTTATTTCTTTTTAACTTTTTTCCTTAAGTTCAGGAGTACACGTGCAGGTTTGTTGCATAGGCAACCTTGGGTCATGGGAGTTTGTTGTACAGGTTATTTCATCACCCAGGTATTAAGCCTAGTACCCATTAGTTATTTTTCCTGATCCTCTCCCTCCTCCCACCCTCCACCCTCTGATAGGCCCCGGTGTGTGTTGTTCCCCTCTGTGTCCATATGTCCTCATCATTTAGCTCCCACTTATAAGTGAGAACATGCAGTATTTGGTTTTCTGTTCCTATGTTAGTTTGCTATGGATAATGGCCTCCAGCTCCATCCATGTCCATGCAAAAAACATGATCTTATTCTCTTATATGGCTGCATGTTATTCCATGGTGTATATATAACACAGTTTTTTTTTATCCAGTCTATTATTGGTGGGCATTTAGGTTGATTCCATGTCTTTGCTATTGTGAATAGGACTGCAGTGAAAATATGTGTGCATGTGTCTTTATAATAGAATAATTTTTTTTTCCTTTGGTATATACCCAGTAGTGGGGTTGCTGGGTTGAATAGTATTTCTGTCTTGAGGTCTTTGAGGAATCGCTACACTGTCTTCCACAATGGTTGAACTAATTTACATTCCCACCAATAGCATATAAGTGTTCCTTTTTCTCCGCAACCTCACTAACGTGTTATTTTTTGACTTTTTAATAATAGCCGTCCTGACTGGTGTGAGATGGTATCTCATTGTGGTTTTGATTTGCATTTCTCTAATGATCAGTGATGTTGAGCTTTATTTCATATGTTTGTTGGCCGCATGTATGTCTTCTTTTGTAAAGTGTCTGTTCATGTCCTTTGCCCACTTTTTCAATGGGGATGTTTGTTTGTTTGTTTGTTTTTCCTGTAAATTTAAGATCCTTATAGATGCTGGATACTATTGTCAGATACATAAATTGCAAAATTTTTCTCCCATTCTGTAGGTTGTCTGTTTTCTCTGTTGATAGTTTATTTTGCTATGAAGAATGTCTTTAGTTTAATTAGATCCCATTTGTGAATTTTTGCTATGAACTGGATCTGATATAAGCATATGTTTAATTTTAACTCCCAGGTCACACTGTTTTTTTTTGTTTGTTTTGTTTTTGTTTTTGTTTTTGTTTTTGTTTTTTTGGAGATGGAGTCTCACGCTGTCACCAGTCTGGAGTGTGGTGATACAATCTTGGCTCATTGCAACCTCCACATTCCGGGTTCAAGCAATTCTTCTGCCTCAGCCTCCTGAGTAGCTGGGACTACAGGCACACACCACCATGCCCAGCTAATTTTTGTATTTTTAGTAAAGATGGGGTTTCACCATGTTGGCCAGGATGGTCTCTATCTCTTGACTTCATGATCTGCCCGCCTCAGCCTCCCAAAGTGCTGGGATTACAGGCTTGAGCCACCACACCTGGCCCCAGGTCATACTTTTAATCAAAATGAGAAAAAAGATTGACTTCACTGGAGTGCTTATGTCTTGTTTTATATTCAAGTTTTAAATTTATGTTCTTGAGATTATTACATCTTGAGTTACTTGATAATACCACGGTTGAAATCCATGTTGTTGAATCCTTCAACCCCTTGAGGACTGAGAATTCCCTTTAATTATCTGTCTGAATCATTAAATACTTGTAAATCAAGAGTTCAATTTAGAAATGTTATACTTGATACATTTTTTAAAGCTGGATAAATTAACCTATTAAACAAAATTATCTCTTCTTCAAAAAAAAGGCATCACTTCCCCCACAAATGTGTAATTTAGGAATTGTTTTCTATTGGAGTGGTTCACGCTTATATATTTTAGTTGCTCTAATGCAAGGTGTTTCCTAAAAAGTTTAAGGAAAGTATAACTTTATTTTCATGTATGATAGTAAATAATACAATAGGGGGTGCATTTGTGCTATGCTTGTTTTTGTTCCCATTTCAGTGCTCAATTACTGTAGCTTCTAATAAATAAAATTATCAGTTGCTAACATTTAAATCAAACAGTTCCACAAGTGGAAGTATTGCTTATTTGTGAGAGTTGTGTTTTTTTAAACTTAACCTTACTGAGGGGTTTTAAGGACTGCTAATTATAGATTGTACTAAGCAAAGTATAAAGTAATAGAAGGTTACCAAGTTGAGGCTAGAATTCAATTAGTGCCAATACAGTTAAAATGGTATCATTAACAGAACATCTTCATCCAGGACCTTTTTTTTTTTTTTTTTTTTTTTTTTCAGACAGGGTTTCACTCCTGTTGCCCAGACTGCGGTGCAGTGGCCTGATTGAGGCTCACTGCAGCCTCAACTTCCCAGGCTCAGGTGATCCTCCCACCTCAGCTTCCAGAGTAGCTGAGACCACAGGGGCATGCCACCACCCCTGGCTAATTTTTTGTATTTTTTGTAGAGACAGGGTTTTGCCATGTTGCCCAGGCTGTTCGCAAACTCCTGGCCTCAAGCAATCCACCTGCCTCGGCTTCCCAAAGTGCTGGAATTATGGGAATGAGCTGCCACACCCAGCCCCTCCGGAATCTTTAGATTACCAACTTCTGTCTTCCAGGTTTTTATGTCCTTGGAAATTTATGCATATTTTTAGAGGTAAGACCCATCCTCATCTTCTTCCTAATCCTTGACATATTGTGAACACAGATATATATACAATTAAGTAGTTCCCTGAGTTACAAATATACTTAAATATACTTTAACTTATTATAGAAGGCTTACAAAAACTGTGGATAAATAACATATATTTATCTTAGTTAATGAATAACTGATGCTGAAAATAATGTGAATGTCAAATTAGTTCTCTTTTTTTCTAGCCCTCACCTTTGAAAAGCCTGAGCCTCTGAGATGTGAGATGACTGCTGTAAAGTGAAGCAGCGAATTTCTAGAGGCTGGGTTCACGCTTCAGGTCCTCTAAATCCTAGGTCGCTTCCCACTACTACATACTACCCTAAAAAATCTGTAATTCGCAAATTTATTTTTTGATCTTTTTCATAACTTATTAAATTTTTATTGAACAAATACAGGAAACAGTTTTAAATTACTCATTGCTCTTGAATACATTGGTGATTATTTTTCTTCTCTGAAATTCTGTTTTCCTTAAAGGCAGTCATTTTTTGGTCTCTTCTAAATGACACTTAGTATTTTTAGTAACATCATAACTTCAGTGGCCACAGTGAGCCCTCATTTTGCAACATATGCCTACTTTTCATATCTGGCTTGCCTTTTATTATTTATAATTTAATGAAAAGAAAGTACCACTCTTTCCATAGTTTTGTAATAGAATTGCTGTCAACAAAGTAGTGGATGCACTATGTTATAAAGATTTCATTGTGAAAACATGAAATGGCTGTTAACTATACATCAGGCAAAATAAAAACAGGAAATATAAACATTTCCTGGAACAGGGCAGAGTATGAGTAATAAGGTATCAAATATAATTGGATACCTGACCAAATATTTTTAAATGTCTTAAGAAATGTCACTGGAAAGACTGGAGTACTTGGATTTGTCTCTTATTCTTATTTTGATTCCTAACACTGTGCTTGGCACATGGTAGGTAATTAATAAATGTGTGATGGATGAATAATGATTGTCATTCAATTAGTGACTAAGAGAGTTGGAAAGGGCTATCAATTTCAAATTGGTTCCTTTAAGACATTTTTACGTAAGATTTGGGAGAAAAGTAAAAGAGCACCATATGATTATGCTTTACTAAGAGCTGCTTCCATTCCTACATTGACCATGTGGACTCATATTTGGCCTATATAATTACATTAGAATAAACAAAGCACCAAAAGTTGGAAAAGGAAGTAGTAGTAGGAGAGGGTTTTAAGCTATGTATTTACTGGGAAAAAAAGTCATGTTTTCTTTTTTAAAAATGTTCTAAACAGTACTGTAATCACTTGGGAATTGAATGTGCTTTGTGTCAGACAAAGGTCTTTGTATACAATACATTACATTTTGTATACCAATACATTACATTACACAGAAGGGAGTGCCTGGCTTTGTATACAATACATTACATTTTGTATACCAATACATTACATTACACAGAAGGGAGTGCCTGGCTTTGTATACAATACATTACGTTTTGTATACCAATACATTACATTACACAGAAGGGAGTGCCTGGCTTTGGGAAACACATCTACCTAAACTCTTAACATAGCACAATGCTGCCATACGGTAGGTAATACCAAGACAAATCAGGGCCGTTATTAACAACCTTGAGGAAATGTCTTGGGAAATATTTAAATAATTTTTGTTTAATTATAATAAGGAATCTACAGCCTCTGTGAAGTCATCCCAAACTCTTCGAGGCAAATTTAGTCTCCTCCCACCCCTGTTTTTTAATGTTTCTAAAGGATGTTATGTATAATCTATTAGAAAACTGGCCAAGTGCAGTGGCTCATGCCTGTAATCGCAGCACTTTGGGAGGCCAAGGCGGGTAGATTACCTGAGGTCAGGAGTTTGAGACCAGCCTAGCCAATATGGCGAAACCCTCTCTACTAAAAATACAAAAATTAGCCAGGCGTAGTGGCAAGTGCCTGTAATCCCAGCTACTCAGGAGGCTGAGGCAGGAGAATCTCTTGAACCCGGGAGGCGAGGTTGCAGTGAGTTGAGTTCGCGTCACTGCATTCCAGCCTGGGCGACGGAGTGAGACTCCGTCTCAAAAAACAAAAACAAACCAAAAAAAAAAAAAATATATACACACACACACACACACACACACACACACACACATACATACATACATTAGAAAACTAATTACATTGTTTTCTTAAAATGTTTTAAGCATCTCTCTTCCTCAAGGACAAGAATCTTGAATCCTTAGTGCATATGAGGTACTTAATAGATATTTAAATGAATAGTGAGCTACTATTGCCTAAAAATATTAGACATCATGTAATATCAGGCCTACAGTTGATAGAAAAAGTATTCTCAACTAAGAATAATTTACCAATGGAGAAAACTGTTAGTTTTCCCTTCTTTTTCTTTGCTTTATAAAATTTAAATGACATTAAGAGTTACGTTTCTTGGAAAATTGAAAAGAATATCTGTGGCACAATGGGCTCTGGGTATAATTGCAGGATAATTTGAAAAGTTTAAAGAATATTTTCAATAGGTATAAGTTTATTTAGGCTCTGTGTCTCCTCTTGAGATGACTTTAGCAGTATATATTTCCCTGGAACACCATGCACTCTAGGTTTTCTAATTTATTGGTTTAAAATACATGGCATTTTACTACGTAAATATTCTCTGTATCTGTAGGTACAGCACCTCTGTGTACACTAAGTTAGTGTATGTATTTTTTTAAAATTGCCTTAGTTTTGCTATTCACTAGATTATTTTCCAAGGAACCTACTCTTAGATTTATTAAGCCTACTATATATATTTTGTTATTAACTAATTCTCTTATTTTTAAAAATTACTTTTCCTTTCTTTGCTTAAATTTGCTTTGTTTTCCTAAATTAGTGATTTGGAATACTTAATTGTTTTTATTTTGTTTTGTTTTGTCAATAAAAGAGTTTTAAGACTCTAGTTATACTATAGCTATAGCCAATGCATTTTGAGAGGTGCTTACATATTACAATTATTTTCAGAAATTCCTTATTTCAAAGCTTTGCTTTCTTTGAACAAAGAGTTATTTAGGAAAAGAAAGGAATAAAAATCTCAACTTATTCTCCACTTGACTAGCTTTATTATTTGCAGTATTCTGTTTTTTACTTGTTCTAATACTTCTTTATATTTTGTTGTGGAATTATGTCACCTAACAATATTTTCCTTAACTTCTTAATTTTAGCCTGTTTTCCAAGTTAATCATTTATCTGTTGTTTCAATGAATACCTAAGAAAATTTTCTTTGTCAGGATAAGGCACATGAGGTCTAAGATTTATTTCTAGAACAGTAAGCAAATCATTTCTGAAAGTGTGTTCTTCTACTATTAAGTAACATGTTTATTTTTGTCTTTTAGTTGAAGTCCCCCCCAACCCAATAGGTACTATTCTGATTTGTTCTCCTATTCACACATTCTTGAAGGAGAGCTGATTTATCTGTACCCACAAAATTATAATATAATTTTCTCAGAGTATTCAAAACATTGTCTTTTTTATTTTTCTTTTTTTTGAGTTTTTCACTCTTGTTGCCTAGGCTGGAGTGCAATGGCAGGATCTCAGCTCACTGCAACCTCCGCCTCCCGGTTTCAAGAGATTCTCCTGCCTCAGCCTCCCGAGTAGCTGGGATTATAGGCATGCACCACCACTCCTGGCTAATTTTTTTCTATTTTTAGTAGAGACGGAGTTTCTCCATGTTGGTCAGGCCGGTCTCAAACTCCCAACCTCAGGTGATCCACCTGCTTCAGCCTCCTAAAGTGCTAGGATTACAGGCGTGAGCCACCACACCCAGCCGAAAACATTATCTTAATGGAGCATTTAGAACGTTATCACTGACAAACTTTTTTCTATTGAAAATACTGCTTAAAAGATCAGGTCATGCCCACCCCACAACCCACACCCTTTGTATTTCTCTTTTACTTGTCTTGGCCTCTAGTTCAGATTTATAGTTTGGTAATGTCTGATTTTCTTTGTTAGTGCTTCAGCCCATCTGGTTGGGGAACAGCTCTATCCCACTGGGACCTCTCCCTTTCCTCATGAGTGACGCCAGGGTCCTGCTGCCCATAAGCATTCTGTTTGCTGAGTTTGTATATATTTCCTTTCCCCAGCTTCGCTGCCTTTGGCTGCTTTGTGATTAAGTAAGACATACCCATGTTTCCTAAAGCCTCCTTCGCCTTTAGTCCTTGATGCTGGGGACCTTTTGGTTGGGAAGACAGCTTCCTTATGTCAGGGTGAGCCTGCTACACAGGTATGTAACTCAGACAGTGACCTACTGTTGAGTTTCTGTTTAGTGTTTCTTTGTCTCCCTCAAATGGTACAAACGTGGAGGGCTTCAACTGCAGTCTACCTTTGTCCTGTTAGTTTTGTCTATCACAGCCCATGCCCTCCAAATAAGAGATGATGGAGCAGTCTGCTTATTTTCTGTAGCACTCCACAACTGACTTTAAAAGAGGGACTGGGATTGGGCTCTTAGTGATGACTTTTAATGTGGATTCATCTGCATTTTCTCTAGAAATTCTTTAAACTCTCTGCCTCTCAGCTGGCACTATTCCATGGTATTTTAGTGCTAATGGGGGATCTTTTCTAATTTTTGTTTTTCTTTGACTGTTTAAATCATTTACTGGAAAGAGGGCTTAGATATCTGCTCATATGCTCCTGCTAGTCTACAAGTCCTCCAGCCTGATTTTGTTCATGAACATGATGGAAATAAGCTTCTTAAATGCCTTTAATATTGGATACTGCTTTCAAGGAAATTTAAAATAGCAAGCAGGCTTTCAAGAAGAGAGAATAAATTATCAGCCAGTCTCGCAAGAACAAAAATAAGCCAAGTCATATAAAACAAGTTTGGAGTAAACTTGTTTTTACATTTCAAATTCGAGTTGAACTCTTCAAGTGAAGCTTCAGAGATATAAAAAACTTTAACTGATAAAGATTCCAAACATTAATATATGGAAATGTATGAGCTCACTGAAAATTTTACATAAATTTTACTAGAAGAGGTGACTGACCAGTTGCTTTTATAAGATTCTCAAAAAGATCTCAAATCTTAGGGACTAATATTGTAAGTATACGGGGAAATTAAGACAAAGATTTACTATCTTGTGAGTTTTTAGTTTGGATAATGAACTTAATTTCACAAGAAATTGCTTTAGCACAAACATGAAAACCTTAAGCATGAGAACTCTCCTTTTGAAGTACAAAGGGAGACTAAAGTGAATAACTCAAACTGGAAATGTAGAAAATTGAATTTGCTATGATTTGAAGTCCTTTCAGAATAGCCAACAGATTTTAAACAAGAGTTTTATTGCATAGTTTCTTTGGGATATACATTGAAGGAGAAAGGAGGAGGGAGTTTTAAAAGACAAGTGGAAAGCCCTTTCTGCTTGTTTTGGCTATGGCTTCCATTTCAGTGTCTGTATTTAAGGGATCATAAAAGGAACTGGAAAGACTGGTCACAATGGCAGCTCTGTACCTGTATGATTTCGGATGTGAAAAGAGTTTAGCGATTTCCTTGTTAACCTATACTGCTGTGGAAGTCATTCATTATGCAGTTAGGCATTAGCAGAACAAATAAAGTTCACAGCTCTAGGAACCAAATTTAACTTTATCACTCTTCTGATTTAGAATATTTTCATATGCTTTCATATGTCCTACAGACGATAAGAAGATAGAATCAATACTTGGTGATTGATAGGTTATTTTTTAAAAGGGAAGAAAGAATTAAACATCCATGGTTTCTTCTTAAGTAACTGGGGGGATGATAGTATCCCTCACACCAATGGGGAGTATAGATGACAGGTTTGGAGTGAAAGACAGTGAATTCCATTTTGGATAAGTTGAATTTGAAGTGCCTATGGGACATACAGGTACAGATGACTAGGAGACAATTGAAAATCCAAATTGTGAACTCTGCTGAAGATTAGAAGTACAGATCTGAGATTAAATTGCTACTTGAGTTCATGGGAATAAAATAGGTCATTCTGCAAATGGTTATCTCAATATCTTCCTGGCCATCTCTTGGGTCACCTTGCCAACTTTTCATTCTCTTTACAATCTCTAAATTCTCATGTTTTTAAGGCTCTCATCTTAGGCCAACTTATCTTGGGTCACCTTGCTAACTTTTCATTCTCTTTACAGTCTCTAAATTTGTGCTTTTAAGGCCCCATTCTCAAGCTGGCTTCTCTGTTTTGGTGGGAACTGGTAGCAAACATTCATTTGTAAACAACCCAAATGGCTAGCATTGAGCAGGACTCCCCAACATACTCCTCTGAATTACATTTTGAGTTATCTGAAGGATCAATATCTCAAACTAGGAAACTGTAGCTTTCTCATTTATTTTCATCATCTAATTATTTTTCTTGCCTTTAAGTATAAGGGATAGAGACTTGATTGATTTTTATGTACAACAAGTTAAAAAATTTAATTAGGCGTCTTTGCCATTTAATCAGTTTATACTTCTTGAATCTTTTCCAGTCATCAAAAAGTTGCTGAGCATGCGCAGCTTTACTTACTAGCTTATAGCATGAAGAAGAGTAAAATAGGAGTGGATAAAGGCACAGTGGTGAGTAGTCAGTGTTTCCAATTAATCTCAAAGTTTAGGATTAATTTAGCGTGAATTCTGTTCTTTTGTGTCTTCCTGCTTTTTGACGTGGTAACCTGCCATAACAAAAGGAAACAGCAGGAAACTTGGTACCAATTAAAACAGTCTTCTTCCCCCAAAGAACGAACTGTCAGCAAACAATCTCAAATTCAAAGTGATAAGTGTTTTAGAGTGAAACAAGGATAAAGAGACAAGGCTATTAAATTTTAACATCTGCTGGAACACAAAGCGCATGCCAGTAGAATTAAGTTTGGCATTTAATAAGATACAATTTGCACATCAGAAATGAAATAGATGCCTCAAGGCATGGTATATATATATATATATATATATATATATATATATATATATATATATATGTTTGAGCGAGGGGCACTTCTAGCAAAACTGAATACACTGGTATAAATGTCTGCGTGAAAATTTTTTTATCCATTCACTTTTGGTGTGTATTCCAGCTGTGAGTTATTCAACCAGGCTCACTAAGTTTGAGTCTGATTAATAACGTTTAAGGTCACATCTGATTAACAGTATTTGAAGTTTGAATTTGTTCTAAGATGACTCAAGCGCAATAACATTTTCTATATCAAAATGAATTTCCATCCAAATAGGGAGGAAATCTGAAATTTCAGTTCCAGTGTTGACTGAGATGCTCTGGATGAGCCTGGACTCAGAGCTCACCAACTTTGGATCTTTATGTTAAGTAGTCAGTGGGGTTGACTTCTAGACTAGAGATCAAAATGTTCTACACCTCTTGATATAGGTCAGTGGCTGATGTAATGTGCTTCCAACAACTTTCTTTTAACTAAAACAGTACATATACCAAGTTGGTTTGTCACAATGGGAACAAAACAGAAATCTGACAACAGATTTCTCTAATTTTTTGTGTGTATGTTTCTGAATGGGCTAAAATACATAATTTTACTCTTCCTTGGTGAAGATGCTTTTATAAGAGGACGTGTTTAAGAAAATTAAGAAATGTTGTAGGTAGCCATGAAAGAATTATTTTAAACAGAATTAGTATAGAGGTGTGAAGATCTACTGAAGGGTGATAAGTAAGTGTGGAAGAGATGGTGTTCAGCATTGGGCTTCAGTATGAATAGGTAGAAGATGAGCAAGGCTTAGAGACAAGAAGTTCATTCAATAGGCTGTTGCGGTTATCCAGCAATGAGATGGTGACAGCATGAGCCATGGTAGTAAAAGTAAGGACATGGATAATTTGTGGGTTCTACAGACAATAAGAACATAGAACCGATAGGTTATTTTTTAAACGGGAAGAAAGAATTAAACATCCATGGTTTCTTCTTAAGTAACTGCGTGGATGATAGTACCCCTCACACTGATGGGGAATGTAGATGACAGGTTTGGAGTGAAAGAATGAATTCCATTTTGGATAAGTAGAGTTTGAAGTGCCTATGGGACATACAGGTACAGATGACTAGGAGACGATTGAAAATCCAAATTGTGAACTCTGCTGAAGGTTAGAAGTATAGATCTGAGATTGAATTGCTACTTGAGTTCATGGGAATAAAATAGGTCATTCAGTAAATTGTTATCTCAATATCTTCCTGGCCATCTCTTGGGTCACCTTGTTGACTTTTCATTCTCTTTACAATGTCAAAATTCTGGTGTTTTTAAGGCCCCAATCTCAGGCTGGCTTCTCCAACTGTACTCTTACTTGGGATGATCTTATCTAGTCATGGGGCATTAAATACCATTGGTAGGTTAACACAGTTCACAATTTTCTCCAGCTTAGACCCCTTGCTGATTTCCTGACTTGTACACTCAACTGCCTGCCTAATATACCCACTTTAATGATAATGTACATCTCAAACTGAGCTTATTCGAAATAGAAGCCTTAATTTTTCTGTCAGTCATATTGTTCCCATTTACCCATCCTAACAAATAGCACCATCATCAACCTTTTAGCTCAAGACAAAACTCTAGGCATTATCTTGCTTTCATTCCTTTCATGTACTTTCTCACATCTAATCCATTACCAAGTTGTTCTGTTTCTGCCTTCAAAATGTGTCCTAAATTTATCCATTTCTCTGCCACTGCTATTCTCTAGTTCAGGACATTCTATCCTTTCTCTTGTATTACTGCGGTCTCTAAACTTCATGTATCTATGTTTTATACTTTTAATTCATTGTCTATACAGCTACCAGAGTGATCTTTTAAAGGTCTAAATCAGTTCATGTCACTGCTTTATATATAATGCACCTATGGCTTCCCACTGGATTTAAATAATAATCTTAACACTTTACTCCTCCATGGCCTTTACATACTTCTAGCCGCACCTCAAAACACTCCTCTTGTTCACTGAGAACTAACTAGACCAGTTTCTCTTCTCCTCAGCTATATCATGCTAATTTATGCTTCAGTGCCTTTTGTACTTTTGTTCCCTCTAGCTGAATCATTCTTCCAGGTCATTCTATCATTGGCTTTTTCATTCAGTTCAGATAGATATCAGCAAATCAAGAGAGTCTTTCCTTACCTGCTCTATCTAAATAGTCCTGTTTTAGTCCTCTTTATCTCATCACTCAGATTTATTTCCCTCATAGCACTCATCAGTCTGAAATTGTTTGTTTATTTGGCTACTTGTTTGTCTAGATAAACTTCACTGGTGAAGGAATCCAGACTATCTTGTTCATCCCTACATCCCTAGAACCTAGAACAATATGTTAAAGATAAATAAATAAATAGATGAAAGAATGTTGAAGAGAAGAGGGTCCAGTCCAGCCCCCTGAGGTGACCAGCATTTAGGGAATAAGCCGAGGCAGAGGAGGGCCATTAAGAAGGAGCAATGAGAGATAGAGGAAAACTAAGAACAAGGTGTCCCTAAAGTGAGAGTGTCCTAACACAGGTCTAAATGAAAGGATAGTTCAGAAGAGGGCACTGCAGCTGGCTGAAAGAGAACAAGAAAGGCTGTAAGGTGGAGGTGAATTTTTAATTGAGCCGTGAAAGATAGGGAAATTCTGTATGAAGGAGTAAATGGAGGCATAGAGGCATAGAGGCAGAAGATGCATGCCTGTTTGGGGAATAGTCATCCCATTTGTCTTTCACATATCTCATTTAATACTTCTCATTTAATCCTTTTAGTGTTAATGTTGTCACTAGATTAAAAAACAAAGGCTCCATCAGGATCACACAGTAAACAGAAGAATATGGATTTAAATGGAGATCTATCTGACTGCAAAGACTACTTACTGTAACTTAAGTCATTGAGATTCCTTATGGCCACCTCATATTCACCCTGCATATAACAGTATGCCAATGTAGGAATGAGGCGTGAATAAGCAGGGTAACAATAGAAACATATTCTCACCTTGATTATTCCTTTGGTAGCTTCAAGGGAAATTGAGTTTGAGGATAAAGTAACTCTTCCCATGTCAGCACTTTATCTGTCCTGAAACATGAGAAATTCCAAATGTTCAAGCCATGCAGTTTTTATCTAGTCAGATGGTTGAGAAGTCCAGGTTACCCATAGTTGTAATGAATACCTCCTCTTTATCTTCTTAATGTTCTGCTTTGCCAAATGATCTATAAAGATTACTCAGTGTACCTTTCAGATTGAGGTCCAGCAGACTTTCAGAACACTACATTTAATTACAGAAACCCAACTAATAAAATAATAAGCTCATGTTAGTTTCAGGTGTTGATTTGTTTTTAATGTAGTCAATAATATTTACATATAATGACTGGCAACTTAACAGAGTTATAATAGATTATTCACCTGTATTTGCCTTTATTTGTGGGTATACACACATATATACATGCCTTAAACTAGAGTAAAATCATTTATGCATACTAAATCAAATTTGAGAGTCCCAAAATTTTCAAATTGTGTATGGCTGGTCTATATTTTCTAGGACTGTCCTTTCTGGTTTAAATGAAATTAAAAATTGAATTAATGATATTAGTCTCTTTTAATTTTCTATTTTTTTCATGATTAAAAAATATTAATTTCCAGCCAGGTGCGGTAGCTCACGCCTGTAATCCCAGCACTTTGGGAGGCTGAGGCGGGTGGATCACCTGAAGTCAGGAGTTCAAAACCAGCCTGGCCAACATGGTGAAACCCTGTCTCTACTAAAAATACAAAAACTAGCCAGGCATGGTGGCACGTGCCTGTAGTCCCAGATACTTGGATGGCTGAGGCAGGAGAATCACTTGAACCCAGGAGGCGGAGGTTGCAGTGAGCTGAGATTGTGCCACTGCACTCTAGCCTGGTCGACAGAGTGAGAATCTGTCTCAGAGGAAAAAAAAAAATTAATTTTCCCCATTCCCCCACCCACCCACCAAAAGACTCCATTGGAGTTTTATTTTACAAATGCATCTGCTCATCTACTTCTTTTTAAGTGCATAAACTAGTTTTACAAGCTTGAGTTTAAATCTTAACTCCTCAATTCTTTTTCTGACATAGAAATATACAGGTGCATTATGAAATAGCTAATAGTGACTATTTTCTAGGGCTGTAACTCAATATTTATAAGCATAATGATATAACCTGCTGAAGTTTGACACGTCAGTATAGTTCTTTTGTTATTCTAAGTCATAAAGGCAGAATTTGGAAAAATTCACAGCTTTTCAAATATGCAGAAGAGGAAAAATTGAGAGGAAGCATACTAAAATTTCTTTAGCCAATTTTAATCAAATTGAGTTTGAAACTTACAGGATTATGCTTCAAAGCTTGTAATGATCGTCAAAAGTAGCCTTATTCAAAATGACACACTAATTTCTACCACATCTGTATTCTTCTCATTGTAAGATGTTACATATACCTATGCTTGACCAAATGGACTTCCTGCTATTTTAAGATATTTTTCTGTGTTTTAAGTCTTTCTACAAATTTTCTCAAGCATTTCCCTTTACCTAGGATGTTCTTCTTTCACTGCAAGTGAAGACATTCTAAAAATTCCTAAAGCACACTACCAAAAGCCCTTCATTTGGATGACCCACCTTCCTATGAGTCTCCATAGTTGCATGTCTGATGGCATTTATTTTAACTCTATGATCTGCTTCTAAATTAGATAAAAGCTCTCAGAGAGAACTATGACCAATTGTCATTCTGTTTCCCATGGCACCTAGTACAGTACTCTGCTCACAGGCTCAATAAGTAATGAGTTGAGCTACGTTTTTTTAAGGCAGAGTCTCCCTCTGTCGCCCAGGGTGGAGTACAGTGGTGCAATCTCTGCTCACTGCAACCTCTGCTGCTGGGTTCAAGTGATTCTCCTGTCTCAGACTCCCGAGTAGCTGGGACTATACCACCATGCCACCATGCCTGGCTAACTTTTAGTAGAAACAAGGTTTCACCATGTTGGCCAGGCTGGTCTCCAACTCCTGGCCTCAAGTGATCCACCTGCCTTGGCCTCATAAAGTGCTAGGACAAAAGTTTGCCATTGTCATGTTACGATATATATTGGTTTTTGTCCATGGTTTCTGGTTCATAGCTCCAATATCCCTTTTTACAGTCTTTTGTTAGAATGTGGGGTGTGTTGGACCTCGGGGCAGGCCTTAGAAAACAGAATCTCTCCTGCCTTCCTTTCACTTGTCCCCCGAGGGAGATTTTTTTTTTTTTTTTTTTTTTTGAGACAAGACTTCCCTGTGTCACCCAGGCTGGAGTGCAGTGGTGTGATCATAGCTCACCGCAGCCTCAGCCTCCTAGGTTCAAGCAATCCTCCCATCTCAGCCTCCCAAGTACCTGGGACTACAGGCACATGCCACCACACCTGGCATTTTTTTTTTTTTTTTTTTTTTTGTAGAGAGGTTTCGCCATGTTGCCCAGTCTGGCCTCCAGCTCCTGGGCTCAAGTGATCCACCCACCTTGGCTCAAACCACCACACCCAACCCTGAGGGAGATTCTAATCTTCCCCACCCTTCTGATTTTGAGTCTTAAAACCCCAGAGAAGGTCCCACCCTTTGCACTGGGGAAAGGAATGCTGATGATCATGAAGCCTCCATAAAAACTCAGGAGGATTGAGTCTGGGGAGCTTCTGGATAGCTGAACCAGTGGAGGTTCCTGGAAGGTGGCTCATCCAGGGAGGACTTAGAAGCTCCGTGCACTTTCCTTATACTTCACCCTAAGCATCTCTTCATCTGTATCCTTTGATAAACCAGCAAATATAAGTAAGTGTTTCTTGAGTTATGTGAGCTGCTTGACCAAACGTATTGAACCCAAAGAGGGTGTTGTGGGAACCCCAACTCGAAGCTGGTTGGTCAGAAGTTCTGGAGGCCTGGATTTGTGACTTGTGTCTGTGGCAGGAGCATCTTGGGAACTGAGCGTTTAATCTACGGGGTCTGACACTGTCTCCGGGAATTAAATTGGAGGACACCCAGCTAGTGTCTGCTGCTTGTTATTGGGGAGAAACCCTCACACATTTGGTCACAAGAGAGAAGTTTTCTGTTTTGAATATTGTTGTGATGTGAGAGCAGAGGAAAAATGCATTTTGGAGAGGTTTTTTCCTACACAGCCATAGGCAGTGATAAGAATATGATGCTTTTTTCCAGAAAATGCTACATGAGACCTTTTTATAAAATCTAATTTTCTTCAACTGAGTAGCATTTAAACTAAAAAGAATAGGTTATTTCAGTGTCTCTCTGTAATAACATCTTACAATCACTTGTCAGACCATGAAATAATGTTCTAGAAAATCAGTGAAAGAGCTTTTTAAACTTTGTGACATTTGACTTATATTTATTACCAAAAAGCCTGAATTATTATTCAGCACATTATAATTTTATTTAAAATTTAAATTAGAGATGAAATACTTGTAAATGTTTATAAGATTGGTAGCTGTGTGGGCTTCCAGAGTTAGAAATGCCTCTGAGAAAAGATTTAGAGTTTTGAAAGTATTTTGAAAAAAGAAACAGAAAGGAATACAACATTTTTCCCAGCACTGCTTCAATAATGCAGTCTTCAGCATCATCTCAAAGCAATAACTGCAGTACAGATGAGATCAGCCAGTTTTTTTTTCCCCCTTATCTGCAGTGATTTTACCATCTCTTCATGCTACATCTTACCACAAAGAGAACATTGAAACATGGGAAAGAGTTTGCTTTGATTTCAACCAGAATGCCAACTCATTTCTGGGGTTCTAAACCATAACCTTTTTTAGCAGAGCAGTGTAGAATTTTTATACGATACCATAAATGGTCGGCCTGAGTAACATTTTAACTGTAAGTCAATACCTTTGAAGAGACATGTCTGACAACTCAGAGTTCTATTTTCTCCATGTGTGACTAAAGTACCTTTTCTATTAAGAGATCAACCACCATTTCCTTCTACTCTTTGTTCTCCCCTTAAATAAAGTTAATTCAGCTTCAAAATATTTTATGATCTTGATTACTAACTGTGGGTCTTTAGAAGACAATGTAAAACATTTCCATGCTGTGAATATTAGAGCTAGTATACTTGGAGTTTGGCTAGTATTTCTGGGGGAGGTAGAAGAGGAGACATAGAGTACAAATGAGTATTTTTAAAGCCACGCTGACTAAAACAAAAGGAATGTTTTATACATGTTTATTTCATAGTACTTCTTTGAAACAGGTCGGGGGGAGGAGAGTTAAAATATTGCTTTGAATTTTAATCAAAGTTCTTTCATGGAATTGTTGGTGCTTCTGGTAATAACAGTTCTATAATCTTTGTGAGTTAATCTGAAATGCTCTTTTTCTTCATCGTAATTCAGTGCTTGTCTTAACTGGTGGACTTATTTTATGGTATTATGTTTATAAGATGGCAACTAAAATCAGATTTTTTATACTCCTAAAAGATGGATACGATAGAGGGGAAAGGGGGTAAGCTACAACTTTTAGGTTGTTGGTGATATTTGAAGTGTTTATTGCTTCTGATTTACATTTATATATTATATTCAAATATAAACTTTAAAAGTAATGATTTGCCACAGGTTAAAGCAGAACATTTATATGATATTTCCTAGATGTTTTCCTCTACAATCCTGTTTTTGTTCTATGAAAAATGCCATAAACTTGGATCATTCACTAATTAATTTGAAGCTGTTTTCAAACAAAAAGCTAATTCATCTTTTAGCGGATTTAGTTATAATCGTGATAACAGATGTATAGCTAAGTCTGTTGGACAAACTGTTGGTCACATCAATCTTAAATGCATCATACAGCGTGATGTGAATTTATGATATTTCCTAGGTAATGTTAAGGTTATATGGAAATTTCTTTGCAGGTAGTTAAGTCTTATTTTGAATTCAAATGTTATTTTCAATACATACGTGGAAGTGTATTTTTTGTTTGTCCTAAATGTTTAGATTTTTTGAGTTTACAATTTTTTTGTGTGTTCTTTCTTTGTTCTTGCCCCTCCCTGCATTCTCTATGAAGATACATGTCAGCACTATGCAACACTAAAATAACAATCAACCAAATTATATCCTATGAACAGACCTTTCTCTTCATTTCAAAGGCATAACTTGGATGGTCTGTTTAGCTCATGGTGAAAAAAAAAAGTTATGATTTTGTATTTGGGCAAAGTACAGGTGAAGAGCGTGAATCATTAGAACAGCAATATAACTGGAAGAAGATAGTTTAGTTTTTACAAGTTAAATTTGAAGCTAAAGCAAAACTTGCATAGGTATGTGTCCTTTGCTCTTGAAAATGAACTCAGAACTCTACATCTGAGTGGTTTTATGAATTTATACTCTCCTAGTCCACAGGTTCTCATCAGTGCCTCAAGATCTATGCACAGATTAAAATTACATAAGATATCATATACTACATCTGAATTAGGGTTTTCCAAAGTATGCTATTCCATGGAAATACTGTTTATTCAGGGTGCTCCATAAACAATGATCCTGTGTTTCATTATGTCCAGGAAATGCCACACAGCACCTTTCCAGACATCCTATCATCATATTAAAGACTTTGAGGCCATGCATTAAAGAAAGTTTTAAATTAGAAAAAAAATAAGTTTTCTTGCTTGAGCACAGAACTTTATTTTTTCTCAGGCTGGTTCTCCTTTTTTAAAATTACACGTTAATATCCCAAAGAACCAGTCCCATAGATAGATATCACATATGATAAGAATCTGTTTCAATGGTGTTGGTGTACATGTGTGTTCAGGTACCTACACATTAGGACACATCTCTAGTTTATTAATACTGCACTTATAAAGAGACATGGTAGAGACATCAAGAAGACATCATTTTAGGGTGGACACCATTGCCTAGGACCTGCTTCTTAATGTCAAAAATTCAGAAACCCAATTTTATCTCTCCCGCAGAGTTGACTCGAGTGAAGGAAATTGAGTTGTTTTAATTAAACTCACATGAGATTGATGTTTAAACAAAATTGTAAGTTTATCAATTAATAATCAAGAATTCTGATTTTTAATTTTCAAAATATTATTTATGTCCACTGTCCAGGGTACTTGCTTTAAGGGCACCCAGTGATTCTTGAAGATGAAGAGTCTTAGGAATATTTATTTTCTAGACCTCAATGAAGAAAGCTTTTTAATCATCCTGCCCCATAGAAGAATTTATGTTCCTAGTGATGTGATCATATTGGCCAATCCAGTGTTTCTTTTCCAAGGACAGTACTGATAAGGAGCACCAAATCTACCTCTTTGTCCTGAACAGATCATCTCCATCTATTCATAGTTTGGCTCAGAAGTTGGACAAGGCTGCATTTTATATCTACTTCTTCCTCATGTCGGCTATGCCATGCCGTTTCGTTCTTTTAGCTTGTTTACTTATGTGTAAAATGAGGTAAAAATTACACCCTTCAAACCGAAAGTGGTCTTCGTGATGAGTTATTTAATTGAAGCCCCAGTAGATATTTATCATTGCCAGTTTTAGAGAATCATAGCATTTTAGAACACAAGATGACCTTAGATGTAATCATGTTCATTCCCCTCGTATTATAAATTTTTAAAAATTGAGATGTGGGGTGGTTGTGACTTGCTCACAAACCCACATTTAGAACCAAAACTCAGCATTCTTGTTCTGACTGTGTCTATGTCCTGTAGGTATATGTCTTGTCTTCTCAGTTAAATAATTAAAGATTCTTAAAGATAGAGACCATATTTTATGCAACTTCTGGATCCCATAAATTATGTTTCCAGAAGAACCTTTTGTAATGAAAAAATATATATAATGTCTATATTATATATATAGTCTATTACTATTTTGATAATCTAAAACATGCTATATAATTTTAGGCGATCTTAACCTATTTATCAGAGCTTTTCAGATCAAAGAAAATTAGAGTAATCTTCATCATGTATGGGAACATTGATGTATTTTTCTGATGAACACATGGTTATATGATACTCTTTTAAAGCATCTGTATTACTCTTTCTTCTGATAGACTGGTTATTTTGTTTATGTTATGAAATAATGTTGGCAGCTTTTCATTAGAACTGATACATATTGAAATTTCTTAAATTGATAGCTCATGGATGTGCAGTTGGTTTAATGGCATCTCCATTATTAATCTTTAAGAAGATCTTCATCTTACTCTCAAAAATAACCGTAATATCCTACAAATTAACTAAAACATGATCATTGCTAGTTGTTCCAAAATAGGAAGAATAAAAATGACCAGATTGTTATGGTAACCAGTTGATTAAGACTAGATCAATAGGAAAACGAATTTATTCAAGTCTGTACAAAACTTCTCCAAAACATAGATGGCATGCCTTTTGAGGCAATGGTAGGGAACAAAATATTTTTGAGAAGGAGCAGATTTTAGGGATACAGTACAGTACATAATTGCCAAAATGCTTGTGTTACAAGGATTCCTGGTACAGAGTTTTTAAATAAAATGCTAGGTATGTCATGTTTGTTTCACATTAATATTGTAGAGTCCCCTGGGGATGTGACAATTTAGTTGACCAACTCTAATATAGTTAATTTCTACCTTTTGATAGCTTTGTGGGGTTTTGTTTGTTTGTTTTTTGTTTTGCCATTCTTGATTTTAGGGCTGAAGATATGAGACAATGTATCAAACAGTAAAGAATTATGCATTGATTAAGATCATCTTGGTGAATTAGATGTTTATTATATAACTCGACTTTAAGACTTTGTTCAGATCTCACTATCTTAATGAGATTTACCCTCATTATATAGTATTTAATAGGGCAACCACTCCCCGATACTCTTGATTCCTCGTTAGCTGCCCTATTATTTCTTTGTTTTTCCCTTAGCACTCAACATTTTCTTACCACACCACATAATTTACTTTCTTATTGTGTTTATTGTTTTTCTCCTCATTAGAATATCAGGTCCAAGAAGACAGGAGTATTTATCTCTTTTGTTCAGTGGTGTGTTACTGGTGACTACTAGAGTGCCTGACACATAGAATATGTTCAATAAATATTCGTTGCATGAAAGAATGAATACCTTGACAGATTATTTTTATAACTCTACCAGTGTCATTATATAACTACACTGAATGATTATGAGCCCTCCTAGAAATTACATAAAGTTCTTATATATTATTAGAACCCATTTGTTGGCCTTATGTAATGGTTCTATTGGAAAAATCATACCTCCGTATATAAAAATGAAAGTATTTTTTTTCTACAATTGCCCCTCATATATACTATTATAGTCTCCTTCACCCCATTCAGCCATTAATGTCTTCTTGACCAGGTAACATAATTTTTACAGCACCTTTTGGTTATTAGAACAATTTTATTTGTCTTTCAAACTCAGTCCTATTCATTTTAAAACTCCCAACTCAAGCCTGAGTCAGTGTTCTTCTCCCAGCACAAACTTAAACACTGGCTCCAACCCTTGGAGTTGAAAGTAGGGGAGCCTCACTCCTGATACCTCCCCTCCCCCTCTACCGTGAGCACCAGTGCCTAGGAGATTGGGCAGGACTGAGGAAGGATGAAAAGGAGCTCAGGGCTCCTTAAGCACCTGAACAAGACTGGAGGACTTTGGATGTTGCTATTTTTCTGCCTGGCATTGACTGGCTATTGGACGCCCTCTGTGAGGCAGGCATCCGAATACTGGCTTTCTTGACATATATGGAGCGTTCTTTAGAGAGGCCTACAAGGGCTCTCACTGCACAGTACCCTGATAGGAGAGATCTGTCCTTATTTCTTCTATCACCATAGCTACTTCAGCTTTGCCTGCTGAGTCCACCCCACAGTCTCTTTCTGCTGGGGCATCCTTGCCCTGGACAGATTCTTAGAGCATGACCAAGCCTAAACAACTTCTGCAATTTTTCTAAGTACACTTTTATTTAATTGAAAGTTTCAAGCATTGGATAATATAAATGTATCCTAGACAGTGTTCCAGTAAGGACAACCAGCTCACAATTATCCATTCTAATAATGGGAGTCAACTGAAATAGAAAAATATAGATTTTTAAAATAATTTATGAGAAACAAATATTTGTGACACAGTACATTTCTAATTATGTTTATCTTTATTATTATTATTATCGTTTCCTTCAGTACACACTAGTTTGGTGAGACTTGGAGAAAGGCCAGGAATAAGCCCAAATTCAAAAAACAATTCCAGGATTAACAGATAAGTGGATAATAGAGAATTGACAAAAGATCATGCTCATTTTACCAATAAGAAACTGGTTGGTTAACTTGGGTTGCAAACTGAAAGCAGATTTATACTAAACTGGCAGGTGTCTCCAGATCTTAAATGCAGATCTCTATCTCTGAGTTAATCTGCCTCTCATCTTCAATGGCATTCCTCTGAATTTTTCTCCCTCAAATAATCTATATATTATTAAATTTTGTTTATACTGCCATTTTAAGAAACAGATTTTAAAACTTTAAACATGGGAATTAAATAGGCCCTACTGAGGATTATGAAAAACCTGACAAAACCTCCTATGCACATGATTTAGATTAGGAGCAGTGCACACGCTGTATGTGTATGTGCAGCTACTTGTCCAATTAACACCTTTTCAGAAATGGAGGAACTTTCTCTGAGGACTTTGACATATTTGTGTGTTCAGCAGTCCTTTTTCTTTTTTTTTATTTTTTATTTTTTTATTATTATACTTTAAGTTTTAGGGTACATGGGCACAATGTGCAGGTTAGTTACATATGTATACATGTGCCATGCTGGTGCGCTGCACCCACTAACTCGTCATCTAGCATTAGGTGTATCTCCCAATGCTATCCCTCCCCCGTCCCCCCACCCCACAACAGTCCCCAGAGTGTGATGTTCCCCTTCCTGTGTCCATGTGTTCTCATTGTTCAATTCCCACCTATGAGTGAGAATATGCGGTGTTTGGTTTTTTGTTCTTGTGATAGTTTACTGAGAATGATGATTTCCAATTTCATCCATGTCCCTACAAAGGACATGAACTCATCATTTTTTATGGCTGCATAGTATTCCATGGTGTATATGTGCCACATTTTCTTAATCCAGTCTATCATTGTTGGACATTAGGGTTGGTTCCAAGTCTTTGCTATTGTGAATAGTGCCGCAATAAACATACGTGTGCATGTGTCTTTATAGCAGCATGATTTATAGTCCTTTGGGTATAAACCCAGTAATGGGATGGCTCAGTCAAATGGTATTTCTAGTTCTAGATCCCTGAGGAATCGCCACACTGACTTCCACAATGGTTGAACTAGTTTACAGTCCCACCAACAGCGTAAAAGTGTTCCTATTTCTCCACATCCTCTCCAGCACTTGTTGTGTCCTCACTTTTTAATGATCGCCATTCTAACTGGTGTGAGATGATATCTCATTGTGGTTTTGATTTTCATTTCTCTGATGGCCAGTGATGGTGAGCATTTTTTCATGTGTCTTTTGGCTGCATAAATGTCTTCTTTTGAGAAGTGTCTGTTCATGTGCTTCGCCCACTTTTTGATGGGATTGTTTGTTTTTTTCTTGTAAATTTGTTTGAGTTCTTTGTAGATTCTGGATATTAGCCCTTTGTCAGATGAGTAGGTTGCGAAAATTTTCTGCCATTTTGTGGGTTGCCTGTTCACTCTGATGGTAGTTCCTTTTGCTGTGCAGAAGCTCTTTAGTTTAATTAGATCCCATTTGTCAATTTTGGCTTTTGTTGCCATTGCTTTTGGTGTTTTAGACATGAAGTCCTTGCCCGTGCCTATGTCGTGAATGGTGTTGCCTAGGTTTTCTTCTAGGGTTTTTATGGTTTTAGGTCTAACGTTTAAGTCTTTAATCCATCTTGAATTGATTTTTGTATAAGGTGTAAGGAAGGGATCCAGTTTCAGCTTTCCACATATGGCTAGCCAGTTTTCCCAGCACCATTTATTAAATAGGGAATCCTTTCCCCATTTCTTGTTTTTCTCAGGTTTGTCAAAGATCAGATAGTTGTAGATATGTGGCCTTATTTCTGAGGGCTCTGTTCTGTTCCATTGATCTATATCTCTGTTTTGGTACCAGCACCAGGACCATGCTCAGCAGTCCTTTTTCAAGAGATGTGAAGTACATCTTCACAGATTTTTAAATATTTAGATAGAAAGTTCTTACAGAATGAGAAATAAAAAGTTAGCTTTGCCTTAAAAATATTAATTCACCTTATATTCTCCATACTTAATCCATATAGGAAACATTATATTCCAGGTCTAACATGTGGCTTGCTTACATTAATTTTGCTGTTGAAAAATATATGTTTTGGATTATGTTTTTAAAATTTTAGCTTTAATATTTAAATATTAAATAATGTTAACTTTAAATTAACGAAGAATAGTTTTTAATTTTATAAGAAATGCCCTATAAAAAACACTTTCTTTACCTCAAGAGTGAGACTTGGCAACCATACCAATATTACATAGTAATTTTAAAGTCAAACGAAATGGAGAGAACTTAATAGATACAGAAGATAAGAATTTAAACTAACATTTTGCTCGGGATTTTAGAACACTATACAGAGGGAAATTTAGTAGACAATAATGAAGTCCATAGCATTGCACACATCTTGAAATAAGTGTATAATTGACACAAGCTATGTCCCATGTTGATAGGAAGAATCCAAAATAGTTTTGGAGAATAATGCCATCTATGCAGGAGGTGTGGCCATATACATCATCTTTACTCAGTGTTTTTCATGTCAATAAATATTTAATTCCTAACACTCTGAATTACTAATAGAGGTGAAGCCTGTCAGTGGAAGTGACAGAGAGATACACAGTGATTCCCGTAAGTTTGATCCTGAAACACAGTGCCTTTAGCAGATATAGTTCCCATAAGCAAGCAGTCTGAAGTATTTACCCTCAGTAATCTGAATGTATAAATAAACAGGATTCATGATGGTAGAGTAATTTATATATACTTGTAGTATTAGGACATGCAAAACTTATTTTATGGAAAAAAATAATTTACTACCTTATAGTATGGCAACTATACAAATCTATAAATTGACTCTTTTGTCCCCTTGAAAAAAAGCTGACATAAAATTTAAATGATGTGTATTTTTTCTTAGAGCAATAAAAGATATACCCCCACCTAGAAAAGCAATAAACCAAAAAATAAAACAAAAACAAAATCAAGCCCTCTTCACAAATTTGAGCATATCTACAGCTTTATGTGGTGAGAGATACAGCTACCATTCTTGAGTAATCCGAAGAGTCAAATGGTATGGAGCAAAATTACAGTCCTAAATGCATATTGGTGAAATGAGATGCTGATCCATTTGCACACTAATGTGCTATTTTTAAGTCATGCATCATAGCATCTTCAAAGAGGCCTGTCATAATTATGATGGATTAGACTGCAGAGTCAGTCCTAGATGCAGTAATTGTTTCACAGATGCTGCCAATGCGACTAGAATTTATAATAAATTATTTTCAGAGAGGCGGGAGAAGGAACAAAATCAAAGGAAAACTGCTGTGGCTAAAACCTGTTTTGGTCTTAGGAAACCAAAATGTTAGCTAGTAGTCAAAAGGCCAGTATTTTCAACTGAGATAAACATGCTTCATTAATACATGCCTCTGACATAGAAGATAAAGGTTAACATAATTGACATATCAGCCAGTCTCTCTCTCTCTCTCTCTCTCTCTCTCTCTCTCTCTCTCTCTGTCTCGTAGCTTATGAAAATTTATTCTGGGGCATTAGCTGAAATTATTGAGTGGCCATATAATTGTTGCATGTTTCTATTTATGTTAAATTGCCTGGTTATAATTTGACCTTTAGAATTTCTGAAAAAAATGGTGGTATTTATAGTAAATAGAAATATTCTTTTTGGTTCCTTGGAAGCCCATGCATTACAAAGAACATTAGATTATTGGAATAAAAGGATAGACATACATAATATGACTAGTGGGATCTAAATTATAACCTTTTAAAATTGTAATTTAATTAGTCTGTCATTTAGGCAAATGATAATTTCTAAAACTGCCTTTTTAGACTTAAAAAAATACCAAAGTTCTTATAACTTTAGCATTATGTTTTGTTCATTCTTAAAGTTTAATTCACTTTGTTGCCTTTTTGGTAAACCTATGAAGAAATCTCATGCTGCACCATATAGTAAAAAATCGTGTGTGTGTGTGTGTGTGTGTGTGATTTGAATAATGAGCTATGTGTTATATTTTGATAAGCAAAGATAAGTTTATAGTGAAGCAGATAAACATGCCATGTATTTTCCTAGGTTAAGGGTTCAATAATCAGAAGAGCTTCTACAACTCATTTGCCTTCTCACTAGTTTTTTTGAAATTGCGCTCTATGAGTTTTTTATGTGGTGTTCTCTGTACTTGCTGACTACTGATGCACATTTCTCCTTAGGTCACTGGTTCTCCTCCCTCAGCAATGTTGTAGGTAGCTTTGATGAACATTCGTTGTCAGCCTTTTACCTTTGACTTAGTGTTTTTCTCTCATACTACGGCAAGAAGAAATGAAGTTAAATTTTACAAGAGTGACTTGGGTGGCTGATATGCCCACATTGACAGGGACAAGAGCTCTAGTCTTCCCCTCTCCTGTATTCCCATGGCACTTCAGTAGTCTCATTGCCTCAACATAACCACAGTTCAGGGCAGTAGAGGATGTTTGCATCTTTGTGTTAGCTCCATGCCATGGCAACTGCACTGAGTGAGGATTCAACTCAGTGCAGCAGGACTGAAAAAATAAATGAACTAATGTGTCTTGAGCTCCAATTCTCTGAGTGACATTATCAGGGGAGATTCATAAATCATCCTCAAATATTCTAGAGAAAAATCATCAGCAGTCCAGCATTGCAAAGATAATCTGGGAAGGTGGCAAAGAAGGGATCAGAATAACTCTGTGGCAGCTTCAAATTCCATGTCCTAAAAGTTTACGTTTTCTTTTTTATTCTATCCCAAACCACATAAAGAAATGATTTGTTGGCAAAAGACATGCAAAATGCCCTTAATCATCTTAATAATTACAGACCTACAGATACGTAGCCAAAATACTTGTTTTTTAATCCTAAACCTTAAAAAAAAAGCTTAAATTGTTGGCTAAATGTGAATTTAATAACAAAACTTACTCCTTTAATTATGCACTTGTCTTAGTATTGTGTGGTGGGAAGAGCTTTAGAGAGCTGCCAGAGTGCTTAGGCCTAGTCCCTGTGGGAGCCTCTGTTTTGGTGCTTCACCATGGGCAGATTCCTCAGTTTTCACATCTTTAAAATGAGAAAATGGTACTAGATCCTTGCTGCTACTCTGAAATGTTTATACATTGTTAGGACCATTGTTACATATTATTACTTATATTTGAGTGTCACCTTAGAATTTCTTAGCCGTGTGATATGGTTTGGTTGTTGGCTCCTCTAAATCTCCTGTTGAAATATAATCCCCAGTGTTGGAGGTGGGGGCCTGGTGGGAAGTGTTTGGATTATTGGGGCAGATCCCTCATGGCATGGTGCTGTCCTCCTGATAGTGAGTTCTCAAGAGATCTGGTTAAGGGTGTGTGGCACGTCCCCCTCCCTGTCTCCTTCCCTCCCTCTCTCCTTCCCTCCCTCTGTCCTTCCCTCCCTCTTCCTCCCTCTTCCTCTCTCTTTTTCTCCCACTCCAGCCATGTTAGATGCCTGCTCCCCTTTTGCTTTCTGCCATGATTATAAGTTTTGTAAGGCCTCACCCAAAGCAGATGCCAGTGCTTTGCCTCCTATACAGCCTGCAGAACCATGAGCCAATTAAACCTATTTTCTTATAAATTACCCAGACAGCTATTTCTTTATAGCAACTCAAAAACAGCCTAACATACCTTTCAAAAGGTTAAAATGCTATTTAGTCATTCCAGAAGCAAGATCTCTTTGTCCAGAATTCTGGAAATAAAGATGCCAAAATAATATGGCATGTATTTGATCTCAGGGAATTTTCATTTTTTCAAAAGGAGGAAAAAAGAGTAATATAATTTTTTAATATTTTGGTAGCTCTAACAGTGCTTAGAACCAGTTCTCAAGAGCACATTGTGAAACTTTCAGGAATTGCATGAGCTGTAGGTTGATAACATGATGCCAGCTATAACCCATAAGAGCATCTCCTGAGGAATATGTTAAAAACTGTATTCATTCTTAAATTTTAACTAAATGCAATGAGTGAAGTATTGACATCATGAAAATCATCCCTGGGTAAACAATTAGTCACTCCAGGTTTTCCCAAAGGTTCTTCTGTCTCTGTTCTTGTATATAAACTTCGTAACCAGTTTAACAACCCCAAAAAAGGCCTTAATTTTGATTGGCCAGCATCCTCTTAGGAAAGACATTGCCATCCTCTTGTAAAGTTGCTTCTCATTCTAAAATAAGAATTGTTTCCATCTAGGGAATGATTTTTATAGGTAGAATCTTATTTGGCATGGACTCTTTTGCATACAGTGAATTACAATGTGTAGACCTTCAATAGCAAGGTGTTTGAATATTTAGTTGCACAATAGAGCAGTATCTTAATATTGTATACCATATTAATTTTGTGTTCTCTGGTGTAAGAAAAAATAGAAGGATGTTTAATTTCAACTAAAAAATCAATCATGATAATTCAAAATATTTCTGATGAGTCATTTATAAGAGCAGATATGAATTAAAATTATATTTTTGTTCTTAGTCTCTGAGAAGCAAAAATCACACAAATAATCTCCATAGCAAAAATTTATATTTATCTGAAAAACAGTTTAACTTTGAAAAACTTTTCTTTGCAATCATTTAAATTCATAAAAAAAATTCATTAACTCTACTTTCACTGAATAGCAGGTGAATAGCAGGTCAATATCTACAAAAATTCATCTTTGAAGATTTTTTTATCTTACGCAAAAATTATTGACTTCATGTAGACTTTTTATGCAAGCTTGAAAACACTGTGTAAATGACCCCATAAAAACTACAGCATGAAAGCTTTTTCAGTATTTCTACAATGAGCAAAATGCATAGGTCTCATTTCCTTCTCTTTTATTAAGCAAAATAATACTTTATCAACATCAGTATGCAAGCACTAAGAGCTTGAAAGAGTACTGTGCAAGTGGGTTACTGGATCATAATATTCCAGGGTATGTATATAAAAAGTGTGATTTAGCACATATTAAAGTAAAAGAAAATATTGCATTTTTCTCCTTCTAAAATGGCAGTTTATTAGTTTAAATTTCCTGAAATAAGATTTAAAGACCAATAACAAATTTTCCTCATTCTAACATATAACTTTCCTGCCCTTCTTGTGAAAAAGTTAACCATTAAACTTTTCACACAAATGGTTGTATAAAGGACTTGCTGTCACAGACAAAATAGTTCTGTATAATGTTTAAAAATGGCCATTGTGTTTAAAACTCCATATTGAAATACATTTCTTTTTTAGTCACCTTCATTTCTTAGTAGCTATTATTATACTCAAAGGATTTGCCCTTGACACTTTAAAGAATGTCCAAAATTATGTGGAATGGATTATAATAAAAGATAATATATTAAATGCTTAAAATATTTTATACCTTAGAAAGTAGAAAAACATGTATTATGTACAGATCCTACAAATTTTATATAATTTATCATAAATGTACACATGTATATACATGTAAATACCTTTTGATTGCTCTGTATATGAATTGGTGTTTTACAGTTACCAAAAGAAAAGTGCCTTTTTTTGGTAGTATCTGGACAGGTAATTGACTTTCTTTCTGCAGGATTTATTTAGATTTATGTCTATGCTCCTTAATTTTTGAAAAGTGATAGTGTCCTGATTTTGGAGAAGCCTCTCATATCAAAGACTACAAATCAATTTTCATGATTTTAAAACCTAAAGTTTCTTTATTAGGTGTTATTGATGATTAAAAGCCATTGTCTCACCCAAATTTTCTACTTGTTCAATAGAAACATAATGTAAGCCACATGGAATTTTACATTTTCTAGTACTCACATTAAAACAAGTGAAAAAGAAACAAATTGATGATACGTTTGATTTAACCCAATACATTTAAAATAGTTCAACATGTATTAAATATTTTTTGAGTATTTTTGTGTTTTTTTAACACTAAATCTTTGAAATCCAAACTAAATGTTTTCATAGATACCACATCTCAATTTGGACTAGACACATTTTAAGGGCTCAATAGCTATATGTGACTAGTCACTGTTGGATGATGTATATCTAGACCATCTCTTAATGTATGGAAGGAAGTAAATCTAGCAGAAATAAAAACATCACTTTGTTTTCTTTGTCCAATATGAGTTATAACTTTATTTTTTTGAGACAGAGTCTCGCTCTGTTGCCAGGCTGGAGTGCAGTGGCGCGATCTCGGCTCACTGCAACCTCCGCCTCCTGGGTTCAAATGATTCTCCTGCCTCAGCCTCCCAAGTAACTGGGACTACAGGCATGCGCCACCATGCCCAGCTACTTTTTGTATTTTTAGTAGTGGCGGTGTTTGACCACGTTGGCCAAGATGGTCTCGATCTCTTGACCTCGTGATCTGCCTGCCTCAGCCTCCCAAAGTGCTGGGACTACAGGCGTGAGCCACCGTGCCTGGCCTTTTATTTTATTTATTAAGTAATACACATGCTTGGAAGTTATTTAAAAAAAAAAAAAAGGAATAGTTAAAAGTAATCCCCCTCCCAGTGCTTTTCTCCAGCTGCCCCATTCCTTTTCCTGGAGGCAAATTATTATGGCCAGTTCATTATATATTCTCCAGAGATGATTTTTTTTTATTTTACAAAGGTATAGGTTGTAGCATTCTTATATAAACTGTTGTGTAGCTTCCTTTATTCCATTTAATTACTGGGAGATACTTCCATCTGAAAATATAGAGATACTAATTTTAATAGCTACATGGTATTATATTGTGTGGCTGTACCATAAATTATTTAACATAACCCTTATTGATGTAGGTTGTTTCTAACCTTTTATTACTGCAAAAGATTGTGCCTACATCATTTAATGTATATATGAGCATATTTGTCAGATATATATATATATATTTTTTGAGACAGTGTCTCACTCTGTCACCCAGGCTGGAGTGCAGCATCACAATCTCACCTCACTGCAGTGTCCACCTCCTGGGTTCAGGTGATTCTTCTTCCTCAGCCTCCCAAGTAACTGGGATTACAGGTGCCTACCACCATGCCCTGCTAATTTTTGTATCTTTTTAGGAGAGACGGGATTTCACCATGTTGGCCAGGTTGGTCTAGAACTCCTGGCCTCAGGTGATCCACTGGCCTTAGCTTCCCAAAGTGCTGGGATTATAGGCGTGAGCTACCACACCCAGCCTGTCAGATAAATTCTTAAAAGGGTCAAGGAAAGTGTTTCTGAAATTTTATACATATTGCCAAATTGTCATCCTACATGATATTTGTGGCAGTTTTGACTCTCAAAAGCCACATGAGAGAGTATCTGTTTTCCCACATGCTTGCCAAACATAGTATAGTATCAAGCTTACTGATCTTCACTAATTGGAGAAGAGAAAAAAACTGTACCTTGTTGCAGTTTTAATTTGCATTTCTTTTTATGAGCAATAGTAGATATCTTCTTAAATACTTAAGAGCCATTCACATTTCATTTTCTATGAACTGTCCATGTCCCTTGTCCATTTTTTAGTATGTGGTTATTCATTTATTTGTAGGCGTCCTATATGTTAAGAAAAGTTTTATACAACTTTTAACTCTTTTTACATGTTTATTTTGGCACATATAAATTTTAGCAAACTTTCCCATCTTTTATGACTTCTAGATTTTGTTTCACAAAAAAAGAGCTTAGCCAGTCATTAGATTTTTTTAAGTTTTCTCAGATTGTTTTTAACTTTTGGGGGGGTTTTATTTCCTGTATTCAAATATTAAATTCATCTAGAATTTATCTTAAAGTGTAAGGGAATGATCCCACTTTATCATTTTTTCAGGAGATTACCCAGTTGTTCTAATATCAAGTATGTCTTTGAAATCCCATCCTTATCTTGTAGCATATTTCTGTGGTTTGGGTCTATTTTTGAACATTCTGTTTTATTCCATTGATCATATTAATATTATATGTGCAAACACAAACTATTTTAAGTATAGTAGCTTTGTTGCTTTTAAATATCTTTTAATTTGGCTACTAGGCCCCATACAATTCTTTTTCAGAATATTCCTGGCTACCCAATTTGTTTATTTTTCCAAATGAACTTTGGAGTCAACTTCCTTAATTCCTCAAAATATTCTGCAAGTACTTTTAGTAAGAGTATATTAAGTGAATAATTTGACAACTATCTAAGAACATATTATAGCTTTTCCCTTGTTTTGTTTTTGTACTTATATATTAGTATAGTTTTAAAGTTATATTAAAATAGGTCTTCCACATTTTAAAAACTTATTCCTAGTGTATTAATTTCTTCTATTATAACTACAGTATTTTATTCCAGTAAAACTTCTGACTGGTTGATGCTCTTATAAATCAAGGCTATAAATTTTTCTTCAGCTACTTTGCTGAATTCTCACAAACTGTAACCATTTTTTACTTGATTCTCTAGGTTGACCAGTATATAATCTTTTTATCTGTAAACAATAACTTTAGCGTTGCTTTCAACATCTATATTCTTATTCTATTTCATTTTTCTTGTTTATCAAGAAATAGCTGTTTTAATAGAGTTGTTTTTCGCCCAAAAAGAAAATAGTCTTTCTTTTTCTACTTATATCTTTAAAATAAATGTAATGAGAAAGACTGTGGGAAAATAAAGCAGACACCTTATACAATGGATTAATTTTTTTAGTGCCATTTCTTCTGGCTTTCTCTATTATTGGGACTCTGAAATCTTCGTTAGTACTACTCTCAAAAATGTTCGAATGAATGCAATCAGATTCAAGGGTACAAGTGCAGGTTATATAGGTGAATTGCATGCCTTGGGGGTTTGGTGTACAGACTATTTTGTCACCCAGGTAATAAGCGTAGTACTTAATAGGTAGTTTTTTGATCCTCTCCCTTCTCCCATCCTCAAAGTATCCCTGCTGTCTGTTGTTCCCCCTCTTTGTGTCCATGTGTTCTTGCTGTTTAGCTGCCACTTAAGAGAACATGTGGTATTTTTCTGTTCCTTTGTTAGTTTGTTTAGGATAATGGCCTCCAGCTCCATCCATGTTGCTGCACAGAACACGATTTTGTGTTTCTTTATGGCTGTGTAGTATTCCATGGTGTATATGTAACACTTTCTTTATCCAGTCTACTACTTACGGACATTTAGGTTGATTCCATGTCTTCGCTATCATTAATAGTGCTGTGATGAACATACGTGTGCAATATGCCTTTATGGTAGAATGATTTATATCCCTTTGGGTAATATGCCGAATAATGGGATTGCTCGGTCAGATGGCAATTCTAAGTCCTCTGAAATTACCGCACTGCTTTCCACAACAGCTGAACTAGTTTACATTCCCACAAGCAATAAGGGGATAAGTGTTCCCTTTTCTCTGCAGGAATGATTAATTCTTTTAGAGAGTCAAAGATGGAATCCTAGGGAAGATGATATCTGAGGCAGGTTTAGAGTCATTGGGCAAATAAGGGGATTAAGAAGGCATTCTAGGCAGACAGAAAACCAAAGGCATGAAGCTCTGAAACAGCTTACTATGTTTGGATATTTATAAGCTGTTGTTATTGTTGGAGTATAAACTGTAAGAGAGAGTAGGAGGACAGAAAAAACAGCCTGTATGCGGGGGGAAGAAAACATTTAAACAGAAATTCTCAAAAGATTTGGGCAGCCAGCCCCTCTAGAGAAAAACATAGAATCACCTAGAAAGGGTTTTTCATAAAGTACACTTTTCATCACCCCTATTCTGTCACCTGGAATATTGATAACACTGAAGGGAGTGTGCCTTATCTCTCAGGTGTATTTGGATGAAATAGTTTGAGAACCATGCAGGCAAGTTTAAGCCAGTGTGTTAAAGAGAATATGACATCAGATTTGCATTTTACAATCTTCCTTTTGATAACAAAGGGAACCTTAAAGGGCTGGAGGGGAAGGGCAGACGGGGCTAGGGGAGGAGAACCCTTTTAAAAAGCTACTGCAGGTGGGGTGCGGTGGCTCACACCTGTAATCCCAGCACTTTGGGAGGCCAAGGCAGGCAGATCACCTGAGGTCAGGAGTTCAAGACCAGCCTGGCCAACATAGTAAAACCCCATCTCTACTAAAAATACAAAAATTAGCTAGGCATGGTAGCAGGCACCTGTAATCTCAGCTACTTGGGAGGCTGAGGCAGGAGAATTGCTTGAACCTGGGAGGCAGAGGTTGCAGTGAGCCAAGATTGTGCCGCTGCACTCCAGCCTGGGCAAGAGAGTGAGACTCCATCTCAAAAAAAAAAAAAAAAAAGCTACTGCAGTAGATCAGGAGGAGGCACAGTGATAAAGAGAAGATCTGAGCTATGAAGTGGCAGTCAAGATGATTAAAGGAATATATAGGAAGTACAGTTGATAGAACTTAGCAAGTGATTAGGTAAATGAAGTGCTAGAGAAAATAAAGGGGATATTTTTCAATTGTTTTTAGCATTTTGGCAAAAAATTATTTAGGAATGAAATTGATGCTAGTAACTAAGAGTATGAACTTCCCACATTAGCTGGTAATTTTGATCACCCTTGTTCTCCATGACCATAAATATTTTAGAGTTGCTATGAAGACAAGAATGTTTATTTCCTGAGTAGCTGTCAGTTGTCACTATGAAACATGAAAATAAATATCAGTTTGCTATGTCTAGGTATTCCGATATTTATCCACAATTATTCCTTAAGATATATTAGTATTTTTATAGATAGATAGATAGATAGATAGAAATAAACACATTTTAATTTTTGTTTCCATGCTCTTTAGAATTCAACTAGAGGGCAGCCTTGTGGATGGCCCCGAAGCAAGCCTGATGGAACAGGATAGAACCAACCATGTTGAGGGCAACAGACTAAGTCCATTCCTGATACCATCACCTCCCATTTGCCAGACAGAACCTCTGGCTACAAAGCTCCAGAATGGAAGCCCACTGCCTGAGAGAGCTCATCCAGAAGTAAATGGAGACACCAAGTGGCACTCTTTCAAAAGTTATTATGGAATACCCTGTATGAAGGGAAGCCAGAATAGTCGTGTGAGTCCTGACTTTACACAAGAAAGTAGAGGGTATTCCAAGTGTTTGCAAAATGGAGGAATAAAACGCACAGTTAGTGAACCTTCTCTCTCTGGGCTCCTTCAGATCAAGAAATTGAAACAAGACCAAAAGGCTAATGGAGAAAGACGTAACTTCGGGGTAAGCCAAGAAAGAAATCCAGGTGAAAGCAGTCAACCAAATGTCTCCGATTTGAGTGATAAGAAAGAATCTGTGAGTTCTGTAGCCCAAGAAAATGCAGTTAAAGATTTCACCAGTTTTTCAACACATAACTGCAGTGGGCCTGAAAATCCAGAGCTTCAGATTCTGAATGAGCAGGAGGGGAAAAGTGCTAATTACCATGACAAGAACATTGTATTACTTAAAAACAAGGCAGTGCTAATGCCTAATGGTGCTACAGTTTCTGCCTCTTCCGTGGAACACACACATGGTGAACTCCTGGAAAAAACACTGTCTCAATATTATCCAGATTGTGTTTCCATTGCGGTGCAGAAAACCACATCTCACATAAATGCCATTAACAGTCAGGCTACTAATGAGTTGTCCTGTGAGATCACTCACCCATCGCATACCTCAGGGCAGATCAATTCCGCACAGACCTCTAACTCTGAGCTGCCTCCAAAGCCAGCTGCAGTGGTGAGTGAGGCCTGTGATGCTGATGATGCTGATAATGCCAGTAAACTAGCTGCAATGCTAAATACCTGTTCCTTTCAGAAACCAGAACAACTACAACAACAAAAATCAGTTTTTGAGATATGCCCATCTCCTGCAGAAAATAACATCCAGGGAACCACAAAGCTAGCGTCTGGTGAAGAATTCTGTTCAGGTTCCAGCAGCAATTTGCAAGCTCCTGGTGGCAGCTCTGAACGGTATTTAAAACAAAATGAAATGAATGGTGCTTACTTCAAGCAAAGCTCAGTGTTCACTAAGGATTCCTTTTCTGCCACTACCACACCACCACCACCATCACAATTGCTTCTTTCTCCCCCTCCTCCTCTTCCACAGGTTCCTCAGCTTCCTTCAGAAGGAAAAAGCACTCTGAATGGTGGAGTTTTAGAAGAACACCACCACTACCCCAACCAAAGTAACACAACACTTTTAAGGGAAGTGAAAATAGAGGGTAAACCTGAGGCACCACCTTCCCAGAGTCCTAATCCATCTACACATGTATGCAGCCCTTCTCCGATGCTTTCTGAAAGGCCTCAGAATAATTGTGTGAACAGGAATGACATACAGACTGCAGGGACAATGACTGTTCCATTGTGTTCTGAGAAAACAAGACCAATGTCAGAACACCTCAAGCATAACCCACCAATTTTTGGTAGCAGTGGAGAGCTACAGGACAACTGCCAGCAGTTGATGAGAAACAAAGAGCAAGAGATTCTGAAGGGTCGAGACAAGGAGCAAACACGAGATCTTGTGCCCCCAACACAGCACTATCTGAAACCAGGATGGATTGAATTGAAGGCCCCTCGTTTTCACCAAGCGGAATCCCATCTAAAACGTAATGAGGCATCACTGCCATCAATTCTTCAGTATCAACCCAATCTCTCCAATCAAATGACCTCCAAACAATACACTGGAAATTCCAACATGCCTGGGGGGCTCCCAAGGCAAGCTTACACCCAGAAAACAACACAGCTGGAGCACAAGTCACAAATGTACCAAGTTGAAATGAATCAAGGGCAGTCCCAAGGTACAGTGGACCAACATCTCCAGTTCCAAAAACCCTCACACCAGGTGCACTTCTCCAAAACAGACCATTTACCAAAAGCTCATGTGCAGTCACTGTGTGGCACTAGATTTCATTTTCAACAAAGAGCAGATTCCCAAACTGAAAAACTTATGTCCCCAGTGTTGAAACAGCACTTGAATCAACAGGCTTCAGAGACTGAGCCATTTTCAAACTCACACCTTTTGCAACATAAGCCTCATAAACAGGCAGCACAAACACAACCATCCCAGAGTTCACATCTCCCTCAAAACCAGCAACAGCAGCAAAAATTACAAATAAAGAATAAAGAGGAAATACTCCAGACTTTTCCTCACCCCCAAAGCAACAATGATCAGCAAAGAGAAGGATCATTCTTTGGCCAGACTAAAGTGGAAGAATGTTTTCATGGTGAAAATCAGTATTCAAAATCAAGCGAGTTCGAGACTCATAATGTCCAAATGGGACTGGAGGAAGTACAGAATATAAATCGTAGAAATTCCCCTTATAGTCAGACCATGAAATCAAGTGCATGCAAAATACAGGTTTCTTGTTCAAACAATACACACCTAGTTTCAGAGAATAAAGAACAGACTACACATCCTGAACTTTTTGCAGGAAACAAGACCCAAAACTTGCATCACATGCAATATTTTCCAAATAATGTGATCCCAAAGCAAGATCTTCTTCACAGGTGCTTTCAAGAACAGGAGCAGAAGTCACAACAAGCTTCAGTTCTACAGGGATATAAAAATAGAAACCAAGATATGTCTGGTCAACAAGCTGCGCAACTTGCTCAGCAAAGGTACTTGATACATAACCATGCAAATGTTTTTCCTGTGCCTGACCAGGGAGGAAGTCACACTCAGACCCCTCCCCAGAAGGACACTCAAAAGCATGCTGCTCTAAGGTGGCATCTCTTACAGAAGCAAGAACAGCAGCAAACACAGCAACCCCAAACTGAGTCTTGCCATAGTCAGATGCACAGGCCAATTAAGGTGGAACCTGGATGCAAGCCACATGCCTGTATGCACACAGCACCACCAGAAAACAAAACATGGAAAAAGGTAACTAAGCAAGAGAATCCACCTGCAAGCTGTGATAATGTGCAGCAAAAGAGCATCATTGAGACCATGGAGCAGCATCTGAAGCAGTTTCACGCCAAGTCGTTATTTGACCATAAGGCTCTTACTCTCAAATCACAGAAGCAAGTAAAAGTTGAAATGTCAGGGCCAGTCACAGTTTTGACTAGACAAACCACTGCTGCAGAACTTGATAGCCACACCCCAGCTTTAGAGCAGCAAACAACTTCTTCAGAAAAGACACCAACCAAAAGAACAGCTGCTTCTGTTCTCAATAATTTTATAGAGTCACCTTCCAAATTACTAGATACTCCTATAAAAAATTTATTGGATACACCTGTCAAGACTCAATATGATTTCCCATCTTGCAGATGTGTAGGTAAGTGCCAGAAATGTACTGAGACACATGGCGTTTATCCAGAATTAGCAAATTTATCTTCAGATATGGGATTTTCCTTCTTTTTTTAAATCTTGAGTCTGGCAGCAATTTGTAAAGGCTCATAAAAATCTGAAGCTTACATTTTTTGTCAAGTTACCGATGCTTGTGTCTTGTGAAAGAGAACTTCACTTACATGCAGTTTTTCCAAAAGAATTAAATAATCGTGCATGTTTATTTTTCCCTCTCTTCAGATCCTGTAAAATTTGAATGTATCTGTTTTAGATCAATTCGCCTATTTAGCTCTTTGTATATTATCTCCTGGAGAGACAGCTAGGCAGCAAAAAAACAATCTATTAAAATGAGAAAATAACGACCATAGGCAGTCTAATGTACGAACTTTAAATATTTTTTAATTCAAGGTAAAATATATTAGTTTCACAAGATTTCTGGCTAATAGGGAAATTATTATCTTCAGTCTTCATGAGTTGGGGGAAATGATAATGCTGACACTCTTAGTGCTCCTAAAGTTTCCTTTTCTCCATTTATACATTTGGAATGTTGTGATTTATATTCATTTTGATTCCCTTTTCTCTAAAATTTCATCTTTTTGATTAAAAAATATGATACAGGCATACCTCAGAGATATTGTGGGTTTGGCTCCATACCACAATAAAATGAATATTACAATAAAGCAAGTTGTAAGGACTTTTTGGTTTCTCACTGTATGTAAAAGTTATTTATATACTATACTGTAACATACTAAGTGTGCAATAGCATTGTGTCTAAAAAATATATACTTTAAAAATAATTTATTGTTAAAAAAATGCCAACAATTATCTGGGCCTTTAGTGAGTGCTAATCTTTTTGCTGGTGGAGGGTCGTGCTTCAGTATTGATCGCTGTGGACTGATCATGGTGGTAGTTGCTGAAGGTTGCTGGGATGGCTGTGTGTGTGGCAATTTCTTAAAATAAGACAACAGTGAAGTGCTGTATCAATTGATTTTTCCATTCACAAAAGATTTCTCTGTAGCATGCAATGCTGTTTGATAGCATTTAACCCACAGCAGAATTTCTTTGAAAATTGGACTCAGTCCTCTCAAACTGTGCTGCTGCTTTATCAACTAAGTTTTTGTAATTTTCTGAATCCTTTGTTGTCATTTCAGCAGTTTACAGCATCTTCATTGGAAGTATATTCCATCTCAAACATTCTTTGTTCATCCATAAGAAGCAACTTCTTATCAAGTTTTTTCATGACATTGCAGTAACTCAGCCCCATCTTCAGGCTCTACTTCTAATTCTGGTTCTCTTGCTACATCTCCCTCATCTGCAGTGACCTCTCCACGGAAGTCTTGAACTCCTCAAAGTAATCCATGAGGGTTGGAATCAACTTCTAAACTCCTGTTAATGTTGATATATTGACCCCCTCCCATGAATTATGAATGTTCTTAATAACTTCTAAATGGTGATACCTTTCCAGAAGGCTTTCAATGTACTTTGCCCGGATCCATCAGAAGACTATCTTGGCAGCTGTAGACTAACAATATATTTCTTAAATGATAAGACTTGAAAGTCAAAAGTACTCCTTAATCCATAGGCTGCAGAATCAATGTTGTATTAACAGGCACGAAAACAGCATTAATCTTGTGCATCTCCATCGGAGCTCTTGGGTGACTAGGTGCCTTGAGCAGTAATATTTTGAAAGGAGGTTTTGGTTTTGTTTTTTGTTTTTTTTTTTTGTTTTTTAGCAGTAAGTCTCAACACTGGGCTTAAAATATTCAGTAAACTATGTTGTAAAAAGATGTGTTATCATCCAGACTTTGTTGTTCCATTACTCTACACAAGCAGGGTACACTTAGCATAATTCTTAAGGGCCTTGGAATTTTCAGAATGGTAAATGAGTATGGGCTTCAACTTAAAATCATCAACTGCATTAGCCTGTAACAAGAGAGTCAGCCTGTCCTTTGAAGCAAGGCATTGACTTCTATCTATGAAAGTCTTAGATGGCACCTTGTTTCAATAGTAGGCTGTTTAGTACAGCCACCTTCATCAGTGATCTTAGCTAGATCTTCTGCATAACTTGCTGCAGCTTCTACATCAGCACTTGCTGCCTCACCTTGTCCTTTTATGTTATAGAGACAGCTGCGCTTCTTAAACTTTATAAACCAACTTCTGCTAGCTTCCAACTTCTCTTCTGCAGCTTCCTCATTCTCTTCATAGAACTGAAGGGAGTCAAGGCCTTGCTCTGGATTAAGCTTTGGCTTAAGGAATGTTGTGGCTGACGTGATCTTCTATCCAGACCACTAAAGCGCTCTCCATATCAGCAATAAGGCCGTTTTGCTTTCTTACCTTTCATGTGTTCACTGGAGTAATTTCCTTCAAGAATTTTTCCTTTACATTCACAACTTGGCTAACTGGCATGCAAGGCCTAGCTTTCAGCCTGTCTTGGCTTTTGACATGCCTTCCTCACTTAGCTCGTCATATCTAGCTTTTGATTTAAAGTGGCAGGCATACAACTCTTCCTTTCACTTGAACACTTAGAGGCCACTGTAGGGTTATTAATTGGCCTAATTTCAATATTGTTGTGTTTTAGGGAATAGAGAGGCCCAGGGAGAGGGAGAGAGCCCAAACGGCTGGTTGATAGAGCAGGCAGAATGCACACAACATTTATCAGATTATGTTTGCACCATTTACCAGATTATGGGTACGGTTTGTGGCACCCCCCAAAAATTAGAATAGTAACATCAAAGATCACTGATCACAGATCGCCATAACATAAATAATAATAAACTTTAAAATACTGTGAGAATTACCAAAATGTGATACAGAGACATGAAGTGAGCACATGCTGTTGAAAAAAATGACACTGATAGACATACTTAACACGTGGGATTGCCACAAACCTTCAGTTTGTAAAAGTCACAGTAACTGTGACTCACAAAAGAACAAAGCACAATAAAACGAGGTATGCCTGTATTTTTAAAAAAAGCTTTTTGTTAAAATTCAGGATATGTAATAGGTCTGTAGGAATAGTGAAATATTTTTGCTGATGGATGTAGATATATACGTGGATAGAGATGAAGATCTTAATTATAGCTATGCAGCATAGATTTAGTCAAAGACATTTGAAAAGACAAATGTTAAATTAGTGTGGCTAATGACCTACCCGTGCCATGTTTTCCCTCTTGCAATGAGATACCCCACACTGTGTAGAAGGATGGAGGGAGGACTCCTACTGTCCCTCTTTGCGTGTGGTTATTAAGTTGCCTCACTGGGCTAAAACACCACACATCTCATAGATAATATTTGGTAAGTTGTAATCGTCTTCACTCTTCTCTTATCACCCACCCCTATCTTCCCACTTTTCCATCTTTGTTGGTTTGCAACAGCCCCTTCTTTTTGCCTGACTCTCCAGGATTTTCTCTCATCATAAATTGTTCTAAAGTACATACTAATATGGGTCTGGATTGACTATTCTTATTTGCAAAACAGCAATTAAATGTTATAGGGAAGTAGGAAGAAAAAGGGGTATCCTTGACAATAAACCAAGCAATATTCTGGGGGTGGGATAGAGCAGGAAATTTTATTTTTAATCTTTTAAAATCCAAGTAATAGGTAGGCTTCCAGTTAGCTTTAAATGTTTTTTTTTTCCAGCTCAAAAAATTGGATTGTAGTTGATACTACATATAATACATTCTAATTCCCTCACTGTATTCTTTGTTTAGTTTCATTTATTTGGTTTAAAATAATTTTTTATCCCATATCTGAAATGTAATATATTTTTATCCAACAACCAGCATGTACATATACTTAATTATGTGGCACATTTTCTAATAGATCAGTCCATCAATCTACTCATTTTAAAGAAAAAAAAATTTTAAAGTCACTTTTAGAGCCCTTAATGTGTAGTTGGGGGTTAAGCTTTGTGGATGTAGCCTTTATATTTAGTATAATTGAGGTCTAAAATAATAATCTTCTATTATCTCAACAGAGCAAATTATTGAAAAAGATGAAGGTCCTTTTTATACCCATCTAGGAGCAGGTCCTAATGTGGCAGCTATTAGAGAAATCATGGAAGAAAGGTAATTAACGCAAAGGCACAGGGCAGATTAACGTTTATCCTTTTGTATATGTCAGAATTTTTCCAGCCTTCACACACAAAGCAGTAAACAATTGTAAATTGAGTAATTATTAGTAGGCTTAGCTATTCTAGGGTTGCCAACACTACACACTGTGCTATTCACCAGAGAGTCACAATATTTGACAGGACTAATAGTCTGCTAGCTGGCACAGGCTGCCCACTTTGCGATGGATGCCAGAAAACCCAGGCATGAACAGGAATCGGCCAGCCAGGCTGCCAGCCACAAGGTACTGGCACAGGCTCCAACGAGAGGTCCCACTCTGGCTTTCCCACCTGATAATAAAGTGTCAAAGCAGAAAGACTGGTAAAGTGTGGTATAAGAAAAGAACCACTGAATTAAATTCACCTAGTGTTGCAAATGAGTACTTATCTCTAAGTTTTCTTTTACCATAAAAAGAGAGCAAGTGTGATATGTTGAATAGAAAGAGAAACATACTATTTACAGCTGCCTTTTTTTTTTTTTTTCGCTATCAATCACAGGTATACAAGTACTTGCCTTTACTCCTGCATGTAGAAGACTCTTATGAGCGAGATAATGCAGAGAAGGCCTTTCATATAAATTTATACAGCTCTGAGCTGTTCTTCTTCTAGGGTGCCTTTTCATTAAGAGGTAGGCAGTATTATTATTAAAGTACTTAGGATACATTGGGGCAGCTAGGACATATTCAGTATCATTCTTGCTCCATTTCCAAATTATTCATTTCTAAATTAGCATGTAGAAGTTCACTAAATAATCATCTAGTGGCCTGGCAGAAATAGTGAATTTCCCTAAGTGCCTTTTTTTTGTTGTTTTTTTGTTTTGTTTTTTAAACAAGCAGTAGGTGGTGCTTTGGTCATAAGGGAAGATATAGTCTATTTCTAGGACTATTCCATATTTTCCATGTGGCTGGATACTAACTATTTGCCAGCCTCCTTTTCTAAATTGTGAGACATTCTTGGAGGAACAGTTCTAACTAAAATCTATTATGACTCCCCAAGTTTTAAAATAGCTAAATTTAGTAAGGGAAAAAATAGTTTATGTTTTAGAAGACTGAACTTAGCAAACTAACCTGAATTTTGTGCTTTGTGAAATTTTATATCGAAATGAGCTTTCCCATTTTCACCCACATGTAATTTACAAAATAGTTCATTACAATTATCTGTACATTTTGATATTGAGGAAAAACAAGGCTTAAAAACCATTATCCAGTTTGCTTGGCGTAGACCTGTTTAAAAAATAATAAACCGTTCATTTCTCAGGATGTGGTCATAGAATAAAGTTATGCTCAAATGTTCAAATATTTTGATTGCCTCTTGAATTCATTTGCTAATTGTATGTGTGTGTGTTTCTGTGGGTTTCTTTAAGGTTTGGACAGAAGGGTAAAGCTATTAGGATTGAAAGAGTCATCTATACTGGTAAAGAAGGCAAAAGTTCTCAGGGATGTCCTATTGCTAAGTGGGTAAGTGTGACTTGATAAAGCCTTTGGTCTTAAATCTTGGGCATTTTGATTTGTAAATCTGACCCTGAGAATTGGGTTACCCAGATCAAAGACTCATGCCAGTTAAAAAGAACATTACCTGTATTTTTTATCATGTGTTATCTCTTAAGAAGAGGCAGATTAGTTCTAAAATCAACAAATTGTATTTAATTGAAATAATTTAGTGATGAGGAAGAGGTCCATTCTAGTGCCTGCTAAATGTATAATCCTTCTTAGAATGTGAAGTTGTCCTTAAACTTTTAAATACCTTCAGTTAATCTTTATATTGTCATTTATGAAAACCTTGAACTAAGACTTATGTATCTTTCATCTAGCTCTGGTTTTAATGCAGGTAGCATTTAATTGTCCCCACTGTACTGGGTATAGTCTGCTAAACATTAAGGAGTAGTTTTGCATCTCTCCTTGTTCTGATACTAGGGTCAAAGCCCACTTTTTATAGATGGGCAGCAAAAGGCACATTGGACATGCTGATAAATGTTGCCCTAATTGTGATCTAAACATGATAAAATATACATACATAAGTGCCCTTATCTGCTGCAAGTGACCCTTGTTTTGTTTTGGTTGGGGTGGGGGGTGTTTGGGATGGAATGGTGATCCACGCAGGTGGTTCGCAGAAGCAGCAGTGAAGAGAAGCTACTGTGTTTGGTGCGGGAGCGAGCTGGCCACACCTGTGAGGCTGCAGTGATTGTGATTCTCATCCTGGTGTGGGAAGGAATCCCGCTGTCTCTGGCTGACAAACTCTACTCGGAGCTTACCGAGACGCTGAGGAAATACGGCACGCTCACCAATCGCCGGTGTGCCTTGAATGAAGAGTAAGTGAAGCCCAGGGCCTCTCCCCTCTTTGCGGCCACTGATAGGAAAGCCCAATCTTTGGTTGAAAGGAAGAGAGTTCAGCGTGCACTTTTACATTTATAAAATGGGCATCAAAATGCCTGTTTGGCAGTCATGCGATAAGAAGTTGTATTTGCTAATGTGAATAACTTGAGATGATTTCATTATCTGAATTGTACAGTTTAGCCATTAATTAGGAGCAGTCAGAGTGTCTGTAACCACATGGCCTCAGTTATACCATAAACTTGAAATTGTTTATGTGCTCACATGCTACAAGTGACGGCTCCTGTGTGCCTGGCCACTATATTAGTATGTATTGACTCCACTTCCATGTTGCAGTATCTGAAACAGAAAGTAAGTCTAATGAGAAACTTTGGGATTCCCAGGTCAAATACCTTCCATATGTATGTAGCAAAAACAAAATACAAAGCCTAGAAGTTCTGTAGAAATAGAACTGATTTTTACTTTCATTCAAACTATTCATTATTTCCACAATAGTAATCAAAACTGCTTCTACTTTTACTGCTGCTAAATGATCAGCAAATTACTGGATATGGATATATATTATTTTCCAGGAATATAAGAATTTAGAATAGAACTGCAAGAGTATGCACTTAAATATATTTAGTGCATCCAGTTGCTAATGTTTTGTTTTAAACACCATCCACTTTGCATGAAGTCTAAACCTTCAGTTGGAAAAAGCCTCATTTTTAATATTCCTCTACTGTGCTGATAATCCTGTATAACACTAAAAGAATAGATGAATGTTCACGGTGCTACACAGAAATGTTTTTTTTTTTTTTTTTTTTTTTTTTGAGATGGAGTTTCGCTCTTGTTGCCCAGGCTGGAGTGCAATGGCGCGATCTTGGTTCACCGCGACCTCCACCTCCCAGGTTCAAGAGATTCTCCTGCCTCAGCCTCCCTAGTAGCTGGGATTACAGGCATGTGCCACCACACCCGGCTAATTTTGTATTTTTAGTAGAGACAGGGTTTCTCCATGTTGGTCAGGCTGGTCTCGAACTCCCGACCTCAGGTGATTGCCCACCTCGGCCTCCCAAAGTGCCTTACAGGCATGAGCCGCCGCGCCTGGCCAGAAATCTTACAAGTTATTTTGCCCACGATTGGTTTTAAAATAATTTTAATTTTGCACTATTTCCTTTAGTGTCTTTTTCTCTGCATCCACCAAACTATAGAATCATTTGCTGAGCTTATAAGAAATGCTCATACTGCTCATTGCAACAGCTAGCCAAATTTGTCCTTTGCTGTTTAAAACTCTAACTAGCATGGTTTTACTAAATTTATGTTAACACAGTTTCTCTCTCTGGGTTGTGGGGAGACAAATCAATTATAAATAATCTCTTTAGAAAAGTTACTCTTTCTATATGAAAGTGTGACTTGACTTTCTATGATAATTATGATCCAAAAATTTTATGGTGTGTACCTGACCACTTTTACAAATGATTAATTGGAAGGTAGAAATTGCTGATTCATAACATGTAACTTATAAACTTATGATGGACTACTTTAAGCATAAATTTTTTTTTTTTTTTTAAGACAGAGTTTCACTCTGTCACCCAGGCTGGAGTGCAATGGTGCGATCTCGGCTCACTGCAACCTCCATCTCCTGGGTTCAAGCAATTCTCCTGCCTCAGCCTCCCGAATAGCTGGGATTACAGGCATGCACTACCACACCCAGCTAATTTTGTATTTTTAGTAGAGACAGGGTTTCTCCATGTTGATCAGGCTGGTCTGGAACTCCTGACCTCGGGTGATCCGCCCGCCTCGGCCTCCCAGAGTGCTGGGATTACAGGCATGAGCCACTGTGCCCAGCCTGAAATATTTTTTTAATCTACCCTGACTCCTCTTGCTCTTTCTGAAGAAAAATTTTTAAAAATGTATGTAGGTGCCTTTAATTAGAAAAAAAATTAAAAATTAAGGCAACTTGTGCTCATATTGGTAATAGCATTTCTTTCAAGAACTCAGTAATACTGCATTGTCTTTAAAGCATAATATCTCTTAGACTTGACGGTTTGAGATTCTAAATCACTGAAGAACCTCTTGTGAAAATGATAGTTTTAAAATTTCTTTTCAAAAATAGTCCTATTGCAAAATGTTTGATTTTCTTGAAGTTTCCTGGAAACTATATTTCATTCATTGTAATGAATTTAATTTTCATTAACATAGATCTCTAATATTTTTCTCAGCTCACCACAACCTCCACCTCCCGGGTTCAAGTGATTCTCATGCCACAGCCTCCCGAGTAGCTAGAATTACAGGCACCCACCCGGCTCATTTTTGTATTTTTAGTAGAGACAGGGTTTCACCATGTTGGCCAGATTGATCTCGAACTCCTGGCTTCAGGTAACCCACCCACCCTGGCCTCCCAAAGTGCTGGGATTACAGGTGTAGGCCACCATGCCCAGCCAGCTTTTCCATAATTCTTATAAATGCCAATGCCTGAAATGGAATCTGACATATAAAAAATTACATGAAGAACTTTTATTATTTTGCATTTGAAAACCATGAAAAATAGTTGGACCAGAGTCTCAGAAAGCTTGTAGTTTGTTAGTTTAACTGCTCTAAATGTCAGGCAGATACAAAACTATTAAAAGACATGCTTCAAATATGAAGACAATTTAAAAGCACAGCTGTACACTTTTGCTTTTTGTCTAGTTTCAAGGTAAAGATGAATAATCATTTAGATAATGCTTAAGCTATGCTTATGCATACTTAGAGCAATTCTCCAAAATAAAAAATTTTAATACTTAAATACATGATTAAAATAGACACGTATCCAATGTCAATACAGACTTTACTCAGAAATAGCTTTTGAAGTTTCTTCTACCCCATAAATAGATTTTATTTTATGGCTGGCAGAAATGAAAATTACAACTTTTTGCCAAGAACAGAGAATAGAATAATCTCAAATTGGGGCTGCGGACTCAGTTTTATGTTCAAAGCTGTGTGAACCTCATCACTGAGTTCTTACAAATCCCTGTGTCCACATGCTCCAAACCACCCACTGTGAGTTCAGAAAAGAACTCTGAGTGCATCTTTCAGTAGGAAAGTAAAAACTGATTTTTACATTTCCTTTGAGCCAAACCAGCTGTTTCTTCTTTAAAGATTTCCCTTTGAGATTTCCATTTTATGACTAAGTCTAACCAGTATTTTTTTGGCAAGTAAGAGTTGTGGGAGTGTATCTGTCATCATAAGGAAATCAAAGCCAGAAATGCCTTCTGCCATGGTGGGTGATGTTAAACATTTCAAGGAACTTTATATTATAAAAATTGTCAAACATAAAAGGAAAAGTGCAATATAATGAATTCCATGGACCCATCACACAGCATCAATATTTATCAACATTTTATCAATATTTTTTCATATATTTTTCCCACATCCACTCCCACTAGTGTTTGAAAGCAGAAGACAGATAACTTACCATCTTACCTGTTAACATTTCAGGATGTATTTCTAACAGGTAAAGACTTTATCATTTAATATTTAGACTGTGTTTGTTCAAATTATCTGATTAGATTCTATTTCAGAAAACACACACATAAACAAAAATGATAATGAGAAAAAGAAAGCCCTTCCACATGATTGACACTTCTGAGTAGTGTGATCCCAGTTCATGTCCATTGTCTGGGATAGCTATTAAATAAAACTTCCTCTCATAAAATTCTCTCCATTTAGAAGATAAATTCTGTGATTCACAAGCCTCTTTTTATTTATAATAGCCCTTCCCCTTTCTTTATGAATTTGAATTTGTTTTTTAAAGAAACTGTGATTTTCTCTGTAAAATTCCCCACATTCTGGATTTGGCCGATTTCATCTTGGTTCTTTTGTTTACTTTAACCTATTCCTCTATCCCCAGTATCTTCTGTGGACTGGTAGTTTGACTGGTTCTTTTTCTTTTCTTTTTTTTTTTTTTTTTTTTTTTTTGAGACAGGCTCTCGCTCTGTCGCTTAGGCTGGAGTGCAGTGGCCCAATCTCAGCTCACTGCAACCTCCACCTCCCAGGTTCAAGCTATTCTCATGCCTCAGCCTCCTGAGTAACTGGGACTGCAAGCATGTGCCACCTCATCCTGCTGATTTTTGTACTTTTAGTAGAGACGGGGTTTCGCCATGTTGGCCAGGCTGGTCTGGAACTCCTGGCCTCAAGTGATCCGCCCACCTTGGCCTCCCAAAGTGCTGGGATTACAGGCATGAGCTATCACGCCCAGCTGATTTTTAAGTAATATAAGTATGTGTGCATGTATAGTATACATTGGCAAAAACACTTCATAAGTAGTGCTAAAATCATCTTATTTATATACATCAGGAGACACATAATGTCTGTTTGTTTCCCATTTTAGTGATATTAAGAGTGTTTAGCATGTTTAGTTGTCAGCCTGATCCATCATTATGTTCTTCATCAAACTTTCACCAGATAGTTTCACATCAATTGATGATCATTGCCTGTTTCTATTATTTTGTTTTCAAGTTGACAGTTTTCTCTCACTTGATGTTGTGTAAATTTAGTTATATAAAGTTAAATTATTTTGCTATTTTTTCTATGCTGTATACATTTGAATAACTGACCTAATTTTTACTTTAAAAATATTTTACAATTAGAAGTCCAAATAGTAAATCAAAGGTTAAGAATTTTTGCAGAAATCTGTTATATAGATGACATTTTAATATTTGCCCTTTATATCATTTACCATGAGCCAAATTTCAAGTCATATTAAAATGACTGTCATGTGCTAATTCTAACAATATTTGAAAGACCCCTATCAAAATAAATATACCTTTTAGTAGCCACTTTATTAGAAAATCAACTTTAAGTTATTCCCCCATGTTTTTTTCTAATTGAGATATAATTCACATACCATAAAATTTACCCTTTTAAAGTATACAATTCAGTTGTTTCAGTACATTCACAAAGCTATGCAAATGTCACCTCTACCTAGTTTCAGAACGTTTTCATCATTCCCAGAAGGAAACCCTGTATTTATTAGGCAGTCACTTCCCCTTCTCCCCTTCTTCCTTCCTCTAAGTGGCAACCACAAATAAACATTCAGTTTCTCTGGATTTACCTATTCTGGGCATTTTGTATTAGTGAAATCATGTATTTGGCCTTTCTCTCTGGCTTCTTTCATGTACCTCAATGTTTTCAAGTCTCATTCATTTTATTAAAAAAAAAAAGTACCTTTTTTCTTTTTCTTTTTTTTTTTTTTGTCCACGTATATATTCACACCACATTTTTTGAGACAGAGTCTCGCTCTGTTGCCCAGGCTAGGGTGCAATGGTGCAACCTCAGCTCACTGCAACCTCTGTCTCCCGGGTTCAAGTGATTCTCATGCCTCAGCCCCCAAGTAGTTGGGATTACAGTTGTGCACCACCACACCCAGCTAATTTTTGTATTTTTAGTAGAGACAGGGTTTCACCATGTTGGCTAGGCTGGTCTCAAACTCAGCCTCAAGTGATCCTTCTACCTTAGCCTCCTAAAGTGCTGGGATTACAAGCATGAGCCACTGTGCCCAGCCACATTTTCTTTTTCCATTTATTAGTTAATTGACATTTGGATCGTTTCTACTTTTTGGCGATTATAAATTATGCTGCAATGAACATCGGTGTACAAGTTTTTGTGTGAACATGTTTTCAGTTACCTTGGGATATACACCTAGGAGTGACATTGTTAGTAATATGGTAACTTTATGTTTAACTTTTTGAAGAACTGCCAAACTGTTTTCCAAAGTAGCTTTATGCTTTTACATTTCTGCCAACAATGTATGAAGGTTCCAGTGTATCTCCACATCCTCAAGAAAATGTTATTGTCTTTTTAATTGTAACCATCCAAGTGGGTATGAAGTTTATCTCGTGATTTTGATTTGCATTTTCCTAATGGCTGATATTGGGCATCTTTTCACGTGTGTATTGACCATGTATTTTTTTGAGAAAAGTCTACTTATATGTTTTTAATTGTATTATTTTTAGAGTTGTAAGAATATGTTATGTTGATACTTGAACTTTGTCAAATGCCTGGTTTGCAGATATTTTCTCCTATCCCACAGGTTGTCGCTTCACTTTGATAATGTCCTTAAAGTACAAAAGTTTTAAATTGATTTTGATGAAACTCAATTTCTTTTTAATTGGCAGCTTGTGCATTTGGGGTCATATTTAAGAAATCATTGCCTCATTCAAGATCTGAAAGATTTACACCTATGCTTTCTTCTCAGAGTATTATAACTTTAGTTCTTACATTTAGATTTTTAATTAATGTTGAGTTAATTTGATGGTGAGAGATAAGAGTCCAACTTCATTCCTTTGCAAGTAGCTGTCCAGTTTTCTCAGCACCATTTGTTAAAAGACTGTTTTTTTTCAATTAACTGACCAAGATGTATGGGTTTATTTCTGGACTCTTAATTCTGTTAATCTGCATGACTTTTCTTATGCCAGTACCACACTGTGCTGATTCCTGTAGTTTTGTAGTAAATTTTGAAATCAAGACAGGTAAGTCTTCCAACTTTGTACTTTTGCCTACCATGTTTCTTGGGTTTCCATATGCATTTTAAGATCAGCTTCTCCGTTTCCTTTCTGGATTTTTTTTTTTTTTTTTTTTTTTTTTTTTTTGGTGGAGCTGGAGTCTTACTATATTACCCAAGCTGGTTTTGAACTCCTGGCTAAAGAGATCCTCCCTCCTAGGCTTCCCAGAGAGCTGGGGTTACAGGCATGAGCCACCACATCCAACCCCCTTCTGGGACTTTGACTGGGGTTCTGTTGAATCTGTTGGTCAATTTGGAGAGTATTGATATCTTAACATTAAAGCTTCCAATTTATGAACACAGGCTATTTTTCCATTTATTCTTAAATTTCTTTCAGTAATGTTTTGGATGAAACATGTACAAAGTCCTGCACTTTTTATTTTTTTTAAGACAGAGTCTTGCTCTGCTGCCCAGTCCAGAGTGCAGTGCTGCCATCTCAGCTCACTGCAACCTCCACCTCCGGGTTCAAGTGATTCTCCTGCCTCAGCTGGAACTACAGGTGCGCGCCACCATGCCTGGCTAATTGTTTTGTGTTTTTGGTGGAGACAGGGTTTCACCATGTTGGCCAGGCTGGTCTCAAACACCTGGCCTCAAGTGACCTGACTGCCTTGGCCTCCCAAAGTACTGGGATTACAGGCATGAGCCACCACGCCTGGCCTGTACTTCTGTTAAAATTTTTTCTATGTATTTTTTTTATCCTATTGCAAAATCAAATTTTTTGTTGATAATATATGGTCATAAATTTCATTTTTATATATTGGTCTCATATCCTACCAACTTGCTGAACTAGCTTATTAGCACTAACTTTTTTTGGTAGATTCCTTAGGATTTGCTGCATACAAGATTATGTCATCTACAAGTAGAGATAGTTTTGTTTCTTCACTTCCAATCTGGGTGGCTTTATGTTTTTTTCTTGCCTGATTACCCAGTTAGAACTTCCAGAAAATGTCAGGTACAATTAACAACTGCAAACATCCTTGTCTTATTCATTTTAGAAAGAAATTTTTAGTTTTTCACCATTAAGTATGATACTAGTTGTAGGTTTTGTTTAAAAAAAGACTGTGTCAAGTTCAGAAGTTCCCTTCTGTTGCTAGTTTGTTGAATAATTTTATCACGAAAGGGTGTTGAACTTTTCTCAAATGCTGTGGCTACATCTAATGAAATGATCATGCGTTCTTCTCCTTTATTCTATTAATATGGTATATTATATTGATTCATTTTTATACATTAGATTAACATTATATTTCTGGAATAAATCCCACTTGGCCTCAGTGTGTATTACTTTTTATATATTGCTGGAGTCTGTTTGCAGGTATTTCATTGAGGACTTTCGCATCTCTGTTGATAAGGTATACTGATCTTTAGTTCTCTTGTGATATCTTTGGTTTTGGTGTCAGAGTAATTCTGAGTTCACAAAATGCATTGGGAAATGTTCCCTTCTCTATCTTTTGGAAGAGTTTACAAAGGATTGGTTTAACTCTTTTTTAAATGTTTGAGGAAATTCTCTACCCCTGGGCTTTCCTTTGTGGGAATTTTTAAACATTTTTAAAATAGATTATTTTTAAAGCAATTTTAGGGTAAAAGCACATTGAATGAAAGGCACAGAGCTTCCTTAAGTACATGCTGCCCCTGTATGTGCATAGCCTCCCTCATTATCAACATCCTTTACCAGAATGGTACATTTGTTGCAGTCAATGAACCTGCATTGACAATTGTCGATGAAAGTTCATAGTTTAGAGTTCACCTTTGGTGTTATGTATTCTGTGAGTCTGGATCCATGTTTAATGATACTCATTCACCATTACAGTATCATTCAGAGTAATTTCACTGCCTTAAAAGTCCTCTGTACCCTACCTATTTTTCTCTCCTACCCCACTAACCCTTAGCAACCAATGATCTTTTTATCTCAATAATTTTGCCTATTCCAGAATGTCATATAGTTGGAATGATACAGTATATGGAGCCTTTTCAGACTGGTTTTTGTCACTTAGTAATAAGCTTTTAAATTTTCCACCATGTCATGATCGTTCATTTCTTTTCAGCATTGAATAATATTCCATTGTCTGGTTTATCACAGTTGATTTATCCATTCACATAGTGAAAGACATCTTAGTTGCTTCCAAGTTTTGACAATTATGAATAAAGCTGTTATAAAAGTATGTAGGTTTTTGTGTGGACAAAAGTTTTCAGCTCCTTTGAGTAAATAACACAGAGCACAGTAGCTTGATTGACAGTAAGAGTAAGAAATATTTTTTCTCAGTCTGTGTCTTATTTTTTCATTCACTTGACAGTGCCATTTGCAGAACAAACAGAAAGTTTTAATTTTAATGAAGTCTAGGTTATCAGTTAATTCATGAATAATGTTTTTGGTATTGTATCTAAAAAGTCAACACCAAGGTCATCTATATGTTCTGTGTTATCTTCCAGAAATTTTATAGTTCTGCATTTTACATTTAGGGCTGTGACCCATTTTGCATTAATTTTGCAAAAGCTATAAAGACTATGTATAGATTCACTTGTTTGCATGTGGAGTTGTCCAGTTGTTCCCGTACCATTTCTTAAAGACTATCTTTGCTTTATTGTATTACCTTTGCTACTTTGTCAAAGATCAGTTGATTATAATTAAGTGGTCTGTTTCTGGACTCTTTATTCTGTTCCATTGATATATTTGTCTAGACTTTCACCAATACCACACTATCTTGTTAACTTAGGCTTTAGAGTAAGTCTTGCAATCATGTAGTGTCAGTCCTCTGACATTGTTTTTCTCCTTCAGTATTGAGTTGGCTATTCTTTTGCCTATTACTAAGTAAAAAAAGCAGTCTGAAAAGGCTATATATACAGTCATTTATTGGTCTTTTGCCTCTTGATATAAACTTTAAAATTACTTTGTCAGTATCCTCAAAATCTTGCAGGAATTTTGATAGATTGCACTGCATTTCTAGATTGAGTTAGAAATACTGCCATCTTGACAATACACATCTTCCTATCCATGAACATGGAACATCTCTTTCTTGGATATCCTTCATTAGAATTTTGCATTTTCCCCATATAGACCATGTACATATTAGATTTATACATAAATATTTCATTTGGGGGGGTGCTAATGGTAATGTATTTTTATCTCAGATTCTGCTTGTACATTGCTGGTATGCAGAAAAGTGATCAACTTTTGTATATTAAACTTGTTTCCTGCAACCATGTTATATAATCACTTTAGATCCAGTTTTTTTTTTTTTGGTCATTCTTTCATATTTTCTAGGTGATCATGTCATCTAGCAAAGACAACTTCTTTCTAATCTGTATACCTTTTATTTTCTTGTCTTAATGTATTAGCTAGCATTTCCAGTATGATGTTGAAAGGCATTGGTGAGAGGCAACATACTTGCCTTGTTCCTGATCTCAGCAGGAAATCTTCAATTTTATGTTAGCTCTATGGTTTTGTAGATATTCTTTATTTACATTAAATATGTTAGCTGTATGGTTTTGTATATATTCTTTATCAGGTTCAGGTAGTTCCCCTCTTTTCCTAGTTTACTGAGAGGCTTTTGAAAATCATTAATCAGTGTTGGATTTTGTAAATACTTTTTTTCCACCTATTGATATTACCATATGATTTTTCTTTAGCTTATTAACGAAATGGATTACATTAATTGATTTTCAAATTTTGAACTAGACTGGCATACCTGGAGCAAATCCCACATGGTTGTGATACATTATTTATGAATGCATTCATGGTCATGGTTGCTATTAGTCTGTAGTTATCTTTTATTGTAAAGACTTTGGTGTTGGTATTAAGGTAATGCTGCCCTCATAGAATAAGTTATGAAGTATTTTCTCTGCTTCTGTCTTAATTGAGATTGTAGAGAATTCATATAATTTCTTCCTTAAAACTTTGGTAGAAATCAGAATGAACCATCTGTGTCTGGTACTTTGTTTTGAAAAGTTATTGCTGATTCAATTTCTTTCATAGATATAGGCCTATTTAGATTATTATTTTGCATAAATATTGGTAGTTGTGTCCTTCAAGGAATTGGTCCATTTCACCTTGATTATTAAATGTGTGGGCACATTTGTTCATAATATTTCTTTATTATCCTTTGTTTTTGAGACAGGGTCTCACTCTGGTTGCCCAGGCTGGAGTGCAGTAGTATGATCTCAGCTCACTGCAGCCTTGACTTCCTGGGCTCAAGTGATTTACCCACCTCAGCCTCCCAAGTAGCTCGGACTACAGGCACATGCCACCATGCCTGGCTAATTTTTTTATTATTATTAGAGATGGAGTTTTCCTATGTTGCCCAGTGTGGTCTTGAACTCCTGGACTCAAGCAATCTGCCTGCCTCAGCCTCCAAAGAGTGATGGGATTGCAGGCATGAGCCATCACACCTAGCCTGATGGCAGAACTTTTTAGGAACAATAGAATGGTATATGGCATTTTCAAAAATTGTTTTCCCCTCCTCCTATGGAAGCATGAAGGGATTTTTCTCTAGTATTCATTGTGAGAACCTCATCTGGCTCCTGAATGTAGAAAACTCACAAAACTGTGAGGAACCTATTATGACTGGATGCCTTTGGAGTTGTTCACACTGAACCTCCAGCAATTCATCAATTATATTTCAGATTTTCCTATCCCAACACTGGTTCCTACAGAGGTTTCTGCTCCAGTAAGCTGTAATTCTTTTTATCCATCTGCTTCCTTGGTTGTGAGGGCAGTGATTTTCCCTGTGACCTCATTTCTCTGACAGATCTAAGTAGTCTTGATTACATCTTTTAACCTGTTGTAGGTATATTCAGATTTTCTATTTCTTCTTCAGTCAATTTTAGTAGTTTGTGTTTTTCTAGAAGTTTGTTCTCTAGCTCTGCTTTAGCTCCATCCAATAAAATATGAGTATGTCGAGTTTTCATTTACAACAAGGTATTTTCTAATTTCTATCATGTTTTTTTGATTCCTGACTGTATAGGAGTATATTTTTACCTATTACCCAAATTTGCTTGTTATTCATGTATAATTTTATCAGAAAACACACTTTGCACAATTTTTGCAGTGTTACATTTATTTAGACTTGTTTTATAACTTGACATACAGTCCATCCTGGAGAATGTTTCACGTGTGCTTGAGAAGAATGTGTATATTCAGCTGTTGGTGGGTGGCATGTTTTATAGATGTCTGTTAGACCTAGTTGGTTTATAGTGTTTTTTACAACTTCTGTTTTCTTTTTAATCTTCTATCTACTTTTAGCCATTATTGAAAGTGGATTAGTAAATTATCTATTTATTCCTTTAATTCTGCCATTTTTTGCTTCATGTATTTTGGTGCTCTGTTGCTTATTACATGTATGTTTACATTTGTTACATCATTTTAATGGCTTGAACTTTTTATTATAAAATGTGTATATCTTGTAGATATCGTATAGTTAAATCTTTTTAAAAATTGATATTGCTAGTCTTTGCCTTTTAATTTTTCAATTTATATACATTTAACATAATTATTGATAAGGTAGGATTTGTCTGCCATTTTGTCTGTATCTTGTCTTTTTTTGTGTTCAATAGATATTTTCTAGTGTACTGTTTTAATTCCCTTGTCTTTTACTAAATTTTTTGATGTTCTTAATGGTTTCCCTGGGGATTACAACTAACTTATAACAGCTAGTCTGAAGTAATACCAATTTCATTACAATATAAGGAAACTTTGTTCCCATATAGCTACATTCCCTCTTTTTACTCTGTGCTATTATACAAATTACATTTTATTTTATGCCCATTAACACAGATTATGTTTTTTCTTTTAAATCAGATTGATATTGTCATTTAAATCAAATATGAGAAAAATAGTTACAAAAAAATACATATATGATTTCATATTTACCTATGTAATTATCTTTACTGGTGCTCTTTAAGTTCTTAGGTGTATTTGAGGTACTGTCTAGTGTCCTTTCCTTTCAGCCTGAAGTATACATTTAGTATTTTTTGTAGGACATGCCTGAAAACAATAAACTCTTATTTATCAGAGAATGTCCTAATTTATTATATAATACATTTCTGAAAGATAGTTTTGCAAAATACAGAATTCTTGGTTGGCAGTCTTTTTCTTGTGGTTCTATGTCATTCTACTGCCTTCTGGTCTTCATTGTTTCTGATCAGAGATCAGCTATTAATCTTATTGGGAATCCTGCATACATGATAATCATACAGTTTTCATGATTTTCTTGTGTTGGCTTTCAGCAGTTTGGTTATGATGTTTATATGTATGCATATCTTTGGGTTTATGTTACATGGAGTTAGTTGAGCTTCTTGGACATGTAGATTGATGTTGTTCATCAAATTTGAGAAGTTTTCGGCCATTATTTTTCAAATATTCTTCCTATTCTTTATTCTTCATCCTCTACTTTGGGGACCTGCATTATGTCTATGTTGGTATGCTTTATGGTCTTCCACAGATCTCTGAGGTTCTGTTTATGTTTTCATTTTTCAGACTGAATAATCTCAATTGACTTATCTTCAAGTCCCTTTTTCCCCTCCTTTTCAACTCTGCTATTGAACCCCTCTAATTTTTACTGCAGTTATTACACTTTCAGCTTTAGAATTCTATTTAATAATATCTTTTTCTTGAGTTTATCTCATGTATTTAATAAAATGCTGTAGTCTTACTTTAGTTATTTAAATACAGTTTTCTTTCATTATTTGGGCATACATGAAATAGCTGACTTAAAGTCTTTGTCCAGTGGCCTAACATCTGGACTTTTTCAGGAATAGCCTCTATTGACTACTTTATAGGGGCCATACTTTGTTTCTGTTTCTCTTAATTGTTTAGACATTTTAAACTAATGTAATGGCTGAGAGCAGTGGCTCGTGCCTGTAATCCCAGCACGTTGAGAGGCCAAAGCAGGAGCATCACTTAAGCCCAGGAGTTCAAGACTAGCCTGGGCAGCATAGTGAGACCCTGTCTCTACAAAAATAAAAATAAATAAAATAATATAATCTGGTAAATCTGAAAATCAGATTCTACCCCCTGCCCAGAATATGTTACTGTTTCTGGTGGTTGTTGTTTATTTCTTTTTAACTACTCCTATAAAGTTTGTATTGTTTCTCATAGATAGCCATCGAAGTCTTTGCTTGGTTAACTTAGAGGTCAGCTAAGGATTAGACAGAATTCCTTAGGTGCCTGAGATCAATAAGTCAGTCTTTGACAAAGGGGTCTGTATGTGTGTTGGGGCATGCATTCAACACTCAGCCAGGCTATTTGCAGCTCTGGATTAGCCTTTATTCCCTGCTTGTGCAGAGTCTCAAGGTTAGACTGTGGTGAGAGTTTAGGGCTTTCTGAGGTCTTTTGTGGGCCCTACAGTTGCATGTGGCTTTCTAAATTCCCAGGAATATATTTTCAAAGCCTCCTGTGGATCATCTCATTTCCCAGGTAATTTACTTTTAAGCTTTTTTAGTTATCTTATGTTTTGCTCCAGTTATTAGCTACACCTGAGTCAGTGACAATATTCAACAGCTGCCTATGATTATTTGACAAATGCCTCTGTGGAAAAGGTGGTTCACACTAGGTGAACTCCAAGTTAGATAAAGTAAAGATAACCTTACTAGTGGGATCTTCCAGGAAACTACCAAACAGGTCAAATAATGTAAGGTCTCTGTGAATGGGACTTTAGAGTATATCCAACCAGTCTAGAGTATATCCAACCAATCTGGCCTCCTCTAGTGGCAGCCTGGCTGCTGCTTTTCATAATAAATGTGGGCTGTTTTGATTTGAAGGCTACCATAGAGCTGTGGGGAAAGTTAAAATACCACAGAGCTCACTCTTCTCACTGAAATCCTGTCTTTTTTTCCCTTGAACAAATTCTCCCTATATTGCTGCAAGCTTTTTGCTAATTTCCAGATCTGAAAAAGCTGATTCTGACAATATTTATCAGTACTTTTATTGCTTTTATGGAGGATAAAATTTTCAGAGATCCTTATTCTGCCATTTTTGCTGACATGTGTAAAGTGATCATTTCTAATTGTAAAATTCCTTTTGCATTTATTAGCTGGAATACTTTACAGGACTTTTCCTCATCAACCGTTAGTTACCATTTAATATAGTTTGTAAGAATGATAGAATAAATGCATGGCAAGAATCTTTACTTCTCAAATTTCAGAGATTTTGATGGGAAATTATATTTAGAGATCACAATCAGTGTCTAGATGTGCTCCCTGCTATGGAGGTGTCATTACTTTTAGGCTTTTTTAATGGGCAAATACATGAAGTAATTATTTTTTAGAAAGAAAATCTGAGATTAACTCAAATCATTAATTCATACTGATTTTTCCTATTCATAGTTGACAGAGTATTATTATCTTTTGTTCTGCTTCTCTTGTACACTGAAATTCTTGGTTTTTGATATTAACAATTATTTACTTATATCACAATATACATACATTAATTTAAAAATAATTTACAGTGCTACCTGAATATTTTTTCTTGTAAGTTGTTTTATCTCTCTTTGCTTACTTGTATGTTTGTTTATTGTCATTAGAATGTATCAAACTAGGGCTATAAAGCTGTAATACTATATTTTAGCCAGAAACTAGGACCTAGCACTCAAATGCCCATCAATGGTAGAATAATTCATCACATTTTTATAAGATGGAATATGGTACTCAATGAAAATGAATAAAGTACAACTACATGCAGTGATTTGGATGGATATCCCAAACATAATGGAAAAAGCACACACAAATAAGCTTATATTATATAATTCCATATACCTATGTATATATCAAGTATAAAAGTAGGCAAAACAAGCTACTGATGGTGGCACACACCTATAGTTCCAGCTATTTGGGAGGCTGAGGCGGGAAGATCACTTGAGCCCAGAAGTTCAGGTTCAACCTGAGCAACATAGCAAGACCCCATCTGTAAAAAAGAAAGCATTATTAACATAAAAATAGGCAGAACTACTATATTCTTAGAGAAGTTACTGTTAGGGAGACAGACAGTGAGTGACTGAAAGGCAAAATGAGGGGAAATTCCAGGGGATAGTAAATATTTTGTTTCTTAGTGTGGGTTCTACTTAACTGGGTATTTTCCATTTGTAAACTGTAAAATTATGTGCACTTTTCTGTATGTGTATTACATTGCAATAAAATTGTTTAAAAGTCAATTGAAATAGTTCTGTGTGTGGTTATGCCACAGCTTAATACAGAGTTAGATTAGACTTCTTTTCAAACTCATTTTGCATATAGACACCTATAATATCAGCTGCACAGCCTATATAATGCTATCCATAGCAATGAATTTGGTCTTTTGATTTTTCAGGAGAACTTGCGCCTGTCAGGGGCTGGATCCAGAAACCTGTGGTGCCTCCTTCTCTTTTGGTTGTTCATGGAGCATGTACTACAATGGATGTAAGTTTGCCAGAAGCAAGATCCCAAGGAAGTTTAAGCTGCTTGGGGATGACCCAAAAGAGGTTTGTTTACTTCCTGATGTATAATCGCTTTATTTTTCATAGAGAATTCATTAGCTTAGATGAAGTGAACAATATGACATATCTTGGTAAGCTCTTATTAATCAAAGTTTTTCCCAAACTGTAGATACACACTATTTTTTAAGTTGGCATAATAATCATATTATGCCAAAATAATAGATAAAATTTGAGCAACAAAAACTTCCTCTTTGGTCTTTTATGTTAATTCCAAAGTTTTAAAGGGGTGTCACTTCATTGTTAAAACTAAATGAGAATTGGTGATGTTTTTCATATTTTGACTCTGAATTATGGAAGTTACATAAGTACTACATTCAGAAAAGACCATTTTTAGTCACATTTATGTGCAATGAGATTCAAATAATTTAAAGTCACTGTAATGAATGCATTTAATAAAGTCACTGTAATGAATGCATTTAAGTAACTAAAACATTTAGATTTTAATATAACTCTGTAATGGAAATAAATGGACACTAATTTCTCACTGAAGTCATTGGTTTTTGTCTTGTCTGTAGAATACGTATTTCTTATAATTTGCAAATTGATAAATTTAACAACTTTTGGGTGGCATGTAGTCTAGAGTATAGATACTTCTTGACTTATGAGGAGACTACATTCCTATAAATCCGTTGTAAAATGAAAATCCATTTAATACCCCCAATAAACCCATCCTAAAGTAAAAAAAAAACGAAGCCATTATAGGTCAGGGACTGTCTCCGTACTAATTGAATGATGAGAAAACCTCAGTATATTTAGCATTTAGCTATGACCACATTTTCAGTCATTCTATACACTTACAATTATCTTTTGAATTTCGAATACAATTAAAATATTTCCATACTATAGATATTATAACATTGATGAGTCCCTTTAAATGAAGAATTTGTTAACCTTATTAAGCTTTCACTTACTATTATAGTCACAGTTAATAAAGCAAGTGCAAAAACTCCTGAAATCACAGTATAAGTTTTTTAAAGGATGTTTTCAATAATTAAAGTTTACTTAAATGTGCGAGACATCATTTCATAAGACAAGAATATGAATATTAATAACTTAATGAAAAGTACTGATTTTGCTTGCTGTCATTTTAATTTTCTACAGATAACTTTTTTTTTAACCACTGTTTTATCAAGTGATAAATGTTTATCACTTTCACGAGGTTTCATGTAAACCAAATCCAGAGGATACCAAGTAACTTATTGCCTCTGTTGGGTAGGAGAGCTCTGTTCAGAAACCTCCTCACCTTCTAAAATTTACATCTCTGCCAGGTGGTTATGTCTCACAACTTTTTTTTTTTAGAGAAATATCAATCTGAAATGAAGACTTCTAAGTATAAATGGAGCAGCTAAATATGATCACCTACCATTTTTTAACAGTATATTACTTGGAAAATCTGTTCTTCATGAGCAGGGCAGGTGGGGGTGTAACTGAGCATTTCCCCTTTCAAGTAAATTCTGCAAAGGTTTTCATGTATCCTGCATTCTAGTTCTGAAGCATTTTATCCATATTTGAAGTGTCCAGTAAATTTTAGTTGCTCTATGGAGAGATCATTCCAAATTATTTAAATACTATCTTTATAAACATAAAATGTAAAGATTAGAAATAGACAAATTAAGCTAAAGAAGTTCTTTTAATAGTTCATCTTCCTTGGTAGCTAAAAAATGTGACCTCTTTAAGACCATACGGCTTAATTCCCCTAACCCTACTCCTGGCACAGGCTTGTGTGTATAAAATGCAAAATATCTGCATGCAGTTAGAAAATCAATCTTATGAAAAAAACAAATAGCTAGATATTTACTAGCACATATGAAATTAAATGATAGTCATGTTTTAAAGATGCTTTATTTAGTAATAAAGGCACCATATATTGTGTTTGGGATTCAAAATGTAAGGGGAATAATCTAACTGATAGTCTCTTTTACATAGAGAAAATGGACTTAGAATTTAATATGTAGAATTATTCACTTTATACAGGAAGAGAAACTGGAGTCTCATTTGCAAAACCTGTCCACTCTTATGGCACCAACATATAAGAAACTTGCACCTGATGCATATAATAATCAGGTAAGTTTAAATAATCATTGGCAGCAATTGTAACAACTTACTTGTTACTAATGACCTATGTCCAAAAATATTTTTGAAACAATGATTTTTAAATATTATTCTAACTTTTCCTCTTAATTGTTGAAACCACTGCAGTGTTCAGTTTCGAGTATATAAAAATTATACCATACAAAAGTACATTTTTTTTGTCTTTTAGCTGTAAAGACATGCGCTTCTAAAAGTCACAGGCTGTTCTATCTACTAATCTTGTTCTCATATGAATAATTTTGTTTCTGTAAACAGACTATGGAGATTACATCAAAATTATGTGGCCCAAGCTATAGGTTCTAACTACCTATTTTTACTGCAAGTCTATAAGTATAAATGAGTATTCATAAGAATTTATAGACTTACAAATATTCACATAAAGCTATGCATATACTAACATTGTAAGTATATATATTTCGGTCCAGATGTGTCAGATTTTGCTGATCTTCCTTTTTTGTTTGACCTTGACTTCATACACCAAGCAAAAACATTTTTTTTTTCTATTTTACATGTGTATTCTAAACTATAGCTAGTTAAGACAGGTAGATGATTTGGTCAGAAATCTCTCATCATGAAGGCAAAAAACTAAAATCTTCACTGTTTCAGTAACATCAACAACAAAAGCATTAAGTGAAAGTCTATTACAAACTAAACACTGTGTTTAGTCACTGGGAACATAAAGGTGAGCAGTGCCATCTCTGTCTGTCTTTAAGAATTCCGTCTTTGCTGGGTACGGTGGCTCACACCTTTAATCCCAACACTTTGGGAGGCCAAGGCAGGTGGATCACCTGAGGTCAGGAGTTCTAGACCAGCCTGATCAACATGGAGAAACCCTGTCTCTACTAAAAATACAAAATTAGCTGGGTGTGGTGGCAGGCACCTGTAATCCCAGCTACTCGGAAGGCTAAGGCAGGAGAATAGCTTGAACCTGGGAGGTGGAGGTTGCAGTGAGCCGAAGTCAAACCATTGCACTCCAGCCTAGGCAACAAGAGCGAAACTCCATCTCAAAAAAAAAAAAAAATTCATCTTTAACTGGGTGCGGTAGTTTATGCCTGTAATCCCAGCTACCCAGGAGACCAGGAGTCTGAGGCTGCGGTGAGCCATGATTGCATCACTGTGCTCCATCCTGGGTGACAAAGATGACCCAGATTCTAAAAAAAAAGCAAAAAACAAAAGAATTCCTTCTTTAGTGGAGACAGAGACATATAAAATAAATAGCAATTTTAGAATTACACAGTTCCAGCTGGAATAGAAGAATGTGCACATTTCTAAAAAAATTTAAAAACAAAACCCAAAAGTAGACTAGATGTCACAAGCAGCCTTAGACGCTAAATAAAGATCTTTGAACTTTATTCTGTAGGTAACCATTGGGCTGTTTCAAGTGTGTGTTGGGGATGGAAGGGTAAAGTGATGTAATTCGTATTTTGAAAAATTTACTTAAAAGCCAAGTAAGGGAAATATAACTTAAATCTATGTAAGATTAGAGAGAGAAGAAAGCTATTGCAATCATTGGGCAAGAGATTTTAAGGACCTAAAGAAATGGCAGGAATTAAGTATGTACACTAACTAAGGTGGAGCTTAGAGAACTTGGTGACTAGATGTATGGATGAGAAAAGAATTTGGAGATACAACAAATTTCCAGTTTGGACAGGTAGTTCTATTAACTAGTATCAGAAATTGGTAAGAAATAGTAAGTTTTGGGATGGGGAGAAGATATCAAAATTTTGGACATGCTAGGCTTCTAGGTTAATTAGATGGAGAATCAGGAGAAAAATTCAGGCTAGCACTGTAGATTTGAGAGTCAGAATGCTGGCAGGACTTAAAGTTGAATACATAGGAATGAAAGGAGGTTTTCAAAGTAGAGATTATAAAGAGGACAAAGGGCTGATGATGGGATTCTGGAGCCATCAATCATTTTAGGCATGAGTGGAGGAAGAGAAGCCAATGAAGTAAGAACTGGGGGAGGGAGTAGAAGAAATGTAGTAGGAAAAGTGAAAGAGGGAGATGGATGGATGGAGGAAAGCTGGAATGATGAGAAGACACCCAGAGCAGAGTATACAGGAGCAATAGGTATGGGGCTCTGGGATGGGTGCTCTGTCATTTACTTGATAATATTAAAGACTCTCGTGGGATTAGATTAGTTTACACAGCAGACATGGACAAGGGACTAATCCTAAAATGATTTAGCTACTCTTCTTTTCCACTGTGGACTTTAACGTCCCAAACATTTTTTTTTTTTTTTGGTTCGAACAATAGAGGCAAATTAAACGATGGTCTATTTGTAAGTTATTTTATGTCAAATTATGTTTTTAGAAATGTGTATGAATATCTATGAAAAGTTTTTAAACACTATTAATAGTTGGATTAATACTGTTATTTTGTTTAGCTAGTATCACAAAGTATAAGGAGTGCTTTGATACTGTCGTAAAAGTTTAATTCTCAGCAAGAACTTCTGAAATAAATCAAGCTATAAAAATAAATAAATGAATGAGTCTATGTTGCTAGATTTAAAGTTGGGTCATTTTCTATTAAATGAATTTTTAATAGGTGCTGTTAATCAAATGGCTTTACTTGAGGCAGAATAACAAAGCATTGATGTTCTTTTTGCTCCCTTGATTCTTATTATGGACCGTCTCATACTTGAAACTATTTTATACATTTCCTAAAACTTAAGTACCCAAAATATGAAGCCATCAAATATGTTCAAGTTTTAATATTTATATATGAAAATGTGTTGATGTAATGTCTAGATAAATTAAGTCAATTAATAGTTGTAAATGGATGAGATGCTTCTGAATGGATAAAATATTTTTATATTGCATGGTAGGTACTATTGGTAATATTCATCCATGTATGTTAATATGCTTTAGAGATCAAAATAATAGCCATGTGATGTTTCCACACAGTACACGGGAAGACCATTTGATGTTATAGATGCTGTCATAAAACCTACTATTTGATCTTTACCTCCTTTCCCCAACTGAGTGTCGTATCTCTATTTCTCACATCTGAATATTCTTCCTTGCTTTATTCCTTGATTTCATGAAGTCTTATTGCTAAAGTTTAGTTGGCTCTCCACAGCATCTCTTCTGTCAGTCCCATGGAATTAGAGCTTCAGTTTTCTCAACTTAAATGTCCTTTCTTCGTGTCTATCCAGTAGACATATATTTGGCTCTGTCTTTTCTATGCCTGCCTTACAATTTAACAGTAGACCTGAAATAGCAGGTGTCAATCTCAAAATCGTGTGCTATTTATCATACATGAAGATGACATTTTAGACAAATGCTTCTAAGAGAGCTTTCTATGAAGATGGAAATATTCTCTATTTATGCTGTTCAGTGTAATAGGCACTAGCCACATGTGGTTATTATTTAACAGTTGATACGTGGCTAGTGTAATTGAGTTTAAATTAATGTAAAAATTAACACAAACAGCCACATGTGGATAATGGTTACCATAGTGAACAGCACAACCTTAGACCATGAGAAAGTTATGCATTTAGAATTGTCTTCCAGACATTTAGATGGATTTCCAGTAATTCATTCACAAAATCCTGCATGGTATTTTTTAGGAGATGGCATAAGTGTAATTTCTAGCTGATTGTATATCTGTTTTTGTTCAAGAAACAGAATAAAGCTAACTAGACCACAGCATGAACTGAACGGCCACAAAGCACACATCTATGTTAAAGAGTAGTTGGTACCTTCATTTTCCTTTGGCCAAAGTTTTATGAGGTTAGATAGACAAATACATATATGAATCCAACAGTAAATAATATGAAGCCACCACAAACTTTTATCCTAATGCAAGTTCATCTTCTAGCCATGATGGAGTAAACAGAGACTACATATGCCGTTACACATTTAAGAAAAAACTGACAAAATATATGAAACAATGGTTTTTAGACATAGAATAAGAAATTCAAGAGACAGTGGCACCAGAGAGAAAGGAAGTAAAAAGGTGAACCTATAAATACCCCAGTTTACTTCCTGAAGAGAGTATTAGGCTCCAGTGTAGCCAGTAGGAACCCAAACACACCCAGCCTTATCTCTGTATTAAGGAGACAAAGTTCAAAATTTGGAGAGGCCAAGGTGACGAGAGTTCACTATTCAGAATATCAGAGAGGAGAGAGTGTTATTGAGAAAAGCTCCAGAGACCTGCAGAGGGTTCTGATCCAGTCTTCAGCTGAGTATTAAACAGCACATGCATGTGAAAAAACTGCCAAGGCTAGGTAGGGAAAGAACCATCAGAAGAAGCAGGCAGAATAATCCCTTGATCTCACACAGGACCTGGAATAGTTCTTGATCATACCAGCCAGACGGAGAAGACTTCATAATACTATTCATAATTGTATTGCCTTGGTAGTAGAAGTAAATTTGGCAGTTCTGACCTCATCTAAAAATGCTTAAAATGAAAACATAGAAGGGCCAAACTGATTCTAAGTAATTTAACTGCATCACAGTACAAAAATTAAAAAAAAAATCTACCAACAAGGTAAAATTTATAGTCTAGCATTCCATCAGAAAATACAAGGCATACAAAGAAAAAAGAAAATATAACCTTTACTGGGGAACAGGCAGAAATCAATCAATAAAAATAGTCCCAGAACTGACATATGTGATACAATATGTAAATAAGTTCATTAAAATGGCTATCATATTTCATATGTTAAAATGCCAGAGGAAAGCATGAGAGTGATAAGGAAAGATCAGAAGATATTAAAATACCCTACAATGACCTTCTAGAAGTGAAAAATATATATCTAGATTAAAAATACACTAGGCGGAATTAACAGATTAAGGAACTTGAAGACATAGTAATAGAAATTTTTCAGTATAAAGAAAAAACTGAAAAAAATGAATATATAAAAGACCTATTAGCCAATATTGTTACACTAATATATGTGTAATTGGAGTACCAGAAGGAGGTGGGAGACAGAAAAATATTTAAAGAAACAATGGCCAAATTTTTTTCAGATTTGTTCAAAACTGTGAACCCACAGATCTCAGCAGCTCAGCAAACCCCAGATTAAAAAACAAAGACATAAAAAAAGACTATCAAAAATTTATAATCAACTTGCTTACAATCTGTGATAAAGAGAAACTCAGAAAGGCAAATGGAGAAAAAAGGACATATTACACTAGGTGGGAAAAAATAAGACAGGAGACTTCATTCAGAAAAAGGCAAGAGAGAAGATGTAAGAGAAACATCTTTAACATACTAAAAGAAAAAAGACTCTCCACCCAGAAATATATAACCAATGAAAACAACTCTCAAAAAAGACAGCAAAATAAAGAATATTTTTTCAGACATACATACAAAAGCTGAAAGAATTCACCACCAACAAACTAGCACTTTAAAAATGTTAAACGAAATCCTTCAGGAAGAAAGAACATGATACCAGACAGAAATCCAGATCAACATAATGAAATGAACAGTATCAAAAATAGTAAACATGGTTAAAAGACTTTTAAAAAAATGATAACTTGCTATCTTAAAAATATATTAACAATGTATTATGAGGTTTATAACACGTAGAAGTAGCACAGAGGCTGAGGAATTGAAAGTATATTATTGTAAAGTACTTATACGATATGTGGACTGGGTATATTACTTGGCTGTAAACTGTGAGACGTTAGAGTACACTGTGTACCTTAAACCACTAAAAAAAAAAAAAAAAGTATATAGCTAATCAGCCAGTAAAGACAGAAAAATGAAATCAATCCAAAAATGTTTTTAAAAATATATAGGACCAAAAAAAGATAAATATAAAAATAAAACAAATAGCAAGATGGTTTATTTAAACCCAACTGTATCAACAACCACATTAAATGTAAATGGTTTTAACACCCCTAATTATAAGGCAGAGCTTGTGATATTGAAAAAAAAGCAAAAACCAAGAAAACCACTTTAAATATAAAGATACAAATAAATTAAAAAGATATTTTTAACATAAAAAATGATGTTGAAAAGACATAACAGGAAAAAATATGATTATTGCAGTAGGTACAGAAAAACCATTTGATAATATTCAACATTCATAAAAGGAAACTTTCTCAACCTATTAAATACATAAATGGAAAGCCAAAAGCTAATGCTATACTTAGTGGTGAAAGACTAATACTTGACCCCTAAGATAAGGAACAAGACAACAATGTCCATTTTTAACCAACTGCTTCTATTCAACATCAAACTGTAAATTTTAGAAAGTGCAGTAAGGCAATAAATAAAGCAGTCAAGATTGGGTAGGAAAAAATAAAACTGTACTTATTTGCAGATGACATGTTTGTCTACATAAGAAGTCTCAAAAAATCTACCAGAAAATGAAATTAATATATGAATTTAGCAAAGTTGTGAAATACAAAATTCAAGTGTATTTTTATATACTAGCAATAAATAAATCAAAATAAACCATTAAAATAGCATCAAAATATAAAATTCTTAGACATACATTTGACAAAAATGTATAAGATTATATACTGGAAACTAAAACATTGCTGAGATAAATTATAGAAAACTTCAGTAACTGGAGAGATACACTATGTTAATGGATCAAAAGACTAAATATTATTAAGATGTCAGTTCTCCCCAAACTAATCAATATGTTCAATACATGATGTTTCAAAACCCCAGCAGGTTTTTTGAAAGAATTGGACAAGATGGCTGTAAAATATATATACTTGGAAATGCAAAGGACTTGGAATAGTCAAATAATATTTTAAAATAAGGGCAGAATTTGAGACTATATATTGCATGGTTTTCAGATTTACTGAAATCTATAATTGCTACTGTCTGTCAAGACAGTTTGATATTGCCCAGGCGCAGTGGCTCACGCCTGTAATTCCAGCACTTTCGGAGGCCGAGGTGGGTGGATCACTTGAGGCCAGGAGTTTTGAGACCAGCCTGGCCAACATGGCAAAACTCTATCTCTAATAAAAATACAAAAAATTACTGGGGCATGGTGGCGCGTGCTTATAGTCCCAGCTGCTTGGGAGGTTGAGGCCTGAGAATCGCTTGAATCCAGGAGGCAGAGGTTGCAGTGAGCCCAGATCGTGCCACTGCACTCCAGCCTGGGTGACAGAGTGGGACTCTGTCTCAATAAATAAATAAAATTTTTAAAAAGTTTGATATTGACATACCTACATACACACCATTATACACAAGTGGATCAGAATAGAGAATCCTTAAGTAGACCCAACATATATAATATGGTCAATTGATTTTTAACAAAGATGATTCAATTGGGAAGGGATAACCATTTTATCCAGTAGTATCTGAACAGTTGGAAAGCCATAAGGGAAAAAAGGTAATCTTGACCCTTAATTTCACACCATTTATAAAAATTAACTCCAAATAAATCCATTTATATGAAATTCTAGAAAATGAAAATCTGTAGTGATAGATTAGTAGTTGTCTGAGAACAAAGCAGGAAGCATGAATTATACAGGGGCATGAGGAAATTTTTAAGAGTAATGAATATGTACTTTATTTTGGTTGTGACAAATATATATCAAAACTCAAATAGCATACTTTATGGCCTCAATAACACTATAAAATAAAAATTTTACCATGTCAAGATATTTGCTCTATTTTGTGTCATTCCATTTTGTTTCTGGATATATATTTAAGTTCAAAACATTTTTTTAAAGTTCTAAATGGTCTAAATACTAGTGAGTTTTCGGTGTAAGAGTAAAACTAACTACTTTCGCATTCACACACACTTTTATTTTTCAGATTGAATATGAACACAGAGCACCAGAGTGCCGTCTGGGTCTGAAGGAAGGCCGTCCATTCTCAGGGGTCACTGCATGTTTGGACTTCTGTGCTCATGCCCACAGAGACTTGCACAACATGCAGAATGGCAGCACATTGGTAAGTTGGGCTGAGGACAGCTTAGCAGCTGTTGAGTCTGTTCTCACACTGCTAATAAAGACATATGCAAGACTGGGTAATTTATAAAGGAAAGAGATTTAATTGACTCACAGTTCCACATGGCTGTGGAGGCCTCACAATCATAGCTGAAGGCAAATGAGGAGCAAAGTCACATCTTACATGGCGGCAGGCAAGAGAACATGTGCAGGGGAACTCCCCTTTATAAAATCATCAGATCTCATGAGACTTACTCTCCTGAGAACAGCATGGGAAAGATCTGCCCCCATGATTCAATTACCTCCCACTGGGTCCTTCCCAAAACACATGGGAATTTTGGGAGCTACAATTCAAGATGAGATTTAGGTAGGGACACAGCCAGACCATATCAGCAGCATCTCATGTTGAGGAGCAGAACACTGGAATTTAGTAGCATTCGGTTAGAGTAATATGTTGTCTGCAGGTTTCACTGGACAGCAATATTTTCATGAATGAATTCCTGTTGCAAAGTGACCTGCTTTGGCATAACTAGCACTCTCATGATAGGTTGGCACATTAGTTTCCTGTCAATTGTGTTGACAAGCACATGAGAATCATGGAAATCCTTGGTGTTAATCTAAACCAGTGACTATGCATTGCCAGTTACAGTTAACTTCCAGGAAAATCTCAAAATTCAGTGCCAGTTACCTGGTAGATTGTAATCAGTTAAGCAAAAAGCCAAATACAAGCCATTCACCTTACAGAGAGAGAAGCATATTCACCTTACAGAGAGAGAAGCATAAATGAGAAACACATCATCATTGTCACAGTAACTGTGGTAACCTATTGTAAAAGATTCACAGTGCAAAAGAGCCTGACTACATATTACAGTGGGTAAAATGGATCGGTCTTGTAATTGGAGGCAGTGGTGAGGGGAAAATAGATACATGTTATATATATATATATATATATATATGTTCTATACCAACAAAGGGTTCAGGGTATAATTTTGCATGTAAAGGGGTGACCCAGAGTAGAGATAAAGAACAAAATATTCTGTTGAAAAAACTATGAATCAATCAACCTAATGAATTATCAACATGGATGTAGGTGTAGTTGAAGAAGATGGTCAGTGAGAATATGGAAACAGATATCAGGAATTAAAGTCATATTCTAGGGCAGAAAAGCATTCATGGAGGTATTAGATGATAGCTGAAGTAATTTGAAGAAGCTGGTGTGAAGTTTTTGTTGAGAAGCAGAGAAGATATTAATTTAATGTTCTAGATCAGAGATTGGAAAACTCTTCTCTATAAAGGGCAAGATGGTAAATATTTTAGGGACTGCAGGCCACATAGGATTTCTGTCACATTGTTTGGTGGGGTTTTTTTGTTTATTTTGTTTTTTAAAAACTCCTTGAAAATGTAAAAACCATTCTTAGTTTACTGGCCATACAAACACAAGCTGTGAGGCACATTAGCCGTAGGTTCTGGTTTCCTAACTTCTGATCCAGAAGAACAAACACAAGGCCTACCAACCACCCCAACATCTAAAATCATCACTAATCATGTACTCAGCACCTGCTCATTATTAGGAGGCTATGCTAGTTTCTGAAAAGCAGAAGTAGTAAATGATAACTGGGGCTATAGTGCATCCTAATATAACCATGTTTCATTCCAGGAAGGTGACAGAGAGTAAGATGATGAGAAGGATGTTTAGAATCAAGAAGAATTTGCCTCTGATAGAGCATGGGTTCTGTGAAGTAAAATGGAAAGGAGCACTAGATAAGAACTGAATAGGGTTAAATATGTATGGGAAAAGTAACAAGGTGCTCAGAGACATGAATTTGAAGACTTCTGTGCAGAAAGTGACAGGCTCATTAATACCATCTCATGTTGAAGTTATTTCTAAAGTCAGTCCATTGTGATCACATTTCTCTCAAGAATATCTTCTAATTTTATTTTAGATCACATTAGATCACATTGTCTCCATTGATCAAAAACACTAAATACTAAAAAGTTAGTATTTAAAAACCACAAATAATCTTTTACCAAAGCTAGTGTAATTGTAGTAACTAAAGCAAAAAGTACCATTTAATTATCAAAGCAACAGAGGTAGCTTTCCTCCCTCCACCCCTTACCCTTTTCAGAGTACCCACTTATATGGTCATATTTCAGAAAAGAAATGAAGAAAAGAGAAAGTTAGGTTTGACAGAGTACAAAGGAGGAGAGACAAGAGAGTGAAAATAGTATTAAGTTGCATATTACCTGTATCAGCCAAATCTTTACCTTTTCATTTTTTATATTTTTACTTCAGTTATCTTATGGAAATTTCTTAAACAGAGAGAGTTAGGTGTCAGGTATGTGAAAAGACATGAAATTTGTGTTCAGAAGTATGAGATGAGGCAAATGTGATACTACCAAAAACAGAGGAAGTCATTTCGTAGAAAAAACTTTTAGCCTGTTTTTGAAGAGGCTTCACATCTAGCACATCTATTTTTGAAGTGTGAAAAGCAAGAGAGTGCTTCATTTTGGGGGAGTGTTGCTTCTTCCCATAGACAGAAACATATGTGAAGAACAAGGGTCACCACAGCTAACTGTTCCTGATAGACTCAGAGAAAGGGTGGGTGGGCAATGTCAATTTGTCTTATCTCCCTGTACCATTTTGTTGCTATTTTCATTAATAACAGGTAGGATGGTTTTATGGTAATATATATGTCACTGATCTGGATCAACTAGGCCACCAACACAAATCTGAATACTGAGAGGAGAAAGATACACACACACACACACGTTTTCTTTGGGACCTGTAGTTGAGGCTGTAATGTCTTACTTCCCTACCAGGTATGCACTCTCACTAGAGAAGACAATCGAGAATTTGGAGGAAAACCTGAGGATGAGCAGCTTCACGTTCTGCCTTTATACAAAGTCTCTGACGTGGATGAGTTTGGGAGTGTGGAAGCTCAGGAGGAGAAAAAACGGAGTGGTGCCATTCAGGTACTGAGTTCTTTTCGGCGAAAAGTCAGGATGTTAGCAGAGCCAGTCAAGACTTGCCGACAAAGGAAACTAGAAGCCAAGAAAGCTGCAGCTGAAAAGCTTTCCTCCCTGGAGAACAGCTCAAATAAAAATGAAAAGGAAAAGTCAGCCCCATCACGTACAAAACAAACTGAAAACGCAAGCCAGGCTAAACAGTTGGCAGGTAAATTTAATGTAAAGCATTTGTAGATAAATGTGTTGTGTGGTATATTAAAAATGAAAATTATTTTGGTTTTGCCCCCATCAACTTGTAAGTTCTGGGGTACACATGCAGGATGTGCAGGTTTGTTATACAGGTAAACATGTGCCATGGTGATTTGCTGCACAGATCAACCCATTACCTAGGTATTAAGCCCAGCATCTTCCTGATGCACCCCTACCAATAGGCGCCAGTGTGTGTTGTCCCCACTCCCCCACCATGTGTCCATGTGCTCTTATTGTAAAATGAACATTGTTAATTTTGGAAAGTTATATCAATCATGGTCTTAGTTCTGTGCCAGAGTCTTCTCTAAAGTAGCAAGGGCCAGGCTTTGTTCTCAGAGATGGTAATGAGATATTGCACCATCAACATGGAAAACATGGAAAAGTCTGGATTTTATTCTATAATAAACAGCAACTTTTTTTAACAGGTAAGTGATACGATGAAATTCATTGTAATTTGGCAGTAGGCCAAATTAGTAGAGGAGCTAATAGTTTGGAGATAAACACAGTAAACCAGAACTGAGGTAACAAGACCTTGAATTTTGTTGGTTAGTAGCAAAGATATAGCAAAATGATGCAAATGAGCTCTTCCAAAATGGGAAAAAGAAAATACATTGGTGACAAAACACTGGAATGAAAGAGAAGAAAAGTTTAAAGATGACCCCAAAGTTTTAAACCTAAACTTAACCTACTGTTTTAGGTTTCTAAAACAGTACTATTTATTGAAATAAGTAAGTTTGAAAATATGATTGAGAGAGAGAGAGGGGAGAATGAAACATTTTTCCTTAGACATGTTGAGTCTGTGGTTTAGGAGGGGTTCTACATGTAGATTATGCTACAAAACTTTTACCCATCAAAATAGATTACAGCTGTAGTAATAACAATAGAACATTATTCATGAATACTAAGTTATTGTCTTTCCATAGCCTCCTGCTTTATGTCTGCAGTTTGTAAAAAGAAAAAAAATCCAAAATTTGGGATGGTATTGGCCTGGCCATTAACAAAAGCAAACCAGTTTGCTTAAAACTAGCCATCTTTGCTGCTTCATGAAGTCAAATTTCTCTACTGATTCATTTCCAAGCTCAGAGGAACTAAGTTAAATAATTTAGAATATGCTAAAGATGCTTGATAAGTGTTTATTGACTGGTTGACTTAACACTAAGTAAATACTGTTCACTTAGGTTAGCTGTGAAATATAATTAGATAGAACCTTGTCTCTGCTCCCTTTTAACTGGCTTCTGCAGGTAATAATCCCTTCTGTTCTCAGAACTGCCATTGCAGTTTCATCTATTTGTTCTTAACTCATATGACTTTTTAAAGTGAGGTCAAAACAGAAGTATGACTTTTAAAAGTTTCATTTACAAAGCTGAAAGTTTCTTTAAAGTGTTATCTACAACTGTGTTAACTTCCTTTCTGGAAAGCCTGCTTATAAAGTAGCACTTGTTGATTATATAAGATGCTTTTTGTGTTTAAATACGTGTCATTCTTTTTTTTCACAACATTCCCGAATCTTACATAATAAATCTTATTTTAATTATTTAGCAAATTCCATTGCATGCCAGGCAATGAAGAAGTAAGTAAAATAAAACATTTTCCTTCCCATTTAGGAATTTACTTACCAGTGGGGGTGAAGAGAGGGCTAAAAACATAACTATAATACATTGTGAGTATTGCTTTATCAGATCTATCTTTGCAGTTGAGTATTACAAAAGCACTAGAAGATGAGGTCAAAGCGGTCCCTTGAGGAAGGGATGACTACACCAAGGAAGGATAGGGAGAGAGGGAGGAAAAGGGAGGCACTTCAAGCAGAGGCATGTTCAGAAGTTCCAAAGAACATTTTGCTCTCAATGGAATGGCTTTGGATGTTTATTACATTTTTTTTTTCACTAAGTTTTGTATTTCTAATGCCTTAGACAAAAAATTGTGCTGGACAATGATCAGAACCCTGACTTTGCTCTTATCTTTGCTTAATGGGTGTCGTATATCACTAGTGGAGTTTCTTACCTACATTTAAGTATCCTCACTAGCCTTCATAAAATAATCATCAACATCAAAGATACCTGTTTCTGTTCTCTCTTACCCTGTCCACAGAACTTTTGCGACTTTCAGGACCAGTCATGCAGCAGTCCCAGCAGCCCCAGCCTCTACAGAAGCAGCCACCACAGCCCCAGCAGCAGCAGAGACCCCAGCAGCAGCAGCCACATCACCCTCAGACAGAGTCTGTCAACTCTTATTCTGCTTCTGGATCCACCAATCCATACATGAGACGGCCCAATCCAGTTAGTCCTTATCCAAACTCTTCACACACTTCAGATATCTATGGAAGCACCAGCCCTATGAACTTCTATTCCACCTCATCTCAAGCTGCAGGTTCATATTTGAATTCTTCTAATCCCATGAACCCTTACCCTGGGCTTTTGAATCAGAATACCCAATATCCATCATATCAATGCAATGGAAACCTATCAGTGGACAACTGCTCCCCATATCTGGGTTCCTATTCTCCCCAGTCTCAGCCGATGGATCTGTATAGGTATCCAAGCCAAGACCCTCTGTCTAAGCTCAGTCTACCACCCATCCATACACTTTACCAGCCAAGGTTTGGAAATAGCCAGAGTTTTACATCTAAATACTTAGGTTATGGAAACCAAAATATGCAGGGAGATGGTTTCAGCAGTTGTACCATTAGACCAAATGTACATCATGTAGGGAAATTGCCTCCTTATCCCACTCATGAGATGGATGGCCACTTCATGGGAGCCACCTCTAGATTACCACCCAATCTGAGCAATCCAAACATGGACTATAAAAATGGTGAACATCATTCACCTTCTCACATAATCCATAACTACAGTGCAGCTCCGGGCATGTTCAACAGCTCTCTTCATGCCCTGCATCTCCAAAACAAGGAGAATGACATGCTTTCCCACACAGCTAATGGGTTATCAAAGATGCTTCCAGCTCTTAACCATGATAGAACTGCTTGTGTCCAAGGAGGCTTACACAAATTAAGTGATGCTAATGGTCAGGAAAAGCAGCCATTGGCACTAGTCCAGGGTGTGGCTTCTGGTGCAGAGGACAACGATGAGGTCTGGTCAGACAGCGAGCAGAGCTTTCTGGATCCTGACATTGGGGGAGTGGCCGTGGCTCCAACTCATGGGTCAATTCTCATTGAGTGTGCAAAGCGTGAGCTGCATGCCACAACCCCTTTAAAGAATCCCAATAGGAATCACCCCACCAGGATCTCCCTCGTCTTTTACCAGCATAAGAGCATGAATGAGCCAAAACATGGCTTGGCTCTTTGGGAAGCCAAAATGGCTGAAAAAGCCCGTGAGAAAGAGGAAGAGTGTGAAAAGTATGGCCCAGACTATGTGCCTCAGAAATCCCATGGCAAAAAAGTGAAACGGGAGCCTGCTGAGCCACATGAAACTTCAGAGCCCACTTACCTGCGTTTCATCAAGTCTCTTGCCGAAAGGACCATGTCCGTGACCACAGACTCCACAGTAACTACATCTCCATATGCCTTCACTCGGGTCACAGGGCCTTACAACAGATATATATGATATCACCCCCTTTTGTTGGTTACCTCACTTGAAAAGACCACAACCAACCTGTCAGTAGTATAGTTCTCATGACGTGGGCAGTGGGGAAAGGTCACAGTATTCATGACAAATGTGGTGGGAAAAACCTCAGCTCACCAGCAACAAAAGAGGTTATCTTACCATAGCACTTAATTTTCACTGGCTCCCAAGTGGTCACAGATGGCATCTAGGAAAAGACCAAAGCATTCTATGCAAAAAGAAGGTGGGGAAGAAAGTGTTCCGCAATTTACATTTTTAAACACTGGTTCTATTATTGGACGAGATGATATGTAAATGTGATCCCCCCCCCCCGCTTACAACTCTACACATCTGTGACCACTTTTAATAATATCAAGTTTGCATAGTCATGGAACACAAATCAAACAAGTACTGTAGTATTACAGTGACAGGAATCTTAAAATACCATCTGGTGCTGAATATATGATGTACTGAAATACTGGAATTATGGCTTTTTGAAATGCAGTTTTTACTGTAATCTTAACTTTTATTTATCAAAATAGCTACAGGAAACATGAATAGCAGGAAAACACTGAATTTGTTTGGATGTTCTAAGAAATGGTGCTAAGAAAATGGTGTCTTTAATAGCTAAAAATTTAATGCCTTTATATCATCAAGATGCTATCAGTGTACTCCAGTGCCCTTGAATAATAGGGGTACCTTTTCATTCAAGTTTTTATCATAATTACCTATTCTTACACAAGCTTAGTTTTTAAAATGTGGACATTTTAAAGGCCTCTGGATTTTGCTCATCCAGTGAAGTCCTTGTAGGACAATAAACGTATATATGTACATATATACACAAACATGTATATGTGCACACACATGTATATGTATAAATATTTTAAATGGTGTTTTAGAAGCACTTTGTCTACCTAAGCTTTGACAACTTGAACAATGCTAAGGTACTGAGATGTTTAAAAAACAAGTTTACTTTCATTTTAGAATGCAAAGTTGATTTTTTTAAGGAAACAAAGAAAGCTTTTAAAATATTTTTGCTTTTAGCCATGCATCTGCTGATGAGCAATTGTGTCCATTTTTAACACAGCCAGTTAAATCCACCATGGGGCTTACTGGATTCAAGGGAATACGTTAGTCCACAAAACATGTTTTCTGGTGCTCATCTCACATGCTATACTGTAAAACAGTTTTATACAAAATTGTATGACAAGTTCATTGCTCAAAAATGTACAGTTTTAAGAATTTTCTATTAACTGCAGGTAATAATTAGCTGCATGCTGCAGACTCAACAAAGCTAGTTCACTGAAGCCTATGCTATTTTATGGATCATAGGCTCTTCAGAGAACTGAATGGCAGTCTGCCTTTGTGTTGATAATTATGTACATTGTGACGTTGTCATTTCTTAGCTTAAGTGTCCTCTTTAACAAGAGGATTGAGCAGACTGATGCCTGCATAAGATGAATAAACAGGGTTAGTTCCATGTGAATCTGTCAGTTAAAAAGAAACAAAAACAGGCAGCTGGTTTGCTGTGGTGGTTTTAAATCATTAATTTGTATAAAGAAGTGAAAGAGTTGTATAGTAAATTAAATTGTAAACAAAACTTTTTTAATGCAATGCTTTAGTATTTTAGTACTGTAAAAAAATTAAATATATACATATATATATATATATATATATATATATATATGAGTTTGAAGCAGAATTCACATCATGATGGTGCTACTCAGCCTGCTACAAATATATCATAATGTGAGCTAAGAATTCATTAAATGTTTGAGTGATGTTCCTACTTGTCATATACCTCAACACTAGTTTGGCAATAGGATATTGAACTGAGAGTGAAAGCATTGTGTACCATCATTTTTTTCCAAGTCCTTTTTTTTATTGTTAAAAAAAAAAGCATACCTTTTTTCAATACTTGATTTCTTAGCAAGTATAACTTGAACTTCAACCTTTTTGTTCTAAAAATTCAGGGATATTTCAGCTCATGCTCTCCCTATGCCAACATGTCACCTGTGTTTATGTAAAATTGTTGTAGGTTAATAAATATATTCTTTGTCAGGGATTTAACCCTTTTATTTTGAATCCCTTCTATTTTACTTGTACATGTGCTGATGTAACTAAAACTAATTTTGTAAATCTGTTGGCTCTTTTTATTGTAAAGAAAAGCATTTTAAAAGTTTGAGGAATCTTTTGACTGTTTCAAGCAGGAAAAAAAAATTACATGAAAATAGAATGCACTGAGTTGATAAAGGGAAAAATTGTAAGGCAGGAGTTTGGCAAGTGGCTGTTGGCCAGAGACTTACTTGTAACTCTCTAAATGAAGTTTTTTTGATCCTGTAATCACTGAAGGTACATACTCCATGTGGACTTCCCTTAAACAGGCAAACACCTACAGGTATGGTGTGCAACAGATTGTACAATTACATTTTGGCCTAAATACATTTTTGCTTACTAGTATTTAAAATAAATTCTTAATCAGAGGAGGCCTTTGGGTTTTATTGGTCAAATCTTTGTAAGCTGGCTTTTGTCTTTTTAAAAAATTTCTTGAATTTGTGGTTGTGTCCAATTTGCAAACATTTCCAAAAATGTTTGCTTTGCTTACAAACCACATGATTTTAATGTTTTTTGTATACCATAATATCTAGCCCCAAACATTTGATTACTACATGTGCATTGGTGATTTTGATCATCCATTCTTAATATTTGATTTCTGTGTCACCTACTGTCATTTGTTAAACTGCTGGCCAACAAGAACAGGAAGTATAGTTTGGGGGGTTGGGGAGAGTTTACATAAGGAAGAGAAGAAATTGAGTGGCATATTGTAAATATCAGATCTATAATTGTAAATATAAAACCTGCCTCAGTTAGAATGAATGGAAAGCAGATCTACAATTTGCTAATATAGGAATATCAGGTTGACTATATAGCCATACTTGAAAATGCTTCTGAGTGGTGTCAACTTTACTTGAATGAATTTTTCATCTTGATTGACGCACAGTGATGTACAGTTCACTTCTGAAGCTAGTGGTTAACTTGTGTAGGAAACTTTTGCAGTTTGACACTAAGATAACTTCTGTGTGCATTTTTCTATGCTTTTTTAAAAACTAGTTTCATTTCATTTTCATGAGATGTTTGGTTTATAAGATCTGAGGATGGTTATAAATACTGTAAGTATTGTAATGTTATGAATGCAGGTTATTTGAAAGCTGTTTATTATTATATCATTCCTGATAATGCTATGTGAGTGTTTTTAATAAAATTTATATTTATTTAATGCACTCTAAGTGTTGTCTTCCTGAAGTTTTTTTAGTGCTTGAATGACTGCCACCTCAATGAAGAAAAGGGAATAAAAAATAATTTTTAAAGACACTTTTAAGATAGATAGTTAGTCTTATGTTAAACTATATCTAAGATAATACCCAAATAATTAAGGCCGAAGTATTTCTCTGGTTAAATGGTGTAGATATTCACTCACTTTTCCTTCCAACTAACTTGTTAGTGTATTCACTTTGCATGTGTAGACAGTGTAAATCAGATAGAGAGTAAAGCACCTCTAATCTTAGATTGCCCCCTCCAGTGTTTTGTGAAGGGTTTCAGTGATATAGCAGGTGCACTAAGGTTGAATTCATATTGCTTAGAACTAAGGCCAACTCTGTTTTCAGACTCTCACCTTCCACTTCTTGCCTACTCTTCTTAAGGGAAGATACTTCTTCCTGTACATCAGAAAGGCAGGGTGGTAGGCTGGAGGAATGGGGAGAGGAGGCCTGGAAGGTATCAGACAAATATACTTGTCCTCATCTAGTCCCACATGGCTTCAAGGAGCTTGAGGCTAAATCATCCTCATCTCTACCCATTCTCTGCCATGTGAATCATCCCATATATAATATCAGTGCACTCCAGCTGAAACACTTCCTAGAACCACAAGATGCTAAACAATAGTTGTGGGAATCTTCCAGCCCTCCATTCCTTCCCAAATTGGCAGAGAAATCATTTTCATCATGCATGAAGTAAAGGAATTCCCTTTCTCACATTTCTCTCTGTTCAGCCTGGGCCAAATCTGATTCAAATAGTGCAACCCAGGAAATGACTACCATTTAGTAACCTCTGAGCTTATTGACTGGGAGATTCCTCCAGGACTCTGCAAGCCAGGATATTAAGAGAAGCCACAACATCACTGTTAAAACACAATGATCTAATGACTTGGCTTTTGTTTTAATTTCAACCCTCTGAGCACATTGTCAACCCTCATTTCACCATCCATCATCTGGCTGAACCTTGGGAACCTCCCACTCCACATTTGCAAGTCTCCACTGCCCAGGGCAGGGAGAATTTTAGACTCCACAAGCTCAAAAGCCTTTCCTGCTAGAGCCCCATTCTGCTAGGATCTCTACTAGTGGAGGCTGGTGATGCTAGCACACCATAAATGAACGTGTGGGAAGGCCTGCTGCTTCTGAGCCTGCAGGTGGACTTGAACAGGGGAAACAGCTGGAAATGACAGATGAGCCAGCATTCACAAAGCTTTATTGGCCCCTTGCCTCTCCTGGAAAGACATAACAAGGCCAAACCTTTTCTTGTAGGCACACACAGCTGCCCTGTCACACAGTACCACCCGTTTCTTCCTCACTTTTTTTCAGTTGGTTTATCATAAAAATCCTTCCACTATGGGTAATTCTAGCTTATCTTTGAGTCCTGCCTGATTCCACTGCCCAGCACTCATCGGCTGTGTAAGAGCCAGACTTAGCGAGAAAAGTCATTTTTCAACAAGGCACCTAATCCGTAGAGTGTGGGGAATTTTAGATTGATTTTGTTGGTTTAAAGGCCATCTGGAGGCGAGTATCAAAAAAAGAAAAAAGGGTGTGGGGAAGCATCTTTTCTTCCCTTAATTGATTTGAGGGAAGTGCTTGTTTCATGAAGACACTTGTTTATTAACTTCAATCACCCAACTTATCCGTAAGGCGTCAGGGACTTTATCTTCCCCACCCCCATTGCCCCCCTCCCCCAATACACTCACAGTTGTTGAAAGAATGAAAAAGTGTTCACAAAAGATGCTTAGAATTAACTCATTTATGTTATTTTGGTTTTACTAGGAGAATTGTTTCAAAGAACGAAGATGCTTTTGTTCCCATATATTAGAGGCTACCTGCCTAAATTCTCTCTAACCAGGTAGTTTCTCACAAACTTCCTTGGTTTTCTCATCCAACATTCACTCTTTAAAAGAGCCACACTTTCCCTCACATATATACTCAACAAATATAGTTTTTTGGAGGGATTTCTTTTTATGCTGTTTCAATTTGGCATTTTACTCCCTAATGAGGTTTTTTTTGGCACAAATGTATGAGGTATGTGAGAAAGTTTGTTACATATATATATATACACACACATATATATACTATATATATACTATATATACATATATAATATATATGTATACATATATATTATATGCATAGTGATGAAGTCAAGGTATTTAGGGTATCCATCACCAAGTACAACATTTTTCTTAAGTATAGTCACCCTACTCTATTAACTTTTTTTCGGAGATGGAGTCAAGACTCCACTCTGTCGCCCAAGCTGGAGTACAGTGGCACAATCTCAGGTCACTGCAACCTCCACCTCCTGGGTTCAAGTGATTCTCCCACCTCAGCCTCCCAAGTAGCTGGGACTACAGGTGCACGCCACCACGCCTGGCTAATTTTTTGTATTTTTAGTAGAGTCAGGGTTTCACCTAGCCAGGCTGGTCTCAAACTCCTGACTTCAGGTGATCCGCCCACCTCAGCCTCCCAAAGTGCTGGGATTATAGGTTTGCACCACTGCACATGGCCAAATATTGACTTTATTCTATCTTACTATATATTTGTATACTTTAACCCAGTTCCCTTCATTCTCTCCTCTCCCCACAGTCACCCTTCCCAGTCTCTGTTATCTGTCTTTCCACTCTCTACCTCCGTGTGATCAAATTTTTTAGCTCCCACAGATAACCCACATATAACATATGATATTTGTCTTATGCCTGGCTTATTTCACTTAAAATAATGACCCCTCAGTGTCATCTACGTTGCTGCAAGTGACAAGATTTCGTTCTTTTCTGTGGTTGCTCCATTATGTGTAGAAACCACATTTTCTTTATCTATTCATCCACTGATGGACATATAGGTTATCCCATGTCTTTACTGTTGTGAATAGTGCTGCCATAAATATGCAGTGCAGAGATCCCTTTGATGTACTGACATCTTTCCCTTTAGGTCGTAGTAGGATTGCTGGATTGAATGATAGTTCTATTCTTAGTTTTTTAAGAAATTTCTATACTGTCTTCTATAGTGGCTGTAAAATTTACATTCCCACAAACAATGTAAAAAGAGTTCCCTTGGCCGGGCGCGGTGGCTCATGCCTGTAATCCCAGCACTTTGGGAGGCCGAGGTGGGCGGATCACGAGGTCAGGAGATCGAGACCATCCTGGCTCACACAGTGAAACCCTGTCTATATTAAAAATACAAAAAAAAATTAGCCAGGCGTGGTAGCGGGCCCCTGTAGTCCCAGTTACTCGGGAGGCTGAGGCAGGAGAATGGCATGAACTCCGGAGGCAGAGATTGCAGTGAGCCGAGATCGAGCCACTGCACTCCAGCCTGGGCGAGAGCGAGACTCCATCTCAAAAAAAAAAAAAAAAAAAAAAAAAAAGAGTTCCCTTTTTTCTGCATCCTTGCCAACATGTGTTTATTTTGTTTTGTTTTGTTTTACTAATAGCTATTATGAATGGCAATAAGATGATATCTCATTGTGGATATGATTTACATTTCTCTGATTATTACTGAAATACATTACTGATTATTACTGATCATAAGCCTGTTTGCCATACAAATGGCAAATAATCAGTAATAATCTATATCAGTATAGATTGTATCATTCTGATTATTACTGATTATAAACCTGTTTGCCATCTGTACATCTTCTTTTGAGAAATGTCTATTCACTTACTTTGCCTACTTTTTAAAAAGATTTGTGCTTTTTTCCTGTTCCTTCTACATTCTGATATTAGTCCCCTGTCAGATGAACAGTTTGCAAATATTTTCTCTCATTTAAAACAAGTTGTTCTCTCACTCTGTTCATTGTTTCCTTTGCTATGCAGCAGCTTTTTAGTTTAATATAGTCTCATTTGGCTATTTTTGTCTTTGTTGGCTATGCTTTTGAAGTCTTAGTCATAAATTCTTTGCTTTGACCAATATCCAGGAATGTTTTCTCTAGGTTTTCTTTCTATTGTTTTCACAGTTTTAGGTTTTACATTTACATCTTTAATCCATCTTGAGTTGATTTTTGTATATGGTGAGAGATCGGGTCTAGTTTCATTCTTCTGCATGTGGCTGTACAATTTTTCCAGCACCATTTATTGAATAGGGTGTCCTTTTTCTATTGTAAGTTCTTGTCAGCTTTGTCAAAAAACAGTTGACTATAAATATGTGGCTTTATTGCTGGATTCTCTATTCTGGTCCACTAGTCTATATATATATATACATATATATATATACACACACATATATATATATATATATACGTGTATATATATATGTATATATATATATACGTATATATATATATGTATATATATATACACATATATATATATTTTTTTTTTAACCAGTACCATACTGTTTTGGTTACTTGTAATATATTTTGAAGTTAGGTAACATGGTGCTTCCAGCTTTGTTCTTTTTGCTCAGGATTGCTTTGGCTATTTAGGCTCTTTGGGTTTCATATATATGTTAGTATTTTTCTAATTCTGTAAAGAAATAAAATGGTATTTTGATAGGAATCGTGTTGAATCTATAGATTGCCATGGCCAATGTGGTCATTTTAATATTAATTTTTCCAACCCATGAGCATGGATACTTTTCTATTTGTGTTGCCTTCAGTTTCTTTCATCAACGTTTTGTTCTTTTCCTTGTAGAGATCTTTTACCTCCTTGGTTAAATTTATTCCTAGGGTTTTTTTTTGGTGGGGGAGGGGGAGCGCTTATCTATTGTAAATGGGATTTCTTTCTCAGCTACATGATTAGTGAATAGAAATGCTACTGATTTTTGTATCCTAATTTTGTGTCCTGCAACTTTAATTCATTTGTCCGATCTAAGAGTTTTTTTCATGGAGTCTCTAGGTTTGTCTAGATATAAGATCATCCCATTAGCAAAGAAGAACAATTTGACTTCCTCTTTGCAAATTTGGATGCCTTTTCTCCTTCCTGATTGCTCAGGGAACACTTCCAGTATGAAGTTGAATAAAAGGGTAAAAGTGGTCATTTTTGCCTTGTTCCAGTTCTTAGTAAAGGCTTTCAACTTTTGCCAATTGGGTATGATGTTAGCTATGTGTTTGTCATATGTGGCCTTTATTGTTTTTAGGTGTGTTCTATGTCCAGTTTGAGTTTTCATCATGAATTGTTGAATTTTATCAAATGCTTTTTCTGCATCTATTAAGAAAATCATATGGTTTTTATCCTTCATTTTTTGTCGATATACCATGTTTATTGATTTACATATATTGAGCAATCCTTGCATCCCTGGGATAAATCTCACTTGGTTGTGGTGTATTATCGTTTTGTTCTGCTGTTGGATTTCATTTGCTAGTATTTTGTTGATGATTTTTGCCATCTATATTCATCAGAGATATTGGCCCTGTTTTCTTTTTCCTCGTATCCTTGTCTGATTTTTGGCATCAGGGTGATGCTGGCCTTGTTGAATGAGTTAGAATTCTCTCACCTTTAATTTTTTGGAATAGTTTCAGAAACATTGGTAGTAGTGATTTTTGTACATTTGGTAGAATTTGGCTAAGGATCCATTCAGGAGACTTGTTATTACTGATTCAATTTTACTACTCATTGTTGATCTGTTCAGGTTTTCTATTTCTTTTTGATTCAATCTTAATAAGATGAATGTTTCTAAGAACTTACTCATTTCATTTAGATTTTCCAGTTTGTTGTATATAGTTGTTTGTAATAGTCTCCGATAAATGTTTGTGTTTGTATTTCTGTGTTATCAGTTGTAATGTCTCCTTTTTCATCTGATCGTATTTGGATCTACGCTTCTTGGTTAGTCTACCTGGCAGTTTATCAATTTTGTTTATCTTTTTGAAGAAGCAACTTTTTGTTTTGTTGATCCTTTGTACTTTTCTCAGTCTAGACTTCATTTAGTTCTTCTCTGATTTTTATTATTTCTTTTCTTCTGCTAATTCTGGGTTTGATTTGTTCTTGCTTTTCTAGTTCTTTGAGGTACACTGTGAGATTGTTAATTTGTAATCTTTCTACTCTTGATATAGACATTTACTGATATAAACTTCCCTCTTAGTACTGCTTTTGCTGTATCCCACAAGTTTTGGTATATTGTGTTTCCATTTTCATTTGTGTCAAAAAATGTAATTTGCATTTTAATTTCTTCAGAAGCATGTTAATTTTATAACTATAGCTTTCAAAGTTTTTAGTATTGATTTCTAGTTGTATCCCATTGTGGTCTGAGAAGATACTTGATATGATTTTGATTTTTTGACATTTGTTGAGACTTGGTTTGCAGCCTAACATATGGTCTATCTTGAAAAATGGTCCATTTGCTGATAAAAAGAATGTGTATTCCACAGTTGTTGAATAGAATGTTCTCTAAATGTCTGTTAGGTCCATTTGGTCTGAAATCCAGTTTAAACTCAATGTTTGTTGATTTTCTGTCTAAATGATCTGTCTAATGCTGAGAATGGAATGTTGAAGTAACCCAGTATTAATATATTGCAGTCTATCTGTTCCTGTAGATGTAGTAATATTTGCTTTATGAATCTGGGTGCTCCAGTGTTGGGTGCATATATATGTAGAATTGTTATGTGTTCTGTCACTGAACTGATCCTTTATTGATATATAAAGCTTTAAAAAAAACCTGTTATTGAATACAAATCAAAACCACAATGAGATATCATCTCATGCCAGTTAGAATGGCAATTATTAAAAAGTCAGGAAACAACAGATGCTGGCAAGGCTATGGAGAAATAGGAACACTTTTACACTGTTGGTGGGAATGTAAATTAGTTCAACCATTGTGGAAAACTGTGGCGATTCCTGAAGGATCTAGAACCAGAAATACCATTTGACCCAGCAATCCCATTACTAGTCATAAGGAATATAATCATTCCACTATAAAGACATATGCACACGTATGTTTATTGCAGCACTATTTACAATAGCAAAGACTTGGAATCAACCCAAATGCCCATCAGTGATAGACTGGATAAAGAAAATGTGGCACATATCCACCATGTAATACTATGCAGCCATGAAAAAGGATGAGTTCATGTCCTTTGTAGGGACATGGATGAAGCTGGAAACCATCATTCTCAGCAAACTAACACAGGAACAGAAAACCAAACACCACCTGCTCTCACTCATAAGTGAGAGCTGAACAATGAGAACACATGGACACAGGGAGGGGAACATCACACACTGGGGCCAGTCAGGGGGCGGGGTGAGGAAGAGCATTGAGACAAATGCCTAATGCATGTGGGGCTTAATATCTAGGTGACGGGTTGATGCGTGTGGCAGACCACTGTGGCACATGGGTACCTATGTGGCAAACCTGCATGTTCTGCACATGTATCACAGAAATTAAAGTAAAATAAAAATTTAAAAAAGAAAAAACTGTTCTTGACTTAATCTGTTTTATCTGATGTAAGTATAGCTACTCCTGCTTTCAGTTTCATTTTGCACAGAATAACTTTCTATCCCTTTGCTTTTTATCTATATGTCTTTATAGGTGAATTTTTTGTAAGAAGCATATAGTTGGATCATGGTTTTTAAAAAATCCATTCAGCCATTCTACAACATTTAAGTGGACAATTTAATCTATTTATATTAAAGATTATTATTGATATGGGAAGTATTGTTCCTATCATATTGCTAATTATTTTCTGGTTGTTTTGTATATTTTTCATTCCTGTCTTTTTCTCTTATTGTTATTGTGATCCTGGTGGATTTCTGTAGTGGTACCATTTGAGTCCTTTCTCTTCCTCCTTTGTGTGATTTCTTTACCAGTAGGTTTTACACTTTCATGTGTTTATATGATGGTAAATGTCCTTTTGCTCTTAGGTTTAGGACTCCCTTAAGCATTTTTTGTAGAACTATTCTAGTGGTAAAATATTCCTCAGCATTTGCCTGTCTGGAAAAACTTTATAAAAGATATTTTGCTAGGTATAGTATTGTCTGGCAGGTTGTTTTTTTTTTTCTTTCAGCACTTTGAATATATCGTCCCATTCTCTTCTGGCCTGAAAGGTTTTTATTGAGAAATTCACTGTTACTCTGATGGGATTTCTTTTATAAGTGACTAGGCACTTTTCCCTTGCTGCTTTTAGAACTTGCTGTTTATCTTTGACTTTAGTCTGGCTGTAATGTATTGTAGAGACCTTTTTGCCTTGTTCAGTCCAGGGATTACTGAGCCTCCTGTATCTGAATATCTAAATCTCTTGCTAGATCCAGCAGGTTTTCATATATTATCTTGTTAAATAAAGATAATATATGAAACAATAAACACAAACTATAAATATGTTTTCTAATATTTTGTTCCTTTTCCCTTGGGGATACCAATAATTTAAATATTTGACCACTTTTTTCCAAAATGTAACTAAGGCTTTGCTCATTCTTTCCTATTTTTTCTTCATTATTGTCTGGCTAGATTGTTTCAAAAGACCTGTCTTCAAGTCTTAGAATTTTCTTCTTCTGACTAGTCTAGTCTATTGTTGAAGCTTTCAAATGTATTTTCTATTTCCTTTAATGAATTCTTCTAGAATTTTTTTTTTTTTTTTGAGGGTGAGTGGGGATGCAGAGACAGTCTTGCTCTGTCACCCAAGCTGGAGTGTAGTGGCATGATATTGGCTCACTGAAACCCTGCCTCTCAGGTTCAAGAGATTCTCCTGCCTCAGCCTCCCAAACAGCTGGCACCACAGGTATACGCCACCATGCCCGGCTAATTTTTGTAGTTTTTGTAGAGACAGGGTTTCACCATTTGGCCAAGCTGGTCTTGAACTCCTGGCCTCAAGTGATCCATCCGTCTCAGCCTTCCAAAGTGCTGGATTACAGGCATGAGCCACTGCACCCTGCCACTTCTAGAATTTCTATTGGGTTCTTTTTTCAAATATCTTTTTGAAAAGTTGTTCATATTCTGAATTGTTTTTCTAATTTCCTTGTATTATTTGTCAGAATGCTCTCATATCTCACTGATCTGCTTTAAAATCAATATTTTGAATTCTTTATCTGGAATTTCAAATATTTCCTTTAGATGAAGATCTTTTGCTGGAGAATTACTGTGTTCTTCTGGGGATGTTGTATTTTCTTGCTTTGTGTCTGTGTCCTTGCATTAATATCTGTGCATCTGGTTTAATAGTCACTTCTTCCTATTTTTAAATTTACTTTCATATGGGAGAATTTTTCCTGAAGATGTATCTATGATGTTGGTTGAGTAAGGCACTTCAACTTTGATTCTGGGTACATGCAGTAGGTAGTCTCCATATGATTTCTTTAGCTGTAAACAGTGTTATTGGTTTCTGCGATTTCCGCAATTGGTTAGGGTGTAGTTATTAGTGGAGGATACAGTGAAGTTGTACTGGGGACTAAGATGCCAGGTAGGCCAGTCTTAAGGCCCCAGTGGTGACAGTGGTGGGCTGAGCATGCCTATCTTTGCGCTTCAAGATGATGTACCCGAGAACCTATGTTGGTTGTTACTGGTGGCCTGATTCTTGGGCCTCAAGGTGGCTTGCTCAGATGCCAGTAGTGGCAGGGGTAGAGGGGTTCTCAGGCTCCTAGATAGCTGCTGTGGCATGGGCAATAGCAGTAGCCATGGCAAGATGATTTCTCTGGGTCCTAATCTGTGTGCATTGATATTGGCAGTAGCTGTGATGGGCTGGGCGGGCCTGTCTCCAGGTCCACAGTTGGTGCTTGCAGGTATATACCAGCTGAGGAGGTACAGGCTGTGAGTTAAGGCCCAACCTCAGGCCTGTAGGAGTGCTGAGTTACATGAGGTGGTGGATTGGTTGGGCAATCCCCACATCCCCAGGCTATGTGCTCTATCTTGGATGGGGGGAGGGCAAAATGAGCTGGGCAGGCTTGTGCTCCGGTTCCCTAATGGTGACAGCAGCAACCAGCCATGATGGGCATGGGTGGACAATCCCCAGGCCTCAGGTGGAGTGTTCTGCTTGGTAAAGAGACAGTAGCAGCTGCACTGAGGACTTGCCTGGGTGGTCATAGTCTGGGCCAATGGGTGAGAAACATGCAACCCCCACTCATACCCCAGTCTTAGTGGGGCTGGCCCCTCCAGCAGTGAAAGCCTATGCCTAGCTTACACCTTCTTGGTCGTAAGAGCAAGTCCCAAAGGCAACTCACACCCTGTTCATATCCTAATCTCCATCCTGGGGTTGCCCACTTCCTGGCAGCAGCAGCTGCAGTGCACACCTTGCTCACTTCCTACGCCAGGTGAGAAGGCACTCCCAGCTCACTCCCAAGTTGCATCAGCAACAGCCCGAGTTTCTGTAATGCCTCAGTCCTGGCACCACTGGGTCCTAAGGATAGTGTGTAGTCTGCTACAGGCTAGATTTGGAAATGGTTCCTTTTCATAACTGCTTAGGTCTCAGAAAAGGTATGGGGCTCACTGCAAGATCCCTTCTTGGAGCAGTTTCATTCCGTGACATCCCTGCAGCTCCCTGTTAGTTTCAGGGGTTGGGAGGGTCAAGGTGTTCTCCAACAGCCCAGATTCCACAGTTTTACAGTAGGGATGTGGAAGTCTCTCACTCACCCTTTCCCCGAGTTGGTAAGTCACTCCAGCTCCCAGTTGATCTGGGCCAGGCAGGCTTCTAATCAATTCTTAATTCACACAAAAATGAGAATTCTATTTAGTGAAATAGTAGTTATATAAAGTTACTTGACCTCCTATCTCACTTCCCCAAAAAGAATGAATTCTGATAATTCATGAAATTAAGGACTTATAGGCATATTCACTGAGCACTTGCTTTTATTACTTGCAAAAAAAATAGTAATGTCAATAGAAATTTGAGTGTTGTTGCTTGAAAACTGACTTGCCTGTGGTGCTCTCACATCCTTCTCTCATTGGGAGGCTCTTTATTTTGGTTTTAAGGAATGAAATGAAGCACAGAAAACAGTACACAGTTGATGCTCCACATATGTGGATTCAATCAACCATTGGGAATATTCGGGAAAAAAAATGAATGGTTGCATCTGTGCAGAATATGTAAAGACTTTTTTGTTATTTCCTAAATGATACTTTATAACAACTATATACATGGCATTCCTCTTATATTAGGTATTAGAAGTAGTCTAGAGACGATCTAAAGTATATGGGAGGGTGTGCGTAGGTTATATACAAATACTAAGCCATTTTATATGAAGGACTTGAACATCCCTGTATTTTTGGTATCTTTGGGGGATCAAGGAACCTCACGGATACACAAGGGACAACTGTAGCAGAAGTTACCTGGCTTTGGATTCAGACTTGAAGTTTTTTCAGTTGTGTACATTGAGCCTCATTTGAAAAAAAAATCTGTATAATATGCACCCATCATAGGGTTATGGTGAAGATTAAATACGAATGTAAAGCTTTAAGTGTGAAGTAGCAATAAATGTTTTTTTCTATTAATACAAAATTTTTTTTCATCTCTCTTCCTCCCCTTTCTTCACATTAGGAGGTTTCTTCTACTGAGCACATCATAGAGCTCTGCTGGCTGAGCCCTATAGCCCTTTCTCCCTTCTTCCCATAAGCAAGATCTCCGATTCCTCCTCTGACAAAACAGGTTTACATAGCAGCAAAAGAACACTTGATCATGAAGCATAACTAGGACTCCCAAATTAGAGAGAAGATAGTCACAAAGCAAGGAAATAATTCCCTGTCTATAATCTCATAATGCCTTAAATTGCTCTTAGATGAGGTTACTGTCCCCCAGTGACTGTGGAAACTCTAGTAGTTGGAGAGACATCACAAGTTTCTAACTTACCAAATACATATCAAACACTAATAAAAAGCCCAAACAATTTAAGAGCTAGCAGCAGAAAAAAAAAATCAAAGAGAAAAAAGTGAGGAAATGACAATATTTGTATTTTCATTTCATAAATTTAATGTTTATAATATCTGTGCCTGAAACAGATATATTATTTATTTATATTGTTTATTTATATAAACAGAATAAAGTATTTTTAAGGCAGAGTATGTTAAAAGGGACAGGACTAGAAGACAGGATATGCTTTTTTCCCCTACTGAACTGGGAAAGTGAAAGATCTAAACCAAGAGTTAAATGTTGGTCAAATCTATTAAATCGGCAAATAAAGCATTTTTAAATTAAAAAAAAAAATAAAGGTAAAAGGAGAATTTGGCTGAATTTGGCAGAAGAGACCTGGCTAAAACTCCTGTCAATTAAGTTTCAATTTCCTCATGAGGCAAATAAACACAGTCCTTCCTGACTTTCTCCTGAGACCCACATCTATAATACAGAGGCTAGGAGGCCAGGTCCATGCCTCTTTCCTCCTAGGCTCCGAGTTCCTGAGTTAGCCTGTTGTGATGAAAGAACAAGACCTAAAGGAGTCTGCAAACACACAGTTTATGACAGCAAAGAGGCCCTGGCAAACTGTTCTATCACGTGGTGCACATGGATAGAAGACAGCTGTCTCTAAGTTAATACCAGCCTCACTTTTCCCCATTCTTCACCTAAATGCATATTCAATTAAAAATTTCTTAAAAGAGTCTCACGTGACAGAGACAAATAGAGTGGTGATTAATAAAGCATAAGCATGGTTGACTGAGGGACCTGGGTCCAGACAGGGTTTCATCAACTACAAACTTGTTATTTATTAGCAAATTAGTAAACTTCTCTATGAGTTTGTCAGTAAAATGAGGATTATAACACCTACACCTCAGGAAACTTGAGAGAATTAAGTGAGATCACTCGTGTATGTCAGTCCTTGGTATAGTTTCTGTCATTATGTGTTCCAAAAATGATAGTTATTGGAGTTTAATTTTCTATAAATCTGAGTTTCACTTGGCATTGATTAATTTCAAAGTAAAATGTTTTTATAAAGTTTGAAAATGTAACAAAGTTCAACTATACCCATTCAATAATATGGATGAATCTAATAAATATTTAGCAAAAGAAGCCATACACAAGAGTACATAGTGTATTATTTAGTGCGTATGAAGTTCAAAATAGACAAAGCAAATCCATGTATTTTGAAAATCAGGGTAGCTACACTTTAGAGAAGATGGGGGTTGGTAGTGGGTAGTGACCGGCAGAGGGCTTGAGACAGAGGAATTTCTGATTTTAAAGTGCTGATAATATTCTTTTTCTGTATCTGGAAGCTGGTTACATGAGTGTATGCACTTGATGAAGGCTCACTGACCTTTATACTTATGATTGGTACTCTTTTCTGATATAGGTTAGACTTCATTATAAAGTTCACTAAATAAAGTTTTAAAAAGATAACAAAGTCATCACTTTTCCTACTATGGACAACTAGCTCCTCCCATTCATTCATGTTACAAATACTTATTAACTGCCTACTCTGTATGTTCCAGGCACAATTCTAGATGCATGAGGCACATCAGCAAATAAGAATCCTCCATTTGGACTGTTGTGGGGTGGGGGGAGGGGGGAGGGTTAGCATTAGGAGATATACCTAATGCTAAATGACAAGTTAATGGGTGCAGCACACCAGCATGGCACATGTATACATATATAACTAACCTGCACATTGTGCACATATACCCTAAAACTTAAAGTATAATAATAATTTTTAAAAAAACTAGAAAAAAAAATACAGCCTCCCCCCTCCAAAAAAAAAAAAAAAAAAAAAAAAGAATCCTCCATTTTCAGGAAGGGAAAAAAGAGGAAGAAAAAACCTGGCTAAAACTCCTGTTAATTAAGTTTCAATTTCCTCATGAGGCAAATGAAGATGATAAATATCCTGTCTACTTTTCAGAGTATACTTATGTATTCTAAAACCTATCAGAAAAAGAAAAATCTTCTCCCCCAAGATCTCATAAACAACACACATTGATCTTGTGAGTAGTACCCTCAATGATTTCCTCATTGAGAGAATGAGGAAATGAGATTGAGAGAAAAGTATTTTTCTCACTGAGGCTCAGGCCTGTAGCCTCAGCTACTGGGGAGGCTGAGGAAGGAGGATTGCTTGAGTCCAGTTGTGGGCTGTAGTGCACTAGGCTGATCAGGTATTTGCACTAATTTGGCATCAATATGGTGACCTCTCATGAGCAGGGGACAATCAGGTTGCCTAAGGAGTGGTAAACTAGCCCAGGCCAGAACTGTAGCAGTTCAAAACTCCTGTGCTGATTAGCAGGGGGATGGAGTCCATGGGTAATCACTGTACTCCAGCTGGGGCAACAGAGAAAGACCCTACCCTGTCTTTTCTTTTTTTTTTTTAAGATATTTTTCTCAACTCTAAATATAGCCCTCCAAGCCTTCTTTACTTTGCCTTCTAGTGGGAGTTTCTAGTTACTGTTAGTTTCAAAATCCAGAAATTTGGAATAGTACCTAAGAGCAATTTCAGTGGAGAGATCATTCAGAAATATCAATTTCCATCAGTATCCCCCAAACTACTCATAAACTCCCCCAAAATGTCATAAAACCTCCAGCATGGCATCCAGGAGCAGAAAAAGAAAGTCATAAAATCTGAGTTTAGGAGTACTGTCAACAAAATTGCAGACTAGGAAGCTCCAAGTCTTCACTTCCCCATGGAAACACTTTTAAAAAAAGAAAAAAAAAAAAAAACAGAAAAAAAAAGAAGAAACTGCTGGCTAAATTAACCCTACAGAAGCTCTGGAAAAATAATCACAGGTCTATAGCAATCAAGCAAATGCAAAAATCAAGAAAAAGCTGTATTCAAAATGATAAAAAAAAAATCATGCGCTGTTTTTATTTACCTTTGCCCTACCACCTCTCTGGCAAGGCAGTCTTGGTCTGGAAGAGGAAGCTTCCCAGTTTCCAGTTCCTTCCCATAAACTAGAGGGGCAGAGAAGACCTTATTTGCAAAGTTCTAACCTGTCTGGGGGCTACCTGAAGGTCTAGTCTGTTTTGCCTAACTTACATCTCAAATAAACAGAAGCAGTGGGTGCCGCTTATGAAAGCTACAGAGAGACTAAGACCAGCAGATGCCTGGAGCAAAAGGTTATGGGTAGAGACCTACAATAGGCCATGTAAGGTCCTAAGAAGCTAAAGGTGAGACTTTGGAAATGTAAAATATTCAAGAACCACCTTGTATATGGGGAAAATTGAGAAAGTCACACAAAGGCTCAGAATAGACCCATATGCAGAAAAGACTGGAGAAGAATTTGTTTTCCATTCAGGCTGGTCCCAAGGCCTAGAGAACACCCAGCTAATAAAAGAAGGACTACCCCTGCTCAGAGACAGTCCATAAAGACTGGGAGACATGGCTATTTTTCCAAATGCCCAATTTTTAAACAGTTTTTAACAAATTCACAAGGCATACAAGGAAACAGGAAAACATGTAAAACCCATTCCAAACAAGAAAATAAATTTCCAGAAATAAATTCCTTTCCCATCCTCCCCAAAACACAGATTTACTAGGTAAAGACTTTAAAATAACTGTGTTATTCAATGAAACAATCATACCAATTAAAAATGAACAAAGAACTTGAATAGACATTCTTCCAAAAAAGAAATACAAATGCCCAATAAGTATATGAGAAGATGCTCAACCTGACTAGTCACTTGGGAAATGCAAATAAAATCCATAATGATGGCCAGGCATGGTGGTTCATGCCTGTAACCCCAGCACTTTGGGAGGCCAAGGCAGGTGGATCATCTGAGGTCACGAGTTTGAGACCAGCTTGGCCAATGTGGTGAAACCCCGTCTCTACTAAAAATACAAAGATTTGCTGGGCGTGGTAGTGCATGCCTGTAATCCCAGCTACTAGGGAGGTTGAGGCAGGAGAATCACTTCCACCTAGAAGGCAGAGATGGCAGTGGGCTGTAACTGTGCCACTGCACTCCAGCCTGGTGACAGAGTGAGACTCTGTCTCAAAAAAACAAAAGAAATTCACAATGAGATGTCATTCTATCCCTGTTAAAATGGCAATTATAAAAAAAAAAAGAAAGAAGAAAACAACAGGTATTAGTGATGATATGGGGGAATTGGAACCCTTGTGCATTAATGGTGGGAATGTTAAATGGTGCAGCCACTGTGGAAAGCAGTAAGACTGTTCCTCAAAAAATGAAACAAAGAATTACCATATGACCCAGCAATTCTACTTCTAGGTATATATCCAAAATTATTAAAAAGCAGTGACTCAAACAGTCATGCTTGATATATACACCCATGTTCATAGTAGTATTGTTCACAATAGGTGGAAGAATCCCAAATGTCCATTGACAGATGAATGAATAAACAAAAAATAGTGTGTGTGTATATATGTGTGTGTATACACACACATATATACACACACACACACATATATACACACACATATATATACACACACACATATATATACACACACTAGAATATTATTCAAATTCTTCAAAGAGGAAGAAAATTATTCTAAAAGGAAGGAAATACATGCACATGCTACAACATGGATGAACCTTGAACACATTGTGTTAAATAAGTCAGACACAAAATGACTGATACAGTATAATTGCACCTATGCAAGGTAATTGGAGTAGTTGATAATTGGAGTAGTTGAATTCAGAGAGACAGAAAGTCGTATGGTGGTTGCCAGGGGCTGGGAGTAGGAAGAAAGGGGGAGATACTGATTAATTGGTATGGTGTTTTAGTTTGGAAAATTTTTTTTAAAATACTAGAAATGGATGATGGTGATGGTCCATGGTTAAAATGGTAAATTGTGGTGTATACTTTACCACAATAATAAAAAAAAAAAACCTTGGTTTTTGGTGAAAATGGTAAATTATTGTGTATATTTTACTACAATTAAAAAAACCTTAAATTTGCTAAAAGAGCTAAAGCAAAACATGGACAAAGAACTAAACAAAATCAGAAAAAAACAAGAATATGAAAAAGAAATTATAACTAAAATTCTCGAGCTGTAAACAATAACTGAATTGAAAAAGTCACTATTCAGAGGTGGCTGGCAAGATGGCTGAATAGGAACAATTCCGGTGTGCAGCTCCCAGCGAGATCAATGCAGAAAGCAGATGATATCTGCATTTCCAACTGAGATACCTGGCTCATCTCATTGAGACTGCTTAGACCATGGATGCAGCCCACAGAGGGTGAGCTGAAGCAGGGTGGGGTGTTGCCTCACCCAGGAAGTGCAATGGGTTGAGGAACTCCCTCCCCTAGCCAAGGGAAGCCCTGAGGGACTGTACCACAAGGAACAGTGCACTACGGCCCAGATAGTACACGTTTTCCATGGTCTTCGCGACCTGCAGACCAGGATATTCCCTCAGGTGCCTACACCACCAGGGCCCTGGATTTCAAGCACAAAACTGAATGGCCATTTGGGCAAACACCAAGCTAGCTGCAGATGTATTTTTTCATACCCCAGTGGCACCTGGACCTCCAGTGGGACAGAACCATTCACTCCCGCGGAAAGGGAGCTGAAACCAGGGAGCCAAGTGGTCTAGCTCAGAGGATCTCACCCCCACAGAGCCCAGCAAGATAAGAGTCACTGGTTTGAAATTCTCGCTGCCAGCACAGTAGTCTGAAGTTGACCTGGGATGCTCAAGCTTGGTGGGGGGAGGGAAATCTGCCATTACTGAGGCTTGAGTAGGTGGTTTTCCCCTCACAGTGTAAACAAAGCTTCCAGAAGTTCGAACTGGGCAGAGCATACTGCAGCTCAACAAAGCCACTGTAGCCAGACTGACTCTCTAGATTCCTTCTCTCTGGGCAGGGCATCTCTGAAAGAAAGGCAGCAGCACCAGTCAGGGGCTTATAGATAAAGGGGCTTATAGATAAAGTTCCCATCTCCCTGGGACAGAGCACCTGGAGGAAGGGGTGGCTGTTGGCACAGCTTCAGCAGACTTAAATATTCCTGCCTGCTGCCTCTGAAGAGAGCAGTGGATCTCCCAGCACAGCGCTCAAGCTCTGCTAAGGGACAGACTGTCTCCTCAAGTGGGTCCCTGACCCCCATGCCTCCTGACTGGGACACACCTCCTCAGCAATGGTCAACAGACACCTCATACAGGAGAAGTCCAGCTGGCATCTGGCGGGTGCCCCTCTGGGACAAAGCTTCCAGAGGAAGGAAGTGGCAGCAATCTTTGCTGTTCTGCAGCCTCCACTGGTGATACCCTGGCAACAGGGTATGAAGTAGACCACCAGCAAACTCCAGCAGACCTGCAGCAAAGGGGCCTGTTAGAAGGAAAACTAACAAAGGAATAGCATCAAAATCAACAAAAAGTGGACCACCAGTGAACTCCAGCAGACCTGTGGCAGAAGGGCCTGTTAGAAGGAAAACTAACAAAGAGGAAGGAAAAGCATCAACAAAAAGTACATCCACACAGAACCCTCATCCAAAGGTCACCAACATCAAAAACCAAAGGTAGATAAATCCACAAAGATGAGAAAAAAAAAAAAAAACAGCACAAAAAGGTTGAAAATTCCAAAAACTGGAACGCCTCTTCTCTTCCAAAGGATCACAACTCCTCGCCAGCAAGGGAACAACACTGGACGGAGAATGAATGTAACGAATTGACAGAAGTAGGCTTCAGAAGGTGGGTAATAACAAACTTCTCTGAGCTAAAGGAGCATGTTCTAACCCAATGCAAGGAAGCCAAGAACCTTGAAAAAAGGTTAGACAAATTGCTAACTAGAATAACCAGTATAGAGAAGAATATAAATGAGCTGATGGAGCTGAAACACAGCACGAGAACTTCATGAATCACTCACAAGTAACAATAGCTGAATCAATCAAGCAGAAGAAAGGATATCAGAGACTGAAAATCAACTTAATGAAGTAAAATGTGAAGAGAAGATTAGAGAAAAAAGAATGAAGAGAAATGAACAATGCCTCCAAGAAATATGGCACTATATGAAAAGACCAAACCTATGTTTGACTGGTGTACCTGAAAGTGTCAGGGAGAAGGAAACTAAGTTGGAAAACACTCTGCAGGATATTATCCAGGAGAACTCCCCCAACCTAGAGAGAGAGGCCAACATTCAAATTTAGGAAATACAGAGAACACCACAAAGATATGCCTCGAGAAGAGCAACCCCAAGACACAGAATCGTCAGATTCACCAAGATTGAAGTGAAGGAAAAAATGTTAAGGGCAGCCAGAGAAAAAGGTTGGGTTACCCCCAAAGGGAAGTCCATCAGACTAACAGCAGATCTCTTGGCAGAAACCCTACAAACCAGAAGAAAGTGGGGGCCAATATTCAAAATTCTTAAAGAAAAGAATTTTCAACCCAGAATTTCATATCAAGCCAAACTAAGTTTCATAAGTGAAGGAGAAATAAAATCCTTTACAGACAAGCAAATGGTGAGAGATTTTGTCATCACCAGGCCTGCCCTACAAGAGCTTCTGAAGGAAGCACTAAACATGGAAAGGAACAACCGGTACTAGCCACTGCAAAAACATGCCAAATTGTAAAGACCATTGACAATATGAAGAAACTGCATCAACTAATGGGCAAAATAACCAGCTAGCATCATAATGACAGGATCAAATTCACACATAACAATATTAACCTTAAATGTAAATGGGCTAAATGCCCAAATTAAAAGGCACAGACTGCCACATTGAATAAAGAGTCAAGACCCATTGGTGAGCTGTACTCAGGAGGCCAATCTCAAGTGCAAAGACACACATGGGCTCAAAATAAAGGGATGGAGGAATATTTACCAAGCAAATGGAAAGCAAAGAAGAAAAAAAAAGGCAGTGGTTGCAATTCTGGTCTCTGATAAAACAGACTTTAACCCAACAAATACCAAAAAACACAAACAAGGGCATCACATAATGGTAAAGGGATCAGTGCAACAAGAAGAGCTAACTATACTAAATATATATGCACCCAATACAGGAGCACCCAGATTCATAAGGCAAGTTCTTAGAGACCCACAAAGAGACTTAGACTCCCACACAATAATACTGGGAGACTTTAATACTCTACTGTCAATATGAGATCAACAATACAGAAAATTAACAAGGATATTCAGGACTTGAACTCAGCTCTAGACCAAGTGGACCTAGTAGACATCTACAGAACTCTCCACCCCAAATCAAAAGAGTATACGCACCCCTCTTAGCATCACATCGCACTTATTCTAAAACTGACCACATAATTGGAAGTAAAGCACTCCTTAGCAAATGCAAAAAAACCCAGAAATCATAACAAACAGTCTCTCAGAACACAGTGCAATCAAATTAGAACTCGGGATTAAGAAACTCACTCATCTACATGGATACTGAACAACCTGCTCCTGAATGACTACTGGGTAAATAATGAAATTAAGGCAGAAATAAAGATGTTCTTTGAAACCAAGGAGAATAAAGACACAAAATACCAGAATCTCTGGAAAACAGGTAAAGCAGTGTTTAGAGGAAAATTTATAGAACTAAATGCCCACAGGAGAAAGCAGGAAAGATCTAAAATCAACACCATAACATCACAATTAAAAGAACTAGGGAAGCAAGAGCAAACAAATTCAAAAGCTAGCAGAAAACAAGAAATAACTAAGATCAGAGTAGAACTCAAGGAGACAGAGACACCAAAAACCCTTCAAAAAAAAAAAATCATCAGTGAATCCAGGAGCTGGTTTTTTTGAAAACATCAACAATATAGATAGACTGCTAGCCAGACTAATAAAGAAGAAAAGAGAGAAGAATCAAATAGACACAATAAAAAATGATAAAGGGGATATCAACACTGATCCCACAGAAATAAAAACTAGCATCAGAGAATATTATAAACACCTCTATGCAAATAAACTAGAAAATCTAGAGGAAATGGATAAATTCCTGGACACATACACCCTCCCAAGACTAAACCAGGAAGAAGTCAAATCCCTGAATAGACCAATAACAAGTTTTAAAATTGAGGCAGTAATTAATAACCTACCAACAAAAAAAAGCCCAGGACCAGACGTATTCACAGCTGAATTCTACCAGGGGTACAAAAAGGAGCTGGTACCATTCTTTCTGAAACTCTTTTAAACAAGAGAAAAAGAGAGACTTCTCCCTAACTAATTTAATGAGGCCAGCATCAGCCTGATACGAAAACCTGGCAGAGACACCACAAAAAAAGAAAATTTCTAGCCAATATCCCTAATGAACATCGATGTGAAAATCCTCAAGAAAATACTGGCAATTTGAATCCAGCAGCCCATCAAAAAGCTTATCCACCACGATCAAGTCGGCTTCATCCCTGGGATGCAAGGCTGTTCAACATACACAAATCATAAACATAATCCATCACATAAACAGAACCAAGATAAAAACCATGTGATTATCTCAATAGATGCACAAAAGGACTTCGATAAAATTCAACATCCCTTCATGCTAAAAAAACTCTCAATAAACTAGGTATCAGTAGAACTTATCTCAAAATAATAAGAGCTATTTATGACAAACTCACAACCAATATCATACTAACTGGGCAAAAGCTGGAAGCATTCACTTTGAAAACCAGCACAAGACAAGGATACCCTCTCTCACCATTCCTACTCAACATATTATTGGAAGTTCTGGCCAGGGCAATCAGATAAGAAAAGGAAATAAAGGGAATTTAAATAGGAAGAGAAGAGAGGGAGTCAAATTGTCTCTGATTGCAGATAACATGATTGTATATTTAGAAAACCCCATAATGTCAGCTCAAAATCTCCTTAGGCTGATAAGCAATTTCAGCAAAGTCTCAGGATACAAAATCAAGGTGCAAAATTCACAAACATTGCTATACACCAATAATAGACAAACAGAGAGCCAAATCATGAGTGAACTCCCATTCACAGTTGCTACAAAGAGAATAAAATATCTAGGAATACAACTTACAAGGGATGTGAAGTATCTCTTCAAGAAGAGCTACAAACCACTGCTCAAGGAAATGAGAGGACACAAACAAATGGAAAAACATTCCATGCTCATGAATAGAAAGAATCAGTATCGTGAAAATGACCATACTGCCCAAGGTAATTTATAGATTCAACGCAATTCCCATCAAGCTACCATTGACTTTCTTCACAGAATTAGAAAAAAATTACTTTAAATTTCATATGGAACCAAAAAAGAGCCTGTATAGCCAAGACAATCCTAAGCCAAAAGAACAAAGCTGAAGGCATCACACTACCTGATGTAACTATACTACGAGGCTACTGTAACAAAAACAGCATGGTACTGGTACCAAAACAGATATATAGACCAATGGAACAGAACAGAGGCCTCCGAAATAATGCCACACATCTACAACCATCTGATGTTTGACAGCCTGACAAAAAGAAGCAATGGGGAAAGGATTCCCTATTTAATAAATGGTGTTGAGAAAACTGGCTAGCCATATGAAGAAAACTGAAACTGGACCCCTTCCTTACACCTTATATAAAAATTAGCTCAAGATGGATTAAAGACTTAAACGTAAACCTAAAACCATAAAAACCCTAGAAGACAACCTAGGCAATACCATTCAGGACATAGGCACGGGTAAAGACTTCATGACTAAAACAGCAAAAGCAATGGCAACAAAAGCCAAAATTGACAAATGAGATCTAATTAAACTGAAAAGCTTCTGCACAGCAAAAGAAACTCTCATCAGGGTGAACAGGCAACCTACAGAATGGGAGAAAATTTTTGCAATCTATCCATCTGATAAAGGGCTAATATCCAGAATCTACAAGGAACTTAATTTTACAAGAAAAAGACAAACAACCACATCAAAAAGTGGGCGAAGGATATGAACAGACACTTCTCAAAAGACAACATTTATGCGGCCAACAAACATATGAAAAAAAGTTCATCATCACTGGTCATTAGAGAAATGCAAATCAAAACCATAATGAGATACCATCTCATGCCAGTTAGAATGGCAATCATTAAAAAGTCAGGAAACAATATATGCTGGAGAGGATGTGGAGAAATAGAAATGTTTTTACACTGTTGGTGGGAGTGTAAATTAGTTCAACCATTGTGGAAGACAGTGTGGTGATTCCTCAAGGATCTAGAACCAGATATACCATTTGTCCTGGCATTCCCATTACTGGGTATATACACCAAAAGATTATAAATCATTCTACTATAAAGACACATACACACATGTTTATTGCAGCCCTATTCACAATAGCAAAGACTTGGAACAAACCCAAATGCCCATCAAGGATAGACTGGATAAAGAAAATGTGGCATATATACACCATGGAATACTATGCAGCCATAAAAAAGAATGAGTTCATGTCCTTTGCAGGACATGGATGAAGCTGGAAACCATCATTCTCAGCAAACTAACAAGAACAGAAAACCAAACACCGCATATTCTCACTCATAAGTGGGAGTTGAACAACGAGAACACATGATACATGGAGGGGAACATCACACACCAGGGCCTGTTGGGGGGTGGGGGGCTAGGGGATGGATAGCATTAGGAGAAATACAGATGATGATGGTTGATGGGTGCAGCAAACTACCGTGGCACATGTATACCTATGTAACATACCTGCAGGTTCTGCAATGTATCCCAGAACTTAAAGTATAATATTTTTTTTAAAAAGTCACTATTCAGGTTCAACATCAGATTTGAGCCAGCAGAAGAAAGAAACAGTGAACTTGAAGATACAACATTTAAAATTATCAAGTCTAAAAACAGAACAAAAGACAAGAAAAGTATACAGAGCCTAAGGAATTTATGGGATACCATCAAGCTGAACAATATAAGCTGTATGGAGTCTCTGAAATGTGGGTGGTCAGAGACTTTCTTTGAAGAAATAATGGCCAGAAACTTTCTAAACTTGATGAAAGACACAAATATACATCCAATAAGCTTGAAAAATCAATTATGATAAACCCAATAAAATATTTATTATGTACAAGGGAGTCCCAATATGATTATTAGCCAATTTCTCAGCAGAAACTTTGAAGGCTAGAAGGCACTGGAATGATATATTTAAAGTGCTGAAAGATAAAACTCAGATAAGAATTCTATATTTGGCAAAACCATGCCTTTAAAATGAGGGAGGAGTAAAGACATTCCCAGAAAAACAAAAAACTGAGGGAGTTTATAACCACTAGATCTGCCCAGCAAGAAATACTAGAGGGAGTCCTTTGCAATGAAGTAAAAAAAATTAGACAGTAACTCAAAGTTTTATGAATATATAAATATCTCTGGAGAAAGTAAACACATGGGCAAATATAAAAATCAATATTTTTATAAACTTGGTTTCTCATTCTACTTTTAATTTTCTACATGATTTAAAAGACAAATGCATAAAAATAGTTATAAATCTGTGGTTATAGGCATATAATGTATAAAGATGTAATCGGTGACATCAATAAAGTGAAGGAGAAGAAAGAACAGGATTTTTTGTAAGCAATTGAAGCTGAAGTGGTATAAATTCAAAAAAGATTGTTAAAACTTTAGAATATTATATGTAGTCCCTATGGTGACCATAAAGAATATACAAAATGTACACAAAAGGAAATGAGAAGGGAATCAAAACTTGTCATGATAAGAAATCAACTAAGGCAGTAATGGAGAAAAAGAGGAAGAAAAAGCTAGAATGTATACAGCAACCAAATAAAATAGCAAAAGTAAGTCCTCACCAATGAATAACTACATTAAGTGTAAATGGATTAAATTTTCCAATCAAAGGACATAGATTGGCAAAACTGATTAAGGAAAGCAGGATACAATTTTATGAGATTCATTTTAGAGCTAAGAATACACACAGATTGAGTGTGAAATAATGAGAAAAGGTAATCCATGCAAACAGCAACCAAAAGAGAGCAAGGATGACCATATTTATATTAGACAAAGTCAACTTTTTTCTGGTGTACATAGAACATTCTTCAGAATAGAAATGTTAAGCAACTGAAGCTTAACAAAAAAGTCTTAATAAATGTTAAACATTTATTAACAAAAAAGTCTTAACAAATGTTAAAAGGTTGATATCATACAAAGTATCCCTTACAATTATAATGGAATGAAACTAGAAATGAGTAGCAGAAGGAAAACTGGAAAATTCACACACATTGAAATTAAACAATATACTCAAACAGCCAATGGGTTAAAGAAGAAACTATAGAGAAACTGGAAAATATTTTGAGAGAAATGAAAACACAACCCCCCGACACTTATGGCATGTACAGAAATCAGACCCAAGAGAAAAATGTATAGCTGTAAATGCTTACATTAAAAAGAAGGATGTCAAATTAACAATGTACTTTACACTTTTAGGAACTAAAAAAAGAAAAAACTAAACCCACAGCCAGAAGAAGGAAGGAAAGATTACAACAAAGATACAATACAGGATACAAAAAAAAAAAAACAAAAAAATTAAACCAAAAGTAAGCTCTTAGAAAAGATCAACAAAATGTTTAGCTAGAATGACTAAGAAAAAAAGCTCAAGTAACTAAAATCAGAAATGAAAGAGGATATTACTACCAATTTTACAGAAATAGAAAACGATTACATCAGTGATTGTCAGAGTTAGAGGTGAGGAAACAAATAGGGCACAGAAGATTTTTAGGGCAGTGAAACTACTTGGTATGACACTGTAATGGTGGATACAGGTATATATTTGTTTAAATCCATAGAATGTACAAATCGAGCAAACCCATGTGTAAACTGTGGGCTCTGCATAATTATGTGTCAATGTAGGTTCAGCCAAGCAAAAGTGTCCTTTTCATGATAAAGATTCAAAATGATGCCCCTCAATGCTAACTCAATTAAGCATCTACAACAGGCCAGGCTTTGTGGTAGAACTACAAACAGCGTTGGAAATAACGGTAAGTTTCAGCCCCTACAGACTTCAAGTATAGCTGCAGGTTGAGAAAATCATATTCAATAAGTGCTCAGTTGCTTATGGTTTGCGATGGCAGTGATGGTCAGTCCAAGTATTTTCAGGTCAAGGCACACAACTTTCCAAAGATTATGCTTTCATCTGCCATACAGGCTGTGATATTACTCACATATTTGCAGCTTAGGAAGTTCCCAAGAGGGCTTGAAGCAAGAGGCTTGCTATGGATATTACTAATCACTAACATTTAAGAGTACTGTGGGCTAAATATTGATTTCAGCATTTTACATGTATTTATTCTTTTAATCCTTATAACCACAATTTAAGGGAAGTACAATTTTTATCTCCATTTCATGCTTGAGAAAACTGAGACACAGAATATCAATAATTTTCTTAAAACAGAGCTAATAAGTGGCTCCAGAGCCTGGTAGAAAGCAAGGCAGATATGAGGAGTTCTATTCTATCAGGGCAATAGGATGTTGGGCTGCCCAGTCAGAACAGTGAAAAGCCCAGTAGGCCAGCCTTTCCCCCAGCTGTCCAATTTTTTAATAGAGCTCCTGGTGGCAACATGTAGATTAGCCTTATTTAGACCTGTCAGCAAAGTCCTGGGGATCATGTCTGGGCCCCGTTAATAAATGGCTAAGATACACTGCCTACCATTTCTCTGTTCCACAGAAAGGGGTCTGGGTCAGTGAGAAAGAGAGTGGGAAGGAAAAGTCAAAAACATCCTCAGTTCCAATGACACAGCTTAGGATGGTGAGTATATGTCACATACACATTAAAACCCCCCTAATTAGGTTGTCCACTTCTGACTCGGAAAAGCCTCAGTGGAAAACATTATGCCATGATGCTACAATACCTGGGATTCTGCTCTGTTCAGCACTTCCAACCTTGAAGGACAAAAGCAAAACAGTGTGGGTGTAGGTGGGTGTGTGTCTGGCTGCAAGCACATGCCAGCCACTGCTGTCACACAGCCTTGCCTATGCCTTGGTATATTAAAGAGTGGTGAGTCACTCACACTTATGATAACCATTCATAACTAGAATTTTAGAAGAGGGGAAAACCCCAGGGCTGTACAGAATGACACGTGACACTCTCCAATGGAAGGACAGAAAGAGCAGAAGCCTCTTGCTAAATCTAACCATGAGCTCTTTCAGAGAAAAGAGGGCCGTTCAGCTTTTCTGCGTCACTATTAATGTGAGCCAGCTGGAAACAGAAAGAATGACTCAAGAGAGTACTACCTATCCTGGAAATGGGGTCAAAGCAGGTATGGTGGGGGAACTGGTTGTGGGCGAGACTGAAGGAGGAAGAAAGATGAGATGTGTGTTTCCTCAAAGTTGATGCTCCTCTCAGTTATTTACTCTTCTCAAGGGTGTCATCAGTATTCTCGGAAGGTCTCAAAAGTGGCAGGGTTCCACCTACCTCAGGTTTTTTTTGCATATTTAATCTTTTATATTTAATATTTAAAAACAATTTTTACATCTTTCACCGCAGGAATTTCCAGTTTGTAAATTGGAAAGCGCTGGAAAGCTGGACCCACTCAGTAACAAGACAACTCCAATCAAAGCAGGTGTTTGCAGGCATCAAGGTCAAGCTGGGCTGGGACAGCCAAGGGCAGCCCAGAGGTCCTTCTCATAGCACTACCTTCTCATAGTACTACCCTGTCTTGAGCAAAGACCCTTGTGGGACCATCAGCAGGATTTGGATGACTAACAGAGGGCAAATTTCATGCTGCTTTGAGCCTAATGCCTCTTTGTTTTTACTGCATTTTTTTTTAATTTTTTTTTTTTTATTATACTTTAAGTTTTAGGGTACATGTGCACATTGTGCAGGTTAGTTACATATGTATACATGTGCCATGCTGGTGCGCTGCACCCACTAACGTGTCATCTAGCATTAGGTATATCTCCCAGTGCTATCCCTCCCCCCTCCCCCGACCCCACCACAGTCCCCAGAGTGTGATATTCCCCTTCCTGTGTCCATGTGATCTCATTGTTCAATTCCTACCTATGCGTGAGAATATGCGGTGTTTGGTTTTTTGTTCTTGCGATAGTTTACTTAGAATGATGGTTTCCAATTTCATCCATGTCCCTACAAAGGACATGAACTCATCATTTTTTATGGCTGCATAGTATTCCATGGTGTATATGTGCCACATTTTCTTAATCCAGTCTATCATTGTTGGACATTTGGGTTGGTTCCAAGTCTTTGCTATTGTGAATAATGCCGCAATAAACATACGTGTGCATGTGTCTTTATAGCAGCATGATTTATAGTCCTTTGGGTATATACCCAGTAATGGGATGGCTGGGTCAAATGGTATTTCTAGTTCTAGATCCCTGAGGAATCGCCACACTGACTTCCACAATGGTTGAACTAGTTGACAGTCCCACCAACAGTGTAAAAGTGTTCCTATTTCTCCACATCCTCTCCAGCACCTGTTGTTTCCTGACTTTTTAATGATTGCCATTCTAACTGGTGTGAGATGATATCTCATAGTGGTTTCGATTTGCATTTCTCTGATGGCCAGTGATGATGAGCATTTTTTCATGTGTTTTTTGGCTGCATAAATGTCTTCTTTTGAGAAGTGTCTGTTCATGTCCTTTGCCCACTTTTTGATGGGGTTGTTTGTTTTTTTCTTGTAAATTTGTTTGAGTTCATTGTAGATTCTGGATATTAGCCCTTTGTCAGATGAGTAGGTTGCGAAAATTTTCTCCCATGTTGTAGGTTGCCTGTTCACTCTGATGGTAGTTTCTTTTGCTGTGCAGAAGCTCTTTAGTTTAATTAGATCCCATTTGTCAATTTTGGCTTTTGTTGCCATTGCTTTTGGTGTTTTGGACATGAAGTCCTTGCCCACGCCTATGTCCTGAATGGTAATGCCTAGGTTTTCTTCTAGGGTTTTTATGGTTTTAGGTCTAACGTTTAAATCTTTAATCCATCTTGAATTGATTTTTGTATAAGGTGTAAGGAAGGGATCCAGTTTCAGCTTTCTACATATGGCTAGCCAGTTTTCCCAGCACCATTTATTAAATAGGGAATCCTTTCCCCATTGCTTGTTTTTCTCAGGTTTGTCAAAGATCAGATAGTTGTAGATATGCGGCATTATTTCTGAGGGCTCTGTTCTGTTCCATTGATCTATATCTCTGTTTTGGTACCAGTACCATGTTGTTTTGGTTACTGTAGCCTTGCAGTATAGTTTGAAGTCAGGTAGTGTGATGCCTCCAGCTTTGTTCTTTTGGCTTAGGATTGACTTGGCGATGCGGGCTCTTTTTTGGTTCCATATGAACTTTAAAGTAGTTTTTTCTAATTCTGTGAAGAAAGTCATTGGTAGCTTGATGGGGATGGCATTGAATCTATAAATTACCTTGGGTAGTATGGCCATTTTCATGATATTGATTCTTCCTATCCATGAGCATGGAATGTTCTTCCATTTGTTTGTGTCCTCTTTTATTTAGTTGAGCAGTGGTTTGTAGTTCTCCTTGAAGAGGTCCTTCACATCCCTTGTAAGTTGGATTCCTAGGTATTTTATTCTCTTTGTAGCAATTGTGAATGGGAGTTCACTCATGATTTGGCTCTGTGTTTGTCTGTTATTGGTGTACAGGAATGCTCATGATTTTTGCACATTAATTTTGTATCCTGAGACTTTGCTGAAGTTGCTTATCAGCTTAAGGAGATTTTGGGCTGAGATGATGGGGTTTCCTAAATATACAATCATGTCATCTGCAAACAGGGACAATTTGACTTCCTCTTTTCCTAATTGAAAACCCTTTATTTCCTTCTCCTGCCTGATTGCCCTGGCCAGAACTTCCAACACTACGTTGAATAGGAATGGTGAGAGAGGGCATCCCTGTCTTGTGCCAGTTTTCAAAGGGGATGCTTCCAGTTTTTGCCCATTCAGTATGATATTGGCTGTGGGTTTGTCATAAATAGCTCTTATTATTTTGACGTACATCCCATCAATACCTAATTTATTGAGAGTTTTTAGCATGAAGGGCTGTTGAATTTTGTCAAAGGCCTTTTCTGCATCTATTGAGATAATCATGTGGTTTTTGTCTTTGGTTCTGTTTATATGCTGGATTACACTTATTAATTTGTGTATGTTGAACCAGCCTTGCATCCCAGGGATGAAGCCCACTTGATCATAGTGGATAAGCTTTTTGATGTGCTGCTGGATTCGGTTTGCCAGTGTTTTATTGAGGATTTTTGCATCAATGTTCATCAGGGATATTGGTCTAAAATTCTCTTTTGCTGTTGTGTCTCTGCAAGGCTTTCGTATCAGGATGATGCTGGCCTCATAAAATGAGTTAGGGAGGATTCCTCTTTTTCTGTTAATTGGAATAGTTTCAGAAGGAATGGTACCAGCTCTTCCTTGTACCTCTGGTAGAATTCGGCTGTGAATCCATCTGGTCCTGGACTTTTTTTTGGTTTGTAGGCTATTAATTATTGCCTCAATTTCAGAGTCTGTTATTTGTCTATTCAGGGATTCAGCTTCTTCCTGGTTTAGTCTTGGGAGGGTGTATGTGTCCAGGAATTTATCCATTTCTTCTAGATTTTCTAGTTTATTTGCATAGAGGTATTTATAATATCCTCTGATGGTAGTTTGTATTTCTGTGGGATTGGTGGTGATATCCCCTTTATCATTTTTTATTGCATCTATTTGATTCTTCTCTTTTTTCTTCTTTATTAGTCTCACTAGTGGTCTATCAATTTTGTTGATCTTTTCAAAAAACCAACTCCTAGATTCATTGATTTGATTTTTTTGAAGGGGTTTTTGTGTCTCTGTCTCCTTCAGTTCTACTCTGATCTTAGTTATCTCTTCCCTTCTGCTAGCTTTTGAATGTGTTTGCTCTTGCTTCTCTAGTTCTTTCAATTGTGATGTTAGGGTGTCAATTTTAGATCTTTCCTGCTTTCTCTTGTGGGCATTTAGTGCTATAAATTTCTCTCTACACACTGCTTTAAATGTGTCCCAGAGATTCTGGTATGTTGTGTCTTTGTTCTCATTGGTTTCAAAGAACATCTTTGTTTCTGCCTTCATTTCATTATGTACCCAGTAGTCATTCAGGAGCAGGTTGTTCTGTTTCCATGTAGTTGAGCAGTTTTGAGTGAGTTTCTTAATTCTGAGTTCTAGTTTGATTGCACTGTGGTCTGAGAGACAGTTTGTTGTAATTTCTGTTCTTTTACATTTGCTAAGGACTGCTTTACTTCCAACTATGTGGTCAATTTTAGAATAAGTGTGATGTGCTGAGAAGAATGTATGTTCTGTTGATTTAGGGTGGAGAGTTCTGTAGATGTCTATTAGGTGCACTTGGTGCAGAGCTGAGTTCAATTCCTGGATATCCTTGTTAACTTCCTGTCTCGTTGATCTGTCTAATGTTGACAGTGGGGTGTTAAAGTCTCCCATTATTAATGTGTGGGAGTCTAAGTCTCTTTGTAGGTCTCTAAGGACTTGCTTTATGAATCTGGGTGCTCCTGTATTGGGTGTATATATATTTAGGATAGTTAGCTCTTTTTGTTGAATTGATCCCTTTACCATTATGTAATGGCCTTCTTTGTCTCCTTTGATCTTTGTTGGCTTAAAGTCTGTTCTATCAGAGACTAGAATTGCAAGCCCTGCCTTTTTTTGTTTTCCATTGGCTTGTTAGATCTTCCTCCATCCCTTTATTTTGAGCCTATGTGTGTTTCTCCAAGTGAGATGGGTCTCCTGAATACAGCACACTGATGGGTCTTGACTCTTTATCCAATTTTCCACTCTGTGTCTTTTAATTGGATCATTTAGCCCATTTACATTTCAGGTTAATATCGTTATGTGTGAATTTGATCCTATCATTATGATGTTAGCTGATTATTTTGCCCATTAGTTGATGCAGTTTCTTCATAGCATCGATGGTCTTTACAATTTGGCATGCTTTTGCAGTGGTTGGTACCGGTTTTTCCTTTCCATGTTTAGTGCTTCCTTCAAGACTTCTTTTAGGGCAGGCCTGGTGGTGACAAAATCTCTCAGCATTTGCTTGTCTGTAAAGGATTTTATTTCTCCTTCGCTTATGAAGCTTAGTTGGGCTGGATATGAAATTCTGGGTTGAAAATTCTTTTAAGAATGTTGAATATCAGCCCCCACTCTCTCCTGGATTGTAGAGTTTCTGTCGAGAGATCCGCTGTTAGTCTGATGGGCTTCCCTTTGTGGGTAACTCGACCTTTATCTCTGACTGCCCTTAATATTTTTTCCTTCATTTCAACTTTGGTGAATCTGACAATTATGTGTCTTGGAGTTGCTCTTCTCGAGAAGTGTGTTTGTGGCATTCTCTGTAGTTCCTGAATTTGAATGTTGGCCTGCCTTGCTAGATTGGGGAAGTTCTACTGGATAATATCCTGCAGAGTGTTTTCCAACTTGGTTCCATTCTCCCTGTCACTTTCAGGTACACCAATCAGACGTAGATTTGGTCTTTTCACATAGTCCCATATTTCTTGGAGGCTTTGTTTTTTTGTTTTTACTCTTTTTTCTCTAAACTTCTCTTCTCACTTCATTTCATTCATTTGATCTTCAATCACTGATACCTTTCCTTCCAGTTGATCGAATCAGCTACTGAAGCTTGTGCATTCATCACGTAGTTCTTGTGCCATGGTTTTCAGCTCCATCAGGTCATTTAAGGACTTCTCTACACTGGTTATTCTAGTTAGCCAGTCATCTAATCTTTTTTAAGATTTTTAGCTTCTTTGTGATGGGTTCGAACTTCCTCCTTTAGCTCGGAGAAATTTGATCATCTGAAGCCTTCTTCTCTCAACTCGTCAAAGTCATTCTCCATCCAGCTTTGTTCTGTTGCTGGTGAGGGGCTGCTGCACTCCTTTGAAGTGGGAGAGGTGCTCAGATTTTTAGAATTTTCAGTTTTTCTGCTCTGTTTTCTCCCCATCTTTGTGGTTTTATCTACCTTTGGTCTTTGATGATAGTGATGTACAGATGGGGTTTTGGTGTGGATGTCCTTTCTGTTTGTTAGTTTTCCTTCTAACAGTCAGGACCCTCAGCTGCAGGTCTGTTGGAGTTTGCTGGAGGTCCACTCCAGATCCTGTTTGCCTGGGTATCAGCTGCAGAGGCTGCAGAACAGCGAATATTGCTGAACAGCAAATGTTGCTGTCTGATCGTTCCTCTGGAAGCTTCATCTCAGTGGGGTACCCGGCCATGTGAGGTGTCAGTCTGCCCTTACTGGAGGGTGCCTCCCAGTTAAGCTACTCGGGGGTCACGGACACACTTGAGGAGGCAGTCTGTCCATTCTCAGATCTCAAACTCCGTGCTGGGAGAACCACTACTCTCTTCACAGCTGTCAGACAGGGACATTTAAGTCTGCAGAGGTTTCTGCTGCCTTTTGTTTGACTATGCCCTGCCCCCAAAGGTGGAGTCTATAGAGGCAGGCAGGCCTCGTTGAGCTGTGGTGGGCTCCACCCAGTTCGAGCTTCCTGGCTGCTTTGTTTCCCTACTCAAGCCTCAGCAATGACGGGCGCCCCTTCCCCAGCCTCACTGCCACCTTGCAGTTCAATCTCAGACTGCTGTGCTAGCAATGAGTGAGGCTCTGTTGGTGTGGGACCCTCTGAGCCAGGTGCAGGATATAATCGCCTGGTGTGCCATTGGCTAATACCTTTGGAAAAGTGCAGTATTAGGGTAGGAGTGACCCGATTTTCCAGGTGCTGTCCGTCACAGCTTCCCTTGGCTAGGAATGGGAATTCCCTGACCCCTTGCACTTCCTGGGTGAGGCGATGCCTACCCCTGCTTCAGCTCTCGCTGGGTGGGCTACACCCACTTTCCTGCCCCTACTGTCTGACAAGCCCCTGTGAGATGAACCCGGTACCTCAGTTGGAAATGCAGAAATCACCCGTCTTCGGCATCGCTCATGCTGGGAGCTGTAAACTGGAGCTGTTCCTATTCAGCCATCTTGGAACCACCCCCACTACCTCAGAGTTTTAAGAGACTTAGCCTAGGGAAAAAAAAAAAAAAAAAGCTTGCCCTCACAATCCAGTGTGTACGGCATTGACATCTGAAAATCAGTAGGGAAAAGCTGGGCTAGGCAAGAAAAATCCTCCTCTATCTCATACACATGGACTCATTATATCAGTTATGCCTTCCAGGATTAATGAGGGAACAAGGGAAGGAGAGACGGAAGAACAGAACTATTTTCCTTTCTCTACTAGTAAGTTAGAACGTTTAAAACTTTGGAGCAGGGAAAGGAACTATTCCTATTCCTCTTTCTCTCCCCTCATCCTTCGCATCCCCCACCCTCATACTTGCTACTCTGTTACAAAATGTTTCTACATCTGACTTGGCCAGTAAAAAGTTGTTGGGCAAACTACCTGTTTTGGTGATTAGAACCCCTGGAAAAAAAATGTCACTTACAGTCTTCTTGAGACTCAGGCGAGAGACTATATAGCCTGCTGCATAAGGACAAGAGCCTAATATCAAAGGCAAAGCAGTCACTCTGCAGTCAGGCCTGGGTTCAAACTCTGGTTCTGCCATGTCTGAACTTGAACAATTTAACCTTTCTAAGCCTTAATGTCCTCAGTCTGAAAAATATTGTAATAGCTATCTTGCAGATTAATAGAATTAAATGATATGATGTATTTGAATGCCAACACATAGTAAAAGTGGCTCTTATTTTAGATATTTCTTTTCCAATGCCAAATAAAGCCTCCTACACCTTCCCGTCTGGCATTCCACCACATCAAAGCATAATCAGAACCAGATAAAAAGATTAGTCTAGACTTACAAGTCCCTGAATAGACCAATAATAAGTTCTGAAATTGAGGCAGTAACTAATAGCCTACCAACCAAAAAAAAGCCCAGGACCACATGGATTCACAGTCAAATTCTACCAGAGTTATAAAGAGGAGCTGGTATCATTCCTTCTGAAACTATTCCAATGAATAGAAAAATAAGGACTCCTCCCTAACTCATTTAACGAGGCCAGCATCATCCTGATACCAAAACCAGGCAGAGACACAACAAAAAAGGAAAATTTCAGGCCAATATCCCTGATGAACATCAATGCAAAAATCCTCAATAAAATACTAGCAAACCGAATCCAGCGCCACATCAAAAAGCTTATCCACCACAATCAAGTCAGCTTCATCCCTGGGATGCAACGCTGGTTCAACATATACAAATCAATAAATATAATCCATCACATAAACAGAACCAATGATAAAAACCACGTGATTATCTCAATAGATGCAGAAAAAGCCTTCGATAAAATTCAACACCCTTTCATGCTAAAAACTCTCAATAAACTAGGTATTGATGGAACAAATCTCAAAATAATAATAGCTATTTATGACAAATCCATAGCCAATATCATACTGAATAGGCAAAAGCTGGAAGCATTCACCTTGAAAACCAGCACAAGACAAGGATGCCCTCTCTCACCACTCATATTCAACATGCTATTGGAAGTTCTGGCCAGGGCAATCAGGCAAGAGAAAGAAATAAAGTTTATTCAAATAGGAAGAGAGGAGAGCAAGTCAAATTGTCTGCTTGTAGATGACATGATTGTACATTTAGAAAATGCCATCATCTCAGCCCAAAAACTCCTTCAGCTGATAAGAAAATTCAGCAGTCTCAGGATACAAAATCAATGTGCAAAAATCACAAGTACAAGCATTCCTATACATCAACAATAGACAAGCACAGAGCCAAATCATGAGTGAACTCCCATTCATAATTGCTACAAAGAAAATAAAATACCTAGGAATACAACTTACAAGGGATGTGAAGGACCTCTTCAGGGAGAACTACAAACCACTGCTCAACGAAATAAGAGGACAAAAATGGAAAAACATTCCATGCTCATTGATGGGAAGAATCAGTATCGTGAAAATGGCCATACTGACCAAAGTAATTTATAGATTCAATGCAATTCCCATCAAGCTACCAATGACTTTCTTCACAGAGAAAGAAAAAACTACTTTAAATTTCATATGGAACCAAAAAAGAACTGATATAGCCAAGACAATCCTAAGTAAAAAGAACAAAGCTGGAGGCCTCAGGTTACCTGACTTCAAACTGTACAACAAAGCTACAGTAACCAAAACAGCATGGTACTGGTACCAAAACAGATGTATAGACCAATGGAACAGAACAGACGCCTCAGAAATAATGCCACACATCTACAACCATCTGATCTTTGACAAACCTGACAAAAACAAGCAATAGGGAAACGATTCCCTATTTAATAAATGGTGTTGGGAAAACTGGCTAGCTATACGCAGAAAACTAAAACTGGACCTCTTCCTTACATGCTATACAAAAATTAACTCAAGATGGGTTAAAGACCTAAATGTAAAACCCAAAACCTTAAAAACACTAGAAGAGGTCCAGTTTCTAGAAGAAAACCTAGGCAATATCATTCAGGACATAGGCATGGGCAAGGACTTCATGTCTAAAACACCAAAAGCAATTGCAACAAATGCCCAGATCTACAAATGGGATCTAATCAAACCAAAGAGCTTCTGCACAGCAAAAGAAACCCTCATCAGAGTGAACAGGCAACCTACAGAATGGGAGAAAATTTTTGCAATCTACTCATCTGACAAAGGGCTAATATCCAGAATCTACAAAGAACTTAAATTTACAGGAAGAAAAAAAACAACCCCATCAAAAAGTGGACAAAGGATATGAAGAGACACTTCTCAAAAGATGGCATATGTGGCCAACATATATATGAAAAAAAGCTCACCATCACTAGTCATTAGAGAAATGCAAATTAAAACCACAATGAGATACCATCTCACACCAGTTAGAATGGTGATTAAAAAATAAGGAAACAACAGATGCTGGTGAGGCCATGGAAAAATAAGAATGCTTTTACACTGTCGGTGGGAGTGTAAATTAGTCCAACCATTGTGGAAGACAGTGTGGCGATTCCTCAAGGATCTAGAACCAGAAATACTATTTGAGCCAGCAATCCCATTACTGGGTATTTACAAAGGATTATAAGTCATCCTACTATAAAGACACATGCTCACGTTTATTGCAGCACTATTTACAATAGCAAAAACTTGGAACCAACCCAAATGCCCATCAATGATATACTGGATTTAGAAAATGTGGCACATATATACCATGGTACACTATGCAGCCATAAAGAAGAATGAGTTCCCTTTGCAGGGACATGGATGAAGCTGGAAGCCATCATTCTCAGCAAACTAGCACAGGAACAGAAAACCAAACACTGCATGTTCTCACTCATAAGTGAGAGTTGAACAATGAGAACACATGGACACAGGGAGGGGAACATCACACACCAGGGCCTGTCGGGGGGTGGGGTGGTGGGCAAAGGGAGGGAGAGCATTATGACAAACACCTAATGCACGTGGGGCTTAAAACCTAGCCTGGTCTGCCCAGGCTCCTCCCTCCCTGTTACCACAGCTGCCCTCCATCCCCTGCAGGGAGTAGAGATGGGATGGGGTCAGGCAAGTACACTGGATGGCAGCCACACTAGCAACACTGTGGTGCATCTGGTGAGCAGCTGACCAGTCTGTATCTCAGAAGAGGAAGTCTCTCACCCGCTCATCCCTGATCCAAGAACCAATCTTCTAGTGACATGGAAGCTGAAAGATCCTTGGGTTTCTCCTGTCTTTCATGGGTTGCGGAATGTGCCCATAGGAAGGGGATATGCCTGGCTTGACCATCCCAAACCCCACCCCCAACCAAGGCACAGCTCGCAGTTTGGCTGCTGGTGGGAATTGGTACCTGACCTGCATGGCAGGTCATGGCCCCAGATAAATATGAAGGTCCGTACTTGTCCACAGAATATCCTCATGCCCAGTGTCTATACTTGTTCCTCAAATATCGTCATGCCCAAGCGCCTGTGAAGAGAAAAGGATCCTATCTTCTTCTTTATAGTTTCCCTGAATCTGGTGTTTATCTTAGGCACTCTTTGAAGGGGATGAGCCACCAAATTCAAATTGTGTAATTTCAGTGTTTCTGTATATGAGTTAGATGCTCTGATATTTGAATTTTAAACTAGCACTGCACAGTATAAATGAATGGTAAAACTCATGTTAATAAATTTTTAATTTTTTTAACTTAAAACATTAAATAGCAAATAGAACACACCAGGCCAAGTCAAGAGAGACCACAGAAGAAAGGAAGTTTATGTGAATCCTTATTGGATAATATATTCCTGCTTTTTGAACAAGACGCCTCAAATTTTCATGGTACACTGGGTCCCTCAAATTATGCAGCCTCCATGATTTGACTGATTTTCAATCAGCAAAGGAGTACCTTTTAAGTGTAGATATCCTTCTAAGATCTCCTTAGAATGTGTAGATTATACTTTTCTCCATGCCTTATAATACTTCACTTATCTCTATATTTCTGTATGTGTTTTTAAATTCTGTCCTTACTAAATTATAAATTCTGTAGACAACAACTGTACCTTATTTATCTTTTATCTAATTCCTCTTAAATCTAGTACAATGGTCCAAATATGGAAGATTCTCAATTAAAATTGCTGCATGCCTGAAAATCACAAATAAGGAAATATGTAAAATGCCCATATGGTTTGGATGTTTGTCCCCTCCAGATATCATGTTGAAATGTGATCCCCAGTATTGGAGGTGGGCCTGGTGGGAGGCATTTGGGTCAAAGGGCAGATCCTTCATGAATGGCTTGGTGACAACCCCATGCTAATGTGTTAGTTCTTGCTCTTTTAGTTCACTTAGTGGTGGCTGGTTGTTTAAAGGAGCCTGGCACCTCTGCCCCCTCTCTCCCCCTTCTCTTGCCATGTGACATACCTTCTCCCCCTTTACTTTCTGCCATGAGTAAAAGCTTCCTGAGGACTCACCAGCAGCTGAGTAGATGAGGATATAATGCTTGTATAGCCTACACAACTGTGAGCCAAATAAACCTCTTTTATGAATTACCCAGTCTCAGGTATTCCTTTATTGCAGTGCAAAATGGATTAAGAAAAATGCCTCCAAGTAGCTTGTTGTCATTATAGAAATAAGAACCCAGAAAAGAGATAAATCCAAACTTTCCATGTTCATGCCTGTTTCTTTCCTGAGCTTCAGGCGATAGTTCCAACTGCTTGCTGGATAAACATCTTCATCTGAATGCCCCATGGACATCTCAAATTCAACATGCCCAGCTTATCTTTATCTACCTTCACCTCATCACTTCCTTCCCTCCTTTTGGGGTTTGTAGTAAATGGCTGCACCATTTCCCTTGTTACTCAAGCCAGAAATGTGACCACTGTGCCTCAATCTTTCTTCTTCCTATCTCCCATATCAATCTTTGAGTCTATTCATCTTACCAGCTGTCTCTCTTGATATTTACTTTTAAAATCTATTCATTTCCTCATATTGCCAACCACCTCTCCAACCCCCAGTTCAGGACATCCCCATCTATTGCCTGGACTATACTTGTCATTCAGTCTCTCTACTTTTATTATTTTCCCTCCTTATCCTTCCACCTACATTTAATTGATACAGGATATCTTGAAATATTTGACTGAAAAGTTTTCATTCTGTTTTATATTGGTAAATTGATAAAATAGTTATATTCAAAAACTGCTTTTATAATTCCTCAAAACCACAATGAGATCTCACTTTATACCTACCAAGGTGGCTATAATTTCAAAGTTTTTTTAATTAAAAAAAAAAAACAGGCCAGGCATGGTGGCTCACACTTGTAAACCTGGCACTTTGGAAGGCTGAGGCAGGTGGATCACTTGAGCCCAGGAGTTTGAGACCATCCTGGAAAACATGGTAAAATCCTGTCTCTACAAAAAATAGAAAAATTAGCTTGGTGTGGTGGTGCATGCCTGTAGTCCTTGCTACTCAGGAGGCTGAGGTGGGAGGATCACTTGAGCTTGGGAGGTTGAGGCTGCAGTGAGCCATGATTGTGAAGAAAAAGAAGGGAAAGGGAAAGGGAAATAAAAAAAGAAAAAGGGAAAGAAAAAAAGAAAAGAGAAAGAGAAGGAAAAAAAGAAGAAAAAGAAAAAAAGAAAAAGAAAAAAGTGTTGGTAAGGATTTGAAGACTGAAACCCCTGTGCATTGCTGGTGAGAAAGTAAAATGGCACAGCTAGTGTGTAAAACAGTTTCACAGCTCCTCAAAAAAGGTAACTATAAAATTATGTGGGCTAGCAGTTTTACTCTTAGGTACATACCCAAAGGAATGAAAATGGACTCAACCAGATACTTGTATGCCAATGTTTGTTTGCAGCATTACTTACAATAGCCAAAAGATGGAAACAGTTCCAGTACCCATCAACAGATACATAGATAAAGAAAATCCAGTGTATCTAGGTATACAATGAAATATCACTCAGTCATAAAAAAGAAGGAAAGTTCTGATACCTGCTACAACATGGATGAACCTCAAAAACATTATGCTATATGAAAGTAGCCAGGCACAAAAGGACAAATCCTATACAATTCCACTTACATGAAATAAGAAAAACAGGCAAGATCATAGACACAGAAAACAGATTAGAGATTTCCAGGGGCTGGGGTGAGAGGGAAGTAAAGAGTTATTGCTTAGTGGGTACAGAGTTTCTGTTTGGGTGATAAAAGAATATTGGAAGTAGATAGTGGAGATGGTTATACAACATAGTGAATGTAATTAATACTGCTGAAATATACACTTTAAAATGGTTAAAATGCCCAATTTTGTGCTATATTTTACCACAATAAATAAAATTCTTTCCAGAAATAACGTTCATGTACATGAAAGCAAAAAAAAATCCTTATTTATATGGATTATCTGAAATTTAAAATTATATTAGAATAATTATTCTTGGTACATATTTATGTGTAATATTTACTTTCTTTGCTGTAAATTACACTATGTGAATGTTATTTTCCCCAAAAAATTAAAATTTTCATTAAATTATCTGAATTTTTTTATAGCTGAATTTTACGGTTAAAAAATTTGAAGTTGTTACACCTTTAATGGACTCTTCCCTGAAGTCCGCATTATGTTTCACTGAGAGAGCACTCTTATTTATTATTTATTTACTTAGAGACAGAATCTTGCTCTGTCACCCAGATGGGAGTGCAGTGGCACGATCTCGGCTCACTGCAACCTCCGCCTCCCTGGTTCAAGCGATTCTCTTGCCTCAGCCTCCCAAGTAGCTGGGACTACAGGTGTGCGCCTCCATGCCTAGATAACTTTTGTATTTTTAGTAGAGATGGGGTTTCACCATATTGCCCAGGCTGGTTTCAAACCCCTGACCTTGCAATCCGCCCACCTCGGCCTCCCAGTGCTGGGATTACAGGCGTGAACCACCATGCCCAGCTGAGAAAGCACTCTTCACAGTATCTGGTAAGCCCATATCAAAATTGAATGTTGTATATTGAAATTATAGGTATTTCAGGTCAAATATTTTCACAGATACTATCTTTCTGCCATTCTTTAGAGTGCTTTTCTGCAATACATAATTTTACAAAACAAATTTGTTCAAAAATTTGCCTCTATTTATGATCCTTCTGAATGCTACATCAAATTTAGATGCTAAATATCATAAATCTTTTCACGTCCTTCCGTCTTAGCAGTCTTAGCATGGAATACTGATTCATCCAGGTAAAAACAGGAGCTCCATTAAAAGGTTATTCCCACTAATGGAAATATTGCAAGGCAAAATTTAGAACTTCAGAATTAGATATTACATACGACTTAAGTCCTCATTAGGTATTTCCATTCTTCTCTTACATTGCAGAGATAAATTTGAATGTCTTCCTACTTCTAAGCTTTCCTTTGTCACCCCCAGTAAATATAATTTGTTAAATAATTTTTTTGGGTTTCCATTTATTAAAAACTTGCATTAAAAATTCTCAACTTATTTTAAACAAAACAGTCCAAGGAATTTCCACAAAATTTTAAAACCACAGTAGGCCACTTAGGCTGATTTGCAGAGAGTCCTCCAAAGGCTTGGACATGTCTAAAATTCAACATAGTGTTGGAAGTTCTGGCCAGGGCAATTAGGCAGCAGAAGGAAATAAAGGGTTTTCAATTAGGAAAAGAAGAAGTCAAATTGTCCCTGTTTGCAGATGACATGATTGTATATTTAGAAAACCCCATTGTCTCAGCCCAAAATCTCCTTAAGCTGATAAGCAACTTCAGCAAAGTCTCAGGATACAAATCAATGTACAAAAATCACACGCATTCTTATACACCAATAACAGACAAAGAGCCAAATCATGAGTGAACTCCCATTCACAATTGCTTCAAAGAGAATAAAATACCTAGGAATCCAACTCACAAGGGACGTGAAGGACCTCTTCAAGGAGAACTACAAACCACTGCTCAATGAAATAAAAGATGATACAAACAAATGGAAGAACATTCCATGCTCATGGATAGGAAGAATCAATATTGTGAAAATGGCCATACTACCCAAGGTAATTTATAGATTCAATGCCATCCCCATCAAGCTACCAATGACTTTCTTCACAGAATTAGAAAAAACTACTTTAAAGTTCATATGGAACCAAAAAAGAGCCCACATCACCAAGTCAATCCTAAGCCAAAAGAACAAAGCTGGAGGCATCACGCTACCTGACTTCAAACTATATTACAAGGCTACAGTAACCAAAACAGCATGGTACTGGTACCAAAACAGAGATATAGATCAATGGAACAGAACAGAGCTCTCAGAAATAACGCTGTATATCTACAACTATCTGATCTTTAACAAACCTGAGAAAAACAAGCAATCGGGAAAGGATTCCTTATTTAATAAATGGTGCTGGGAAAACTGGCTAGCCATATGTAGAAAGCTGAAACTGGATCCCTTCCTTACACCTTATACAAAAATTAATTCAAGATGGATTAAAGACTTAAATGTTAGACCTAAAACCATAAAAACCCTAGAAGAAAACCTAGGCAATACCATTCAGGACATAGGCATGGGCAAGGACTTCATGTCTAAAACACCAAAAGCAATGGCAACAAAAGCCAAGATTGACAAATGGAATCTAATTAAACTAAAGAGCTTCTGCACAGCAAAAGAAACTACCATCAGAGTGAACAGGCAACCAACAAAATGGAAGAAAATTTTTGCAACCTACTCATCTGACAAAGGGCTAATATCCAGAATCTACAATGAACTCAAACAAATTTACAAGAAAAAAACAAACAACCCCATCAAACAGTGGGTGAAGGATATGAACAGACACTTCTCAAAAGAAGACATTTATGCAGCCAAAAGACACACAAAAAAATGCTCATCATCACTGGCCATCAGAGAAATGCAAATCAAAACCTCAATGAGATACCATCTCACACCAGTTAGAATGGCGATCATTCAAAAGTCAGGAAACAACAGGTGCTGGAGAGGATGTGGAGAAATAGGAACACTTTTACACTGTTGGTGGGACTGTCAACTAGTTCAACCATTGTGGAAGTCAGTGTGGCGACTCCTCAGGGATCTAGAACTAGAAATACCATTTGACCCAGCCATCCCATTACTGGGTATATACCCAAAGGACTATAAATCATGCTGCTAAAAGACACATGCACACATATGTTTATTGAGGCACTATTCACAATAGCAAAGACTTGGAACCAACCCAAATGTCCAACAATGATAGACTGGATTAAGAAAATGTGGCACATATACACCATGGAATACTATGCAGCCATAAAAAATGATGAGTTCATGTCCTTTGTAGGGACATGGATGAAATTGGAAATCATCATTCTCAGTAAACTATCACAAGGACAAAAAACCAAACACTGCATGTTCTCACTCATAGATGGGAATTGAACAATGAGAACACATGGACACAGGAAGGGGAACATCACACTCTGGGGACTGTTGTGGGGTGGGGGGAGGGGGGAGGGATAGCATTAGGAGATATACCTAATGCTAAATGACGAGTTAATGGGTGCAGCACACCAGCATGGCACATCTATACATATGTAACTAACCTGCCCGTTGTACACATGTACCCTAAAACTTAAAGTATAATAATAATTAAAAGAAAAGAAAGAAAAAAAAATAAAAAAACCAGGAAATTCTACAAAAACCAAAATAGACAAATGGGATCTAGTCAAACTAAAGAGTTTCTGCACAGGAAAAGAAACTACCATCAGAGTGAACAGGCAACCTACAGAATGAGAGAAAATTTTCACAATCTACCCATCTGACAAAGGGCTAATATCCAGAATCTACAAAGAACTTAAACAAATTCACAAGAAAAAAATCAAACAACCCCATCAAAAAGTGGGTGAAGAACATGAACAGACACTTCTCAAAAGAAGACATTTATGCAGCCAACAGACACATGAAAAAATGTTCATCATCACTGGCCATCAGAGAAATGCAAATCAAAACCACAATGAGATACCATCTCACACCAGTTAGAATGGCGATCATTAAAAAGTCAGGAAACAACAGGTGCCGGAGAAGATGTGGAGAAATAGGAACACTTTTACACTGTTGGTGGGACTGTAAACTAGTTCAACCATTGTGGAAGACAGTGTGGCAATTCCTCAAGGATCTAGAACTAGAAATACCATTTGACCCAGCCATCCCATTACTGGGTATATACCCAAAGGATTATAAATCATGCTGCTATAAAGACACATGCACATGTATGTTTATTGTGGCACTATTCACAATAGCAAAGACTTGGAACCAATCCAAATGTCCATCAATGATAGATGGATTAAGAAAATGTGGCACATATACACCATGGAATACAGCCATAAAAAAGGATGAGTTCATTTCCTTTGTAGGGATATGGATGAAGCTGGAAACCATCATTCTCAGCAAAGTATTGCAAGGACAGAAAACCAAACACCACATGTTCTCACTCATAGGTGGGAATTGAACAATGAGAACACTTGGACATAGAGTGGGGAACATCACACACCAGGGCCTGTTGTGGGGTTAGGGGAGGAGGGAGGGATAGCGTTAGGAGATATACCTAATGTAAATGACGAGTTAATGGGTGCAGCACACCAACATGGCACATGTATACATATGTAACAACTGTGCATGTTGTGCACATGTACCCTGGAACTTAAAGTATAATAATAAAAAATAAAATAAAATAAAATAAAATAAAATAAAATAAAATAAAAATAAATAAAATCCAATTGTTGATGAGAAGAGAAAAAAATAATTGTGCCATGAAAAAGTAGTTTTGTGTATTTAACATTATCAGCATCGTGAACTCGTATAGACTGTTTACATATTGATTTTTATATATTCAGAGTTCTAGCTACTCTGAATATATTAAAAATGTATTTATTTGGTAGAATAGCAGCTTGTTCAGTTGCATTTATAAAGTATGTATGCACCACAAGAAAATCCAAGTACATATATTTCAGCTCCATAAGTTTCTTAAATTTACTATAAAAATAATGGTTTATACCATGCCTGTTGTCCTTCACCAAATTTGTATTTCTCTTATCACAAAATAATTCCTTGTACAAAGTTGAACTTTTAAACTAAATTTGCAATAGCAATCACAATGATGCCAACCAAATGAACTTCCAAAAAAAGTTTACTTTGGTTCCATGAATTATATATTTTTTAAAAAGGGAACATTATTGGAATTGGTTTCTATTATTTAAAGCATCTGATAATACCAGCATAAACTGGTATCATTTGACTCAGAATTTTTCTTCTATTAATGGAGCCAATATATTAAGAATTTTCACTTCACTTGGTAAGTTCACTAGAAAACTTGGAAATGAAGATGAGCAGAGTAGTTATTTGCTGTAATACAAAGTCATGTTTCATGGAGTAATAAGGAAATGCACTTTCTGCATCTGTACAAATTAAATTGTTACACAGTTTTCTTATAAATATTAAATTTTGTAATAGATTTTTCAGCAGACTTTTCATTTGGTTAGTGATATCATTTTATGCAAGTTATCCAATCACCATCTACTTTCTCAAGAAACAATTCACTACTTAATTCTTCATTGAACATAGGTTTTTGACTATTTAAACTCATGGCTGCTGAAAGCATTTTTTGCTAAATAAAAGAGCACCATCAAACAATGAAACTAAGTAAATAATTGTAGACTTATACCCTCTAATAAATGGCAAACCCACTGTAGTAAATATTGAGATTTCTCTTTTTATGCTTTACAGAAAGACCACCCAACTGCTACTTCCTGCTCATTATTTCATGTACATTTAACCTTTACTGACCATGATGGTTTCCTGTGTCTCATAGACTGGCATAACTGGCTGGCACATCAGATAGAGAAGTTTCAAATACTTCTCCCACCACTGCCCAAAACTTAAAGGGCTCAGACATAGTTACCTACTGGGCTAGTTTATGGTAAGCACCCTGCATATTGTCCTTGAAAGGAAGATGCCTTTTAGAGTTAACCACATGATCAGGTGAGAATTCTGTTCACTGACAAACATCTCAAGTGCTACAAAAAGAGATCCTGGTAGAAGCCAGAAATACAGAGTTATTAATTTGTTAAAAATGAAAAATCTAAGACAAATGCTAAAAATAGATAAGACACTAGAACAGGCAACTTATTCCGTTTTGTTATCCAACTTATCTTTTCCCACTGAAGCCAGTGTGATGTTTTTGAAATGTAAATTTGATCTTGTCCTTATTAAATTCCTTCAATGGCTCCTTCTAAGCTAATGTTCAAAACCTTTGGGATAGCCTATGACGTTCTTCATGAAATGTACTTCCTCATCACTTGCCATCCCCACCTCACATAGTAGAGTTCACCTTCTCTGAATAAGGAGAAACATAGTAGTACAGGGGGAACTAACTAAATTTCCTTAATAAGCTATCCTGCCGTTATTTCCTTGCAAGATCTAAGATCTGCCTGTGGGCCTGGCTGACTCTTCCCCTTCCTTCAGGTATCAGGCCAAATGTAACTTCTTCAGGGAATACCTTCTGGACTGCAAGAATGAGTAAGGAGTCTTTCCCATCTCTCCTTGCTGTGCTCCCCGCTCTTAACACTCACTGCTCTCTAGTGGAATTTAACCTGTGTTCTTTTCTGATCCTTCTGTTTTAACTAGTGTCCAAGAAAGCAGACATGTCTTACTTACCATTATACAACTATATAGTCCACATAGTTAGCCCTTAAAATATTATTTACATACATGAATGACAATAAAAGACAGCATATAATCAGTGCCAAATTAGTAGTATAGAGAGAGAATAACTGCTGTGAGTACAGAGGAGTAAGAGTACACTTTAGACCCACTAGATTTCACTAAAGATATATTTGGTCTAGATCCTAAGGAGCTCAAATAGGAAGGGTCAGTGTCAGAGTTAAGGTTAGGCTTAGATTTCAATAGGGTAGGGCCCAGGACATACGTAACGATTGGAGCAGCTTGCCTGCAGAGTATGTGAAAGGGCCTGGAACATAATGAAAAAGATCAGTGAGGCCCCATTGTAGAAGGTCTTGGATTCCAGTCTAAGACATTTACTTTATCTTGTAGGCATGGGGAAGTCACTAAAAATTTGTGGGTCAGCATTTTACAATACAGCTAACTAGATTTAGTTTGATAAAGAACAAACTGGAAATCCTGAAGCTCTACATTTCTAACAAATACTTCCTCAATTTAGACTCACAGCTGGGTCTGCCTTCCATAATCGCAATCACACCCCCAGAATAAAAACTAGACAATGAATTTCTATAGATGCCCAGAAATTCCTAGGAGGCTGAAGAGTATCATCTTAGTCTTAAAAAAATGCACACAGTGTTAACAGCTCAGTAATTGGGAAGGGTCTTCAAATCCTTCCAGTAATGGAGTTAGATATACCTGATGTTGGCAGTGGCATTCAAGCTAATTTCTCAAATATGAATTTGAAAACTCATTATATAGATGTACACAAGATGTTCTAATCTTTTTTCCCCTTATTCTGAAGCCTGTCAGAAACTGCTTACCAGTTGAATGGGATCCAGTGTAGAAATGTAGTGTGTGTAGACTGACACATACACACAGCACCAATGTGATTCAGACGTGAATTGACTTGGCACAAAGCTGTTGCCAGCCATGTTATTAAATGCACCGCTCTAGTAATGACTGTCCCACTTCCTGAGGCTTCATCCCACCTCCCACTAACCTTGCTGTCTTTCATTTTGAATTGAAGTACCCATTAAGGAATCCAGAAGGGCTCTTTCTCCATTAACACTAGCAACATTTTATCATATACTATCTGGTTGGTTGGCCATATGTATCTACCTTCCTACCCATAACACAAACACACATGTGGCAAATATGTCCTTACTAAGTACCAATGCAGATGACAATTTGGGAGGAGTTCACTTAGTCAATTCAAATGGCAAAGGGGATAAAAATGGTAAATTTCACAGTTCAGCAGTAAAACAATAGTACCCTGTTATTTAACCAACATGGACAACAATCCTGTCTTAAAAATATGCATCTGACCAGTTTCTCTTACACTCAAAGACTTTCACCTTCCAGAGACACAACCAATAATTTTGCTCATCCAGAGCCAATAATTTTGTCTTCCACACTCTAGGTTGACAATTTGTTCTTGAAATAAAGTTGTCAGTATTATGCTCATCAGTCATCACCAAAACTTGTCACAGCTAGGATGGTGTAGCTTAAATGTTTTTCATACTTTTAAGATAACAGCCTTTCTCCTAAACACATTTTTGCTCTATTGCAATAAAAGAAAAACAAGTGCAGGAAAGTTTGCTTCTGAAAATGAATATGAATAATTCCTCAAAGCTGGCTTGCACATACCACTTTGTTTTCACCAGCTGTTTTCTATTTCCACTGTTAGGAACTGGGATTGTGGTTTATTTTAATGCAAAAGAGGTGTTGATTCCATTACAGGAGTGGTTCCCATATATTATGGCAGAATCAGCAGGAAAGCCTATTCTACTCTTTGAGTGGGATAAAAACACTCAGGACTTAGTCATTGAAGATGTCTCTTTTGCTGTGAGGATTCAAAATGTAAAAGATGAGCTACAGTTGGAAAAATTTAGTAGAAATACATCATGTACTATTACCTTTAGACTATCAAATTCCCAAAATAACAGACCTATCAGTCCACTGTAACTAAACTGGATGTCTGAGCATACCATCTTTCACTGAGTCTCCCACCAGCTACCTCCCCAGCACAGCTGGTTGGCACTGTTGCCCATTGCCCTCCTCTTGCAATGACTAAGGGAGACAATTAGGAGAATATAAGGTAAAACAAAAGCTTTTTTTGATAGAAGATGTTTTTTAAAAAATTATACAACTCATGCTACTTCTACCTCATCCTCTACACATAGGGGCTCTACATGTGAAAGCAGAAAATTATTAGCAGAGCAAATAATAAGCAGTAGTTAAGATATCAGAAACCACCCAGACAGCTCTGATCACTTTTGTTCTTTTTGGCAAATGGATTAAATTCCAATAGCCATAATGCTTATCTCCTATGTCCTCTTTAAGAAATCTATTTGATGCAAAGTACTCCATTAACCATTTTCAATTGTAGCATGCACAAGAGAGCTGGATGGTCTTCGAATACAGCCTCTGTAGGCAGGCTGCTTACAATACTCCTCCTTCCTTACATTCCTCCATCCTTTCTGGCTCTCTCTTTCATTTACTTCTTCTTGCTCTCCCCTTCCTAGGAGGGAGTTTTGTTTTCAATTAATGAAGAAAAACAGAGTTTCTAGCCCCTGATTGTCCTTCTCAGAGCATCTTTGGACAACAACAGCTGCTCGGCATCTGTGGGAAATTGTTTTATTCAAGAGATTGGGGAGCATTGATTCAATTCAGTAGACAAGAGAAGTCAAAATTACCATTAGCTACATTAGTGCACTTACTGCTCCAGACTGTGAAAGGAATTGTGAGGCTCCTCACTCAGAGGCCACATGAAGGCAATGAAGGAAACCACAATTACCTCCCTGAAGATCTCTCACCAGGACTGTAATTGGGCATGCCACAGTACTCAGTGTTAGCTGCAGTGAACAGCCAGCCTGTCATTGCATGTACAGGAACCATCCTGGAACTAAAAGTCTTGATGACTTCTGAATCCATTTCTCATAATGTAATCAATAAAATGCTTCATCATGACCCATCAAATCCTGCAGACATTACTAAGAGGCACAAATGATGCCTTGCATTAGACTCTAACATCTCCACAAAGGAGAAAATGGAATTCTCTGATTTCACCACTTACTAAACCTATAGACAAGGGGAAAAAACCTACCCCCACTCCCAAGTTGGCACAACCTCCTACTACAGACCTATTTTATTTCATTTCATCTCCTTCTCAAACTAGCTTTTATTTGGGAGGCGCGTCATGTCAAATACATACTTCTTTAAAAATCTATGATTTACTGGTACCAAAATAGAGATATGGACCAATGGAACAGAACAGAGGCCTCAGAAATAATGCCACTTATCTACAACTATCTGATCTTTGACAAACCTGACAAAAACAAGAAATAGGGAAAGGATTCCCTATTTACTAAATGGTGCTGGGCAAGACAGGGATGCCCTCTCTCACCACTCCTATTCAACATAGTGTTGGAAGTTCTGGCCAGGGCAATCAGGCAGGAGAAGGAAATAAAGGGCATTCAATTAGGAAAAGAGGAAGTCAAATTGTTCCTGTTTGCAGATGACATGATTGTATATCTAGAAAACCCCATCGTCTTAGCCCAAAATCTCCTTAAGCTGATAAGCAACTTCAGCAAAGTCTCAGGATACAAAATCAATGTGCAAAAATCACAAGCATTCTTATATACCAATAACAGACAAACAGAGAGCTAAATCATGAGTGAACTCCCATTCACAATTGCTACAAAGAGAATAAAATACCTAGGAATCCAACTTACAAGGGATGTGAAGGACCTCTTCAAGGAGAACTACAAACCACTGCTCAATGAAGAAAAAGAGGATACAAACAAATGGAAGAACATTCCATGCTCATAGGTAGGAAAAATCAATATCATGAAAATGGCCATACTGCCCAAGGTAATTTACAGATTCAATGCCATTCCCATCAAGCTACCAATGACTTTCTTTACAGAATTGGAAAAAACTACTTTAAAGTTCATATGGAATCAAAAAAGAGCCCGCATTGCCAAGTCAATCCTAAGCCAAAAGAACAAAGCTGGAGGCATCACACTAGCTGACCTCAAACTATACTACAAGGCTACAGTAACCAAAACAGCATGGTACTGGTACCAAAACGGAGATATAGACCAATGGAACAGAACAGAGTGCTCAGAAATAATGCCGCATATCTACAACTATCTGATCTTTGACGAACGTGACAAAAACAAGCAATGGGGAAAGGATTCCTTATTTAATAAATGGTGCTGGGAAAACTGGCTAGCCATATGGAGAAAGCTGAAACTGGATCCCTTCCTTACACCTCATAAAAAAATTAATTCAAGATGGATTAAAGACTTAAATGTTAGACCTAAAACCATAAAAACCCTAGAAGAAAACCTAGGCAATACCATTCAGGACATAGGCATGGGCAAGGACTTCATGTCTAAAACACCAAAAGCAATGGCAACAAAAGCCAAAATTGACAAATGGGATCTAATTAAACTAAAGAGCTTCTGCACAGCAAAAGAAACTACCATCAGAGTGAACAGGCAACCTACAGAATGAGAGAAAATTTTTGCAACCTACTCATCTGACAAAGGGCTAATATCCAGAATCTACAATGAACTCAAACAAATTTACAAGAAAAAAACAAACAACCCCATCAAAAAGTGGGCAAAGGATATGAACAGACACTTCTCAAAAGAAGACATTTATGCAGCCAACAGACACATGAAAAAATGCTCACCATCACTGGCCATCAGAGAAATGCAAATCAAAACCACAATGAGATACCATCTCACACCAGTTAGAATGGCGGTCATTAAAAAGTCAGGAAACAACAGGTGCTGGAGAGAATTTGGAGAAATAGGAACACTTTCACACTGTTGGTGGGACTGTAAACTAGTTCAACCATTGTGGAAGTCAGTGTGGCGATTCCTCAGGGATCTAGAACTAGAAATACCGTTTGACCCAGTCATCCCATTACTGGGTATATACCCAAAGGATTATAAATCATGCTGCTATAAAGACACATGCACATGTATGTTTATTGCGGCACTATTCACAATAGCAAAGACTTGGAACCAACCCAAATGTCCAACAAAGATAGACTGGATTAAGAAAATGTGGCACATATACACCATGGAATACTATGCAGCCATAAAAAATTATGAGTTCATGCCCTTCGTAGGGACACGGATGAAGCTGGAAACCATCATTCTCAGCAAACTATCGCAAGGACAAAAAACCAAACACCGCATGTTCTCACTCATAGATAGGAATTGAACAATGAGAACACATGGACACAGGAAGGGGAACATCACACACTGGGGCCTGTTGTGGGGTGGGGGTCTGGGGGAGGGATAGCATTAGGAGATGTACCTAATGTTAAATGACAAGTTAATGGGTGCAGCACACCAACATGGCACATTTATATACATGTAACAAACCTGCATGTTGTGTACATGTACCCTAAAACTTAAAGTATAATAAAAAAAATCCATTCTGATTTTCTTTTAAATTGGTGCCACATTAAAGAATCAGCAACATTAAGTATATTATGCAGCACTGTGGCTCTTTATAGCTTAAGGAGAAAAAGTCCCACATTTCCAGTGCTTTCAATTTTTCACCTTCCCTTGTGAGATCTCATATTCTAAATTTCTTAAGTGCTCACTAAAGAGAGCCTGAATCTGAATCCCAGACCAAAAGACTGCTTAGAAATGCTTAATGAATTAGAAAGCATCATGAGTTTTTTTATCCAAAACTACAAGCTTGAAAAAGATAACTTAGATCACAGATCCAATCACATGGAGTTTCCTTAGAAACAGCAAACCATATTCCCTTGGAGAAAAGGGCTTAAAACCAGCAAAGGGTTGATTATAACTCCTCCTCTGTAGTCACGACTGAGTTGACCAACAGTGGCAACTTTATAAAAGGAAATGAAGATGTAAACTGAGCACAGTGAGCCAGATTCTCCCTCAAGAATTTGAGCTGTAAGGCAGACTAAATAAAAAATATGATGACGGGTACAAGAATTGGAAGCAGCAGCATGTGGAATTGGGTCATGCAGCCATAATGGGCATGTGCTGATGAAACCATTTAGGTTTAGTAGGAGATATTGATAAACACTGATGAACATGCAGATTGGACAAAAGTCCCAGCCTGCCTGCCACCGGCATCCAAGAACACTGTCCCAAGGGCCTAGGAGTTGACATGCCCTGCCTGTGGCTTCTGGCTCACATGTGGACCATCAGAGGACCTAACAACAGGACCAGAACACCTGCCACCTGCACTCAAGATTCCCCATCCACCACGGTCTGAACAGGCACACTATCTGGGGGCCTGAGAATAGGATTCCACTGCCTGGTGCCACCATCACCACCCACACAACCTACCAACTTCGGGACTGGCCTTGCTGGCCTGCTACTGCCACTGCTGCAAACCACACAAGCCACCTACCATATGACCCAGAAATCCCACTACTGGGGATTTAACCAAAGGAAAGGAAAGAAAAATCAGTATCTCAAAGGGATACCTGCACTCCCATGTTTTTTGCAGCACTATTCACAATAGCAACAATATGGAATCAACCTAAGTGTCCATCAATGTATGTACGAATAAAGAAAATGTTATATACACACACACACACACACACACACACACATATATACAATGGAATATTATTTAGCCATAATAAAAAATGAAATCCTGTCGTTTGCAGCACCATGGATGGAACTGGTGGTCATTATGTTGTGTGAAATAGCCAGGCATAGAATAACAAATATTGCATGTATTCACTCATATGTGGGAACCAAAAGTTGATCTTATGGAAGTAGAGAGTAGGATGATAGTTACCAGAGGCTGGAAGGGTGTGTGGTTGGGAGGAAGGGATGAAGAGAAGTTGGTTAATGGGTACAAACATACTGTTAAGATAGAAAAGTAAGCTCTAGTGTTCGACAGCACAGTAGGGTGACTATAGTTAACAATATATTGTATATTTCAAAATATCTAGAAGATTTGAGATGTTACCAACATAAAAGTGTTCAATATAATAAATAACCTCACTTGATGTTTTCTATGCATGTATCAAAATATCACATGTGCCCTCTAAACATGTACAAATATTATGTAGCAGTTGAAAAAAAAAACACGTAGACTTAAAGGACAGAGGAAGCATCTTAACTTTTTGAATTTCCAGTTCTAGTTTCTGCATGACCTTGCTCTACTTTGTTTTCTATTCCTAAATGTATGCATTCTACTTTAAGTGGGCTTTTATTCCCTACAAGCAATAAATCTTTTTTTAAAAAATTGGATTATAACTGGCCCAAGTTACCAATTCATATAAGGACAACTTGTGTACTAATTGAGAATGAAACTACTACAAAACTAGAGGTAGAAATATCCTTCACATAATTGGTGTTCCCCATTTTTAATGCACTAGGGAGTAAACAAAAGTCTAACCACATTTCCAATTTCTCCCTATCACCACTTCCAAGCGTTCCAGTGTTGTGAAACTTCTGGACCATATAAATCATATACTATACATGTCTCTAAAGTGCCTGGATTAACAGTCATATTTAACTTTATTAGTTGAAGCTCTGGCACCTACTCCCGTGATTCCAACAAATCTTTTGAGAAAAAGTGAAGTCTTTTTTTTTTTTAAATCATTCCATTCATTTTTTCAACCCTTAGAAATCCTGCATGGTGGCTCATGCCTATAGTCCCAGCACTTTGGGAGGCCAAGGCAGGCAGATCGCTTGAGCCCAGGAGTTTGAGGCCAAGGCAGGCAGATCGCTTGAGCCCAGGAGTTTGAGGCCAAGGCAGGCAGATTGCTTGAGCCCAGGAGTTCAAGACCGGCCTGGGCAACATGGTGAAACCTCATCTTTACTAAAAATACAAAAAAATTAGCCAGGCAAGGTGGCATGTACCTGTAGTTCCAGCTACTTGTGAGGCTGAGGGAGAAGATCACCTGAGTTCAGGAAGCCGAGGCTGCAGTGAGCCATGATCACCACTGCACTACAGTCTGGGTGGCAGGAGTGAGACCCTGTCTCAAAAAGAAAGAAAAAAAGTAAAAGAAATCTCACAAAGATGCTCAATCTCTCAAAAATTACCAACTTCTACTTTCATGGCCCATATTGAGAAGACTGACATAAGAAATTTTGGGTACAATCAAGATGGAACATTATCAAGCTTGGGGAAGCACTGATTTCATGTTTCTTCTTTTCCCACCTGCTAACACACATACCTATGTTCGCTGTCTTTGCATCACGCCTCATTTGGCTGGTGAACCATTCCTACTCAAATGAACCCACCACTGTCTTGTTACTTGTCATGTCCTCTTTTAGTTTTTCTTAGTAGGAGGCCCTGCTTGTTTTATTTCTTCTCTGTAAACATCTTGCGTTTTCCCCCTTGGTGTTTCTCCAGCCCACTTTTGTATCCTTATTTGTATCCTCAATGTGATCGACATCTTCCATATTCCATGATGTCCAGGAAAATGAACTAGACTGAGACTGAAGGCACATGTATCAATCCCAGCTCTGCCACCAGTTGTATGATCTTATCCCTTACTTTTCTCATCTGTACAATGATGAAGGGTTGAAACAGGTGATCTCCAAAAGCCTTCCTTCTTAATTTCTGTAACTTTATAACATTTCTTCCAAAAGGAAAAAGCTTTTTAAAATATTTCTCCCATGACTATGTCTTATCTTTGTATCTCCAGTACTTCATACTGAATATTCGGAGGATGCCTAATAAACATCTGTTAAATGAGCCTATCACCCCTGGCACTGATTTGTGGCATGAGCTTCGGTAATGTTACATTTCATTATCACCAGTGCAACAAAATGGAAAAATGTACATTCTCCATAATTCCAGGTGGCAGAGGTGAGCAGAATAACCTGAAAAGACTATCCTCCGTAAAATAAGTCAAACTGATGAACTCTACCATATTTTCAACAGGTCTGCAGATCATGGAAGGGTTTTGTGTCAGAGGCATGGGCATTTAGAAGGTGGCAGAGTCTAAAGGTGCAGGCAAATGTTGGAAGACTGTGATGTCATCTCTTCCTACAACCCTTCACATTTTCAATAACATTACCAAATTCACAAAATCATTGACTGGACTTTCATGGAAAATGACATAGTGAACGTCTTCACGTTGGCTGGTGTAGGCTGGATTGTAATGGTATCAACATGCTAAGATTGACGATGATTAGAGGTGACCATAAGAAAATGGAATTGGGAAGTCATAGAAGTTATGTGGTGAATTCACATACACAAAAAGTGGCATATTCAGCACTATTCACAATAACAAAGATAGGGGATCAACCCAAGTGTCCATCAATGAATGAATGAAGGAAATGTGTTATATATACACACAATGCAACACTACTCAGACATAAAAAACGAATGAGTTGTCATTTGCAGCAACATGGATGGAACTGGGGGTTATTAAGTGTAATAAGCCAGGCACAGAAAGACAGATTTCTCATTTTCTTACTCATATGGGAGCTTACAAACTTGATCCCATGGATGTAGAAAGTAGGGTAATAGATATCAGGGTCTGGGGAGGATATATGGGTGGGAGGGGTGATGAAGAGAGTTTGGTCAATGAGTACAACATACAATGAGATAGAAGGTGCAAGTTCTGACATTCCATCGCAGAGCAGGGTGACTAAAGTTAGCAACAACATACTGTATATTTCAGTCTCTAGAAGAGAGAACTTGAAATGTTTACAACACAAATAAGTGATAGATATCCCAAATACCCTGACGTAATCATTGCGCATTCTATACATGCCACAAGAAAACCTAGCATATTGAGAATTTGAGCCCAAGTCACCTAAACCTTCAAGAAACTGAAATCCCAAGTGACATCTAGGTTACATGTCTCATTCCTTGCCAACAACTAGGGCCACAAATGCATAACTGGACTATTATAAATGTGATAAAATAAAAGAAATTAATATATCAAAGTTACATGGAAATGGTAGGATGCTATAATTAGGCCAACACCAATTATAATGGAAATACTTCCTTTGAATAAGGCAGGATGTTTAGTGATACAGCTCATAAAAAAACAAGCCTTTGGGCTGGGCACAGTGGCTCGCGTCTGCAATCCCAGAACTTTAGAAGGCCAAGGCGGGTGGATTACCTGAGGTCAGGAGTTCAAGACCAGCCAGACCAACATGGTGAAACCCCATCTCTAATAAATACAAAAAATTAGCCAGGCGTGGTGGGGCATGCCTGTAATCCCAGCTACTTGGGAGGCTGAGGCAGGAGAATAGCTTGAACCTGGGAGGCAGAGGTTGCAGTGAGCTGAGATTGCACTCCAGCCTGGGCAACAAGAGTGAAACTCCATTTCAAGCAAACAAACAAAAAACAAACAAAACCCACAAGCCTTCTCTGTGTACTAACTAAAAAAAAAAATTTGCCTTAACAGGATGTGCAAGACTGCCTTTGCTTTTATACCTACTCCAAAGTACTAACTATGATTAAAAAAGAAATTATCTCTGGATCTCATAACAATCATAACAGTAGCTGAAATGTGACAAACCAGAAAGGTAAAGAAAAATGGAGTTATACTGAGGTTAGCTTCAAGAGGCACTTCCTTTTTTCCCTAAAATGAAAACTTTATTTTTTTTTTGCTTGACCATAAAAGACACATATGTTTACTGTAGAAAGTCAATATTCTGGTGTCTCTCTCTTCCTCTTATAAGGATACAAATCCTATCAGATCAGGGCCCCAAGCTTTTGACCTCATGTAACCTTAATTACCTACTTAAAGGCCTTGTCTCCAAATACAGTAAAAATCTCAGGTGCTTTCCAGCTCTTGATGCACATTTTCACGAACAATTTATGATTGTGCCCATTATCCCTTGCAAATCAAGTATTCTCTACCTCCTCCCACATCAGACTGATAGTTTTAGTTTTTTTTTTAAATGTTGAGATGGAGTTTCGCTCTTGTTGCCCAGGCTGGAGTGCAATGGCACAATCTTGGCTTACTGCAACCTCCGCCTCCCAGGTTCAAGTGATTCTCCTGCCTCAGCCTCCGAGTAGCAGGGATTACAGACACCTGCCACCACACCTGGCTAATTTTTTGTATTTTTAGTCGAGATAGGGTGTCACCATGTTGGCCAGGCTGGTCTGAAACTCCTGATCCACTGCTTCGGCCTCCCAAAGTGCTGGGATTATAGGTGTGAGCCATCGTGCCCAGCCTGATAGTTTTTAAAACAATAGAATCTTGTTTTTATAAATGTTTATGTCACATTGGGGGCTAGACCAAATTTTGGATGGACATGATTCAGTTCACAACACCTTCCCATAAACATTTCAGATATTTAAATTCATGTCAATATAGACCTACATGATCATTTTAATGGTTTCCTAATATTCTCTTGTATGGATATACCATCATTTAAAAAGACACATGTATTTCTAAATTTTAATATTCTAAATAATGCTGCAATGCAAATATATTTATGCCTATGTGCACTTACGTTTGTACCCTATTCTAATAATTTCCTTGTAGCATATTCCAGGTAAAGAGTCACCTTGTCCCTTTGGGCTTAGGAAATTGGCCTAAGAAGATGTTGCTATTCTGGCTATTGCTGTTGTTGTGAGTAATAAAGTTTTTGTCTCTGGCCCAGGCATCCATGAAACTGTTATGGCCTAACCTGTTGGCTGTGCCAGGAATGTAAAAATCTCAGGTGCTTTCCAGCTCTTGACATACATTTTAAAATCCAACAATTTATTACAGTGTCCTTTATCCTTTGCAGATAAGGGATTATCTACCTCCTCCCTTATTAGGCTGATTGCTTAGGAAAAAAAAATCAATAGAATCTTGTTGTATTTACAACTTTTTGTTTTTTGGCCATTCCTATAGCTTTTTTTGTAAACATCGATTTTTCTATTGTGTATTTTCTGTACAAAATTTAACATTTTTTTCTATATTAGAAATATTGGCATTTTGTCTGCTAGATATTGACTTTTTTTCAACCTAAGTATGTGTTTTATTTTTCTAAAGTCAAATATAAAAATATTTTGCTTTGTGAGATTTTTGTCTCGATGTCATGTCTTCTCCCCTTTAAAATGAGTGCATAGTGACATATCTTTGCAGATATTCAGGTGGGCCATCAATTGGCAGGAAGAGTACACCTGCACCCCCCTCTTCCTAATTGAGTTATCCAATTTGGTTGACGTAAGGTAGCTGAGCAAACGTTTCATACCTCAGTGTAGCTTTCTTTGCCTACACCTCAATATGCCAGTGGCAGGGGCTTGTGGCCCAGCAACACTATCCTGTCCACTCTGGGGCTTCCCTGTGCTACACCACAACCCTTTATACTTGGAACTTACATCCCAATTCCAAAAGGCTTATACAAACAGTTGCTGAACTTAAAATCCCACTTCTGTTTATCAAGACCTGGCTCTCCTGAACCAAATTCAGTCTGCCCATGTCTTCACCCCTTTTACTCCTCTTTTGCAGACTTCAAGCTATTATCATACTTTACTTGTCCAAAAAATTTTAGAGTCATTTCGCAAATATTCCCTCATCTCACTCCCAAGCTCAATACCAGTAGAATCTTCAATGGGATTGCATTAAATATGCCATTTAATTTGAAAAGCATTGATGCCTGAATCCACAGCATATTCCCATACATTCTTGCAAGAATCTTTTCATAGCCCTCATATGTCTTTTTCATATTATCCTACATGTTTATTGGTAAGTTTCATCTGTATTTTTTATTGTTATTTATTTTTTCCTACTGTATAACCAGTTAGTATATGTAAAAACCATTGACTTTAATATCTTATAGCCAGCCATTTAACTTAATTTTATTGGCACTAATAGTTTTCCAGGTGATTATTTGCAAATAATAGATAGCTGTAGTCCATTTCTGTAGTGGCATTTAGGGTAGCCAGATGAAATAGGACCAAAAATTGTTTGCTCAGGTAAACTGATAAGTTTTTAGTATGAGTTTTTTCTATGCAATACTTTAGAGTACTATTACTAAAAAATTGTTGTTCATCTGAAACTCAAGTTTAACTAAGTGCCTTGTATTTTTATTTGGTAAATCTGGCAAGTTTGGTTGTGGTGCTAGCACTACAAGAATTGTGCCAAATAATGATGATAGCATTGCCGTACTATTTCTGTTTTACTAGAAATGACTCTACAGTGTTTCTCTGTCAAGTATGTTAATAGCTCCTAATTTTAGTTATAAGTTCAACAGGACCAGAGACCACTCACAAGTTTGTAAGCACAGTCCCAGCACCATGCCCGATATACAGTATATGTTTAAAAGATATTGACTGGATAAGTGATAAATATGCTTTACCATGTTAGCAAAGTTTAAGAAAGAAATTGTATAGTTGGCTGGGCATGGTGGCTCACGCCTATAATCCCAGCACTTTGGGAGGCCGAGGTGGGTGGACCACGAGGTCAGGAATTTGATACCAGCCTGACCAATATGGTGAAACCCCGTCTCTACTAAAAATACAGAAATTAGCTGGGCATGGTGGTGCGCACCTGTAGTCCCAGCTACTCGGAAGGCTGGGGCAGCAGAATCGCTTGAACCTGGGAGGCAGAGGTTGCAGTGAGCTGAGATGGCACCACTCCAGTTCCATCCATGTTGCTGCAAATGACACCTCATTCATTTTTTATGGCTGAGTAGTGTTGCATTGTGTGTATATATAACACATTTCCTTCATTCATTCATTGATGGACACTTGGGTTGATCCCCTATCTTTGTTATTGTGAATAGTGCTGAATATGCCACTTTTTGTGTATGTGAATTCACCACATAACTTCTATGACTTCCCAATTCCATTTTCTTATGGTCACCTCTAATCATCGTCAATCTTAGCATGTTGATACCATTACAATCCAGCCTACACCAGCCAACGTGAAGACGTTCACTATGTCATTTTCCATGAAAGTCCAGTCAATGATTTTGTGAATTTGGTAATGTTATTGAAAATGTGAAGGGTTGTAGGAAGAGATGACATCACAGTCTTCCAACATTTGCCTGCACCTTTAGACTCTGCCACCTTCTAAATGCCCATGCCTCTGACACAAAACCTTTCCATGATCTGCAGACCCATTGAAAATGTGGTAGAGTTCTGTCAGTTTGAATTCTTTTATGGAGGATATTCTTTTCAGGTTATTCTGCTCACCTCTGCCACCTGGAATTGCACTCCAGCCTGGGCGACAGAGCAAGCCTCCATCTAAAAAAAAAAAAATAAATTGTATAGCTTACATTGTATTGTTTTGTGAAACTATATAGAAATGTGTAGCTCAAGTGGCAAGTAAGATAAGAATGCATAAGCAGATATGAAATAACCGTATAAGAAGTTAATAGCAACTAAGAGTTTAGATTCAGAGCCATACTGCCTAGGTTCACATCTTACCTCCATTTTACTGACTTGCCTGATTGTGGGCAAGTTTCCTGAGTCCTAGTTTGCACATCTGTGAAACAAGAAGAATGACAGTATCTACCTCATAGGGTTATTATAAGAATTAACTGGGAAAATTCATGGTAAATAATCAGCACAGTACCCGGCATGGAGCATTTTCATAAGTGATATCTATTAGAAATTATATCTACTATTGAACATTCAGCAAGGACTAAGTACTGTTCTACATATTTTACTTATACTATCTCATTCAAAATAATATCACTCTTCACTTTTGTTTGCCCTGTTTCAGAGAATGACACTAAGAAAATAGCTGAACTTTTTCAGAAGTGTTTAAATTGGTAATACAAAACTCTCAAAAAATAAGCCAGTGATGCTTAAATTGTAACCCTGGGACCAGCGGCCTCAGCATTACCAGACATTGATTTTCTATTGCTGCTGTAACAAATGACCACAAATTAAGTAAGACTTAACATAACACAAATTTGTTACCTCACAGTTTTTGTAGATCAGAAGTCTGAACCCAGCTTGGTTTTCTGCTTAGTGTTTTTACAAGGCCAAAATCAAGGTTTCAGCAGAGCTGCACTGCTTTCCAGAAGCTCTGGGGATGAATCCACTTTGGATCATTCAGGGTATCAGAAGCCAGTTCCATATAGGACCAAGGTCCCTGTTTCTTTGAGCCATTGGGGGTCATTCTCAGTTTCTAGGGGCCAACCACATTCCTTGGCTCACAGCTCCTTCCTCCCTCTTCAAAGCTAGCAAGGACAGACTGAATGTTTCTCATGCCCCAAATGGCTCCGACCTCTCCTTCCGCCTCGCCTCTCCTGTTTGCCTCGTCTGCTTTCAAGGGCTCATTGGATTACATTGGCAATCTGGGCTAATCTCCCTATTTTATGGTCAGTTGATTAGTAACATTGATTCCCTCTGCAAAGTCCCTCCACAGCAGCATCTAGATTGCTGCTTAAATAACCAGGGGATGGGATTCCTTGGTGAGGCATCTTTAGAATTGTTCCTTTCACACCTGAGAATTTTTGGAAATTCAAATTCTCTTGCCCCATCCCAGACTTGCTGAATCAGGAACTCCAGAGGAAGGCCCAAAAACCTGTGTTTTAATGTAATTCAGCTGAGTCTGATTCGTGCACACCACAGTTTGAGAACCATTGAAATAGTGGACGGGTTGGGGCATGCCGTTTGATTTCAAAACTTAAAGCTAAGCCAAGGATATCTGTTCTTAATTTTAAAGGAAATCTCTGAGAGGAACTCACTTTAATAAATTATTTTATAATACATGACTATATTAATTACATTATATTAACCATTACTGATTTGTTTTATTCAGTGGTGATAGATTTCAGTTTAATTTTTAACTGATGCCAATGAAAATTTTGCTTCCTCAAAGAAAAAACGTTTTTTATATCTACCTTCTTGAAAAAGAGGCTAATTTAAGGGGAAAGTTTTGCAATCATGGAGGAGAACATGTAATTAAGAGCACCTGAGAAAATCCATAAAACAGCCTAGACACTCCTTCAATCCTGGTTAGTTAGAGGTAGCCGAGAAGGATTTTCCAGGTGCCACTCATCTCTTATCATTCACCTCCTTGCGTAGCTTTTTTGCGTCGCGTTTTTTGACTTTCAACACTCACATGAGAGTCGACTGATACAGAAGAAAGGGACTACAAGGGACCAAAGAGGACAGAAGACAAAACTGGCTCTAGAAAACAAGTCTTTAGAGTTAGTTGCTAAACTGGCCAGCTTGTGTACACATAGTTTGCAAATGAAGGCTAGCGAGGAATAATTTCCTGACTAAATTATTTTAAACACAACTTTTAATGCTACGTAACTATACTACATGCTTTAGAGATGTTTTAAAATGAAAGAAGAATAAAGTGGCATAAGACCTCTTTGCAAATGAAATGGCAAAAGATTGACATAGCTGCTCTAGCCCATAATGTCATATACCTACCCAACTTGTAATGAACCATCTTCAAATACATTGCCTATTGTTTTTAAAATTGGGGGATGTGCAATCACAGCTACACAGTAAACCTGACATATGAATCTGATAATTTTTTAAGTTCATTTTATACTCCTTGAAAAATCTATCAAAACCTCAGAGGGCTATGGGCATATGATTGATTCTTTTATCATATCTCCCTCCTTGGGATCCAGATTCTAGATCAAGCTCAAAAGCCATCACAATGCTAGCCTTCTAAGTCCACAAATTTAATTGAACTAGCCTATGTTTTGTTAGTTTTTAAACATTTTCTTAGAAGGATTAGACTACGAAAACTGTTTAAAAATATGATAAAGGAGAGGGCTCCCTTCAATGTGTTTTAAAATATATCTCCACTTAAGCAACCTCACTGTTAAACTTGTCACTTGAGGGGGAGATTAGTTTAGAATAAGACAAAATGGTCTTTCTTGCTAACCTTTTCTTCTCCCTTGTGTATTTCTGAGCGGAAACTGTTACAATTCTATTTCAAGCTTAAAAAAAAAATGTCTTACAAAGGCTCACCCTCAGCCCCTTGGCATTAGACCTGGTTTATCACTTTCCCCTGCAGACATTTACACAAGAGTATTAATGTGGCATGTCAGTAAATTGAGACTCTCAGAGTTAAGGGTTAATCAAAATAATTTAGGTGATAGCAGTTAACTCTCTGGAGAATCTGAGACCTGAGGCCTCATCAGAAGCTGGCTGCACAGGAGATGGAAAAAAATGTAAAAGCCAGGGCTCTTTCAGTAGAAATCTCCAGGTCTCAGCTGGCACACAGGCTCAATTATCGGCTTTTAGCTTGGTGAAAAGTCAAGCATCCCCAGGACCCTGCTGCTCCAGGCATTTTATTGGCTCATTAAATATAGGATTTTGTTTTTCAGCCCCAGCCAAACGTGATATGCTATCCAAACAGAAAGTATGATGAGAGCTGGAATAGCTAACACATGCGCTTCCTTTACCCCTTCTCTGCGCTTCTCTCATCCCACCCCGCCCCCTATGCACTTTATTACAAGCACAAAATTCCTACAGAAAGAAACAGTGAGAGGCTTCACTGCAGAGACTGTTCGTAAGAACTCCGACCTCATTCAGTTACTCGAAAGTATGTTCTCAGCATGTGTGTTAGATTAATTCAACTAGAAATGTTTTTGCCCCAAAGAGCTCACAAAGTAGAAGATGACAATGAAGAAATGAGACCCAGAAGACTTTAATACTAGATAAACATCAGTTAATCATGCTAAAATGTTCCAAAGTCAGAAGCCATCAATGAGCATGAGAAATCTTTGGAAAACTGCTTAATAAGATCAGGAAAAGTGGAGAGGAGTTTTTGCTTCCTTTACTCATTGAAATGAAGAATAACTTATCCCCTAGATTGACCTCCTATGTAAAAAATATTCAGATTATTTTGGAATAGGGACCTGTTCTACACATGCATAGGAACTGACTTTTAATGGTTAAAATAAGTCCAATACAGTGGAAGTGGAGAAGACAATTTCTGGATACAATCCAGCAGACCCCAGAGCTTCCTGCTACTCTGAACAAACAGACACATTACTTTTTTCTCTTTTAGAAGTAAGCAGTTTACAAGAACTGCAGAGATATATCTTGAAACAATCTGCCACACCATTTGCCACACACATAATCCTCCTAGATTAATTTTTAAAAAATGAATGTTGATATAACCAATATGAGTGACATGGTAGTAAAATAAAATGCATTCATGTGTGGCTGCTGACATCCTAAAGTAATAACACCCCTAAAAGATAAAACCCTAAGAGCAACCCGAAAATATGTGTTATAAACCAAAAATATGTTTATACCTTTTGACTGAGGAATGCCAGCTTGAGGATTTATCCCAAAATAAATAAATGAATAGAAGAAAAAGTCACATACTTAATTTATGTAAAAAAAAAAAAAAGTATTGGGCTCTATATTGGCCCTATGCAAAATACTTATTTAGCAAAGAGACAAATAAGGAATTGAAGACAATTTCTTATTTGTCTCTTTGCTAAATTACAAATTTACAAATTACAAACTACCTAGTGGGAGAAAATAGGAGCATAAATAATCACGATGTGATGTAATAAGCACATCATCTGAGATATATGCTAGGTTCAGCAGTAACACAGGAGGTGGGAGAAGAACTAAAGGGACATTTATTCAACATACATTGTAGAGCACCTCCTAAGGGCTGTGCTAGGCTCTGAGACTAAGAAGCAAGGCAGATTGCCCCTGTGCTCATGATGCCCATGGTGGTCTAGTGACTCCAGATGAAAAGGGTAGCACATGCCCATAAGAGATGAAATAGCCTAGTATATTTGAGGAACTGGATGTAATAAGGTATTTCTGGAGCATAGAGTTAAGGGTTAGGGTTAGAGGGAGTGAAAAGGGAAGCAAAGCCAGGCTGTGGGGAACTTGAACGCACAAAAAGGTGTTTAGACTTTACCCTATGTTTGATGTAGCTTCACTGAAGGATTTGTAGAGGAATGACAGTCAGATCTGCATTTTGAAAGATGATTCTGTTACCAGCATAACATGAGTTGGGTTAGGGTGGATGTGAGCAGTGAGATTAGTGTCAGTGAGACCAAATGAGAGTCTACTGGTCTAGTCCAGACGAGAAGCCAAAAAAGCTTGAACTAGGTGAGTGCCAGAGAGTACAGAGAGAAGAGAAGCAATTCAAACAATCTGGTACAGCTGGCCTTTGATCTTCACAAGAGATTTGTCCTTGCAAACCCCCTATCTGATGACCATGGAAGTGTTTATAGAAGGGCCTGGCTTTCTCTCAAACAACTTTCCATTGCCACTTAGAGATTCCTTTCCTGTACCTGTCTTGATACCATCAGTTAAATGACTATTAATTTTTCATCGTATCTTTCTGTTTCACTTGAGCAGTTTTTGCACTCAAACTGGAATGACCATTGAAGTGCTTTTGCAATGACGAAGTTGGTTATTATGATGCTCATCTAAACCACTGCCAAATATGACATTTCACTTCAATTTATCCAAATGATTTTCTTAGTCTGCATTCTCTTTCTTTTCACCTCTGCCATAAGCAACAAGTAATAAGTTCTTTATAGAATTGTGTTTCATAAGAAATAAAGTTTTGTTTTTGTCACTGTATATGCTAGGACAAGTAAGGAACCACAGAGTTGAATATGGAGGCAGGATGGGTTTCTATGACAGCTAGAAGCAGTGACTCACTTCTGTACCTTAGCTATACATCATCCTACATTAAATACTGCCTCAGGATGTAATGAAGTAATGCATATAAGGTAGTTAATATTATATCTAGTATACCGGAAGCATTCAAAAAATGTTAGTAATATAGTGAAATTTAATGCAGGTATCGAATTGTTTTTTTTTAATTTAATGGATATGAACTCTCTACCTCAGGCCAAAAAATTTTACATACAATTTCAGAATACATACAAAGGTATGAAAATAAGCATTATGTAGGTATTACTGCATATGCTAAAAACTAACACACATATGCACACACACACACACATATATACACGCTAGTACATGAGAAAACCAAAGACCATTAAGTTAAAAAAGAGCAAAGTGAAAACACATAAATTGCATTATCTTGTGTAAAAATTTTTATAAATCTAGAGCTAGACAGGAGGAATAAGTTCTAGTGTTCTATACCACTGTATGATGACTATGGCTAACAATACTATGTTACATAGGTTCAAAATAGCTAATAAAGGATATTGAATGTTCCCAACACAAAGAAATGGTAAATGTTTGAAATGATGAATATGCTAATTACACTTATCTAATCACTTTACATTATATATATCACATCACTATGTACCCCATAAATATATACAATTAGTATGTGTCAATTAAAAAGATTTTCTCTTAGGAAAATAACAAATTTTTACAACTTTTAGAATATCTCTGTATTTTCAGAATAAAGTAATGAAAAATTTCACAATTATTCTGGGAAAAATATTCATGTGCTGTTTTCAGGATAACATGATTCATATCATCTGACATTTTGGGGGTCTTTTGCTGGCAATAAAAGTTCACATGCTGAGAGTGGCTAAGCACGCTGCAAAGTGATTTCTCAGTTGCTATTGAGGTGTTTTAAGGTTCATTCCCTGTAAACACACGAATTTCTAGAGTGTTGTTTTTTTTAAACCTCTCAAGAGTTTACATGTCTGTAAAATGTCACTTAATGTCACTGGGATTCATGCAAATTGAAGCTTTTACCTCTGCTATAAAAATAAAGGTTGTCACCTACAATGAAAAATGTGAATGTGTCATCTCTCTGAGGTGCTGCTTCACCAGACCCAAGGCATCAGAGCAGTGTTCCCTATACTAAAGAAAAAGAGACAGATTTGAAACTTTCCCCAGTAAGACAAAGATAGTCTGGGGGCAAGACTTCCTTGAGATACATTTAGCATAAGTGCGAGTTGTAAGGCTAGGGCCTTGCGATTGAAAATATGGTCTTCTAACCATCAGCAGCATCATCAGCATCATTGACCCCTGTCAGAAATACAGAATCTCAGGCCCTACCCCAGGCCAAGTGAATCAGAATCTGCATTTTAACAAGATTGACAGTGATTTGGAAGCACATTAAGGTTTGAGGAGATCTCAGCTTAAATCAGTGGCTGGTATGGGCACTATCATTAACATTGTTTCTCATTAAACAACTTCATATATTTATTTTTCTATAAATTGTTTTTATTATTTACATTACTAAGTACTATATGGCTATTTTATTTTAACTACTTGAACATATACTTCAAAATGCTGTGTTTTCCTATGGAAAACTAATGTGTCTATTTTTTAAATGACCCACTTTCAGGAAACTAACCATGACTTAAATTGAGACAGAAAAAAAATACTGTAATAGGTGGACTTTAAAGGTAGCCCAAGAATACTGCAAATTACAAAGTCAAAAATTTACTAGGAGGTAGAATTGACATGTCCTAATGAAACTGCAGGCTGGATGCAGTGGCTCATGCCTCTAATCCCTGCACTTTGGGAGGCCAACGCTGGTGGATCACTTAAGATCAGGAGTTCATGACCAGCCTGGCCAACATGGTGAAACCCCGTTTATACTAAAAATACAAAAATTAGCCTGGCATTGTGGTGGGCAGCTGTAATCCCAGCTACTCGGGAGGCTGAGGCGGGAGAATCGCTTGAACCCGGGAGGTGGAGGTTGCGGTGAGCCAAGGTGGTGCCATTGCACTCCAGCCTGGGTGACAGAGTGAGAATCTGTCTCAAAAAAAAAGAAAGAAGAAAGAAGGAAGGGGAAGGGACGGAGAGAGAGAGAGAGAAAGAAAAAAGAAAGAGAGAGAGAAAGAAACTGCATGTGGAGACAAGACAACTGTGAGAGGAATTGCTAAGAATAACTCTGGGCTTTCCGGTCTTGGTAAGTGGATGAAGGCTGAAGCCCCATTCACCAATGGAAGACGCGTGGTTTTGGTAGGAAAAACCATAAGTCCAATTTTTGGACATGCTGATGCCTGTGGATTTTCCAGATGGAAAAGTCTGAAAGGTAGCTGGATACATGGGTGAGGCTCAGGAAAGATGGTTGCATTGATAAAACAGTGGGCCTCTTATGCAAGGCCCAGAGCAGGCTCCTCCAGTATCTGCAGTAAAGCCATTACCTTCACTCTCTCTTGACCCAACCCTAACCGTTTAACAGGAGCACTTCTGATGTCCATATCCACAATGCCCATGCAATTCTGAGACCTCAGTGAGACTTGATGCATCCACCATGAAACCATAGTTATCTTTACTCCCCCGCAGGGAGGGCCCTCTAGGTACAGTCTTATCAAGCTCATCTGGGGCAATTTCAGGAAGTCTGTACCAAAGCGGACTGGATCCCAGAAGGAAGAATACAGATGCCTGATATTATTCTAAACCAGGCGGAAGACTGGGTTTCTTCCCCAAATTCTCCAGCCTATAACCATAAGTTGCCATAGCCAATTCACTAACATATGCAAGAAGGTACATTTCCCCTCAGAACCTGTGCATCATGGTTTTCTATGAGACATTTCCTGACAACTGCATTGGTGCCCTTGCTTCTAAAATAAATATTGATTTTAGACTAAAGTAGAACTTAGACCCAAAGGGTAAAGACTGGAAAGCTGCAAGTGAGAAAAGAAGGAAATATATTAGGTAATGTCTCCCACAAGTATATCACTTAAAAACATTTCAGAGAGAAGCTAACTTTTTTGCTTTTATATTTTTGTTCTTAAAACTTGACAGTTAAGCAAGAGAAGACATTTTTAAAATTTGGTACATTAATAAATTCAAATCAACAAAAGAGAAACTACTCAGTGTGAGTGAATTTTTTAATTTTTTCAAAAAGTTACCTACAATATCAATTATAGAACTTAGGTTTATTGAGATAATTTTGCTTTTATAGACAGCACCACCTCTAAACACCACAACTGCTGCAGATGCAGCAGAAAAGCTGCATTATACCCATTTTATAAAATTTCATTACTTAAAGAGGATATTTAAAATCTAAAAACTGACAGTCCAATTCAAGCAGGATTGAAACTGCCTATCTTCGGTAGTAGCATGCGTTTTAGCTAAGCTTGTCCATTGGGAGACTGCCTGCTTCTTTCTGCCTGGGAGAGATACTTTCTCATAGCCAGAGCAGAGGTGCTTGTTAAGAGTAATATTTCAGGCTGGGCGTGGTGGCTCACGCCTGTAATCCCAACAGTTTGGAAGGCTGAGGAGGGTGGATCATTTGAGGTCAAGAGTTCAGGATCAGCCTGGCCAACATGGTGAGACCCAGTCTCAACTAAAAATACAAAAATTAGCCAGGAGTGGTGGCACACACTTGTAATCTCAGCTACTCGGGAGTCTGAGGCAGGAGGATTGCTTGAACCCGGGAGGCGGAGGTTGCAGTGAGCCAAGATCATGCCACTGCACTCCAGCCTGGGCAACAGTGAAAGACTCCATATCAAAAAAAAAAAAAAAAAAAAAGAAAAAGAGTAAATAAAATTTCAATGTTAAAGCAAGGAGCTTTCATTTGTGCCCTGTCTTGCCTCTGATGCAGATGTAAGCATTCTCCAGGTTGGAGAACCTGAGCACATCAGCTGCTGGTACGCCTCCTTCTCAGAGTGACCACTTTGGACAAGAAAATAATTGTTCATAGGTATGACATGACTAATGTTTCTATGAGCTTCTTTCTCTGATGACAGGTGCAGCAAAATATGGTTTCAAAGATTAAGCCAATGAGATTTTTTGGCCTTTGTCCATCAGCCCCGTTATTTCACAGACTATTTTAGAGCTATGTATCAGGTAGACACTATTCTAGATGCTTCACATACATTATCTCATTTGATCCTCATACTGTTCCTAGCAAGTCAAGTTTCAATTTAGAGATGGGTATCACTTTTTCTTTATTCCCACCTTATCATCACATTCCAGGAAGGGGTAGACCTTCATATGACAAGACCCTGATCCACCAGGTCACAGTTGACTAGACCAGAGGTTGACACCTGATATCAAGTAAACTGTGCTAATCAAATTTATATCTGTAGGAATTTGCAGCTGGATATATAAAATATTAAAACCAATAAATGCTGTAATAGGCTATATTTGATCCATTTGTAAGTCTTTAGAGCGAATAAAAAACGATGTAGAGACAAAAGACCATTTGGCTCTAAGACAAACTCACTCAGTACTCACTGATGCCTATGTTTCAATTCCTAGATTGACTTGTTTCTGAGGCCTACCGCATTTCATGTCCTTGGGGGTTCATAAGGCACCCTGTATCTTTACAATTATTTCTCCTTTCTTCTTAAATTACCTTGAATAGATAAGGTCATCTACTGAATACATTCAGTACAACCCAATGGTCTCTAAGAGACTATCCTTATCTTTGTTTTATAGATGAGGAAACATACTCAGAGAGTTTAAGCAAGTTACCCGAGATCATGCAGATAGGAAAAAGTGGAATTCAAGCCCAAATCTACATGACTCCAAAATTTGTGCCTTTCACCACTAGATTAATTTAGATCCAAAAATTTTAATGTACCTTGCTGTTTGTTAAAGCTGTCTAAATCTAAGCTAGAGGCTTTATGATTTACAGAAGTTATTGCCATGTCTTCTTAGAGTTTAATACTCAAAACAACTGCTCATTGTAAACAGACAGACATAGAGTATCCATATTTTCATCTACATCATTAAGTCTAGGGAAGTGAAACTTCCTGCTTTCTAGCTGAGTTGGCCTCCTTTCAAGGACTCCAGATCTAATTGCTTTTGCAGAACATGTATATTTCCAATACGTTAGACTCATCTGCTCCCAAGGAAAAATTTGACTTTTTTCTGGTCAATTTGCTATGCACAATTTGTCATCACTAGACCATTCCTATTGTTTATCTTTATGGATGGTTTCCCAGATGAAATTGACATATATTTTTTTCTCTTTCTAACTAGCCACAAGGCTAGAGTTACTCATGTAACTCTTCAACAGCTCAGCTCTGGAGTTTAGCTATTAGCCTTTCTTTATGGAGAAAAAAACCCCACTTAAGCAATCCTATTACCATATCTGAGCTGTTTTGGTTTTTGTCCTGGGATGTGGGGCCTCACCACTCTATCATCCTACATAACTGCTTAGCTTACAAGAATCTGGACTTGGGCCACTCTGATTCAATGATTATGAGAATGGTTTAGGTTAAGACGTTTTTATTGTATTTCAAGCAAAAAACCATCACTTGCTGTAAATCCACCAATTTTGGTTACTTTAAATTTGTTATACCCATAACATTATAACATCAACAGGAATTAGTAAAAATCATCCAGATGTCCATCACTCCAAGAAATCACCTTCATTAGTTTTCCTGTATTATTTTGTGTTCTGTTTGTATACATGTATACATTTTACCTAGTTTTAATCATAACAGATGGCACTTTTAGTTAGCTTTCCTTCATATAATTTGTCAGGAATCACTTTTTTGAACTGCTAATTCTTTTAAATTATTGTTTGAGTAGCCACATTCAACCATGTCAGATGTTAAACTTTTAGTGTTTCTTGTTACTTCTTTAAACAATGCTAAATCTGGTAACCTAGCCTTTGAGGTGACAAGCTCATGCTTATACCCCCTCATCATGAGTGTTGACAACCATTGGCCACATGTAAGCAAAAACTAAACTGGCAGCAGGAGAGCTCATCCCAGGATGTTGCCAGTTTTTCATTTGCCTGGCATGGGATCAGTATGCACCCATCTCTTTCTTGGCAGTAATCTAGGCAGATTTGGAAGGTTTTCATCATACTTAACTTGGGGTTCAAAAGCAACGACAACAAAAAAGCAGCTAGAGATCACTGCAACAACACATTTCATACTGAGGGCAATACGGGTCAGTAGGTGACATGCAGTACAAATTGAAACTAGTGTTTTCTATAAGCACTCAAAGTTGTATGCCTCTATCTTCTCTCCAAATAGGTCCCAAATATGTTACAGAAAAATCTAGGATGGCATTTTCCTCCTTTGACCACAGCTGAGACTCAGAGGGACTTGAGGTCTTTCTGGTACTATTAGTGAACATCTTTGAATTTTTCTCCTCTGGACCCTCAGTCAGTGCTTCTAGAACTGTGTGCCTCTTTTGGCTACTGTAAAAGGCACGGTGATTTAAGCCTGGAGAAATGTAAATCTGGGCAACCAACAACCTCCCGTCTATCCTTCAAACACATATACACACACTTTTACACATATCGGTTCATTTTCTTATCAAACACAAATACATGGAACAACACAGTAACAAGAAAAGCAAAGAGACCGGGGGTAGATAAGAGGTAACCTACATTTCCTAAGGTATTTATACTGACCATCCCTCAGCCTTACCTTTACAGGGGGATTCTCTCTTAAGTCAGGTTGCAGTGTTTAAAACGCTATGCAATTTGCTACTGTGTTACTCAGTTTCCAAAAGCCACAATCTACTCAATTCACCTGTTCTGAATCTTTCTTGATTCTCAAAGAAGCCTGTCTCTGAAGAGCTCCATCCTTCTGGGTCACACTTCCTTCTGATATGGGGCCTCTCTCTTCTGTGAAGGTCTCTATTCCAGTCTTCCTGAAGCAGCCCGATGTACCCTTCTTTCTCTGCCTTTTCAAATGGCCACAGTGATGTCACTCTCAGCTGTTTCTAAGCTGGTTCCTAACCTCAAGACTAAGGGAATGACTCAGCTGGAATCAGTAACCTTGTCTTTAAAAGGTCAGACTATTTTGAACCACCACCACCACCATAGACTTAATGCAGTCAACCCGTTTAACAGACAGGTATAAATTAAATACGGGCATACTAAACATGTGTTCTGAGTAAAAGAGACTTATAAAAGATGGAACATTGTTTGCCAAGATTCAAAAAAGTTTTAACTTTGAAATTTCATTACAGTTAGTCTGTTGAGAATGGTAGACAATTTTAAAGCTACTAGTGAACTCCCAAAACTCAATTCGGCAGGCTTTCCTCTGACCTCATCTTCCTTGACCACTAGGCCTTAGAGTCCAAAGGCTGGAGGGGCCGAAGTTCTGATGTCCAAAAGAAGGAGATGAAGTGTGTCCAGCTCCAGGAGAGAGAGGAGAGGAAAGAGAGAGAGAGACTAGCATTTGATACAATTGTCCCTCTAACCTTCCGTTCCTATCCTGGCTTCTCTGACACCCACAATGCCAAGTTAGTTTTGCTCTCATTCCTTTCCTGCTCCCTCAGGTAGTTTATTCATGACGAGTGTCTGCAGTTATCACCTGCATGTGGTTTCTTGGTATTAGTTGGGAGTTGCAAGTAATAGAAACCTAACTTGAACTAGCATAAATTTTACAAACATATTTAAGGATCTTAGGCAAGAATGAAGCTGCCTAAATAAGGAATACTTGGGATCAGAGACTCAAACATGTGAGTTTTCTACCAATTTTGTTTTCTTTTTCTGTGTGACTGTTTCATTTTCCTGTGTGCAGACCATTTTGAATTTATATCTCTTTTGTTCCAGAGAGCAGGAAGACTGGGTTGTAATGTCTTGGTCTCAATTCCAGATTTCTAAGTAAGGCTTTTGATTGGCTCAGTTTAGGCTTAGGTCTCGAATAAATCAATTTCAGCAGGGGGTACAGTCAAGGGAAAAGGTTAAGTGATCACCTTGGATCAATCAACCATGGCTAGGTGGTCATAAGAACATGGTGTCCCTAATGTCACCTCCAGACTTAACCTCCCATCTGAGCACATAAAGAATTTGCTAGATATTATCACATGCTGCCATCTCCAACTTAACAAGCCTGAAACTGATCTCATAATTTCCCACCCAAACTATAGGCCACCTTTACTATTTGTGAATGAATAGTATTATCATTCTCTCACCATCCTTGGCCCAAACCTTGAATCATCCTGCCTCATCTCTTTCTCTTCTGAGTGCAGTCATCAATTTGTAAAATAGTACTGATTAATATTTAGTGGATATTTACTGTATACCACTAAATGGTACATGTATTATCTCCTTTAATTCTCAAACAAACCCCTGAGATAGATTCTATTGGTAAAGCCATTTTTACAGATTAAGAAACTAAAAAAGTTAGCTTGCTCAAGATCATACAACTACAAAGCAATGGGACTTAGAAATAAATTTAAGTCTGTTCAAACTCTGAGCCAAAGCTTTTGTTTTGTTTTGTTTTGTTTTTTTGAGACCAAGTCTCACTCTGTTGCCCAGACTGGAGTGCAGTGGCTTGGTCTTGGCTCACTGCAACCTCCGCCTCCTGGGTTCAGGTGATCTTCTGCCTCAGCCTCCCGAGTAGCTGGGACTACAGGCATGTGCCACCACACCCGGCTATTTTTTATTCTGTATTTTTAATAGAGACAGACTTTCACCATTTGGCCAGGCTGGTCTCAAACTCCTGACCTCAGGTGATCTGCCGGCCTCAGCCTCCCAAAGTGCCGGGATTACAGGTGTGAGCCACAGTGCCCGGCCTAAGCCAAAGATTTTAACAATCATGCGATACTGTCTTATCGCTTCTCTAACATTTTTGTTACATAATATTTCTGATATCTCGTACCCTACAAATCCCTCCCCAATCAGCTTGTACACCCACACAAACAGCCCTGGCACTGCCATTCCCCTACAGCTGGAAAGCTAGAGTCAAGTGTGAGTAGTCCAGACTTTTTCAGGAGTTGCAGTGCTATGTTCCTTGACATTATATGTTAATTTTTAAAACAATGTGTTCATTTTTTTTTTTTTGAAACAGGTCTCACACCCATCACCCAGGCTGGAGTGCAGTAGTGTGATCATGGTTCACTGCAGCCTTGATTTCCTGGGTTCAGGTGATTCTCCCACCTCAGCCTCTCGATTAGCTGGGACTACAGGCACATGCCACCACTCCCAGCTAATTTTTGTATTTTTTTTATAGAGACAGGGTTTCACCACATTGCCTAGGCTGGTCTTAAACTCCTGGGCTCAAGCAATCCTCCTGCCTCGGCTTCCAAAAGTGTTGGGATTACAGGCATGAGTCACGATGCCCTGCCAGTTTTTGTTTGTTTGTTTGTTTGTTTTTTTAAAGTAGTGAAATGTATTAGCTTGTTCTATTTCCCTTTAAATCATTCATTCCTCTGCTATCTTCTATATTTTTCATGACTCAATGGACACCTGCAAAAATTCCAAAGCATAAAATGCTTTAGATGGATATAACCACTTATTGTTGGCCTATGTGTTGAATATATCATATTTTCTTTGACTAGATGCATCTCACTGTTAAGACTATTCCTAGGAAAGACCTTCCCATAATGTGCATCAATTTTCAAGTCTGGCGAACCTTGCAAATCCTTCACCAGGGCACATTTTCCCTTGGAACATGGCAGTGTAGATCTCTTCTCACATATAAACATTTGCTGGCCTATGTTGAATTTCTATTGCTTATAGTTAGTAGTTATAGTAGGGGGACTTTAAAATGGTGCCCAATGACCCTCTCCTCCTGATCTTCACTCCTTTGTTTAATCCCTTCTCTCAAGTGTAGGCTAAACCTCATGGCTTGCTTCTACACAATAGGATACAGCAAAGTTGACAGATGTCACTTCCAAGAGTGGTTACAAAAGATGGTGACTGCTGTCTTGCTAGGAGACTCTATTTCATTGTTGGCTTGTACACTTTGATGAAGCAAGCTGCTATGTTAAAGAGGCACATATAGTAAGGGGATGAGCAAGAAGCCAAATCTTCCTATCCACCAATGTAAGCTTGGAAGCAAATCCTTCCCCAGTCAAGACTTGAGATGACCCTGGAAATATGAAAACCTGTTAGGCCCTTCCTGGATTCCTTGACCCACAGAAATTGTGAGATAATAATGTTTGTTGTCTTAGGCCACTAGGTTTTATGGATTTTTACTCAGAAACAGATTAATAATATAACAAAATTCAAAACATCAACCTTTCCTCTATTAAACTGATGTAATCATATATTTGACTTTTTGGGAAAAATTATTTTTACAACTGTTTAACTTTTATTTGAGTCACACAATAAGCTATTTTTGTCCATCCTTAGAGTGTTTCCAGTTGATGACTTCCAGTATCCTATGCTAGGAACAGGGAAAGAGGCAAATGCAAACATGTGGCTCCTTTTCTGTTAACACTCCAACATTTGAGAAGCTGCAGCAAGTACACTTCCAACATAATTATGTGAGCCTTTCAATGTGACTTCTTGCCAATCCAAGGTCCCTCAACTAACATTCTTTCTACCGTCAATTTCTTCATGTAATATTCTTCTTACTAAATACTAAACACACACTAAAAATTTATATTTCAAAACTTAAAAATATAGCATATTAGTTTAGAAAACTAATGAGAACAGTAGGGAAAAATATCTTTATAATCTGAAATGATTCCAAAATTAATCCCAAAGTGCATACAATTCAGGCTGCCAAATAATCTATTAGTTATCAGTTGTAGTGAATAAATTACCAACTCCTTTTTATGATGTGATGACAACTTTGGCTTTAGTGACCATATTCTCTGTGATAACAAAGAGCAAAGGGGCACCCACTACCTATTTCCTTAGATGTAAAGTGTTGTACTCCTATTTTCACAGATTACAGAAAGACAATTGTTTTTGTGAATTATTTTCTTGGGAACAGAATTTTTACACTGATCCTGCCTCAAAGGTTTGTATTCTATATAAAGCAATAGCCAAATTTGTTTGTGGAGAAAATAAACAAATATTTACTGTTTCTCCCTTTTTTCTCCAAGAAGCACCACCTTAAGCCATATATATCTGTGCACCCCCATAAACCATCAAGTGTAATACTGGCCAGTTAGATGATCCTTTTTAGGGGAGAAAAAAGGGTCAGAAGCCAAATAGCATCTGCATGTAAAACGTTCTTTATTTCTCCAAAAAATAAGAAATCTAACTTGAAACTGCACTTTAACGCCAGATACCTTTTAGTATGCATGCAGGTTTCACTAAATAATTCTTTGTCTCAGTCACCCCAAGTATCCAACCCTGAGACCAACTCTTAACACTCCTCACAAAATATATTCCTTGTAATAAATTGCAAAAAGCTTTCATGGGATGGACAATTGGTTAGAGAGGATGAATCTAATCTGTGCCACAGAGTATTTGGCCAACATCAATTCCAGCTCCCACACCACCTGTTATCTTTGGAATTCTGTCTCTGTTTTAAATCATTCTTTCAATGCACATTAGAAAGAGGCACTAAGGAGTGGCAAACCTAATTTGTTGCACTTTTTGTTTTATACCATGGGAAAATATCTACACAAACAGATGCTAATATAAAGACAGTGTTTTTAATAGAATGGTTGGTTTATGTTCCTCCCATTTGTTCAAAGTACTAACACATCATTAACATTCAACACTGAAAAACTTAGATTGACACACACTTTTATTGTCCAACATAAGTGTTAAGGGAAAGACAGCCACAGATTTGCATTCATCTCTTTCCTGTTCCCAGCATAGGATACTAGGAGCCACAGATTGGAAACATTCCAAGGATGAGCAAAAAGAGCTTACTGTTGGACTCATACATAATAATTAAACATAATTTTGCCCAAAAAAGTTGCTGTGAGTCAATCACAAGTAATATTTTAAAATTTAAAATGTTAAGTCACACAGTATTCCTGAATTTACATTTGATCTTTAATTCATAGTCACATTTACAAGCAATATTATCAGGTTGGGCAGTGGTAAAAATCAAATTATGGTTTGAGAGTCTACCAACTTCTTATTACAAAAAAAGATCTCTGTATGAAGAATATTATTTTGTATTAAAACTATCAGTTTTAAACAGCTGTCAGTCAGAAAGAAATTTACAGCAAAGAATAGTAAATGATGTATATCTTCTTTTCCTTAGTCAGGACAACACAATAATTTTTAACCACATACAGTATGAAGGGGCAAATAATTATGTTTCTACATTAAAGGAGGCAAAGTACACAAGAAAGCATGACAAAAAGCAAAAGCAAAAATAAAACAAGTTTAGATTAAGATCTAGTTTCAAGCCAGTCCCCATCACTTGCTAGTCATGTGGCTTTAAAAAATTAACCTCTGTAGATTCTACATTCCTCTTCCAATAAGCAAGATTCTTTCCAGTTCACAAAGTTCTAAATTCGAAATCCTCCTTCAGATTCAGAAAAGCAACCTACAGTCTATAGCTGTTGTACTTTCTGCAGATTTCTGTATTAAATAAAATCTATCTGTAAATGGTTAAGTATATTCTAGAGACAAATTAACAGACATTAATGTAAATTACATTAATAGTACTTTGTTTTGTGGGGCAAGATACAAGCTGGAGTAGGTATTGGTAAAAATGAAATTATGGTTTGAGAGCCTACCAAGAGTTCTAAAATCTTAATAAATCAAGAGTTTTAAAAATTTTCTTAAAAAACTAAAGAAAATGAGAAGTCAAAGGAATGACATGTGATGTTATAGAAGGAAAAGGAAAAAAATTAACTTTTCTTTGAGAAAAATATCCCCTAAAACATAGTAGTTTCGAGTAAGTGGGGTTTTAAGTGCAACAGGTGACCTTTAAACTATTTTTCATGAGAGTGTATCAACTGAACTAATTTATATTACATCCAGGTGGATTACGTTTTTCTCATTTTCACTATATATTATTCTTATTTGTTCTACCACTCTCTTCACATTATTTAGGTCTTCTATGACTGTGGTCAAATCATGGTATTTCTCATCAGAAAATCAAAATATGTTACTGCTACTTTCAAGTTCAGGAGGTCAAGTTTCAAACATGGAAGTGAGAGGTGAAGCCACTGGGCTTCTGGGTTGGTGGAGACTTGGAGAACTTTTCTGTCTAGCTAAAGGATTGTAAACACACCAATCAGTGCTCTGTGTCTAGCTAAAGGTTTGTAAACGCACCAATCAGCACTCTGTAAAAATGCACCAATCAGTGCTCTGTGTCTAGCTAAAGATTTGTAAACGCAGCAATCAGCACTCTGTAAAAATGGACTAATCAGCACTCTGTAAAATGGACCAATCAGCAGGACGTGGGTGGGGCCAAATAAGGGAATAAAAGCTGGCCACCCGAGCCAGCAGCAGCAACCTGTGGGTCCCCTTCCAGGCTGTGGAAGCTTTCTTTTTTTGCTCTTCATAATAAATCTTGCTGCTACTCACTCTTTGGATCCACACCACCATTATGAGCTGTAACACTCACTGCGAAGGTCTGCGACTTTACTTCTGAAGTCAGCGAAACCATGAACCCACCGGTTGGAACAAACAACTCTGCACACGCCACCTTTAAGAGCTGTAACACTCACTTGCAAAGGTCTGTGGCTTCACTCCTGAAGTCAGCAAGACCATGAACTCACCGGAAGGAAGAAACTCCAGACACATCTGAACATCTGAAGTAACAAACTCTGGACACACCATCTTTAAGAACTGTAACACTCACTGTGAGGGTCCACAGCTTCATTCTTGAAGTCAGCAAGACCAAGAACCCACCAGAAGGAATAAATTCTGGACACAGAAGTTAATATCAATAATTACACAAAAACCCATATAAGAAGTCACTCTGGAACAAGATTTTTAGCCTTTGAGCCCTGAGTCTATTTTTATTGTTAAGTATTTCATGTTTATTTTTTTCTCATCCTCTACAAAAAAGCAGCAGTAAACATGTGATGACCAGCCCTTTGTCAGTTAAACTTTTTCCCCTGGGGCATTAGAGGAATTTTGTATGAGAACTCTCAAAATGCCTTACATACTGCTACGACTAAGATGTTACCCAGAGAATCTTACTTTCTTGGTATCATTTATTCACTTTGGGGAAAAAAAAAGCAACCCATAACTGGTAACACTAATCATTGTTTCAGAAAACACAAAACATTCTAGGCTGCATTAAAAGGTATATAGAATGCATAAATAAAGAGGTACTGGTTTTTGTTTTGACATGAGGCAAATCTTTACTATATTCATTTGGAGGCTCCATAGCAAACAACATAATAAAATAATTTAGAAAGGACTTTAAGTAAAAATCTCAATGATTAGTAGAATTTTAGGAGGCAAGAATTATGCAAAAAGTTAATTTATTATAAAATTTATTTCTATTTTGAAAAGAAATGTATTACTTTTTATACCGTAAGATTTATGAGAAGCTCTCTGAATACAATGATCAGGTACATATATGTTAAAAGTAAGCTAAATTTTAAAAACCTGGTATTTAAGTTAGATATGTTAAGTCTCCTTTTTTGGAGATCCTTAAAACAAATATATTCTTTTATTTCAAAGATATTACATGGGCTTTTGGAACAGAGCAGAGAGACACCCCTCAAAGTGCTTTCAAATGCAGTATTAGAATGCTGACAAGATGCAGAAGGCCTGTGATTTCCAGGAATCCACTTAACTTCTCTCTAAACTTTACTTAATGCAGTAAGTAAAGTGGAAAGAATATTTGTTTTCCTCACAGGATGTTGTATCTATTAAATTCAATAAACATGAACTGTTAATGTGCAAAACAATAATGCCAACATTGTCATAAAACAATCTGTGTTCTCAGTGAGTTTATAATCTAGTAAAAGAGATAATATGAACAATTCTAATACAAGTCAGAATGACCTAAAGACTATAATGGAGGAATAAATATATAGTGCTATTCACCTCTCACAGAAAAGAAAATAATTGATTTCAATGTGAAGGGCTGGGGACAGAAAAGGCTGCATTTGAGCTGGACTTTGAGGATAAGTAACAGTTCAAGAAGCAACACGATAAGAGTGAAAGGGACATTAATCCTTGAATCAAAAGCCAGAGCTCTTTTCTACTTCTGCCTCTACCACTCACTAGAAACTAGCAGGAATCCCTTGCACAGAAGAGGCTGTGAGCATGTGGTCTTGTCTGAGTTGCTGTTGTTCACACAAGAAGGGACAGCTCAGTCTACTTGCTGATTTCACAGTAGGCTCAGCTGTTTCTGTCCACCTGTGGACAGAATGCTCCTGATGCATGAGATTCTGGCCTGAATCCTAGTATTCATGTTCTACTCTCCAACTGGGGAGAATTCCTGCATTAGGATGGTAATCCCTGGTCTTGCCAACTACTAAGTTCTCCTAGAAGGCTACAGATGCAAATCAGCCATCCAATTTTAGCTGCTTTAATTAGGTAAGACTCATTGTTTGGCATTCTGCATGATTCCTTTCAAAACTGTACTGGTACTACTATTTAGCCATTTTCAATTTACAGTGTTATTAAAAGCTTAAACATTTTTATCTTATTTTCATTTTTAACCTTTAAAGAGAACAGGAAGCAATAACATAATAGGGACAGTCCTACAGCTAGTCCTGCCTCAAGCAGAGAAAATTAGTATATTCCCACCCTGGCTTCCTTAGTTAGCTTGGCATAATATTTTCAAGGCTGAAATTTAGATTTCTGACTTAAAAGTGGGCTAATCTCTTTAAACTTGGATCCAGTATTGAGGATCCAAACTTAGCACCTAGAACTAAGGAATACCATTATAATTGATAAAAACATTAAGATCCAGTGGATAAACTGGCAAAGAAAAGACAAAGGACATTCATAGAAAACATCATGACTAGTAAATATGTAGGGAAAAAAATTAAACCTATTAAGAAGACCATAACAATAATAAAATATTCTATCCTGGGAAGAATAGGAAAGAAGAAACTAGAAATCTCATATATTGCCGGTGGCAATATACCTTGGAATAAGCCTTACAAAAACCTATTTGGCTATAAAATGTTCTCTATTTCCACCTTAGGAAATTTATAGAAATCTCATAATCTTCTGGTTTCCATCCCTGCTCCTGCCCCCAGCACAATCGGTTTTCAAAACCACAGTGGGAATGATCTGCTTCTTTGTTCAAGACCCTCCAGTGGCTTCTCATTTAACCAGGGTAAAAGGGCAAGTCCTTAGATGACCCATAGGCCCCATGTGTTTCCCTGCTCCCTCTTGGGCCTCATCTCTGCTTCTCTTCCCTGCTCCCTACACTCCAGCCACACAAGCCTCCTTGCTGTTCTTGGAACAAACCAGCTGCACTCCTGCCTTAGGACTTTTGCTCTTGGCATTGCTACTTCAATGCTCCAGACCCACATGGGCTCAGTCCTGCTTCCCTTCACCACTTTGCTCAGTTGTTATCTTCCCAGTGAGGCCTGCCTTGACCTACTCAATTCAAAATTTCAATTTGCTGCTCTTACCCTTGAACTCAACCTGGATTCCCAATTTCTCCTTACTCTGTTTTTCCTTTTACATATTAGACAAATTATTTATTATGTTTATGATATGTCTTCCCCACACAAAATGCAAGTTTTACAACAGCAGGGATTTTGTCTGTTTTGTACTCATGCACGCTAAAAACGTAAAATAATAGCACCTGGCACATACACATAGGCAGTCAATAAGTAATGGTTGAATGAATTATAGAAAAACGTAAATGAGAAATCATGTCTAAAACAGCAGACTTGCTAATTAAAATCACTGTAGTGGCATGGCTTCTGGATGGATCCCTCTTATCTTTCTGCCTGATTCAATCTTTTGCGGCCAGGTACTCAAAAGAGGAGAAAGAGCCCCAACTATCTATATATTGGGTATTCTTGAATGGAGAAGCAACGTTGACATTTTTGCTCTCGGGGTGAACAAGGATCCTTTTAGAGTCTTGTTTACTAGTCATAGTATAGAGGGGCATAATTTGAGAAGGGGAGTCTGCTCTTAACAGGTCATCAGAACAGGGTAAGTGTCAGGTCAACCACAGAAACCTTGATCTGTGGCTAGGACTCGCACATTTTACAAAGCTCTTCTATTTTCTGTGGCCACCACTGTCCCCTCCCACCCATTAAAGCAGAGCTACTTCTTCACTATTCTAACTCCTCCAAAGCTGCCACATCAGAAGCAGAGGCTTATCCCTCATTGCGTTCTAGGAAGACATAAGTCTACATGTGGGGCTGATACTTTAACACAGTTTGCTAACTTAGATAACAAGTTATTCTCATCAAGTAAATTTTTAAGTTTTAACCCAAACCACATTTAATGTTTAATACTAAACTTAGAGTAACTTTTACTCCTTTTTTTTTCTAACAGGAGGTAATAATAATATTCTATGTATGAATCCACTACACAGGCAGACACCTCATTTTTTTTCTCCTCTTCTTGGTGGGGAGATAAACTCAAACAGAACATTAACACTGAAAAATTCCCAATATGATCTATCCTGTGAATATCTAAGTCTAATCTAAGACTCATGGGGGAAATGAAAAATGATTGTGGCTCTACCCCAGAAATTCTGATGAATAGATCTTTAGGGAACACCAGGAATTTGTACTTTAAGAAGCATTCTTGGTGATTTTGATGCTGGTGTTTCATACAGCCCACTGGTAAAACAGAATATGGAAAGAAGGATGAAAATAATAGAAGCCAACAGGAATTTAAAGATTTGATTCACCATGTAAGACATTATAAGACAGTATAATGAGTAAAGATAAACTAGTAGTGGCAAGACATACCTTGACCTATGGCAAGACAATGATGCCCCTTCTGAAACTAAATCATCATATTATTAATAAGCATATAAGCTGCTAAAAAGGCATGTAGTCATTGGTGGAGGAACAGACTTTAAGTGCTCCTCTGTAGACTGAAGAAATGCTACTAAATATATCGTATATGAAATGTTTGTCTTATGTGAAAAATAAATGAAAGCTCATAAAAATTTCAGATTTTGTACTTATAGCAAGTTTGAGAGTGATTCTTGGATAGTCCACCCCCTTTACTTTTTCACATCCATGGGAACTGGCTGTGGGTATTACCTAAAATTGCATCTATGGATCAATTTTAGTTTCCTAATTTGTTTTAGGCAGTTTTAACAATAATTCACTCTGAATTTTCCCAGTAGTTTTCCTTTGTAAGTATTTAGTATAATGTCTATTCAATTTGTTTCATGGGATTGGACTGGCAAAAATTAAATTAGCTAGTATGGAAGACATTCTGAAACAATCATGAAAGAGCCACATTGTCATCATAATAATAGTGATGACTATGTAGCAACATAGAAAGATGCCTATAATTTTAAAAATTTCAAAATTATATACTAAGATTATAATTACATAACATCACACACTATGAAGATAATCATTAACTGGACTAATGTAGACAGATGGTATATTAGTTTGTTTTTGTGTTGCTATAAAGAAATACCTGAGGCTGGGTAATTTATAAAGAGGTTTATTTTGGCTCACAGTTCTGCAGGCTGTATAAGCACAGTACCAACATCTGCTCGGCTTCTGGTGAGGGCCTCAGGAAGCTTACATCATGGTAGAAGGCAAAAGGGGAGCAGGTGTGTCACATGGCAAGAGAGCAGGCAAGAGAGGGTGGGTGCAAGAGAGCAAGAATGGGAGTTGCCAGGCTCTCTCATGTGAGCTCTCGTGTGAGCTATCAGAGTAAGTGATATGGCCTGGCTTTGTGTCCCCACCCAAATCTCATAATGATTTGTAATCCAAGTTGTAATCCCCATGTGTTGAGGGAGGGGCTTGTGGGAGGTAATTTGATCATGGAGGTGGTTTCTCCATGCTGTTCTCCTGGTAATGAGTGAGTTCTCATGAGATCTGATGATTTTATAAGGGGTTTTTCTCCCTTTCGCTCTGCACTTTTCTCTCCTGCCGCCATGTAAAGAAGGATGTGTTTGCTTCCCCTTCTGTCACAATTGTAAGTTTCCTGAGGCCTCCCTAGCCATGTGGAATGGTGAATCAACTAAATCTCTTTCATTTATAAGTTACCCAGGCTCAGGCAGTTCTTTTTTTTTTTTTTTTTTTTTTTTTTGAGACGGAGTTTTGCTGTTCCCCAGGCTGGAGTGCAGTGGTGCTATCTCGGCTCACTGCAAGCTCCGCCCCCCGGGGTTCACGCCATTCTCCTGCCTCAGCCTCCCAAGTAGCTGAGACTACAGGTGCCTGCCACCTTGCCCGGCTAATTTTTTGTATTTTAGTAGAGACGAGGTTTCACCATGTTAGCCAGGATGGTCTCAATCTCCTGACCTCGTGATCCACCCGCCTCGGCCTCCCAAAGTGCTGGGATTACAGATGTGAGCCACCACGCCCGGTCGGCAGTTCTTTATAGCAGCATGAGAATGGACTAATATAGTACATTGAGTGGAGTGCTGCTATAAAGAGACCCAAAAATGTAGAAGCAACTTTGGAACTGGGTAACAAGCAGAGGTTGAAAGTTTGGAGGGCTCAGAAGAAGACAGGAAGGTGTGGGAAAGTTTGGAACTTCCTAGAGACTTGTTGAATGGTTTTGACCAAAATGCTAATAGTGATATGGACAATGAAGTCCAGGCTGAGTTGGTTTCAGATGGAGATGAGTAACTTCTTGGGAACTGGAGCAAAGGTGACTCTTGCTATGCCTTAGCAAAGAGACTGGTGGCATTGTGCACCTGCCCTAGAGATCTGTAGAACTCTGAACTTGAGAGAGATTATTTAGGGTATCTGGCAGAAGAAATTTCTAAGTGGTAAAGCATTCAAGAGGAAGCAGAACACGAAAGTTTGGAAAATTTGTAGCCTAATGATGCACAAAGAAAAACCCATTTTCTGGGGAGAAATTCAATCCTGCTGCAGAATTTGCTTAAATAACAAGGAGATGAATGTTAATCACGAAGACAATGGGGAAAATCTCTCCAGGGCATGTCAGAGACCTTCAGAGCAGCCCCTCCAATCACAGGCCTGGAGGACTAGGAAGAAAAAAGGTTTTGTGGTTTAGGCCCAGTCCCCCTTGCACTGTGCAGCCTTGGGACATGGTACCCTGCATCCCGGCTGCTCTAGCCATGGCTAAAAGGGGCCAAGGTCCAGTTAGGCCATGGCTTCAGAGGGTGCAAGCCCCAAGCCCTAATGGCTTCCATGTGGTGTTGAGCCTGGGGGTGTACAAAAGTCAAGAAGTGAGATTTGGGAAGCTCTGCCTAGATTTCAGAGGATGTATGGAAATCCCTGGATGTCCAGGTAGAAGTTTGCTGCAGGCGCAGAGCCCTCAAGGAGAACCTCTGTTAGGGCAGTACAGAAGGGAAATGTGGGTCTGGAGCTCCCACACAGAGGCTTCACTAGGGCACTGCCTAGTGGAGCTGTGAGAAGAGGGCCACCATCCTCCAGACCCCAGAATGGTAGATCCACCTACAGTTTGCAACCGTGTGCCTGGAAAAGCCACAGACACTCAATGCCAGCCCATGATGAAAGCAGCCATGAGGGGGGCTGTACCCTGCAAAGCCACAGGGGGTGGAACTGCCCAAGGCCATGGGAGCCCACCTCTTCCATCAGCATGGCCTCGATGTGAGACATCGGGTCTAAGGAGATCATTTTGGAACTTTAAGGCTCAATGACTGCCCTATTGGATTTTGGACTTGTATGGGGTCTGTAGTACCTTTATTTTGGACAATTTCTCCCACTTGAAATGGCTGTATTTACCCACTACCTGTACCCCCATTGTATCTAGGAAGTAACTAACTTGCTTTTGATTTTACAGGCTCATAGGCGGAAGGGACTTGCCTTGTCTCAGATAAGACTCTGGACTTGGACTTTGGGGTTAATGCTGGAATGAGTTAAGACTTTGGGGGACTGTTGGAAAGGCATAATTGTGTTTGAAATGTGAGAAGGAAGAGATTTGGGAGTAGCAAGGGACAGAATGATATGGCATGGCTCTGAGTCCCCACCTAAATCTCATCTTGAATTGTAATCTGAATTGTAATCCAAAAGTGTTGGAGAAGGGACCTCATGGGAGGTGATTAGATCATGGCAGCAGTTCCCTTATACTGTTCTTGTGACGGTGAGTGAGTTCTCGTGAGAGCTGATGATTTTTATAAGGGGCTTTCCCCTCTTTGCTCTGCACTTGTCTCTCTTGCCACCACGTGAAGGACATGTTTGTTTCCCTTTCCTCTGTAACTTTAAGTTTCCTGAGGTCTCCCCAGCCATGTGGAAGTCAATTAAACCTCTTTTCTTTATAAATTACCCAGTCTCAGGCGGTTCTTTATAGCAGCATGAAAATGGACTAATACAGAGAGAACTTACTCATTACCAAAGAGATTACATTTCACCATGAGATTTGGAGCGGACAAAACATCTAAACCATATCAAATGGATTTACCTCCCTAGCAAGGCTCACTAGGTAGCATCTGAGTACTACTGACTGCTAGAAGGAGAGGGGGAAAAATACTAGGTGTGCCTTGCCCCACAAGAGGACCACCAGACATAGCTTACCTCTTCCAACTTCTGAGAGACTAACATGTCACATGCCATAAATCCACTATCTATCTCTTGATAATTCCAGCTAACTTGTTACAACTATTGCAATAATAGTACTCTATTTTCTACCTTTCTACAAGTTTTATTTTCACAATTTAAACAATATATCTATAAAAGTAAAAAGAATTCACTCTTCTCTTACACTCTTTGTTGTCCCTCAAAGAGGTTCATACATGACCAAAGACACTTCAACAGAATATTTACTCCTGGAATAATCATTTAAACTCTCTGTGCCTGTTTTCTTGTCTATAAAATAGAGGAGAGCTCTGAGCTTTGCCTACATTACAAGGCGGTTGTATGCGAGAAACTGAATGCATAGAAGGATGGAAAAACCATAGGATTTACAGCACAGAGTAATGGGCTCTATGTAATCCTGGCTCTGAAACTGAACTCGCTGTGTGACCTTGGGCAAGTTATAGAACTTCTCAAGTACAGGCATATAGGGTATTATGTACACATAGTATCCAAAACAGTGCTTGATATACAATAGGTGCTCAATAAATAATAACCTGTTATCAAAACAGTCTTTTGTAAACCACAAAGCACTATAAATGCAATTTGTTAATGATGATATATAGAAAAAGGGAGAAAAAGTAGTGAACAAAACTGGTAAGACAGAAGTGCAGTATTTGGAGTGTGAGTATAAGATATGTTTGAGGAGTGAGTAGCATTGCATGGCTGTAGGATGGGTTTCCTGACAAAAGGAAAGAGTCTGATTTTTATTGTCAAGAATATAGAAAACTATGCATAGAGAGCATTTTGAGAAAAATATAACAAGATAGGATCTATGCTGTAAGAAAATCACTGTTTAGAAATGTGGAAGATGGTATGAAGGGAGAAAAACTGGAGGCAAGACAACCACTTGGTTAGGAGGTAAGAGTGCATGATACTGAGCATGGGGATGAGGCAGAGGGGCTGGATCTCAGAGTCATGGAGAAGAGATAGGAGCCTGTTAACAAGAGTCTAGTGAAGTAAGGGAAAACTCAAGAGAGTAGGGATGTCAACAAATGAGGACAACAAATAACCATTTAGATCATCTTCATGAATAAAGAGAAGTTCCATAAGATTTCAAGGCTTCAAGTGGAAGATTTAGAGAAAGTCAATTCCATTGTTCAAGAATAAGGAGAAAGGAGCATATGTGTAAGTGAAGATGAATTCAGGTTTGGACAAGAGAAGTCAAAGGCATTTAAACTGATGACCAATAGGTAGACACCAGAAAGAGACCTGGGCTGCTTATGGAGATTTGGGAGTCATCGTTATAGAGGTCACCATCATAGAGGGAGTAGTCACTACAGAGTGTCATCCTGTAGAGATGATGAGGGTCATCCCCAGAGTCATCACCATAAGGGGAATGAATGAGAATCAAAAAGAGATTAGGATTTCCAAAACAATAAATTACAGGAAGGAGCCTTAATAAATGTAACACATTTACACAGGCACTAATAAGAGAGTAGAGGTTGGCCAAATATTTAAAGCCTCTACCAGCAATGGACTTGAAAAGGAATAATATAGTATGAAAATGAAAGTAACAGTTGTCTACACAAAGTTTATTAATTTATTGAATCTGTGATTTTTACATCCAATCTACAGAAATAAAAACTGGTAAAATCAATGGGTTCCTTCAGGTATAGAAACTAGAAATGGTCAACTCAATGCCTCTAAATTTGTGCTATGAAATGAAACAAAATCTTTTTTTTTTTTTTGAGACGGAGTCTCTCTCTGTCGCCTAGGCTGGAGTGCAGTGGCACAATCTCTGCTCACTGCAACCTCTGCCTCCTGGGCTCAAGCAGTTCTTCTGCCTCAGCCTCCTGAGTAGCTGGGTCTACAGGCATGCACCACCACGCCTGGCTAATTTTTGTATTTTTAATAGAGATGGGGTTTCAACATACTGGCCAGGCTGGTCTTGAACTCCTGACCTTGTGATCTGCCCACCTCGGCCTCCCAAAGTGCTGAAATTACAGGCATGAGCCACCGTGCCTGGCCAAAATCTTCTTTTTATATCAATAAATGTCCAAAGGAGAGTAATTTAAAATTCTTACTGTTTATTTATATATTGCATAGCTCAAAAAGTTTGAAAAAATGAAGTTTTAACAGGAAGTCAGTAAATGCTCATAGACCCCCTTGTCTCTAGCACTTGGAGTCCTTAGAGATGGGAATCTTGACAGCAGAATTTCAGATGTTTCAATCACTTGCCAAGGAAGTGCCACACTTGCTCTGCATTTAAAATGGGGAAAGAGGGTATTAGGGAAGGGATAAGAGGAGGGAGAAGGGAGTGATTAATCAAATTTAATTTCGACTTTTAGGAAGTATTTAGGCAGATACAAACAGTCATAAGCTATCTAAAGTTGCATTTCTCTATTTAAAGCTATTTCCCTTCAAACTTTCGTCCCAAGTTCTCTCATTTGGCCCAAGCCTTATATAAAGCTACATTAAAAATTCTAGAGCCTTCCTACTTTATTTCTTGTATCTTTCTGGGTCATTTTAGTCTCTAGCAGACAACATAGAAGTGCTATAATATGAAAGGTTTAGATAAAGCTTGTATTGTAAAATTTGACTACACAAAAAATGCCCCAAATGGGATAGTATCGCAAAGAAACAATTTGTTAGCTTACCATATAAGGAATACAGTTTGCTTTCCCATGAAATCATGTCTATGGATTTACTCCTTTCTAAACATGTCATACTTGACTCACAGTAAATAGTTCTCATATTTCTTCCAAATCTGCAAGTTGAATGTTCTTCTAATATTTTATATTAAAACAAAAAGCCAAAATCTTGCAATATTTTGAAAGACAAATGATGTGTGCACATGCTTAAATTCTGAAAATTCACTACAGAGCATTTTTACTTGTTTATTAAAACAGCTTCAAATAATGGTAATAAAAATATTATATTTATTTTTAATTCTATAACTATAGATTTTAAGATCTTCAGCTAAAATAAGTGATTCATTAAAAAAAGATAAATATCTAAATGTAAGAGTTTTTTTTTAATTAAATCTTTTAAAATTAAATGTATCAGAACTGGCTGGAATATCTCAGTACTTCAGCGAAAAAAAAAGTCACCGTACAATCAAATCATTTTCTAACCTAGAAAAGTAGTTAAATGCATTCTCCTTATTTTCTGAGTTAGAAAATATTTCATCTGAAATTTTAGCGACTATTTTAAAAATATTTCACTTAGCTTATACAGCTTTTCAATTTATCTATTTTATTTTTAGTTTTAGTTTTTGGCTTCCACTACTGTAAACAAATAAATTTATACATGTTACTCTTAATGAATCAAAATATACTATACCTTCTTCATTACTTTCTTTATTTGGTGAAGATGATACCTGGAAATAAAAACAGAGAAAGAATCTCTGTTACAATAAATATTTATATGTGGAAAGCGCATCCAGAAGTTTTTTCACGAAATTATAGAAGAAAGTTTACACACAATGGATCTCTAACCTGAAAAAGGTAAATATTCCCCTTTGCTTTTCATTATCATTGTTCATTCTTTCAGATAAACAAACAACAGACTTAGAGTAAAATAAAAATACTTGAAAATATTTTTTATCTTAACCCATGGAATCCACTGAAGGTCTTGCAGCTAGGAATGAGAAGAGAGGTTTTCTTTCAATGGCTTCCGCAGCTAATGTCTTGAAAGTTAAAATCAAGCACACACACACACATATTTAAATATATGTTTGTTCATGCTTGCTATAAAACACACACTTGCTAAAAAATTTATCTGTCTTCTAGAACTTTAAATTATTGTTTCTATTTATTCTGATGGCTGGGCCAAGATTCTGAGAACAGACAAGTTTGAAGAAACATTTTTATGCAATAGTTTTTTTCCCCATAATTAAGAATAATACTTTTTAGCACTCCATTGGAAGATCTATTTTCCATAAGGAAGAAGCCATAAAGATTTAGTTTAAAGAATCATTAGAATTTACATCTATGTGACCACCATCCAAGTAGAGAAATGAAACATGCCAGGCCCCTCCCCAACTATGACCCCTTCCTTCCTAGCAATAACCCTACCCTACCCTGATTTTATAACACACTTTTCAGATTTCAAATTTAATAATTAACTTCTAATTCTCTGAATTTGCTGACCTTCAATAGATAGGAAATACCTGCCTCTAGCATTTAAGTCTGAGGCAGAGGTCCAAATGTACAAATATATATCTAAATATTTAAAAGTTACAATAACTCAGGCTAACAACTGATGAATATATATATGAAATGTGTTCCATCTCACTATCTTGATACAAATACCTTTGTAATGACCTGGAAACTCTCATTTAGGATTCCAGACACCTTAGAGACATGTGTCTGGATGCAGCAGAGGAAGGAAAAGAGGCCCTCATCCTGCTCCACTTCTCTCCCTATTCCAGGCTCCTTTCTGTATTTCAAGGGCCTCATCTGCACATGGGTAATAATTTAGTAGCCCACATATCTAGGCACCTTTTACCTCCAAACAGCCACCCACCGGCCCCTGCAGAAGTAACGGTGGGTACAAAGTCCATAGAGTCAGGAGCGTGGACCTGGGGAGATGTGTAGCCTGGTTTCTACACAGGCCCCAGAAACAGGCTTAAACCTGTCTGGGCAGAGGATTCCAGGGTCCTGGGTAGCCAGGATGTGGTCTAGAATGGGGGCATGCCTCCTAGTGAGTCTAACTTTGGCCCCTTGTGGGGATGTGGTCTAGAATGGGGGCATGCCTCCTGGTGAATCTATAACTTTGGCCCCTTGGTCTTCTTGCCCTACGGTGAGATATGTGACTGAATAACGGCCAAGTATGACCCTCCAAAAAGCAGGATCTGAGGAAGGCTCTCCGTGCTTAAATCTAAGGGCAGTACTGAATAGCCACCACTCCACCAGAAGAAAGATTTATATTTCAGCAATATTAAAATATTCCCTATGATAGCTAATTTTATGTGTCAACTTGGAGGGTGTTTTTAGATGAGATTAACATTTAAACCAGTGAACTCTGAATAATGCAGATTACCCTCCATAATGTTGGTAGGCCCCATCTGATCAGTTGAAGGCTTTAATAGAACAAAAAGACTAGTCTGTCCCAAGCAAAAGGGAATTCTCCAGGAGACAGCCATCAGATTTCATCTGCTCAACTGGCTCTCCTGGGTCTCCAGGCTGCTGGCCTTCACACTGGAACTGCATCATCTGCTTTCCTGAGTCTCCAGCCCACCAGCCCAACTGCAAATTTTGGACTTGCCAAGCCACTATAATCATGTAAGCCAATTCCTTATAATAAATCTCTTTCTGTATATGCACATCCAATTGGTTCTGACTCTCTGGAGAATCCTAATAAATTCCCCCAAATCATAAATAGTTTAAAGTTATTACTCTTTCTACTCTGTTTTAAGAAAAAAGCTGAACAAACAGACTTTGTTTTATTTTCTTTATATCAAAGAAAAGGATAGTGTAACCATGTAAATAAAATTACAATTTTTATCTTTTTGTTTGTTTGTTTTAGAGATGGAGTCTCGCTAAGTTGCCCAGGCTGGTCTTGAACTTCTGGGCTCAAACTTTCCTCCCACCTTGGTCTCCCAAAGTGCTAGGATAACAGGCATGAGCACCGTGCCTGGCCTAAAATTACAATTTTTAAAAACATCCTTTAGTTTTTCCAAGTACTTCAAAAAGAATAAAATCTCTACTCAGTTTGTGCACAAAGAAAAATTCTTAACCATCGTTGGTTTTGAGGATGGTAGAATTTAAATCTGGGTATGACAGTAACACAACATAAAAATTGTACTCCTTGAGATTAGGCATTTGGGATTTGACGGCTCTGTTTTTCTAAACAGACCATAAAACGGGTTAACCTGCTTATTCTATGAAATTGCTATATACTCCTTAAATTGTGCAGGATGCCTATTTGTGTCCTGCACAATTTAAGGACAGTATAACAATACAAAATTTTTTTTCTCAAATTAGCTGTTTAGATTTCCTGCTTAAAATTAGCAGCTGCTTCTTGTTGGAGTGCCAAACATTTCAGAGGAATAAAATGTACAGTGTATAAAAATAGAATAATTGAGCAGCTTCTCGTTAACCTAAAAAGTATTACAGTAAAGAAATGGGCAAGCTACTCTAAAACATTTATCATTACATTTTATTTTAAAATAATTTCCAGAATGGTTTTATTTCTTCATTCTTAAAATACATTTCTCAATTGATAGAATATATTCAGAATATACAAAGCCATATGATATATATTTAAATACACACACACACACACACACACACACACACCCCATCATAGGTAAGTCTGACACTCAGAGATAATGATAAAGTTTGAAGGTAATTTAAAAAAATACCATATTAAAAGAGAAACTGTCATTTAAATTTGAAAACATCAGTAATAATGGATTCATGATAAACATCAGCTATTTGACTCTTTATCTACAGTCAATGATTTCCTGGTGCTTAAACATAACAACAAATATAACATTTACTTACAGAAAATGGAACAAAGAGATGTATGGAGCAGTACCCAAAAGATTACTAATCCCAACTCTTCACTCTCAGGGGATACTATGATTACATTTTCATTGTAAGAAACTAAAAAAATAACTTTTAGTTACTTACTTCTAAATTTCTTTTAATGTAATTACTTACCTCATCTAATTTCTTAGTAGGAAAAGAATGTGGACATCCTCTACTCACCCAAAATAAATTCTCCACCAACAATGAGTATTGTTTTATAGTCTCATTCTAAAAATGCTACTTCCACGGCTGGGTGTGGTGGCTTACGCCTGTAATCTTAGCACTTTGGGAAGCCAAGGCAGGTAGATCCACTTGAGCTCAGGAGTTTGAGACCAGCCCCGGCAACATAGTGAGACTGTGTCTTTTATTAAATAATTAATTAATAAAAATGCTATCTACTCCTCTTCCTCATCCCAAAAATCCTTCTCATTATCTTTATATCTTTAATTGCTTTCAAAAACTCTAACGGTTTCATTGCCAAAGTATTCCTTTCTTTTCTGTTTATATATAAACTGTATTTTAAACAAATATAAACTGTTAATACAACTGCTCTGTACTTAAGTGTCTCTCTCTCAAATAACTCTACCAGGTCCCTATAAGCATTTTCACCTGTAAGTTACATTTGTCCAAATGAACAAACATGACACACTGAACCAATATAAAGTATCCTGCTTTACTATATATAACAAAGGGATTGACATTCTGTCATTTTACTAAAAGAGTTCAAAATTAAAGGGAAAAAAATAGGTTCCCAATTTTTCATTCAGGTGATGCAAGGTTTTAGTTGAATTAAAGTGCCTTGGACATTGTCTTTCTTTTTCTTTTTTCTTTTTTTTTTTTTTTTAGAGACGGGGTTTTACCATGTTGGCCAGGCTGGTCTGGAACTCCTGAACTCAATTGATCTACCCGCCTCGGTCTCCTTAAGTGCTGGGATTACAGGTGTGAGCCACTGTGCCCAGCCGGACATTGTCTTTCTGCATTGTATTTCCACACTTCATAAAGCAGTTATGCTACATTCATTTTACTTTTCACACAATCCTTTTCTGATTTTTCGCTTTAGAATCAACAATATAGGTTCAATTCTTAGTTATTCATAAAGAAGACATAAAAATATTTTAAGTTCATGTAAGTTTAATCTATTAATACTTCCTCTTCAAGAATGCATTTAAATGGCTAGTAGCTAAGTAAATGATTGGTTTTACTTTCACTAACTTTGTCTACCATCCGGTGGTAATGCACAGCAAAGCTGTTAAGGGGCAAAAAGAGAAAGAAGAGGGAGAAATAAAACTAAAATAATGTCTTTTCTTCATAAATCAGGGTCTGGTTCTAATCAGACCCTGATTTATGAAGAAAAGGCATTATTTAAAACATTTTTAAATGAATTCCCATAAGGATGTTCATTCTCAGGGTCATAAATAAAACAAATCTGTATGACATAAATATTGTAGTGTGATCTTACTAGAAAATTACATCCTAAGATCAGTTCTACTCTAAAAGAAAATGCAGTCCTCTTTGATGGAGATACAGCTTTGATTAAAGTGCGTGCCCATAGAGGGAAGTATTTCTTGTATAGGTAGTCTGAAGGGTCAAAGCAACCCTGGTGATAAGAGGGTATCCCAGCCAGATTAACCTCAGAGATTAGTTCTGAGCTGACTCAGTTTCAATAACCAGATGCCAGGGAATGCCTTCTCCTTGTGGACCATGCAAGGAAGCTGTTACTGTCATGTTATCAGGAAAGCCCTAAATAGAGATAAAGGAGATGCCCAAAGGAACCATTTGAGGAACATGCTGTTACAAGTCCTATCCGAGAACATGACAATGAACTTCACCATTCTTCTGCTGGTCATTACTTCTCCTACTTATAACTATTTAAAATATTAATTAATTGGTTATTTTCTTATTAAAATGCAGAACCTCTAAGAGTGTGGTTCTAAGCTGACTGCTTTATTAATCCATCTTGTGATCCTTAGGAAAAATAAAACATGGCTTTGGTGTGATTTTAAGTGCTATTATTCCAAATGATAACAATGCCTCAGACTCACATGAAATGCTTATATTGATGGATTCAGCTAAAGTCCTTCACCCGGATTCATCTTTGAGTCTCTACATCAATGCCAATATGCATTTATGGGATGACTGATAACGTTTTGGGATGAAATAGATGGCCACACTACATGCTGATGTTAACCGTCACTGGGATTCACTTTATGGCCTTGGCCTCCTGAATGCACTGCTTTTTACAATTCAGCTAAGAAGTCTTGCATCAACTATAAGACAACCATCCAAATTTTATACAACACTATGGATACTGTTGCTTTACTGAGAGATAAGATCTACCAAATGTAGCAAGAAATAATACATTTATATTGAAGTTCCAATTCCCCCTTGACTTTTTTACTTCAAAACACCATCCATTTAGCATCCTATGTACCATCATCACTATCATCTCTGAGTCTTGTGTGCTCCAGGTTTATCCGAGACTAGTTTTAGTGGAAATCTGTCGATGAATAGGCAAAAACAGTCAGACTGAGGGTGCTGAGACCTCTCTGGGAGGCATTCTATCTGCTCAGTTTTAGAAGTCATTAAGCTTTTGAACTTCTTCCATCACTACTATGAGCTAGAGGTTCACAGTGGCATGGGTCTGGTTCCCTAGAACTGAGCAAGTGTATAGCTACTTACTCTTCTTGGCCTGAATTCTAGATTGTAAGAGTTTTAAATCCCTGGAGTTAGGCTGTGCACATGTCTGAAGCAAGTCTGGGAATCCTTTAGCACTGAATATGGCTCTCTCCTCAGTTCTGTATGCCACCAGTTTGTGTGTGGAGCCTCATAAAGTTCGATCATTTTTCCAGTAAAATGACTACAGTACCAAGTATTAGAGAACCTCACACATTGTTTAATTCATATTTCCCCAACTTTGCATAATGCCTAGAGTGTTCTATTTCCTCAAAGAGGAAAGTGCTTAAACAAAGCACATGGGAGAATTTTGGGGAAAAGAATTCCCAGATGGGAAGAGTGGTTAAACCAACTACTTTTCCCCTCCACTTGTTCCACCTCTTCTTCCTCCCTTTCTTCCTATTAAAGTCTCTGAAAGTAGGACTAATTCTCATATGTCTAGAAAAATTAGTAAGGCTGACTTTTCCAATACCCAACAATGGAATGGGTCAACTCATAAAGGAGTGATATCCTCATCATTAGAAGTATTGGAAAGAAGAGGCTGGAATAGAAGGGATTTCTCTCTCTTTGATCGATTTAACTCAACTACACTTATAGCAGTAATGACAATAAAACCCAACATTTATTGAATACCTTATCTGCTGGACATTTTTACCTGGATTAGCTCATTCAATTCTCCACAACAGCCTGATAAGATACTATTATTATAAGCCCCATTTTATAAATAAGAAGTCAAAGATGTAAATAAATTAAAATTTGTTTCAGGTTATAAATTAAAGAACTGAGATTTGGACTCAGATAATCTGACTTCAGAAAAAAAAATTTTTTTTCAAAAGATGTGTCATTAGACTAACATTGACCTGAAATAAACTACATGTAAAGTCTGTAATTTGATAAGTTTTGACATATATACACTCATGAAGCCATCAATATAATCAAGATAATAAACATATTCACCACTATTCCTAAAAGTTTCTCCATGGCTCTTATAAAAGAGACTGTAAAATCCTCCTTCCTGGCTCTCTCTGATCTGGTCTGCATCATTATACATTAGCTTGCATTTCCTAAAATTTTATATAAATGGTATGAAAAAATGTGTATGATATATCTGTTTTCACTCAATATTTTTTTTTAAGATTCAGCCATGTTGTGGCATGTGTCAATAATCTATTCCTTTTTATTACTGAGTAGTATTCCTCATAAATATACTACAAGTTGTTTATCCATTCATCTACTGATGAACATTTGGGTTGTTTTCAGTTTCTGTCTATCACAAAGAAAGCTGCTGCAAGCATTTGTGTACAAGTCTTTGTATGGACATACACTTCCTTTTGTCTTGGGTAAATATATATGAGTGGAATGACTTGATCACATGGATCACATGATATGTATACATTTAACTTTTCAAGAAAATACCAAAATGTTTTCCAGATGGTTGTACTATTTTGCATTCTAACCAGCAGTAAATGAGAATTGTAGTTCCTCCACGTCCTTGTTAACAGTTGGTATGCCTGGTCCTTTTACTTTCAGACATCCTAAAAGTGTGTATTAGCATGTACTGTGGTTTTAAATCTGCATTTAATAACTAAAGTTGAGCATCACTTCATGTGTTTCTTTGCCTTCTTTATAGATTTGGTGATGTGCTCATTCATATATTTTGTACTTTTTAAAAAATTCTATTTTTGGGTCATCCATCCATTTACAGAGCCATATTTTGTACATTTTTAAAAACTGAATGTTTTGTTTTCTTGAGTTGTGAAAGTTCTTTATATATTCTGAATACAAGTCCCTTTATCAGATATATAATTTTCAAATATTTTCTTGTAATATGTAGCTTCTTTTCATTCTCCTAAGAATGCCTTTTGTAGAACAAAAATTTTTTATTTTGATGAAGTCCTATTTATCATTTTAAAGAACAGATTGTGCCTTTGGTGTCATATCTAAGAAATACTGTCTAACCCAAAGTCAAAATAGGTTTAAGTTTTGTGCCTTAAATTTAGGTCTAGGATCCATTTTAGACAATTACATACAGTGCAAAACTGAAATGTGTTTTTAAAAATATGAATAACCAATTATTTAAGCACTATTTGTTGAAAAAAATATCATTTTGAAAATCAGTTGTCCAAATATATGTAGGTCTGTGTCTAGATTTGGTTACACTAATCTATCTTTATGCCATTACTATATTCTCTTGATTATTGCAGTGTTTTTTAAAAAGCCTTGAAATCAGGAAAAGTTATGATTCTAACTTTGTCCTTTACCAAGGTTAGACTATTCTAGGTCCTTAGTATTTATTTATATCAGCTTGTTAATTTCTACAAAAAAGTATATTGGAATTTGATGGACATTGGACTGAATCTATATATCAACTTTAGCAGAACTGATATCAAAATACTGAAATACTATATTACATGCAATGTTGAAGGCATGAACATTATGTATCTCTTCATTTACTTAGTTCTCTGATGTCTGTTGGCAATATTTTATACTTTTCAGGGTGCAGGTTCTTTGCATACTTTTGCCAGAGTTATTCCTAAGTGTTTCTTTTGTATTTTTGATACCATTATAAATAATGTAATTTTAATATTATTTTCTAATTGTAGCCAGTACACAAAAATACTTGCTTGAGATATATATCTCTGTATATACAGATGTATATATATCTATATATATAGATGTGTGTGTATATATATATCTATATGTGTGTATCTATCAATATGTGTAGATAGATAGATAGATAGATAGATAGATAGATAGATAGATATCTCAAGCAACTATTTTTATATACTGGCTCTTGTTGCCCAGGCTGGAGTGCAATGGCATGATCCTGACTCACTGTAACTTCTGCCTCTCAGGTGCAAGCGATTCTCCTGCCTCAGCCTCCCCAGTAGCTGGGATTTCAGGCACCCGCCACCACGCCTGGCTAATTTTTTTTTTTTTTTTTTTTTGAGACAGAGTCTCGTTCTGTCACCCAGGCTGGAGTGCAGTGGCGCGATCTCGGCTCACTGCAACCTTTGCCTCCTGGGTTCAAGCGATTATCCTGCTTCAGACTCCTGAGTAGCTGGGATTACAGGTGTGCATCACCATGCCCGCCTTATTTTTGTATATTTAGTAAAGATGGGGTTTCACCATGTTGGCTAGGCTGGTCTTGAACTCCTGACCTCAAGCAATCCACCTATCTTGGCCTCCCAAAGTGCTGGGATTACAGGCGTGAGCCACTGTGCCCGGTCTGCAATTGTTTGCTATATTAATCTCATGTCCTACAATCTTGCTAAGCTCACTTATTCTAGTTGTTTTTAGGTAGAATTTGTTGAACTTGCTATGGAGACATTCATGCCCCTTCCCTCACAATCTGAATGGCTTTTGCTTCTTTTTATTGCCTTATTGCACTGGCTAGAACCTTCAGTACAATGCTGAACAATAGTAGTAGAAGCCAACTGGGCTTAGAGTCGTGTTTATAGAAAGGTTTTTAAGTACAAATTGAATTTGTTTATGCCTACTTCTTCTTCAGTGAGCTTTGGTAGTTTATATATTTCAAGGCATCTGTCAATTTCATGCAAGCTGTCAAATTTATTGATATAAAATATGTTCACATTGTCTTATTTTTCTCTTAATATCTGTAGAATTAGCAGTGATATTACTTGTTTTGTGCCTTACTTTGAAAATGTGTCTTCTTTTCTTTCCTGATCATTCTGCCTAAAGGCTTACCAGTTTTACCATCTTCTCAAAGAACTAGCTTTTGGCTTCATTAATTTTTTTAAATTGTTTTTCTGGGCATATAAATTTTTTAAATCACGAAGTACTTCAAACATATTCTGTATGCAGAGACCATTATAACACATACCTACTCTCTAGATTTAGAAGAGTTAATATTGTTGTTTCAGATCTTTATAACTGAAGTCTTTCTCCCTATTTATTAAAAATAAAAATCATATTTACTCCCCTCCCTTCTCAGAGGTAACTTCTGGCCACCGTGCTGAAATTGACGTTTACTTTTCTTATTTATGTTTCTAAAATGTAATACCATATATGTTTGTTTTCATAAAAAATATGTCTATTGCTTTTAAAAAAATACATAAATGGTACATACTATATGTGTCCTGCTTTTTCACCCAGTCTCTTATCAATAGACATGTAATTCAGTTTCTAATTTTTCCATTTCTGATCATAAACACATGTATAGTGTCTCTGTAAGATGTGTACCTAGAAGGGTAATTTCTGAGTAGTGAATTATAGGCATCAAGTTTACTAGAAATTACTTAATGTTCTTCAAAGTAGTTGTAGCCATCTATACTCCTATTATACCATCAAGTCTGAAAGCTTCCCTTTCTTCACTTGCCTAAAAACTCTTGGTATTAACAGACTTTTAAACTTTTGGTAATCTACAACTGTAAAATTGTATTGTGTTTTATTTTGATCCCACTGATTACAAGTAAGATAAAGCAAATTATGATGTTTAGTGGTCATTGTATGTTTCCTCTTTTGTGAGCCGTCTATTCATGTTGTTTACACAATTTTTTTCTACTGGGTTATCTTTTTCTTGTGAGTTTGAATAAGTTATTATTTTAGATGCCAGTCCTTTTATCATTTACATGAAAATATCTCCTTCCAATCAATGGCTTATCTTGTAACTTATTTTAAGGTTTCTTTTGTTGTTTACAGTTTTTTTCCCCTTTACTTAAATTTATTAATCCTTTCTAGGTTATTCTTGGCCCTTTACTACTTCATATACATTTTAGAATCACCCTGTGAGGTTCAGTGAAAACCTCATTGGGATTCTGATGAAAAAAATAGACTGACTTCATGAATTAACATGGGAAAAATTGCCATCTTCATGATTAAGTATTGTTTTACAAGTTTATTTAGGTTTTCTATTTATTATTGATTTAATATTGGCAATTTATATTTTAAACAAAATTATCAATTCATCTGTGTTTAGAAAGTTGTTGCAAAAAGCTTCTCAGTATTCTCTTCTGATTATTTAAATATGTCTTATGCCTGTAGTTATGTCTTCATTTTAATTCTTGCTATTTTTACTTGTGCCTATTCTATTTCATCATCTTTCTTGCCACAGGTCTGTATAATTAGTCTTAAAAGAAAGAAAACCCAGCTTTTGTTTTAGTTGATCCTGTCATTATTTGTTTTCTGTTTCATTAAATATTTACTCTACTCTTTATAATTTTCTTCTAATATAAAAAGTCAGAAAAACGAACAGAGTAATTGTTAAGTTACAATTTGAGAAGTTGTTGAGAAGATTCAAACAAAATGTACAAGTAATTGTTAAGTTGAACTTCTATAATTTTCTTTAATTTCTGCTATATTGTATACATTTAATTTCTCAAGAACTATTTTTGCTGCATTACATAAGTTTTAACATACACTGACTCAGTTGTCTTCCAATTTTAAATATTTTAGTTTTAAATATAAATTATTTATATTTTTTGAGGCCTAATTTATTTATAAGTACTTTTAAATTTTCAAACACATGAACTTGTGCTTTTTTCTTTTAATATTTTCATAATTGATTATATTGTAGACAGAGAATGTGGTCTGCATGACAGCAAGTCTTTTGTAACTCTATTTGTGGCCTAATATCTACTCAATTTTTGGAAATGTGTACATATACTTGAAAAAATTATGTATTCACTAATTATGTATGTGCATTAGATTAATCTTGTACATTTTGTTTGAATCTTCTCAACATTCTCAAAATAATATTTAACTAAAGGGTCCTAAAAGTAGCATCTTAACCCCCAATAGTCAAATCAAGTCTTTAAAGACTATCAACTAATATTATCTGAAAGGCAAATCATGTCTTTGCATACACATACACACATGCACACACAAACACACATTCTTTGTTCTCTATAAATTCTCTAAGCCTTGCTCCCTGAAATAAAGATCCAACTGTTAGTCACAAAATTCTCAAGTATTGGGGAAGAATCTCATATTTTTTGGCTATAAAATCAGGTGAAGGTTAAAAAAATAAAAAAACTTTACAAAAAGAAATGTAGGCTGGGTGCGATGGCTTACACCTGTAATCTCGGTGCTTTGGGAGGCTGAGGTGGGAGGACTGCTTGAGGCCAGAAGTCTGAGGCCAGCCTGGGCAATATAGCAAAACTCCCACTCTACCAAAAACTAGAAAAACTTCGCCAGGTGTGGTGGCACACACCTGTAGTCCCAGCAACTTGGGAGGATGAGGTGGGAGGATCAATTGAGCTCAGGAAGTCAAGGCTGCTGTGAACTGTATGATCATGCCACTGCACTCTAGCCTGGGCGGCAGAGCAAGACCCTGTGTCTCAAAAAAAAATAATAATAATTGAGTGGTCCTGCAGTTGAACTATTACATACAGGGTCCTGTTGCCAGGGTCCACATGCTGTAGCCCACTCAGAGCACTCTCTCTCCCTTTTATGGTTCCCTAGTGTGTTGGGATCAAATGAACAAAACTTGTTTATGATACAGTCATGCTTTTTGTGATCATGTATAGTTCAAACATCTATATTTGTAAACAAAGCCCAATAATCATTTTGATCATTTAAATTCTCCTTCTGAAATCTTTGCAGATCTTTCAGATCTATCCTTCTAAAGATCTCTAACCTAAGAATGATAAATTACTTCTGTAGATATTTTCTATTTTGTTTCTAAGATGGTTCTTAATAATAATCATCAATTTGTTAGTTTATATTTTATTTTTCTTGGATTTCCTGACTGATTTGTACATATTGTTGGATGACTAACAATTTGTTTCGTCTCAATGTTACACTTAATTGTGTTTTGATCAATAAATGTTCACCCAGCATATACTTCCTCCAATAGTTCTATCAACCACTCAAAAGTTTAGTCCATTTCTTTTCTTTTCCTTGTCTATTTTAAAAGTACAAAGCAGTTAACCATATTCTAAAATCTCAATCAACACACCCTGAGTATTCTAGCAATATGCATCTCGAAAGTGAAAACTTCCATTACTGTCTGGCCTTGTAATGACCATACTTTGAACTCATTTAACATCTACAGATAAGTCTCAAGATAATATTACTTAGGTACATATTAGAGCTGTTAATTCGCTCATTCTAAGCTACTAACAAATTTTGGGTCTTCTAATTTGTTTCATACAAACCCAGGACTTGATACGGTCTGAATCTGATCAAGTATGATGAATGACTTCTGTGTCTTCAATTATTCTAAGCAATTAAAGGACAAAAAAAAAACCTGATAGCACTTTGAAGACTGTACAATATTCAGTATACAGCAAAATGAAGAGACATGGAAATATACACCTAAATAATTCTGATTCAAATACTTCAATGTGATTCTGAAGAAAGGAAATGAGACAAAATACTTTTATGACAAAGAATTTCATTATAACAAATTAAACACTATATGAGAAAGGTGTTAACTAATCTGGGCTCTAAGAATCCGAAATCATTCATGAGGGTGCTAATGGGGTAATTCTTTGACTTACAAATATTGAATGATGAAAACTGGCATACATGAAGTTCCACTGAGCTAGTGAAGAGGCACTGGTTTCTCTAATTTGTGAATTTCTGATGCAGTATTCTCAGTGAAAAATTATTCAGTAGAGTATCTTCTTCATTATTATAAAGCTCAACCAAGTTACCAAGCCAGGTAATTAAAGCTGTATGTTAACCTTTCTGAATTCTAATCTTATTCCTCTAATCTAACTAGATCACATATATGTCCTCCAATTATTTTTTTGTTTTGCCACTAATGTGACAGAAAGCAATGAAAAAACAGGATCTAATATAGAAACTTTGAGCCTCTCGCTAATTTTAAGACAAGTATCTACTATATTATTTATGAATCTAAAACTGAAATACATGGAATAGACTTAATCTGAGATTAGTGAGACAGACTGCTTGTACAAAGATGAAAAGTTTTTGATTTCCTTCATTTTCATCCTTAAATAAGTAATGAAAACCAAATTCTGAATATAATCTACATAGATACAAAACTGATAACTTGGAGAAAATAATGTGGCCTGCATTATTGTGACAGCTTCCTTGTATCTTCTCTAATCTAATTATGGCCTACAGCCCATTCTCACCAATGCAGCCAGAATGATCTTGTTAAAATCAAAGTCAGATTAGACCACTCCTTTGCTGAAAATATTTTAATGGTTCCCTACCTCATTCAGAATAAGAAATGCAATCCTTAAATAGCCTGCACAGAGTCTTCCATAATCAACTCCCATTTTCAAACCCAGATCCAAACATTTCCAATCTCATCTCCTCCTTTCTCCCCCATACTTTCTCTACTCTACCAGTCACTATGGTCACTTTGAGTGTTTCTTGAATACCTCAGACATCCTCTTGCCTCAGGACCTTTGGGAGTGTGGCCTTGAATGCTCTTCCTTCGCTTGACCTTACCTTCTACAATTCTTGGCACATATGTCAGCCCTCTTCTTAGTGAGGCTGTGGCTGACTGCCTTTTTAATAACTACAACTCCCATCCCACTTCTGGCATTTTATCCCCTTGTCCCTGCTCATTTTTGTCATTTTTTCAGAAGGCATTTATTGCTCTCTGAAACGTTCATTATTTTACTTGCATATTTCCTTCTTATCCATCTCTCCAGATAAAATGCGAGCTACACAAGGGCAGAGGTTTTTGTGTCTTTTCTTTAATACTGCATTCCCAGAACCTATATCTTACCACATAACATAATTAGATAGCTGACACATCAGTAAAAAAAAAACAAAAAACAAACAAACAACAACAAAAAAACAAACAAAAAAAACAATAAATTAAAAGCAGCCACAGTGATCAACTAACATTTAGGAACATTTTAGTTGTTCTTAGTGTAAAGATCTAAATTCACTAGCTTTTAAATCTCATCGTTCTTAAAAACCCTTAATTTATAAATGAGATTTCTAGCCTAAGATCACTCCTAAATACACTTTATACAAGTAATATTACTTGATTATCTGAATATAAATTTTCTAATTTAGTGATCTCCAAATCAGTCATTAATTTACTAATAAATTCAGTTGCCTCTATGCAGCATTATCACTAAGACATATAAAAATCCAAGGATATCATCTCAGCTTACAGAAGGAAAGCATGTGAGACAGCCAAACTAAAGAGAAATAAAAAAGCAAAGGGTCTCACCAATTTTATTTTTCTTAAGCTGAAAAACATAATTTTATTTTATTTTCAATTTTTTTTTTTTTTTTTTGAGACAGAGTCTCACTCTGTCGCCTAGGCTGGAGTGCAGTGGCATAATCTTAGTTCACTGCAACCTTTGCCTCCCAGGTTCAAGTGATTCTTGTGCCTCAGCCTGCCGAGTAGCTGGGATTACAAGCATGCACCACCAGGCTCAGCTAATTTTTTATATTTTTAGTAGAGATGGGGTTTCCTTATGTTGGCCAGGCTGGTCTCAAACTCCCGGCCTTAAGTAATTCACTCACCTTGGCCTCCCAAAATGCTGGGATTACGGGAAGGAGCTCCCATGCTGGGCCAATTTTATTATTCTTAAGCTGGAACTGTGCCAATAGCCAGTTCCAATGTAGACACGGACAGAGGATAATTCATGGAGATACAACAGTACAGAGGAGAGCATATTTATATAAACAATAATAAACGGATGATAAGAAAAACAGCATCATATGAAGTTAGCTAAATGGTTAATGAACTTTCAAATACAAAATTTAAAAACTCAACTAAAAGGTTTTAAAATTCTTAATTTAAATTCCTTGAATTACAGAAATAGATTTCAAGGTGATCTGTAAACTTTATGCTTCTCAAAAGGACTTGACACATTTCATTGCTAGAGATTTCAGAATTTCTACTAGACTTCCTATGACATTTATAAGATTAAAGGATGTCTTGGATGTTTGCCCCTTACCGATTCAACTAATGATCTTGCTTCCTCTTGAGTGCAACGGAAAGGGCTATCAGATATCTGCACGTTTGTGCTGGAGAGGAAAAGAGAATGTTATTATTAAACAGGATAAAAAGAAACAATTACCAAAAAAACCCCAAAAACTAACTCCAAATACTCCACATCTGTTGTATAATTTTAACCAATGAATAGAAACTGAATGAATAAAAATTAAGACAATGAAAATTATTGTATATTCTTTCAGGCAAGGTTCTAAGTATAGAGTAGTCCACAGCAAAGCACTCTCCAGAATGATAAAAGATTTTTAAAAATTATATTACACAAATCCTAATAATTTCCAGGTATATATAAAAAGCTACACCACAATTGCACTTCACCTTTATTGAAGAAAAGAGGAAGCAAATTTGACCCACACAATGGGACCTAGGATAAATTTTCCTCTAAGTGAGGTAACAAACATTGTAATTAGCTACTGAAAGTTTTTGCGGAATCTCTTTCACAGATAAGGAGATTAAAGAGGAAACTATATGAATGTAAAGTTTGTTTTCTTATATGTAGGGAAGTTCAGCCAGGCATAGGAATAGCAGCTCCTTCCCTGACTAGGGAAGCCTCCATAGAGTCAAAAGCCTTTCCTATACCTCTAAAAGCATGCTACTCATTACATACTGCCACTCTCTAGATGAAAGCAAAAGCATCATTCCTCTGAAACATATTAAGGCTGATTTTTAAAAATTTCATCACAGGAACAGGCAGATTAAAATGGATAAAGAGGTGGTAGAGAAGGGAGTTAAAGCCAAATTAACTTTTTTAAATAGAAGAAAAAGTGATTAGCAGATACCTAAAAGATAAAATAATAGGTAAAACACACGTAAACATATTCCCCCTCAAGTGGACCTAAGGATATACATTATCAAATTTATTTTCACAATAGCTGTGTGAAATATGCCGAGATATCGGTGATAAAAACATCTGTCTATATCTGTTTGTAATTGATGACACTGAGTATACAGCGATTATAATAAGTGGTCATTTTGGTTTCTATCCAGACTCATAATGTGGGATTCATTTTCATTCTTGGCATGAATAGAATCTGATGAAAGTTAGCAGTAACATCTTTAAGACTAAGTTTTTTTTGCCACTATAGCACACGTTTACTTACGTAACAAAACTCCACATCCTGCACATGTACCCCTGAACTTAAAAGTTGAGGGGGAAAAAAAAGACAGTTTTTTGTCTTTTCTACAGCTCATGTTTAAACAAGCTGACAATTGAAAAAGGCAGAGCCCTGTAAGTTAGATGTTTCCTTGATGACTGTCAAAAATGAATTTAAAAAGAACCAGGCAAAAAATTAGACACTGCAAAAAAGTGCTGGTCCTGTGAAGAAACTACGATATACAAAGTACTAATTACAATGCATACAACAATGCTTTTAACATTATAACTAAACCAAAGTAAAACATTCCTTGGAAATTCTGGAAAAATGAAGGTGAGAGAACAGGGGGCGGGGGTGGGGAGGTCTTTTCTAGATATAGTTGCCATATAAAATACATAACAACCAATTACATTTGAATTTCAAATAAGCAACAAACTATTTGTTAGAATAAGTATGTCCCAAATATTGAAAGAGACACACACACTTACATGGAATAATATTTGTTATTCTGAAATATTTAAATAGAAGAAAAAGTGATTTAACTGGTGTCCTGTATTTTTCATCTGTTAAATCTGATAACCCTACTTCTAAAGTAATCCCCTACTCTTACAACAAAATGAAACTATGAATAGGAATATTAGAAAAGAATGACAATATTTAAGCCAGCACGGTAAAATTTAAAAATATTTAAAATTTTATTTTAATTTTAAAAATTAAAAAAATTTAAAAATATCTCTGATAAAATGTCTTGACAAGTAACCAGTAGTGGATATCTTGGGAAAGTAAATTGACTCTGCTATTTTTTCACCTTAAAAAATGTATGAGCGGTTGGGTGCAGTGGCTCACGCCAGTAATCCCAGCACTTTGGGAGGCCAAGGTGGGCAGATTACCTGAGGTCAGGAGTTTGAGACCAGCCTGGCTAGCATGGTGAAACCCCATCTCTATTATAAATACAAAAATTAGCCAGGCATGGTGGCACACACTTGTAATCCCAGCTCCTTGGGAGGCCAAGGCAGGGGAATCACTTGAACCTGGGTGGTGGAGGTTGCAGTGAGCCGAGATGGCGCCACTGCACTCCAGCTTGGGTGACAGAGCAAGGCAACGTCTCCAAAAAAAAAAGAAAAAAAAAAAAATTAGCTGTTTTAAGAATGAAAAATGAAATGGCAAGCACATACAAATGAACTTAGGAGATTCTTGTAAGATAAACCGATACATAGGATGAAAGATTACAAAGTTCCTTCTATTTATCAAATAGGCTCTTCTATCAGCTAAAAACAGTGCCAACATCCTCAATGATGTCCTTTTAGTCAATAATATATGTAATCTAGGTTGTAAGAACATATATGTATGTAAATATGTGTGTGTACATACCTAAATGTACTTTATCCTCTCTTGGATTTAATAGTTATTTGTACTTTGAATGTTTAAAAGTGTAATAAAAGGCATGATACCAAGAAATATTTTTATTTTTTCTGAACTGGCCTTCATGTAAAAATAGTTGTTTAACATTGATTCATATTTATTTGCCAAATCAAAAAATCACACTATGTGTCAGGGACTCTTCTAGACGCTGGAGACACAATATTGAATCATGGAGGCCCCAAGGAACTTTTAATCTTTAAGATTCTTTTTACTTCTCAAACTATTACTACGACCTGCCAGGGGAAAAGCAGTATAATCATTTAAAGGAGGGATGACTAAGCTGTTAGTGCCCACTATAAACGAAACTTAAAAAAAAAAAAAAAAACTAAAAAGAATGCACTGCTTTCCTTTTTATACTAAGATATTAAATATTATATTCTAATTGTATAAATGTTACATGACCTATATACAACCTTGTTGACCAAAACAAGCAGATGACATTAGAGCAAAAAATCAGTAAAACCAAAAATGCTGTGTACAACAAGCCCAAATTACATATAAAAATAATAAAGTATATTACTAGACAGATAATAGTGTTTTGTGAAGGGAAACCATTTTCTTCAAGTAAATTTCAAATCAAACAATGGCCCACACTTATGAGAATCCTCAAAGACAGTGTTCAGGATAAAGATTTGTCAAGGCTTTTCATTCTAAATCAAAGTAGTCAAGAAAAAGGCAAAGAGAAAATTTAAAGAGATCAGAATGACAATAATTTTAGACCATAACCTCCAGAGTTTATAGAAGGAAGTGACCTTGGAATAAATGTACACAAAGCCAAAACAACTGAGGCTATCAATACATAAAAAAGTACCAGATTACTGGTGCCAAAACAGACATATAGATCAATGGAACCCCAGAAATAACACCACACATCTACAACAATCTGAGCCTCAACAAACCAGATGAAAACAAGCAATGGGGAAATGATTCCCTATTTTATAAATGGTGCTGGGAAAACTGGCTATCCATATGCAGAAAAGTGAAACTGGACCCCTTCCCTACACCTTATACAAAAAACTAGCTCACGATGGATTAAAAACTTAAATGTAAAACCCAAAACCATACAAACCCTAGAAGAAAACCTAGACAATACCATTCAGGACATAGGCATGGGCAAAGACTTCATGACTAAAACACCATAAACAATTACAACAAAAGCCAAAATTGGTAAGTGGGATCTAATCAAACTAAAGAGCTTCTGACAGCAAAAGAAATTAGCATCAGAGTGAACAGACAACCTACAAAATGGGAGAAAATTTTTGCAATCTACTTACCTGACAAAGGTCTAGTATCCAGAATCTACAAGGAACTTAAACAAATTTACAAGAAAAAAAAAACCCATCAAAAAGTGGGCAAAGGATATGAGCAGACATTTCTTGAAAGAAGACATTTATGCAGCCAACAAACATGAAAAAAAGCTCATCATCACTGATCATTAGAGAAATACAAATCAAAACCACAATGAGATACCATCTTGAGCCATGAATGGCGATTACTAAAATGGCAATTATTATCAGAATGGCAATTATTAAAAAGTCAAGAAACAATAGATGATGCTGAGGCTGTGGAGAAATAGGAATGCTTTTACACTGTTGGTGGGAGTGTAAATTAGTTCAACCATTGTGGAAGACAGTGTGGCGATTCCTCAAGGATCTAGAACCAGAAATACCATTTGACCCAGCGATGTCATTACTGGGTATATGCCCAAAGAAATATAAATCATTCTACTATTAAGACTCATGCACACGTATGTTTATTGCAGCACTATTCACAATAGCAAAGACACAGAACCAACCCAAATGCCCATCAGTGATGGACTGGATAAAGAAGATGTGGTACATATACATCATAGGATACTACGTAGCCATAAAAAGGAATGAGATCATGTCCTTTGCAGGGACATGGATGAAGCTGGAAACCATCATCCTCAGCAAACTAATGCAGGAGCAGAAAACTAAACACCACATGTTCTCACTTACAAGTGGGGGCTGAACAATCAGAACACATGGACACAGGGAAGGGAACAACACACACTGGGGCCTGCTGGTGGGGGGAGGGGAGGGAGATTATTAGGACAAATGGCTGATGCAGGCAGGGCTTAATACCTAGGTGATGGGTTGATGGGTGCAGCAAACCACCATGGCACATGTACACCTATGTAACAAACCTGCATGTTCTGCACATGTATCCTGGAACTTAAAGTAACAAAAAAAAAAAAAAAAAAAGGAAGTACCAGGTTAATATACCTTTCTCTAGGAATGTAAAAAGAAACAACTTTAAGACCTAAAGAATTTAGATGAATTGAATATATTTATTTATTTATTCAGTAAGCATATTTAGACTACCTACTGCATCAAGTCCTGCTATTGAGTGCTGAGGTAAAAACTCAATACAAAGTATTAAAAAAAAATCCACCTCCAGTTCTACATAGAGGTATGTACAGCAGTGATACAACAGCCCAACAGAAATGAAACTGTGCAGAGGTGACATCTAAACTGCTTCTCGAAAAAATGAAGATGTCCACCAAAGAAAGACAAGGGGATAGGAAGGAAGAGCCCATGAGGCTGGAAAGGCAGGTTTGGACACATTGTTTAAGAATAGAAGGGTTGGATGAAATCCCATTTTTGAAGGGAATCATAAGACGTTTTTAGGCATAAAAATGAGTTATATTCATACTTTTGAAAGATAATTCTGGCAGTATTGTATAGAATATATTAAACAGGAGAATGATTGTTAATAAAAAAAGAGTATGAGTAAAGAAATAAAGCATTACTTTATGAGTAAAGAAATGCTAAGTAACTGAATTAGTGTAGTTTTATAACTAGAAGGCACTCAAGAATCAATCAAAACTTGAAAAATATGTAAGACAGATGGATCAAAATAAATAATGATTAATAAAATAAAGTAGTAAACAGAATAGTACATTTCTGATTTCTTAATAAGGTATATCAACTGGTTGAAGAGAAAGTGGGAGAGGACTGAAGAGTAAACTCAAATGTCAAAAAATGATTTCTCCCAGAATCAAGTTTAAAGTTTTCTTAGGTAAGACTAGAAATTAAATTCTCTCTGTTAATATAATATTTAGATTTCAGAGTAAACATCCAGCAGTGGAAAAAAAGAATAAACAACAACAACAAAAAAAAAAACTTCGGAGAAAGAGAATTTTCAAGGTATCAATGAAAAGAACTTAATAAAAGCAGTGCTCCTGAAAAGAGAAGAGTCACTACCTGGATTAAAAAAAAACAAAAACAAGGCTGGGAGTGGTGGCTTATGCCTGTAATCCCCGCACTTTGGGAGGCTGAGGTGCGTGGATCACCTGCGGTCAGGAGTTTGAGACCAGCCTGGCCAACATGGTGAAACCTCGTCTCTACTAAAAATACAAAAATTGGCCAGGCATGGTGGCAGGTGCCTGTAATCCTAGCTACTTGGGAGGCTGAGGCAGGAGAATTGCTTGAGCCCGGGAGGCAGAGGTTGCAGTGAGCCGAGATTGCATCACTGCACTCCAGCCTGGGTGACAGAGTGAGACTCTGTTTCAAAAAAAAAAAAAAGAAAATGGTTGGCTTTAAAATATTATTCAACAATTTACTCCAACAGATATTTATTGAGTGGCTACTACATGCCAGGCATTAGGAATATAAAGATGAATAAGGCATCTTTATTCATCTGCTCTTGAGGAACTTATATTCTAGAGAAGAAGATAAATTCATTAACCAAGTATTTAGTAACTGACAGATGTAATGACAAAAATCCACAGAAGACAAGGAATACAGAGAGTACTGGCATTTCAACTAGCATATGAGGGAATGTTTCCTAGAGAAGACGAAGTAAAAATTAAATCTTAAAAGATGAGTAACATGGCCAGTTCAAGAAATGAGAAGACAATCATGGCAAAGGAAACAAAATGAGTAAAGGTCTAGAGATTACTACAAGCACAGTGACAAGTGGCCTTCAGTTGTTGTAACATGAAATAGGAGACAAGAAGTGATGGAAAATGAGGCAAGAAAGGTTATCTAAATCTTGGACGGCCTTGTTTGTTTTTCCATGAGAACAAGTTTGGATTTTATGATTCTTAAGGCCGGGCGCAGTGGCTCACACCTGTAATCCCAGCACTTTGGGAGGCTGAGGTGGGTGGATTGCTTGATCCCAGGAGTTCGTGAATATCCCTAGCAACATAGCGAGACCCTGTCCATTCAAAAAATTTAAAAAGTAGCCAGGTGTGGTGGTGCATGCCTGTACTTGGGAGGCTGAGGTGGGAGAATCGCTGAACTCTGGGAGGTCAAGGCTGCAATGAGTCATGTTCGCGCCCCTGCACTCCAGCCTCGGCAACAGAGCAAGACACTGTCTCAAAATAATAATAATAATAATAATAATAATAATAATAATAATAATAATAATAATAATATGGTTCTTAAGCAGAGAGGCTCATCAGAATCACATAGGGGGCTTTAAAAACATATACGTTTAGATTCTACTTCCTAAAGATACTAATACACTAGGTTTAAAGAAGGGGACAATGTATCTGAGTTCTCTAACAATTTCCCTAGTTAATTCTGTGTATTACATATACATTGAGAGAATGTCTATGATAGTATGGACCTAAACTGAACTGAGTGAGAAAAATGGGTTTCAAAAAGGAAGGCAGAGGAAGCTTGCCAATCTACAATGGTACAGTTTAAGGAATTAAGAAAGATAGGCAATTCATTACAGAAAGGCAAAAGAAATAAAAACTAACAACGCTGAATATATTTCCAAATTAAGTTATGATAAAGAGAAAAATGGATTAAAATGAGTTAAAATTCTGAAGCTCTTGACTTTAAATTTTCTAGATGCATATGATACATATACTGAAACTTATATTCTGAAAATTCTTAAACTAAAAAAAGTTATTTTGTTATAAAAAATGTAGAGGAGGTAAAAGAACATAGCTATTAACAGAGTAAGGTTTAGGCCAGGTGTGGTGGCTCACGCCTGTAATTCCAGCACTTTGGGAGGCCAAGGTGGGCGGATCACTTGAGGCCAGGAATTCGAGACCACCCTGGCCAACATGGTAAAACTCCGTCTCTACTAAAAATACAAAAATTAGCCAGGCTTGGTTTCAGGCTTATGTAATCCCAGCTACTTGAGAGGCTGAGGCAGGAGAATTGCAAATTACTTGAACCTGGGAGGCAGAGGCTGCAGTGGGCCGAGATTGCACCACTGCACTCCAACTTGGGCAATAGAGCAAGATTCCATTTCAAAAAAAAAAAAAAAAAGAAAGAAAAAAAAAGAGAGTAAGGTTTAAATCCTGGCTCCACAATGCATTGTGTGACCTTAGGTAAGTTACCTAAATCTTTATGTGGACTCAATTTCTTCATGTGTAAAATGGAGATAACAATACATATTTTATAGGATTCTTGAGTATTAATTACATAACATATATAAATCACTCAGAACGTGGAACATAGTATAGAGTTAATAAATGTTAACTCTTACTGTTAATGTAATCCTTATCATTACTCAGGAGGCTATAGCAAAATGATTCCAGAGCTTAGAAATAAAGTTACCTTCACAGTAAGGATAATTAGACTCAGCACAGAAGGAATGAGTTCAAGCTATATATATACTAACCAAACAAAGGGTCTCTGGCTGTGTAGCTGAGGAAACCTGGGGAAACACTCAAGTCTCATCAAAGACTGCATAAGCTTTTTAGAAAGTGATTAGGAAGGAGATAAGACAGCAAAGAGCAAGCAAATATTTCCTCAGACAATCACAGACCCCCTCCTCCTTCATACTGGAGGGACTCATTACACTGGAGTCTTAATTTTAGCCCACAAAGAATAGCTCACTCTACCATTTACTAGGATAGACAAGACTAGAGGACATTCAATCATATCCAGCTTTGCTGTTAATAAATTATATTATTTATATTAGAAACAATTACCTGCATTTTAAGATTATGCTTAAAAAAAAAAGAGTGCTCTGCATACGAGGTAAGAAAAAAGGGAGAAGGCCAAGGAGTTGACAGTGTTTCTTTAGTAAGCAAGAGAAACAAAGTCAATTATCTTCAATGCCAAGCATTTGTGTTGTAGGCAAAATGGGCCTTCTTGATAACTTAGGTAAAATATTCCTTGATATTAAATAATTCTTTACTCCATCTGATTACCTTAGTCTAGAATTTATTTAATGACCCTCTTGATTCCCAGACTGTGCTCAGAGAGCACAGGGACTCTATCGTATTCATAGTGTTATCTTTAGTACCCCCACAGGACTGCTTTTGCCTCCTATACTTAGACTTACCAAGAGTCAGTTGTTTTAGTTCTTAAATGTGTTCGTCAATTGTACTTGTTACTATAATTTCAAAATTTAAGTATTAATTATGTTCACAGATGAACTGTAAAAGAGTGTGGAAGAACTGTTTCTGTGAACATTAAGTAGGTTATAAAACTAACGAGGCTTTAAACAATACTGAGGCCCTAAAAAGCCTCAATAAAGGTGAATCACTACAAAAATTTGGTGTAGATAACATAATTTAAATGATTTTTTTAAAAGAACCCTAAAAATCTGTCAGGAATTTTAAGTTACAAGGAGCTTAAGGATTACAGAATCTTTATTTTCTATCCTGTGTTATGTTAGAGTGTATATAAAATCTATATGGAATCTATATTAAAAGGGGCTCAGCCCTATATCCAAAAATGGGTGAATATACATTTAAATGTTTTAAATTAAATGTTTATGTTACTGTTACTTAATTCCTCTTAATCAATCAATTAGTGATCATGATGAATAAGGAGGCTTTTACTTTCTAAGAAATTATATGGTAGTTATTAGATTTTAAAGAAACCGCATAGATTTACATGCTGAAAAATTGCGTTTTTCATCTTTGCACAATGTATTTCAATTAAATGTCCATTTATTTATCAGTATTCCCACTAAATTATAAATTCCTTGAGAAAAAAGATCACGTCAATTCCTAGTTTAATAGTGCCCAACACTTAGTAATGCCCAATGAATAGGTAGATAATCTGTATTGTTTAAATTAAAAAAAATGCAAAAATCTGAAATCTGATTATTATGTGGCTGTTTAATACCAATTAATATAACATTACTTACATAGAAAAGACAAATTCTTACCAATTTATAGCTCCTCCATTACACTTCTTCATAAGCAATGCTTTCCAACATTGATGAGTGGATTTAATAACTTCAAGAGCAAAAGCCTAGCTCCAAACAAACAAATAAAAAAAGACGTATTTAATATCAGTCACATTGTTACACTAACACAAAACTAATCTTGTGATGACAGTTAATTGTTAAGAGCATGAGCTCCAGAGTCAGGCAAAGCTTGGTATAAATTCTGGCTTCCTTATTTGTCAGCTGTGTGACTTTGGGCAGGTTACTTAAGCTTGCTAAGCCTCAATTTCTTCATCTATGAAGTAGAATATAATAGGGATAATCTATATCAGGGGTTGGCAAACTAGGAACTATGGGTAAAATCCAGTCTGCCCCCTGTAAAGTTTTACTGAACAGTCACATTTGCTTGTGTTTGGCCTATGCTGCTCTAGTACTACGATAGCAGAGTTGAGCAGCTGTGACAGAAATCATACGATCTGCAAAGCCTAAAATATTTTCTATATGACCCATTACAGAAAAAAGTTTGCCAACCCCTGATCCAAGTCACAGAGTTGTTGAAAGAGTAAGTGAGATGACATATGTAAAGTGCTTAACCCAGTACCCGGCTTGTCAGTAAGCATGCACCCATTAATCTCAGCATCATCAAAACTGCAGGCAGTCTAAATGTAGTTTTTTCAATCGAAGTAATTTTAGACTATCCACTGTCTGAAAGCAGTACATCTCCTTGACATTTATGACATTGTCTAAAAATGCATAAGCAACAATAGATATACCTCTTGTTGGATATACATCCAGTAAGAATATCTAAGGAAAACTTGCTTTATAATTCCAAAGCAGAAAGTTCTTTAGAGTTTTTTCCCAAAAATTGTTGTTTGTTTTCCTTAAGGAGAGTCCTTACTGGTTAGTTCAAAGTAGCTCCTTTCTTCTTCAATGATAACTAAACTCATTATGATAATAAAGAAACTAAAGAATCTTGGGAACTGAGGTACAGTAATAATGGGAAATTTATCCTCTGAAAAGAGAATTTCTCTCGGGTCTACGATTGCCTGCGATGGAGGACGACTTATATCTTAATGAGATAGTGTTGGGCGGGAATCTCACTTCAGATACAGGACAAGAAATCTAATACATTATCTGATTATGTAAGGATAGATTTTTAATCAAATTATTTGGATAAGTGTGATTATTTAGAACCAATTTCAATACTTGTTTAAAGGAGTGGCAAGAAAAACCCACAATAAAAGAAAGGAGCCATCTTTCCAACCATGTTAAAGAGGCACAAATCAATTCTTGAGTTATACCCTGCTATGGTTTGAGGGGATTTGTCCTCTCAAATCTCATGTTCAAATTTGATCCGCAGTGTTGGAAGTGAGGCCTAATGGGAGGTGTATGGATAATGGGGGTGGATCCCTCATGAATGGCTTGGTGCCTCCTCAGAGTAATGAGTGAGTTCTTGCTGTTAGTTCCCACAAGAACTGATTGTTAAAAAGAGCCTGGGCACCTTCCACCTCTCTCACTTGCTTCCTCTCTCACCCTGTGGCATGCCTGCTCCCCCTTCATCTTTTGGCATGACTGGAAGCTTTCTGAGGTTCTTACCAGAAGCAGATGCCAGCACCATGCTTCTGGTATAGCCTGTAGGACTGTGAGCTAAATAAACCTTTTCTTTATAAATTACCCAGCCTCAGCAGTTCTTTCATAGCAATACTAAGGGCACTAAGGCTCTATATTTTAAATAGCAGTAGTAAAAAGCAATGCATAAAACAATTATTTTCTGGTGAAGTTGTATAAATGACCTCATCTTTATACAGAAAAGAATTACTATTTGTTAAAAACAAACAAAAAAAAACTACCTCATTCTTTACAAATTCGTGACTTGGCAGACTTACCCTGAGGCAAAAATACCATATAGGTTTAAAATTTCAATTATCTCAATAATAAAATGAAAATTTTTAAAAGAAAAATAATGTATAAATTTTCAATCCTTTAAGATAATTTAATCTAAAATAATAATTTTATATTTACATTTAATAATCCCAGACAAAGCCCTCAAGATTTGAAGGATTCTTTTAATGTGCTTTCAAAAAAACACTGAGTCCAGCAATCAATTCTTTTACAGCAAAATACCCATTATAAATTTTAAGTTTTCATTAACATGCCTTATTTCACTTATAAAACATACTTACTGGTATCCACTTAAAAGTTGGTTTCAAATATTCAATTTACCTAGTGGTAATAACTTTAAAAAAAATTCCATGCTTTAGACTTTAACTCTTTGGTCTATTCTCTCCATCTGTGTCATATTAGAGATACTTTGTGGTAACTCAGTGGTATTCTAATAGAAAAATCCTATGACAGTAAGATAATTCAGGTGTCCTTTCAATTGTTAAGCAGCTTAGTTCCGTCGTGGTAGAATGAACACTTAGGAGGGAGTCCCCTATGGATTTACATTAAGGGTGAGTAACTTTCTCCTCCACAAAACAGTAAATAGAAAGTTTTTCTATGTACACAATTTGCAAAATTAGTCTGATCATGAAATTCCTTCATTTTCCAAGACGTAGGAGCTATAGACACATAGATGGAAATATATATTTTTCAGCCTTGTTGATTCACTTAGATCTTCTGAAACAGAATTTAAATAATAAAATAATGTTTTTAAATATGTAAGTTAGTAAAAAGCACTTTTTTAACCATGCTATATATACATATTCACATAAGAAACTTCCCAAGTGAAACGAATATTGTACAGGTATCAGGAGGTACATTTTAAAATAAAGATTCTCATCTTCACCTTGTTTTTGAATTCTCCATTAAAAGCAAACTGGTTTTCTGGTTTTCCATCTGGTACCTTATATAATCTAAACCAATTAAGAGTAGCTTCCAGGTAACCCGGTTTGAACTTCTTAACATCATCAATATCTGTAAAGAAAAAAACAAAAAGATGTTTTGTTAAGAACCAAAATTAATTCCCTTTAGTGGCAGAGCATTGGACTGAGGGAGCCAGGAAACATGGGGCCCAGTCTAACCAGAAGCACAATTGATTGTGATACCTAGAGCAGCATCATCATTGATATGTATATCACCTTCAGACTTTTGTGTTTTCATATGTATAATACTATTCCTGCACTCTACAAACATTTACAAAGCATCTTCAGACAATGTGCTATGTATGGGGAATAAATGGATGGATACAACAAAGTTCTTTTCATCAAGATACTCAGTTTTTAACTCAGGGAAAGAGACAAATAGATAAACTGCAATTAAAATGCAATGAGGTTTTAACAGAGATAAACAGAAGCAATGGTAATGTCATAGAAGAGGGAGTAAAAGAAAGCATTATAAAAGTGAGAAGTACATCACTAACTGGACAAGAGGGGAAAAGGTAGAAGGAACAGCACACATAAAAGCAAGGGACTATATTTTAGAATATACAAAGATGGTTCTGCATGGATAGAACATCACTGTTAGGAGGCAGGGGAGAGGGAGGAGACACCTAGGAAAAGCCAGTCACTGAGGATCATATACACAGCAATCTCCCTTTATCCACGGTTTTGTTTTCTGCAGTTTCAGTTACCTACAGTCAACTGAATCCAGAAATATTAAATGGAAAATTCCAGAAATAAACAATTCATAAGTTTTAAATTGCATACCATTCTGAGTAGCCTGATGAAATCTTGCACTGTCCTGCTCCATCCTGTCCAAGACATGAATCATCCCTTTGCCCAGTGTGGCCACATTCTATATACTACCCACCATTAGTCACTTAGTAGCCTTCTCAGTTAGCAGATCCACTGTCTTGATATGGCAGTGCTTGTGTTCAGTTAACCTTTATTTTGCTTCAGAATGGCCACAAAGCACGAGAGTAGTGGTGCTGGTAATTTTATTACAGTATATTGTCACAGCATATTGTATTGTATACAATATATTTATTAGAGCATATTAAAATTATACTGTTTTGTTATAACAAAACAAACAGGGATGTTTTGCAAAAATTAATTAATATTGAGTTCCTTGAACGAACGGTTTTCTTATTCAGAGGGGAAAAAAATCTTTTAGTCTACTGACGGCGAGTGTCTAGAAATGCAATTTAATCAATGCCCAAGATAAATAATTTTCTAGGCCAGGTGTGGTGGCTCATGTCTGTAATCCCAGCACTTTGGGATCACCTGAGGTCAGGAGTTTGAGACCAGTCTGGCCAACATGGTGAAACCCCATATCTACTAAAAATACAAAAAAAATTAGCTGGACATGGTGGTGATTGCCTATAGTCCAAGCTACTCAGGAGGCTGAGGCAGGAGAAATGCATTAGTCCAGGAGGTGGAGGCTGTAGTCAGCCAAGATCACGCCATTGCACTCCAGCCTGGGCAACAAAGCAATAAATAATTTTCTGTTGCTTAAATCTGATTTATGACTTCATCGTTGTACCTTACTCAAACTAACATTTTCTCTTCCACTGTATATAACTTTTACAAATCATATAACTTTTGTATGATTTTTGTTACTTAACTCACTGACTTCCAAGGAGAAAGAGAAAGCTAATTATCTAATATCTACCTCAGTCTAGGAGGCTTTCTCCCCAAAAGTCATAAAGAGGACCCAATAAGCAAAGACACAAATTAGGAAAAAAACTGAAAATTTTATAATGGAAATAAGAAGTATAACTCTCCAAATATAAGCTAAACTTTTCCATTCTCAACTAATTATACCCTAGGAGAAAACAGCTGCATTGTCCCAAATAACAAAACAAAAAAATTACAGTAAGATATTTAAACATTTTTAAAACCTCAATAGCAAATGCCTGAAGCCAAATTCTTATATCCAATGCCAACAGTCAGTTCAATAACCCCTCTGAAATTATAAAAAGTTCCAGCTAAAGTGTATAAACTTATTTGTAGTTTATGAAAAGCATACATAGATATATATAAAACTTAAACTTGTTCCTCACGAAATTCCTGAGAGTTAAAAACAAGTATGTTTATATTCAACATAAGAAAACTACAGCTAAGATAGTTTAAAAGGCTTGCCAAAATCTATCCAACTCACTCATGATAGAACTAGTATTATATAAATACAAGACTTCTAATTCCATGACTTCTGCTTTTTCTTCTATACTGCATAGTAACATTGCCCAAAAGTTTTATTTACATTTAAAAAATGTAAGTAAAGATGTATTTTTTCAGTTTTCTTTTATTGTGATAAAATATCCATAATATAAAATTTGCCATGTTAAGCATTTTTAAGTGTATAATTCAGTGACATTAAGTATGTCTACAATTTTGTGCAACCATCAACACTATCCATTTGTAGGACATCTTTGATTAGATATATTTTTTTACAATCTATGTTATTTTAAGAAAAGTGGCAGTTCTCTAGTAGTCATTTATTCCCACTTGTGGAATTAATTTTATATGAATTTTAGAGATGAACTAATCCAATAAAGTTAGGATAATCTGGAAAAGCTATATATGTAATTAAGCTAAATCTATTTCAGTTTCTAATTTTGATTACAAATTAAGCTCTTTTAATCGAACTCTACTTGATCAACTTACTGGACTGATTAGTAAAGACTCTACTTTTGTAGAACATTCTGATTAATGTTCACATATTATGTATGCTGACTCTGGCAGAGTACTCTAGAATGAAGCCCACACTTCTATTTCCATCAGTTAAGTTTTAGCTTTACCAAGCATCAGGTGTGTTTATTCCCAAACCATTTATGCTAACTGTATCTTTTATTATAATTATGAGATGTAATTAAATATTACATACACCAGTGAATTTATGAGTACAAAAAAGTGTTTGTCTTTATGAAGTTAATTTGAATGTTCTGAAAGAATTCAATAAAACATTGCTAAAATATCTGTTGTCAAATTAAGCCTGGAGCTAGGTGCCATGGCATGCCCCTAATCCCAGCTACTTGGGAAGCTGAGGTGGGAGGATTGCTTGAGCCTAGGAGTTTGAGACCATTCTGGGCAACATAGTGAGACCCCATCTAAAAATAAAAACAAAAAAGAAAAAAAAAATTAGGCCTGGGTAAGAAAACAGTTAAACATTAGGAGGAAAAAAACCATAAAAATCTACAGTTATGCATATAGGCTGCTTTGCAAGTAAGGAAAGAAGAGAATTGTAGATATGAGAGGTCAGGGATATCCTCTGGTGAAATCACTTTAGTAGAGTCTTGGATGAACTGTAGGAGCAACTCATTCAGGTATCTGAAAGGAGTGCAGTCTGGGAGGAAGACAGTAAATGCAAATCTTCTGAACTAAGGGTGTGCTTTTAACATTTCAGGGAGACAGTAAGAAAGTCCCATGGCTAGAGCACAGTGAAAAAACAGAAAGTATTAGGAGATACGATTAGAGAAGCAGTCACAGGCCAGTCACAGAGGACTCTAAGGGCCATACTAAGGATTATAGCTTTAACTTTGGGATGGTTTTGGGCAGAGGAGTAAATGTTTTAAGATCTTTCTATCTGCTGTGTAAAGAAAAGACTACATAGAGGAAAAAATGGAAGCTGGAAGTCCAATAAGGGGCTGCTAAGAGAGTCTACTTAGGTGAACTATGATGAGGGCCTAGACAAACGTAGTTGTATGGAGGTAGTGATAAATGGTAAGATTTTGGGTATGTTTTAGAAAGTAAAACTCAGAGGAATTACCAATGGAAAAAAAATTAACAATAATAAACCAGTAAAGATGAGATGTACATGAGATGTAAAACTGAAAGCAGTCCTCAAAATTCTTTCTTTTTCTTTCCTCTTTTTCTTTCTTTCTTTCTCTCTCTCTCTCTCTCTCTTTCTTTTTTGACACAGTGTCTTGCTCTGTCACATAGGCTGGAGTACACTGTGCAATCACGGCTCACTGCAACCTTGACTTCCAGGGCTCAATCAATTCATCCACTTTCGATTTCCAAGAAGCTAGGACTACAAGTGTGCACCACCATGCTTGGCTAATCTTTTTTGTTTGTTTGTTTTCCAGTAGAATTGCTTTGTTTTGTTTTAGTTGCTTTGTTGCCCAGGCTGGTCTTGAACTCCTGGGCTCCAGTGTTCCTCCTGCCTTGGCCTCCCAAAGTGTTGGGATTACAAGTGTGAGCCACCATGCCCAGCCTATCACCCCAGATTTTTAAAAAAGGCTTTATAAAGAGTGTCATAACTTCTGACAAATAGTGTGCAGCCATGATTTACTTTCAAATTTGAAAGTTTAATTAACAAAGATTATATAGAATCTCCTTAAGGGAATTTTTGTATTAAAACTATAAAAATATGTTTTATAAATAATCATAGTTCTATATAAATACATTGAAAATATTGTAAATTTCTCTCTAAAATTCCAGTTGAAAAACAGGTAATAATGAAGCAATATAACAGACAAATCTTAAGGTTCCATTGGGTTTTTCCAAGTCCAGAGCTCTCACTTCAATTTAGTTTTTCTTAACTAACTTTGGTTTATGTTTCTATAAAAGAAAACCTATAATAACTTAATGAAAACCTACCATTTTATCTCTGCAGACATGAGATAAATCTAACATAATACTTTCTAAGAGAAACGTTTATGACTTTTTTTTCCTTCACTGGGGATACTGTATATCTTTCATATAACCAAATTTCCTTTCCATATAAACCAATTCACTTGTTTCTAAAATCTAATTGGAAAATTCTTTCTACTCTTTTTTTTTTTTTGAATCCAAAAACACACTCTGTTGCACCAGGGGTGTTTCTAATCACATGAGTTTGCCAAGACTTCAATATTACCCACACTTCAGAATTAAACATACTTTGGAAGTAAGTTAATAGTAATGATATGACTTCAAAAGCCAAATTGATAAGGTATATTTTATATACAAAGACCATGAACAGTATATATGAGAGAGAAATTTAGAGAAAGTATGAGACCTATTTAATCTAGAGACATATTAAAACAATAACATTTAAAAATAATTATATACCAAAAACAAAGAAAATGTTAAGAAATTTTAAACACATGGAAATTAAGACAACACATTCTATAAGTACAATATAATAAATTTAAAGATCAACAATAAACACATTTAAAAACTCTTGCCTACTGAAAAAGAACCACCCCCAATCCCCTGATTTTTTAAATATAATTAAAAGATAAATATTAAAAGCAAATAAACAAAGAATAAAAAGTCTTACTAAATAAATAACTTTCGGGTCCAAAAGAAAATCAAAACTCTAAAAATATTCAGAAAATAATGACAATGAGAACACTCAGGAAGTTTCTAACAAGAACTAAAGAAAAACATGTTTGGAATCAGACAGCACTAAGTTTAAATTCCATTTCTGGTACTTCCATATTGTATCACTTTGGGAAAAATGTACTACCTGTTTCTTCAAATCCAGAATAGGGAAGAAGAAATCAAGGTTGTCATGGGGATTAAATAATGGGTGAAAATCACCTAATAAAAGGGAATAATTCTTAACAAATATCAATCATTATCTCTCCAATTCCCCAAAACTTTGTCCATGAACACAGCCAAAGTTACACTTACAGGCAAATTAATAGCTTTACAAGCTTTTATCTTTCAAAAATAAATACACAGGCCAGGCACGGTGGCTCACACCTGTAATCCCAGCACTTTGGGAGGCCGAGGCGGGCAGATCACCAGGTCAGGAGATCGAGACCATCCTGGCTAACATGGTGAAACCCTGTCTCTACTAAAAAAATACAAAAAATTAGCTGGGCGTGGTGGCGGGCACCTGTAGTCTCAGCTACTCGGGAGGCTGAGGCAGGAGAATGGCATGAACCTGGGAGGCGGAGCTTGCAGTGAGCCAAGATCCTGCCACTGCACTCCAGCCTGGGCGACAGAGTGAGACTCCGCCTCAAAAATAAATAAATGAATAAATAAATAAATACACAAACATGAGTTAATTTTTTTAGAAAAATACTAAACAGATTTTCATTAATATTGACAGTTATTTTAATTTGTATAATGCTCCTGAAAAATCAATGTAGGTAGGCATAGTTATAAACAAACACAAAGACTAAAAATAACATATATAAAAAGTATCTAGGTATACATATATACACATACACATGCATACTTATTAATAACTTTTTGCTATACACATATAGTTTTTCACTTATAGTAAAGACCCTAAATGAATTTGTAATTAATTTCTTATTTAACAACAGACACGTTTACTTTTATCTCTAATATTATTACAATTTAGTTCTTATAAATTTATTTTTTTCCACTGTGTTGAAGTTAAATTAACCCCTCTTTTAAACATTTGGAATGGAGAGGGAATATATAAATAGAATTACTTGAGTGAAGTACTTATAAATATTTATTTCTGAAATGAGGTTTTCACTGAGTTCAAGCATATTAACCAAATTATCAGCAAATAAAAAGACTCCTCAAGTTTCCAAAGCATTCTGCTTCGGAAAAAACAGAGACCTTTTGACAGGAGGGGCACTAAATTCGTGTTTCAATGTACTCCCTCAGGCTAACCTACCTAAAATAGATACCTTATAAACAGATTAACATCAAAAAGACTCAAAAACAAGATAAGTAACTTTGTAGACCCAAGAGGGAACAAAAATACAAAACAACATGTAGGGCTGCATCCAGGGGCACACAGGAATCCTGATGTGCAGGCAGGTAGGACAGGCTGGAAGTTTGGCTCCTGTCAAGTGAAGGCAGGATGACTATGCGATTTATTGTATATACTGGAATATTTCTGAGACCTGTATCAAGAGAAAAAGCAGTTAACAGAAATCAATCCTTATGTGACCTATGCAAACAAGAATTTTAAAGTAGTTATTATGAATATGTTCAGGACTTTCAGGAAACATGGTCACAATGCACGAACATATGGAAATCCAAGATGAGGAACAGAAACTATAAAACTTCAAAAAAAAAAAAAAAGAACCAAAAGGAGGATATGAAATGAAAAATCAGGTAGATTTAACAGCAGAACGTGGATATGGCAGGAAAAAAACAAAAAAACAAAAAAACAGGGAAGTAGAAGATAGATTAACAGAAATTATCCAGTCTAAATAACAGTAAGGAAAAAAAAGATGAAATAGACTGGAAGCGTGTTAGTGATTGTAAGACAATAAAAAGTAGTCCAAAATATGTGTATTTAGTCTCAGAACGCAGGTAAGAAAACAGAGCCCCCGCAAAAGTGAAATAATAATGGCAAACAATTTCCCAAATATGATGAAAAAATATGAACTTACAGATCCACAAAGCTCAGTATATCCTAAGCAGAATAAATACAAACAAAAGGAAACCTTAGCTTATCAAAGAAAAAAAAATTTCTGAAATCCAAAGATAAGGAGAAAATCTTTAAAGCAGTCTGAGAAAAAATAATACATTATACACTAGTAACAAGGTTTACATGAAGGATTAGTTCCAGGACCACCACCTGCTCCCCCAAAATCCATGCATATGAAAGTCTCACAGTAGCCCTGCAGAAACCAGCTATATGAAAAGTAGACCCTCATTATACTGGGTTTTGCAACCTGAGAATATTGTTATTTTCAATCCACATTTGGTTGAAAGAAATCCATGTATAAGTGGACCTGTACAGTTCAAACCCATGTTGTTCAGGGGTCAACTGTATATGAGGTAACAATACAAATGGCTGTTCACCATTCATTAGAAGCAATGGGGGCTGATAGAAAATGGAACATCAATATAAAGCTTAAAAAACCCTATAACTTTAAATTTGACATCAAGCAAAATTGTATTTCTAAAACAAAGGCAAAAAAAGATTATTTTAGATAAATAGCACATACATATACTAAAATTGGAACAATACAGAGAAGATTAGCATAGCCCCTGCGCAAGGATGACATGCAAATTCGTGAAGTGTTCCATATTAAAAAAAAAAAAAAGAAAAGAAAATTCGCCACCAGCAGGAGTGCACTACAAGCATAGTGAAAGTCCTTGAACTGAAAGAGAATGACACCAGGTGGAAACTAAGATCTACAGATCTTCAGGAAGAAACAAAATACATGGGTATGAAGATGGCAAATATGTGGGCAAATGTAAAAGACACATGTACACAGGCAAATGTATTTCTCTTACTTTCTTTAAAAAACATTTTGTTATTTAAGACAATCTGTAACAAAGTATAAAGAATGAATACATGTTCTGACAGCAACTGGATACCTTGCTAGTAGAATACAAAATGGTAGAGCCACTCTGGTAAACAATTTGACAGTTTCTTACAATGTTAAACATATAATTACCATCTTACTCAGCAAAACTATTCCTGAGTATTTCCCCACTGGAAATGAAAACATGTTCACATGAAGACTTGTAATTTCACTGTTCAGAGCAACTTTATTCACATTAGCTGAAAACTGGAAACCCAAATTTCCAACAGTAATGTGAATGGATAAACTGTGGTATATCTAAAAAATGGAAGACCGTTCAATAATAAATTAGGAAGAACTAACCTGATACATGCAACAATATGCATGAATCTCCAAAACATTAGGCAAGAGAAAAAAGTCATATACCCAGCCATGTGAATAATCACTGATGCCAGACTCCATTGATAGGTAATTCTAGAAAAGGCAAACTATTGTGACAGAAAGTAAATCAGTGTTTGCTAATGGCCTATGGTAGGAGGAAGGGATTGACTGCACAGGGGTATGTGGGAATTTGGGGGTGATGGAAATGTTTTGTATTATGAATGTGATAGTTGCTAGAAGACTATATAGTTATCAAAACTCACTGAATTGGATACTTAAAATGGGGTGAATTTGACTGGATGTAATTTATACCTCAAAGTGGGCTAAAAAATATAAAAGAGAGAGAGAGTCCCAGCCCTGAAAGAGTTCATAATCTAGATAGGCGGGTAGATAAGGAAACAAACAATTATAAATCTGTGAAATCAAAGACATTTCACAGAATCAAACAAAACAGTGTGGGAGTGAAAAAAGTGGCAATTAACCAACTGCCTTTGCCTTGCAGAGTCAAAGAGAATTCACTGAGAGATGATATTTAAACTGGTTCTCAAAAGATAAAACCACTAAGGTGCAAAACTACCTGGTATATATAAGAAAGGGTGAAAAGCTCAGTGTGTTAAGAACTTTGGATAAACAGTGTGCATGGCTAGGAAAAAAAAGCATTTACTAAGTTAGAGAATCTGGATTTTTCTGTAAGCTCTGAGTCAAAACCTTTTTTTAAATACGTTTTCTTTAAAATAAAATAAGTCTGGTAAACAGTGTGGGAGATAGATTTTTGTGTCAGGAGGCTAATTAGAGAAATGTTAACATTGATTCAATGGAAAAGCAAGATATGATAGTTTAACACAATAGGAAGAAGGAGGGAATGGACTGAAAGATATTTGAGGTCAAATTGAGGGAATCTGGTGACAAACTGTGGTACCAACTTAATAAGAAAGATCACTGAAGAACAAGATGACAAAGTTTAGAATGTATATATGACTAAAACACAACTGCAATAGTTAAAAATGGCAAAATTCCAAGTACAAATGAATGCTTTCTCCCTTTAAAATAAGTTAAAACACACCTATTTAAGATATTTTCAGACTGTGCTAAAAGATATACAAGATATAAAAGATAAACAAGAATACCTGAATAAATGGGAAACATATATCAACAACTGATGTAAAAATTAATGTTTTAAAGATACCAAAAATCCTTGACAATTAGGATTCTAAAATCTGTACACAAGAATAAAGGCAGTCACTTCCAAAATGGCCAAATAGGAACAGCTCTGGTCTGCAGCTCCCAGAGAGATTGACGCAAAAGATGGGTGATATCTGCATTTCAAACTGAGGTACGTGGTTCATCTCATTGGGACTGGTTGGACAGTGGGTACAGCCCATGGAGGGCGAGCAGAAGCAGGGCAGGGCATTGCCTCACCCGGGAAGCACAAGGGATCGGGGATTTCCCTTTCCTAGGCAAGGGAAGCCATGACAGACTGTACCTGGAGGAACTGTACACTACCACCCAAATATGCGCTTTTCCCACAGTCTTCACAACTGGCAGACCATGGAATTCCCTTCCGTGTCTGGCTCAGCAGGTCCCACACCCACGGAGCCTTGTTCACTGCTAGCGCAGCAGTCTAAGATCGGCCTGTGAGACGGCAGCCTGGTGGGAGGAGGGGCGTCCACCATTGCTGAGGCTTGAGTAGGTAAACAAAGCGGCCTGGAAGCTCAAACTGGGTGGACCTCAGTGCCCCTCTGCAAGGCCTACAGCCTCCACCTCTGTGGGCAGGGCATAGCTGAACAAAAGGCAGCAGAAACTTCTGCAGACTTAAATGTCCCTGTCTGATAGCTCTGAAGAAGGCAGTGGTTCTCCCAGCACAGCGTTTGAACTCTGAGAACAGACAGACTGCCTTCTCAAGTGGGTCCCTGACCCCCATGTAGCCGGACTGGCAGACACCTCCCAGTAGGGGCCGACAGACACCTCATACAGGTGGGTGCCCCTCTGGGACAAAGCTTCCAGAGGAAGGATCAGGCAGCAGTATTTGCTGTTCTGCAATATTTGCTGTTCTGCAGCCTCTGCTGGTGATACCCAGGCGAATAGGGTCTGGAGTGGGCCTCCAGCAAATTCCAACAAACATGCAGCTGAGGGGCCTGTTAGAAGGAAAACTAACTAACAGAAAGGAATAGCATCAACATCAACAAAAAAGGACATCCACACCAAAACCCCATCTGTAGCTCACCAACATCAAAGACCAAAGGTAGATAAAACCACAAAGATGGGGAGAAAACAGAATAGAAAAGCTGAAAAATCAAAAAACCAGAGCACCTCTCCTCTTCCAAAGAATTGCAGCTCCTCGCCAGCAATGGAACAAAGCTGGATGGAGAATGAGTTTGATGAGTGGACAGAAGTAGGCTTCAGAAGGTCAGTAACAACAAACTTCTCCGAGCTTAAGGAACATGTTCTAACCCATCGCAAAGAAGCTAAAAACCTTGAAAAAGGTTACACAAATGGATAACTAGAATAAACAGTGTAGAGAACACCTTAAATGACCTGATGGAGCTGAAAACCACAGCACAAGAACTTCATGACGCATGCAAAAGCTTCAACAGCTGATTTGATGAAGTGGAAGAAAGGATATCAGTGACTGAAGATCAAATTAATGAAATAAAGCGAGAAGACAAGATTAGAGAAAAAAGGGTGAAAAGAAATGAATAAAGCCTCCAAGAAATATGGGACTATGTGAAAAGACCAAATCTACGTTTGATTAGTGTACCTGAAAGTGACGAGGAGAATGGAACCAAATTAGAAAACACTGTACAGGATATTATCCAGAAGAACTTCCCCAACCTAGCAAGGCAGGCCAACATTCAAATTCAGGAAATACAGAGAACACCACAAAGATACTCCTTGAGAAGAGTAAACCCAACCCACATAATTGTCAGATTCACCAAGGTTGAAATGAAGGAAAAAATGTTAAGGGCAGCCAGAGAGAAAGGTCAGGTTACCCACAAAGGGAAGCCCATCAGACTAACAGCTGATCACTCTGCAGAAACACTACAAGCCAGAAGAGAGTGGGGGCCAATATTCAACATTCTTAAAGAAAAGAATTTTCAACCCAGAATTTCATATCAAGCCAAACTAAGCTTCATAAGTGAAGGAGAAACAAAATCCTTTACAGACAAGCAAATGCTGAGAGATTTTGTCACCACCAGGCCTGCCTTACAAGAGCTCCTGAAGGAAGCACTAAACATGGAAAGGAATAACCGGTACCAGCCACTGCAAAAACATGCCAAATGGTAAAGACCATCAACACTATGAAGAAACAGCATAAATTAATGGGCAAAATAACCAGCTAACATTATAACGACAGGACTAAATTCACACATAACAATATTAACCTTAAATGTAAATGGGTTAAATGCCCCAATTAAAAGACACAGACTGGCAAATTGGATAAAGAGTCAAGACCCATCAGTGTGCTGTATTCAGAAGATGCATCTCAAGTGCAGAGACACACTTTGCTCAAAATAAAGGATGGAGGAAGATCAAGCAAATGGAAAGCAAAAAAAAGCAAGGTTTGCAATCCTAGTCTCTGATAAAAAAAAGACCTTAAACCAACACGGATCAAAAGAGACAAAGAAGGCCATTACATAACAGTAAACAAATCAATTCAACAAGAAGAGCTAACTATCCTAAATATATATGCACCCAGTACAGGAGCACCCAGATTCATAAAGCAAGTACTTAGAGACCTACAAAGAGGTCTCAAAATAATAAGAGCTATTTATGACAAACCCACAGCCAATATCATACTGAATGGGCAAAAACTGGAAGCATTCCCCTGGAAAATCAGCACAAGACAAGGATGTCCTCTCTCACCACTCCTATTCAACATAGTGTTGGAAGTTCCAGCCAGGACAATCAGGGAACAGAATGAAATAAAGGGTATTCGATAAGGAAAAGAGGAAGTCAAATTGTCCCTGTTTGCAGATGACATGATTGTATATTTAGAAAACGCCATCATCTCAGCCCAAAATCTCCTTAAGCTGACAAGCAACTTTAGCAAAGTCTCAGGATACAAAATCAATGTGCAAAAATCATGAGCATTCCTATACACCAATAACAGACAAACAGAGAGCCAAATCATGAGTGAACTCCCATTCACAATTGCTACAAAGAGAATAAAATACCTAGGAATCCAACTTACAAGGGATGTGAAGGACCTCTTCAAGGAGAACTATAAACCACTGCTCAACAAAATAAAAGAAGCCACAAACAAATGGAAAAACATTCCATGCTCATGGATAGGAAGAATCAGTATTGTGAAAATGGCCATACTGCCCAAGGTAATTTATAGATTCAGTGACATGCCGATCAAGCTACCAATGACTTTCTTCACAGAATTGGAAAAAAAGCTACTTTAAAGTTCATATGGAATCAAAAAAGAGCCCGCATAGCCAAGGCAATCCTAAGCAAAAAGAACAAAGCTGGAGGTATCATGCTACCTGACTTCAAACTATACTACAAGGCTACAGTAACCAAAACAGCATGGTACTGGTACCAAAACAGAGATATAGACCAATGGAACAGAACAGAGGCCTCACAAATAACACCACACATCTACAACCATCTGATCCTTGAAAAACCTGACAAAAACAAGCAATGGGGAAAGGATCCCCTATTTAATAAATGGTGCTGGGAAAACTGGCTAAGAAGAAAACCTAGGCAATACCATTCAGGACATAGGCATGGGCAAAGACTTCATGACTAAAACACCAAAAGCAATGGCAATAGAAGCCAAAATTGACAAATGGGATCTAATTAAACTAAAGAGCTTCTGCACAGCAAAAGAAACTATTGTCGGAGTGAAGAGGCAACCTAGAGAATGGGAGAAAATTTTCGCAATCTACCCATCTGACAAAGGGCTAATATCCAGAATCTACAAAGAACTTAAATAAATTTACAAGAAAAAAACAACCCCATCAAAAAGTAAGCAAAGGATATGAACAGACACTTCTCAAAAAAAGACATGTATGCAGCCAACAGACACATGAAAACATGCTCATCATTACTGGTCATCAGAGAAATGCAATTCAAAACCACAATGAGATATCATCTCACGCCAGTTAGAATGGCAATCATTAAAAAGTCAGGAAACAACAGATGCTGGAGAGGATGTGGAGAAACAGGAATGCTTTTACACTGTTGGTGGGAGTGTAAATTAGTTCAACCATTGCAGAAGACAGTGTGGCGATTCCTCAAGGATCTAGAACCAGAAATACCATTTGACCCAGAGATCCCATTACTGGGTATATACCCAAAGGATTATAAATCATGCTACTATAAAGACACATGCACACGTATGTTTATTGGTACTATTCATAATAGCAAAGACTTGGAACTAACCCAAATGTCCATCAATGATAGACTGGATTAAGAAAATGTGGCACATATACACCATGGAATACTATGCAGCCATAAAAGGGTGAGTTCATGTCCTTTGCAAGGTCATGGATGAAGCTGGAAACCATCATTCTGAGCAAACTATCACAGGGACAGAAAACCAAACACCACTCATAGGTGGGAGTTGAACAATGAGAACACATGGACACACGGTGGGGAGCATCACACACCAGGGCCTGTTGGGGGGTGGGGGACTGGGGGAGGGATAGTATTAGGAGAAATACCTAATGTAAATGACGAGTTGATGGGTGCAGCAAACCAGCATGGCACATGTATACCTATGTAACAAACCTGTACTTTGTGCACATGTACCCTAGAACTTAAAGTATAAAAAGAAAAAAAAGAATAAAGGCATAAGAAACATCAAGTTTGAAAAAGTAGAACAAAAGGTGGAAGATTAGTCTCATATATGCCTTATTAGAAGTCTTCATAATTAAAATAACATGATGCTGGCACAGGATTCTATCACTGACACCATATAGAATCCAGAAACAGACTCCTGTATAATGAAATGTGTAAGAAAGACATTCCAAAACAGGAGGAAGAAAATGACTTTTTCTGTTCAGCAGTGTTAGAAAAATTGTATACACAGACAAAATAAATTCCACATAAATTCAAGACTCGATTGTAAAGATAATAAAATACAAGAGTGAAAAGAAAATAAAAACATCTTTCTGACCAAGAGGTAACAAATCTTTAAACAGGAATCAAAACACTAAAGTGATGTATTAAAAAAGACTGATAAAATGGAATACATCAAAATTTAAAACCTCTGTAAGCCAAAAGTCAATATAGCATCTCTGCAAATAGAATGTCTGCAACCTAAATAATAAAGGGTTAATATGCAAAAACTCTGGTATACCAAAAGAATGTCAACCCCAATAGAAAAGGGGCAAACAATTTACATACTCAATTCACAGAAGAGAAGATACAAATAAGCCAATAGAAATACAAGAAAGATGTTCCAACCCAGTAGTAAGCAGAAAAATAAAGAATTAAAACAAGATAATCATCTTTTATGTATCAGATTGGCAAAAAAATAATAAACTATTATTTAGGAAGCATTTACTCTCATACACTGATGATACAATCACTGCAAAAGGCAATTTGATAATATCTAGTAAAATTTTGAAATACTTTAAACCTATGGCTCAGTAATAGTGCCACAGGATTCTTCAGCTGTCGCTTTTCCAGCTGGAAACCTCTGTGGCCAGTGGCGCCTTTTCCCGAGTTTTGCTCGGCCCGCTGGGCTCCTTCCACCCACTCGGCCTGGCAGGCTGCGCTCCGCTCGTGCTAAGCCTGGATCCCACGCATGCCAAGGGCAAGCCAGGTATGGAGTGGCAAAGGGCAGGCAACTCCGGGCACCAGCACAGGCACCGGCTCCCTGCGAGGCTGCAGCTGGACCAGGCAAACCCCGCAAGTGGCTTCCACTAGAGGCTCCAGGAAACACGGTGGCACTTAGAAGCTTGGAGGCACCAAGAAGTGCAGAGCCCCAAAGAGGGTGTCACAGCCCTGGCTCAGGGAGCCATTAGGTCTGGGATCCCTGAAGGGGCCCAGCTCTTCTCTTCTCCTTGTTGCCTGCAATGTGGCGAGCAGGATCAGGAGGTGGCATGTTTCAGCCTTGTTTGCCTTAGGGTTCTTTCAGTTTCGCCATTTGGGTGTTCCCGAGTGCTTCTCCCGTACAGAAGAAGAATGAGGTACCTGGGCAAATGGAGGGTGAGCAAGGCAAGGTGATTTACTGACAGTACAGCTCGCAGAAGATCAGAAGTGGGTAGCTCCTATCCACAGGTAGGTCATCCCATTGAGCCTGAGGCCCACTGAGACTACAGCCCTCAGCAGAGAGGACATCCAGAGCGGGTAGCTCCTAACGCAGGCAGGTTGTCCCGTCCTCCCGAGTCTGGTTAAATCCAAGGTTTTTATGGGCTCAGGAGGGAGGAAGTGTGTGCTGATTGGCCCATGGGCAGCCATGGTTAGGCCCAGAAAACGCACCTTAGGTTCTCACTCCAGGCCACAGATTTCACCCAGAACAGACAGCCTGGTCCCCAGGCTTCAGGCCATCCCTGGCTTTAAGGTGGGGCTTCACTGTGGACCCACCTCTTTCCGCCCAGGAGCCTGTCTGCCTCCCGCTATCTATACATCATCCACTGTACCCAGGCTGTTTGTGCCAAGCGGCACCTACAGGCCTGCACCAAGCCACCCTCAGCACCTCTTTGGCCTCCCTCCCATGCTCGTCAGCGCCAAAAGTCCAGAGGGGGCCGAGGTGGCAGGGGGCTGGTGTGTCAGTGCCACTATGAGTGAGGGCACACCTGGCTGCGTTGCAACAGCACCCAGGATCGGCCTCGACTTCACTCCAAAATCAGAGTGGGGAGAGGCCAGGCAGCAGTAGCAGGCACTTCCGAGCCTGCAGAGGTGGGTGGGGGCTTCTCAGGCCCCCGAGAGTGCAGGGATGCCCAGGTCCACAGCTGTGGCTGTGTGGCTGCAGCTGTGTCCAGGAAGGTGGTGATCCCACCCTGCCAACTCGGAAGGGGGTGGGGCTCCCACCTGTTCCTGGCTCCTGTAGCCCGGTGGAGTGTGCAGCCTTGGCTGTGCCTCCCCGGCTGCAGCCAGTCTTTGCAGCAGCTGCTCCAGACGGGCCACTGCTGCCAACAATAGTATGTCATTTAAACTTCACAACTTGTAAATGAGGTATTATTTATCTCTTTATTGCAAATTAGTAAACTAGGACTCTAAAAGGTTAAGTAATTTGCTCAAGATCTCAAAGGGAATCAAAATATTAGCTTTAAAAATGGAGTGACAGGTGTGTGTGAGGCAAATATCAAAGTTAATTAGGTAATTACATCTTAAGACCTTCTTCTAACTGAATAAATATCAAAATTGTTACCAATTATTCTACATCCAGGACTAGAATGTCCAACCAGCAGAAAAGAATTAATTAATGGAATGGTTCTCAATTTGAAGGAAATCTATCAGAATTACCCAGGGAGCTTTATCAAACTATATAAATTCACATCTCTAAACATTCCATCCGCTTTCACAAATTGAGGGCTACATATACTTCCACAAATGTTAGGACGAAAAAACATTAAAATGCTGCTTTACCTGGATTATCTCCACCCAGCCATAACACAAAGTGAAGAAAGCATACAATCGGCTGAGAATTTTTTATTTTTAGATAAAAACCAGTGACATAAAAGTAATACCCTATCTCTTTGCCCTTATTATATAAAAGGGGAAAAAAGACACCAGGATATAGCCTTATGCTAAAATTTTGTCCAAAGGGGAGGAAAAAAGAAAAATGAAAAAGGAGTTTCCACTTTACTAAAGGAAGTGATGTTGATTCATTTGCACAACACTCTCATCCCAGTACTATAAATGTTGCTCCCACAGAACTAAACATGTGCACAACTAGTACCCTCTAAAGAAACTCTGTGGGAAGCAAGAACATGTGTTTTTAATGACTTATAAACATTCACAAGAAACAAGTTTCATTTAATAACATTCATTGTAGTTTCTGTATCACAAATAGAGGTCCCTGCAAAGAGAACTGATTTTCTTAATAATTTATGCTTACTCAGAATCTCTAAAAGATTTTCATGTTTCCAAACTGTTCTGCATATCTACGTTTAACATTCATGGGCTAATGAAGAGTATCTTTCATTGTTCTTGCCCTTTCCTTCTCCATTCTCCTTTTCATAAATTGTACTCTTACCAAGACAAAACCTGTACTAAAAATGTGTATTAACATCATGAAAAAATAATGGAATTAACACATGTCAAAGTGAGTATTACCAAACAAGGTAATTCTACATAGAGACTATATGCACTGTAGCAGAAAAACCTCTCAGAAAAGACTTAGATTTTTCTCAAAATATAGACATTCATTACCAGTTTACAAGTAATTTCACATGACCAGTAAAATGAAAACCATACAGCTGCCTTGTATATGGAAGGAATTCAAATATTTCTAATCTAATTTTGATTTGAAGCATATAACAAAGTGGCTAAATGCACAGGTCTCAGGTCAGACTGACCTCCATTGAACTTCCAGCTTCATCACTTAACAGTTACCCTAAAGCACTTAAAAACGTGCCAATGTCCCCAAGAAATCATCTAATCCTTTAATTTAAACTGGGTTTCCCACAGCACTAACTTTGAAGATAATTTAGGTCTTTTTACTAACAGAAGACAACAAGCTAAAAATAATAGATTAAAAATATTTCCTATAACAAAAATTTAGAGATGGGAAAAACCCTAGGGATCTTTTAGTGATCAGAAGATCCACTCTACAATTTTAAGAAATAAAGAAACAAAGGCTTTGAGAGGTTATGACTTTTCCGAGGTCAGATAATTAATAAACAAAAAGAGGATTTTAGAATTTAGGCCTCCCCCATACTTCACCATATCATGGGAATGACTGAAACCAAAAAAAAAAAACTGTAAGAGGTCAAGGTTCAAAAAAGAGACAGCAGGTTCTCGGTAATTTAATTCCATCTCAATTATAATTTTTTAACTCGATTTGTCCTTGTTCCTCAACTGCCTCCTCCTACAACCCATCCCTACATACCTACACCCATTAATGAAATAAGAGGAATATGATCAAAAGAGCTAACTTTTCACTGGAATCTCTATCATTGTCCCACTGATGCCTAAATTACTTAAGAGCAAATGGTCAGCAATCTTAGAAAGCGACAAGGTCCAAGGCCACAAATACAGCTGACTAACCCGGCATTTTTCAGAAGAGTGATGTAATGCAGCAATGAAGAACATGGACTCTGGAGCCAGACTGGAGTGGAATGACTGGCCATATGATTTAGGCTAGTTACTAACCATGCCCCATGCCCCATCCACGCGGTGCCTCAGTTTCTCTATCCTTAAAAAAAGAGAATAACTTATCTTCATTGAAGTTGTGTGAAGATTAAACATATTCCAAAAGAAGCACTTAGCATAGTTTCTTCTTAGGCATATTGCAATTGTTTGACAAATGTTAGAGCTCTTAGGTTGATGATGCTGATATGCAAGCCCCTTTCCAAGCCAGTACATTCTGCTGTCTTCTAACACACACAAATTGAACTCTATTCTTTCTGGTTACAAAACATGAATATTTTCCCTTAAGATCACTATGCTATTCTTTTTATTCCCCTAAATGACAGTATTAAGTTGTGTTTTAGGAAGAAAGGAAATCAAACACTACATTAATTTGCTTATTTTTAAATAATAATTACAGAAGCACTGGAAGTGTTTACTTAGCAAATGAACATTTAAGCCAAATAGATTGTGTCTCAACATATTTATTTTTGCCTTGAAAGAGAGTAGTTTTTATTTTTAAATTTCTCTAAATATAAGCTGAAATTCTACATATACAAAAGACATACCTTAATAATTTTAGGACAAGTGTGATGCCGGCCTATGAAAATGTCAGAACGGTCTCATTTTAAATAATTGCTCATATGATTTATTCATCCACAATGTATCTATATCAATATAACTATTCTGATTTCGATTGTTTTAAATCTTTCATTTTTTAAAACTATAAAATCACTGCACAGGTAAACAGTTATTGCAGCACAACAGACAATAGTTTTCATTTATTTAAAGGCCAAACAAAAGAAATCTTCATTGCTCTGCAAGTTGAAATAGCATCTAGGCCTAAATTAGCTCCTCGTGACATTAGTTCTCCTGACATAAGGTCCTTAGGCATCAGTGGCAGTTCTGAAGAGGCACAAACATCTGTTTGGTGAGTATCTGAAGCTGTACATTATAGAAGGTGGTTAATTTAACCACGAGAAAAATTACACATGCCCTAGCATTTCAATCTTCTTAAAAAGCTCTAAACTTGGTTATTTCATAACCAAAGCTATTATTCACACTGGCCAAGGTATTTTCTAGTAACAATTTAGGTGTCCTGGGAGTCTTATTAACTCTTTCAGGCCATTAGGGTACCAATAAGAGCATTAGGGCATGAAACCTAATTACAGGGCATAAAATGGTCTTAGTGCTCTGTTTTTTTGTTTTGTTTTGTTTTGTTTTGTTTTATGTATACTTTAAGTTTTAGGGTACATATGCACAATGTGCAGGTTGGTTACATATGTATACATGTGCCATGTTGGTGTGCTGCGCCCATTAACTCGTCATTTAACGTTAGGTATATCTCCTAATGCTATTCCTCCCCGCTCCCCCCACCCCACAACAGGCCCCGGTGTGTGATGTTCCCCATCCTGTGTCCATGTATTCTCACTGTTCAACTCCCACCTATGAGTGAGAACATGTGGTGTTTGGCTTTTTGTTAATGAGCCTGCTGAAGTGACCAATTTTGTATCAAGGAATACAACGAGTTTCATTTCAAATGTTATTTGGACATTTTTTAGACTTTTACAGTGGCTACTCCATTTTTAGAAGGTGAAACTAGAAGACTTAAAACAGTAATGTTAAAATTACAGAACTATAACAAGAAAAACTTTTTTTACTAATTGAAAAATGTTATCTGATGCAATGGCTAGTTTAAGTTCAGTCATCATAGGTAAAAACTGTAAGTATTAAAACAGGGATATATAGTCTACCAAAGTCTGTACATATGTTAATTAGGATCAAAAAAGTTATTTCATTTTATTTATATCAAAAAAAATAAAAGTTATTGTATTTGTTCACAAATTAAAACAACCCCAAAATGTCTTTGAAGAATCACAACTTAAACGTGTCTATATGAATAGAGTAAAAAGAAAATACACATACATAAGGACATACTATGAACTAAAACGAGCTTCATTTTCAAAAAAGAAAAACTCTGACAAACCATGCCAAATAACAGCTTCTTTTTCTTTCTTTTTTTTTTTCGTTTGTTTGTTTTTTGTTTTTTGGGATGGAGTCTCGCTCTTGTTGCCTAGGCTGGAGTGCAATGGCGTGTTCTTGGCTCACCACAACCTCCGCCTCCTGGGTTCAAGTGATTCTCTTGCCTCAGCCTCCCATATAGCTGGGATTACAGGCATGTGCCACCACACCCAGCTAATTTTGTATTTTTAGAAGAGATGGGGTTTCTCTACGTGGGTCAGGCTGGTCTTGAACTTCTGACCTCAGGTGATCTGCCTGCCTTGGCCTCTTTTTCTAAAGATAGTAGAAACTAATAGGATGGATATAATTTTTATTATTTATTTATTTATAGAAACGAAGTCACACTACGTTGCTCAGGCTGGTCTCACCTCCTGCACTCAAGTGACCTTCCTGTCTCAGCTTCCCAAAGTGTTGGGTTACTGGTGCGAGCAACCATGCCGGCCAAGGATTTACTTTTTAAATGCCTAATAACAATAAAAACGTATAGGAAATTTAAAAAATCTCTATATACTCCTATATTACACACATACCCAGAAAACTACACAATTAAAAAGAAAATTCCTGATAGCTGCCCTCTCCTAAGTGTTTTTAAATTTCTCTCGTTTATCTGACTGACAAATATGCCAAGAAGTATAGATGACAAATGTTTAAACGGTCATAAAATATAAAATCACTTATTCCTTTGTAATAGAAATTTCAATTTATACACAGCAATTTATATTTAAAGTTACTGCATTAGATATTTTTGGAAAATGGACACCAGCCAACAATGAAAAGGGAAAACTAAAGAGGGAATGGTAGAATTTAAGTAAGTAGAACTAACCAAGCATTGAAAAGAAACCCGCAGGTGATAGCTATGCAGGAGGTTCAGAGAACAGTCTGTTCAAAGATGATCACTTAATAAATAGTATGATAAACTAAATGAATATTTACATAACAATACTGTAAATGCTACTTAGTTTTTAATTTTCAGATTCAACCATGAAGCAAAATAGGAAAAACAATTATACTTAACATAATTTAAACATTATAAATTTTGATACTGTAGAATTGATAGTGTAGCTGAGAGAAGTTAGGTTGTAAGGGACAGAAAAGGATAAAAATGTAGAAACCAAATGCTCTAAGTTCTACACTGGGCAGTTAAGAGTTATTGTTCAAAGTCAATGAAGCAATAAATCCAGCTCCAAATATACAACTTAGAGTTATTAGGGTAATAGTAGAAATATGGTAACACAGTTGATAAATGTTTAAGAATTTAAGTTCCTTGTCTTCCAAAGTAATAATTTGAGTCAACAGGGAAAATGCATAAATTAAGAAATATAAGCACATCATTTACAGAAGGAAGCAACCATTCAAAAGAACAAAAAACATCTGTGATAAGATCTGAGAAGATGAGGTGGGAGGTAGGAAGAAAAACTTTACTTTCATTTTATGTACTTTTTTTATACTTCTGAGTTTTTATTTCCATGTATAAAATTAATTTTATAATTTTTAAAATGCCATCTAAAATCCTGTGTTTGTGATTTTAGATGGTAAATATGAAAGACATAAATACCAAAACATTTTAAAAGTTGCTTGATTTAGGATTAAACACTGTTGACTAAAAATAATTTTTCAAAAATAAAAAACATTTATACTACAATCTCTTCTTCCTTTCAATTTGTGCCTACATCAATTTTTTTCCTCGGTCTCTGTAAAGTAAAGAAGAAAATTCAACAAAGGTATGCAGAATATATTAACGATAATGTGTAGGTAAAAGGAATGAGAAAAAAATGTGTGATTCTTAAAACTACCAAACTTGCTGGGCATGGTGGCTCAAACCTGTAATCCCAGTACTTTGGGAGGCTGAGGCGGGTAGATCCCTTTAGGCCAGGAGTCCAAGACCAGCCTGGTTAACACGGTGAAACCCCATCTCTTCTAAAATACAAAAAATTAGCCAGGTGTGGTGGCGCGCGCCTGTACTCCCAACTAGTCAGGAGGCTGAGGCACAAGAATCACTCAAACCTAGGAGGCGGTGGTTGCAGTGAGCTGAGATTGTGCCACTGCACTCCATCATGGAAGGCAGAGAGAGACTGCCTCAAAAAAAAACTACCAAACTTATTTTATAAAATCTAGATATAGGAGAAGAGTACTTTAAGTACTAACTAATGAGAACAATATACAAATATCCTTAAAATAAACAATTTTCATTTTCCCCATACACTTTACTCATTCTTTTAGGAGTTCAAAAACATATTATGAATAAGAATTGTTGTATTTTTCATGATGAAAATAATACATGTATTCACTTTTAATACAATGATAAATGTATTGGTGTTCTAAAACAATAACATCTTGTTTTAACTACTCAAGTTCAATAATTTCTTCTCAACCCAAATCAGCAACTGGCTTTAGTGTTTCTGCATATCTCTTCATAAAAGCAAATATGAAAGGAATTTAGAAAGGTGTCCAAAGTGCAAAGTCATCTCCATTCTGAGTACGCAACAGAAATAAAATGAATAGAGTTAAAACTTTTTATTCTAACACTTACGAAACTCAAGGAGTCATGCTAGGCTTATGTGATCTAGTTTCAATACCTCTAGTTACAAATATATAAATTACTAGAATCAAGGATGAATTGCTTGGTATAATATTATAGATGGGCTATATATTGCTCAATACAGTACTGAGCAATTCACACATTAGAATCAGACAGAAATGAGTTCAAACTGTGTACTATTTACATGTTTGCAAAGGTGGGCAAGTCACTTACATTCTCTGACCATCTTCTAAGTTAAGAACAATATCTACTATAACAGGCACCAGCGCTTGTTATATGCTAGAGAGTTTAAAATGTTAAATCACATCTCCAACAGTACTGAACTACTACTCTCTAAATAATATTTTCATTTTCATTCAGGTGCTCAGCTTTTTCAGTTTAAAGGGGCATCCCTTAGCACAGTTTCATGACTTTAGTGTAGCAGATCACAAATGAATTAGGTGGATGATTTGTTTCGGCTGCCTGTGGGACTATTACCTTATCAATTCTCATTTGAGGAGCAGTTAAGATGCTAAAAAATGTTTTTAACTAAATAAAATTTATTTACTGTTCTCATATATATGTATATGAAAAGTATAAAAATAGAAAAAATCAGGGTAAAATAATGAGATAAGGAATATATATGGTTTATAGACTTGAGCTCATATTTTAATTGTAGTTTTCACATTTTACTTTTGATCCTGAGGTTACATGCACTTCACGCTATCAGACCTCTCCCTTTCTCAGTTATATACAAGAATGACAAAAAAGAAATCTCTTCCTGTTTCAAGTGCAAAAAAAGGTACATAAACTAAGATTAATACATTGTTAATGAGGTTCAGTCATCTTAGAAATGGTAATATCTTCCAGTTTAGAATCGAGGTTTACAAGTAAAGAGGATCCTGAGCAAGAATAAAACAGGAAAGAAAAATAGAGGAAAAATTGGTCAAAGAATAATAATAGTTGTCATATATTCAACACTGGTATGTGAAAGCCAGATGCTTTAAATAAATCGTTTCTTATATTGCCAACAACTTTACAAGTAGGTATAATCATCTCCCTTTAGAGATGAGCAACTGAAATTCAGGAATGATCTACCCAAAGTCACTCAGCCAGGAAGTAGCACAGCCAGAACTTAAACTGAAGTCTGTCTGACTCCAAACAAAATTAAATCATGCCAAGCTATTTCCAGAACTTAAAATTTCTAGGACATCAAAATTTCGTTAGAGGGCAGTTACTTTTCCCTTCATTTGTACAAGAAGAGACAAAAACTAGGTGCAGAAATAGCTTTTGTCATCGATGAACACTCCTTCCTTAGTTTCTTCTTGTTAGTCATATGAACAAAAGAGATTTCAGGGTAAAAATGCCAGTATCGTATGCTTTTATTCCTAGTCAAAGGATGCTTTCAAAACAGTTCCCAACAGCAGTTGGACCATCAAAATCATGGAAGTAAGGAAAGAAGAAAGGAGGGAAGGAAGGAGTGAAAGGAAGAGGAAGAAAGTGAAAGAGAGGTGACAGGAGAGGGAAGAAAAAGGGAATAGAGGGAAACCAGTAGAATGTACTTTCTTCATTTAAAATATAATTTGTCTATCTACATCTTTTCCTCTCTCTTTTTTAAAAAGTACATTTAACTCCCCTATGTGAACTTCTTTTAAGTTCTCAGAATTCCAATGACACACTAATTTGCTTTCACTTTCTGGAAAGTAACAGTCTTACCATGAAACTTTGAGGCTTCAGGATCATTCGCATTGATAGCAATTAATTTCCAATCTGTTTCACCTTCATCAATAAGAGCCAAAATTCCAAGGATCTTCACATGAATAACTTCTCCACAAGAAAGAATCTTTAAAGAAAAAAGAAATTCACTATTTGCAAGGCTTTGGAGAGTTTACTCACATATCACAAAATCCATATAAAAGATTAAAAGAACTACAGACTGAAATGTAACAAAGCCTCAATAATTAAAAATAATATGAAAATAGCCAAAGTCTGCCTTGCAATGTCCCTTTAGAGTTAACTTTCTCAAAATTTCCACTTTCACCAATGACTGAATTATTTTACAGATAAACAACTTGCCCTCCCATTGCAAACAACTAAAAAACTGGACAAAATATATGAAATCACTCGTTTCAGACATTAAACAACAGGCAGTACAGGACTGTGATCCCAGAGAGAAGTAAACAAATGAGAAGAGATGTGATTGCCCTGGTTTTCTGCTCAATACACATTCCAAACCACAGCAGAGAGAAAGGAACCCAGTAAGAGGACAGGGATCTCACTGAGGTTAAAAAAAAATGGAGGATGAGGCAGCTGGAATTTGTAGGGCATGGTACTAGAAATAAGAAATAACTACAGCAATATACATAGGGGTTCCTTTGAGACACGGATTAAACACTAACCTGTGCATTCATGGGATGAGACTTTATAAGTCAAGGCAAAGAATAATGGCCAGAGACCTATAAAATGAGTTCCAACCACCCAGGAAAACCTCATTTACCACAAGGGGCATTCATTAGTGAGCCTATAATAGGCATGCATTAATGGTAGGACTAAACTGGCTCTCAAACAAAGGTTACTCTAGACCTGTCCTAACAAAGTTTTAAAAGTGCCTGGATACAACTAAACTGACTCACAAGTAACTACCTGTAAAAACAAATATTCTTTAAAGGAAGACAACAACATCCAGGCACTCGACATAACACAACATCCAAGATCCTGTCAATATGCAAGAAAATGTAAACCCTAAATGGGGAAAAAATTAAAAATCATTCAACAGAAACATTTCCAGAAATGTTAGATGATGGAATTAACAGATAGGAACCTCAAAACAACTACTGTAAATATGCTCAAAGATTTAAAGAAAAACATGACAATATGGAAGAGAGAAATAGAAAACAAAAAAAACCAAATAGAACTTTAAGAGCTAAGACATATATAATCTGAAAAGAAAAATTCTCTCAATGAGCTTAACAACAAAATAGACATTGCCAAAGAGAAAATTAGTGAACCTGAAGACACTGTAACAGAAACTTTCCAAAGTGAAGCACAGAAACAAAAAGGTTAAGAAAAAATTAACAATCCCAGTGTCCTCTGGGACAACATTCAGCATTCTATCTCATGTATAAATGGAATTCCAGAATGGGAAAGAGGAGGCCAAAAAATATTTGAATAAATAACGTCCAAAAAATTTCCAAATTTGATGAAAAGTATAAACCCCACAGATTGAGAAAGGACACATGCACATACACACACACACACACACACACACACACACACACACACACCCATCAGAATAAACAAACAAACAAAATCCAAAGTGAAGCACATCATAATCAAAGTGCTGAAAACCAGTGATAGTGACAGAGAGTAAATCTTAAAAGCAGATAGAGGGGAAAAAAAGATTACATAAGGGTACGATGATAAGAATGACAGCTGATTTCTCTTTAGAAGCAATGTAAGCCAAAAGACAAAGAAATGAAATCTTTAAAATTCTTAAAAACGCTACCAACCTAGAATGCCGGGAGTCATAAAGACTTTGCAAAGGGGAAAGGGGGAACTTTCTGGGATGATGGAAATGCTTCATATTTTAATTGAAGGAGGAGGTTATGTGTGTGTATACATATGTCAAAACTCACCATATACTTAAAATGAGTATATTCTATTGTAATATATGTTTTATATATATACATAATGACTTAAAGTTTATTTTAATAGTTAAAAAAATAGGAGGTTGCCTCCAAGATGGCCGAATAGGAACAGCTCCCGTCTACAGTTCCCAGTGAGATCGATGCAGAAGACAGGTGATTTCTGTATTTCAAACTGAGGTACCTGGTTCATCTCATTGGGACTGGTTGGACAGTGGGTGCAGCCCTCGGAGAGCAAGCCAAAGAAGGGCAGGATGTTGCCTCACCCAGGAAGCGCCAGGGGTCAGGGGATTTCCCTTTTCTAGCCAAGGGAAGCCATGAGTGACTGTACCTGGAGGAATGGTGCACACCTGCCCAAAATACCATGCTTTTCCCATGGTCTTCACAACTGACAGACCAGGAGATCCCCTCCCGTGCCTGGCTCGGCGGGTCCCATGCCCACAGAGCCTTGCTCACTGCTAGCGCAGCAGTCTGAGATCAACCTGGGATGTGGGAGCTTGGTAGGGGGAGAGGTGTCAGCCATTACTGAGACTTGAATAGGCAGTTCTATGCTTACAGTGTAAACAAAGCCGCAGGGAAGTGTGAACTGGGCGGAGCCCACCACAGCTCAGCAGGCCTACTCCCTCTCTAGATTCTACCTCTGGGGCAGAGCACATCTGAACAAAAGGGAGCAGACAGCTTCTCCAGACTTAAATGTCCCTGCCTGACAGCTCTGAAGAGAGCAGTAGTTCTTCCAGCATGGCATTTGAGCTCCGATAATAGACAAGACTGCCTCCTCAAGTGGGTCCCTGACTCCCATGTAGCCTGACTGCGAGACACCTCCCAGTAGAGGCCGACAGACACCTCATATAGATAGGTGCCCCCTCTGGGACGAAGTTTCAGGCAGCAATATTTGCTGTTCCGCAGCCTCTGCTGGTGATACCCAGGCAAACAGGGTCTGGAGTGGACCTCCAGCAAACTCCAACAGACCTGCAGCTGAGGGACCTGTCTGTTAGAAGGAAAACTAACAAACAGAAAGGAATAGCACCAACATCAACAAAAAGGACATCCATGCCAAAACCCCATCCATAGGTCACCAACATCAAAGACCAAAGGTAGATAAAACCACAAAATGGGGAGAAACCAGAGCAGAAAGGCTGAAAATTCCAAAAACCAGAATGCCTCTTCTCCTCAAAGGATTGCAGCTCCTCACCAGCAACAGAACAAAACTGCATGAAGAATGACTTTGATGAGTTGACAAAAGTAGGCTTCAGAAGGTCGATAATAACAAACTTCTCCGAGCTAGAGGAGCACGTTCTAACCCTTTGCAAGGAAGCTAAAAACTTTGAAAAAAAGTTAGACGAATGGCTAACTAGAATCAACAGTGTAGAGAAGAGCTTAAATGACCTGATGGAGCTGAAAACCACAGCACGAGAACTTCGTGAAGCATACAAAAGCTTCAACAGCCAATTCAATCAAGCACAAGACAGGATATCAGTGACTGAAGATCAAATTAATGAAATAAAGCGAGAAGACAAGATTAGAGAAAAAGAGTGAAAAGAAAGGAACAAAGCCTCCAAGAAATATAGGACTATGTGAAAAGACCAAAACTACGTTTGATTGGTGTACCTGAAAGTGATGGGGAGAATGGAACCAAGTGAGAAATCACTCTTTAGGAAATTATCCAGGAGAACTTCCCCAACCTAGCAAGGCAGGCCAACATTCAAATTCAGGAAATACAGAGAACGCCACAAAGATACTCCTCGAGAAGAGCAACCCCAACATACATAATTGTCAGATTCACCAAGGTTGAAATGAGGGAAAAAATGTTAAGGGCAGCCAGAGAGAAAGGTCAGGTTACCTACAAAGGGAAGCCCATCAGACTAACAGCAGATCTCTTGGCAGAAACCCTACAAGCCAGAAGAGAGTGGGTGCCAATATTCAACATTCTTAAAGAAAAGAATTTTCAACCCAGAATGTCATATCCAGGCAAACTAAGTTTCCTAAGTGAAGGAGAGATAAAATCCTTTATAGACAAGCAAATGCTGAGAGATTTTGTCACCACGACGCCTGCTTTACAAGAGCTCCTGAAGGAAGCAAGAAACGTGGAAAGGAACAACCGGTACCAACCACTGCAAAGACACGCCAAATTGTAAAGATGATCGATGCTATGAAGAAACTTCATCAATTAATGCGCAAAATAACCAGCTAGCATCCTAATGACAGGATCAAATTCATACATAACAATATTAATCTTAACTGTAAATGGGCTAAATGCCCCAATTAAAAGACACAGAGTGGCAAATTGGATAAAGAGTCAAGACCCATCAGTGTGCTGTATTCAGAAGACCCATCTCACGTGCAGAGACACAGATAGGCTTAAAATAAAGGGATAGAGGAAGATCTACCAAGCAAATGGAAAGCAAAAAAAAAAAAGCAGGGGTTTCAATCCTGGTCTCTGATAAAACAGACTTTAACCAGAACTCATGTTCTCCCTCATAAGTGGGAGTTGAACAGTGAGAACACATGGACACAGGGAGGGGAACATCATACACCGAGGCCTGTTGGGGGTGGGGGGCTAGGGGAGGGATAGCATTAGGAGAAATACCTAATGTAGGTGACTGGTTGATGAGTGCAGCAAACCACCATGGCACATATATACCTACGTAACAAAACTGCACGTTTTGCACATGTAACCCAGAACTTAAGTATAATAAAAAATAAATAAATAAACTGAAAAAAACTCAATTGAAATGGAAGAAACCATGAACAACAGGCAATTCACAGAAGAAATGAAAACAGCCTTTAGGGGTATAAAAAGATGTTCAAGCTCATTCATAATATAAATACCTTGTGGTTTAAATTAATATCCCTGCTTAGTGTTTGCAGAATTCTCACACAATAGGTAGTTGCCTGTCATCTTGACCTTCTCCTCCATATTTTGCTTTCTCTATTCTGGAGGGAATTTCTCTGGCTGCTCTAAATCTACAAAGGGGATCATTTTTCTTCTTCCATCTAGAGGAATCAGAAGTTGAAGCAAAACCTTTAATTTCATTCTACTGCCAAAACAAGCCCCAAAATTATGGACATAAGAGAGCATAGGCAAGTTTGGCTAGAAGTGCATTATTTTATTACCAAGAAAATTTGCAGATAAATGAGAATCAAAGATGACCAAGAGGCAGAATACAAGAAACGAGTAGATGAGAGTAACTAACAAAGATGGCGTATCTTACAGTGGCAACACTACTCCTGTCACTGGCAGCTATCATCAATGAGTCTGAGATTTTCAGCACGAATATAACTTATTCCCTTATGCCTACCTGCAAAGTTTCATATAATGGTCAATATTCCAAAATTAAAAAGTTAAGAAAAAAGTCATTTTAAGGTCTAAGGACAATTTTTTAATTAACAAATCAAAATCTCATCACATTATGTAAGTAAAAGCAATCCATATATTTAAAAAATTAGGCACCAAGAAAGTGGACCTGTTTACAGTTTCAACCTATTGCAATTTGTGCTGAAACTGAAGTTATTTACATATCTTGAAATTTAAGGTATCTACTAGGCCTAGACACTCACACTAAATAGAAAATAAACCTGTATGTACCATTACATAATATAAACTTGATTCCTGCTGCTTGAGGGGAAAAGAGACCTGAGAATCCTTTTACATTGCTTCATAGTACCTTTTTAACAAACCACATTTATCGGTTACTAGTGAAAAGTAAAACATAATAGAGTAAAGCCTTAAGAAAATAATAAATGATATTGACAAAACAGGTTTCATAAAATATTTCAAAAATATTTTAAGAGAAACCCAGAAATAGCGTGACTTAAGCAGATGTTCCATGTGCTTAAGAAAGTTATTTCAGTGAGGTTCCCTCAAGCTGCCAACGTCAAGTTTATATGCATGCATTCTTTGTATATATCCTTTTACTTTTAAAGGTTTAGTTGGCTATAGATTTTCACTGTAAACCTGGAATTTGAACACATGCTTCAGAATAAATTTCTCAGAATTCAAAATGCAGTTTTACATTTAGAAAACAAGGTATGTAGAAAAAAGTCACTTCTGTGTCCTGAAATTATTTATTTTGAGGGAAAAAATACTAGAATTTCAAGTCATAAAGTCAAATAAATCCTGTCAGAATATTTGGAAGTTGATTCTAAAATCTTAACATAAATCTGCATGGAATTGTAATTAGTTAACACAACTGACTAAAGTGATTGTATAAACTAAACTGAAATCTGAATTCCAAGGGAATATACACAATTATATTAGACACTCACATGTTTAGCCTCTATTAAGTACTCGGCTCTATATTAGGCACTGTGTATTAAAGAAAGAATGAATTGTTCTCAAGGATTTACAATCTTATTTGGGTGACTTAGACACCCCAGGGCCGAACAGCATATAAGACCGAACACATGTGAGTTTAAACATGTAATATCAACACTACGTGCATCATTTCTCATAGCTGTGCCTTCTTCATTTCCAATGCCACTGCCCTGATCTAGGCAACAGAGTGTCAAGGTAGGTTCTCTAATATGATAAAAGGACAAGATAGAGGCTAACAAATCAGAAGACTATAACACTATAGATATGAGGTAATTTGGATCTAGATTAGGGACATGACAGTGGATAGTCTAGATAAGGGTAGTGAAATATTTATAAGGAAAAACAAATAGTGTACAAGGAGAAAAGAAAATGATTTACCAAACAGACACTGTGTGATGGGCACTACAGTATGTCTTCTATGGGTATCATTTTATTCTTCACTTACAAAAACTAGTGTACAGTGTAGATATTATCCCTGTCTTGGAAACAAAGATACTGGGATTCACAACGGTTAAATAATTTTTGCCTGAGATCACAGAACTAGTGAATGGAAGACCTGGGATTCATACCCCAAACTGAGCCAAAGCTTCTTCTCCTGCCAAACTGTACTAAGAAAGCAGATCAGTCCTTGCCTGAGGACAGAGGGTTGGGAGTGTCAAAGGAAGAGATTACAAAGAAGTGTAAGAAAACATTTGGGGGTGATAAATATGTTCATTTTCTTATTTTTGATAATAATTTTGCATGTAATTATATCAAAAATCATCAATTTGTGTACACTTTAAATAGGTACAGTTTATTATATGTCAATTATAACTCAACAAAGCTAGAAAAAAATCTACTTCACATTTATGGCTAAAACTATTTTTTTAAATGCATTATTTTATTGGATAAAATAATTATCCACATTTGTTTAAGATAAAATCAGACGTAAGCTTGTTTTAATTAAAAAAATCACAATACCATTTCACAACCACTAGGATGATTGTTAAAAAACAAAAAGGGAAAATAATGAGTATTGGTGAGGATCTGGAGAAACTGGAATCCTTGAATATTGTTCGTTGGAGTTAACATGCTGGGGAAAACAGTTTGGTGGTTCCTCAAAGAGTAAATTCAGAATTACCATATGACCCAGCAATTCCATTCCTAGGTGAAAAAAATGGATAAGAGTATTCAAACAAAAACTCATACATGAATGTTCATAGCAGCACTATTCATAATAGCCAAGTGGTAGAAACAAGCCAAATGCCCATCAACTAATGAATGGATAAGTAAAAGGTAATATTATCCATCAGCAGAATATTATTCAGCCATAAAAAGGAATGAAGTACTGATACATGCTACAACATGGATGAATCTCAAAAGCACACTAAGTGAAAGGGGCCAGACACAAAAGGTTACATATCATGTGAGACCATTTACATGAAATATCCAGAATAGGTAAACCTATAGTATAGAGACAGTAAATTAGTGGTTGCCAGGGGCCAGTTAGAGAATGAAATGGGGAGTGACTGCTAATGGGGATGGGGTTTCCTTTTGAGGTCATGAAATGTTTGGGACTAGATAGATACAGGTGATGGTTGTACAACACTGTGAATGTATTAACTGCCACTAATTTTAATGTACACTTTAAAATGGTTAATTTTATGTGAATTGTACCTCAATTTAAAAAATTAATCACAAATTATTTTTGATGATGGTGGAGGTTGTTATATACATGTCAAAATGAACCATAATAAAACAGCTCCTATCCCTTAAGTCCTCTCTCCTGAAACTATGTTATCATTAAGTGAATGGTTCGCTTCTTTCCAATACCTACCTTCAAGTTTATTCTATAATGAACAAAATACTTACGTTTTTGTGTTTAACTACAAAATTGATCAGATAATTTCTTAAAAACGTCAATCAAAAAAATACAAACATTTATCAAATTAAAGCAAAAGAACAAACTTTATGCAGAAAAACTTGTTGCAATGCAGCTGATTTAAATCAAGACTTTAATCAAACATATCTTAATAAAGTAAATCTCAAAAATTAGAATTCTGTCATTTTGAATAATAAAAGTTGAAATCATATGGCTATAACCTGCAAATTCTAAAGAATATAAATAGGATGGATATAAATATGTGGATCAATTCTCACAAGTATTAGCAGTAGAGGCAGAAGGGGATAGGGCAAGCTTGTCCAACCCACGCGGCCTACGGGCAGCATGCAGCCCAGGATGGCTTTCAATGTGGCCCAACACAGATTCATAAACTTTCGTAAAATATTATGAGATTTTATTTATTTATTTTTTAGCTCATCAGTTATTGTTAGTGTTAGTGTATTTTATGTGTGGCCCAAGACAATTATTTTTCCAATGTGGCCCAGGGAAGCCAAAAGATTGGACACCCCTGGTGTAAAGACTAGGAACACAGGCTCCAGTACAAGATACCTGGGATTCAATCCCAATTCTGCCAACTTACTAGCAATGTAAGTTTGGGGAAATTACTTAACTTCCTTGGAATATAATTTTATGTAAAATTTGAAAATAAAAATACCTGTTTCACAGCATAGCAGTTTTAAGAATAAATGAGATAATTCTTATAGAGCACCTCAAATAATGGTTTATAGACTAGTACTTTACTATAAGCATCAGTATTAAGGTTTGGGTTCCTAAAGGAAATCATTCATTTTTCCCCTTACCATTCTCAGTAAACAAAAAGGCTAGGAGAAGTTTTTTTTGAAAAGTATACACCTCATGAAGAATATCCTAAAGGATCAAAGACAAGGAATCAGATTTTCTGAGGGACACTTTATATGTTATTTCCTACAGTGATCTAATTCTATAAAAGGGCATGTAACCATTGTTTACAGCATTCTTAAAAAAACACCAAACCTCTGATTTCTTAACCTGCTTTTCTATTTCTTAATAGAAAGAGAAGTTTCATCTTCCTTAGTCTCCAAATTACAGGTAAACAACTAAGCTGCTTCCACTCCAAAATTAGACTCCCATTTGAAAAATTACAGAAACGATGGCTCTGGAGATGGAAAATGGGAGATGAGCAGATTTATATGGGCTCCTCTGAACTGATATTGGTGCCAACTCACAGAAGCCACTGTGTGTTTAGCTCAGCTGCTCTTTGTGCATGCCTCCAGGGGTTAATAGCTAAAGCTACATCTGTGAAGGAAATATAATGACAACACTGTCCACGGGAAGAGACATTATAAACAAAGAATTTCCCTCTACAGTTGAGGTCTCAATTGTCTGAAATACTGTCTGTTCCTTTCCCATTCCCTGCCCTCCGGCATGCTTCTTACCAGCTGCAATCACAAAGTATTTCTGATACATGTCCTCAAGTTTGGACTCTGGTTGCTTAAATTCTAGATTCTCAAGCCCAAAAGGAACATATGACAAGTGATTATAAAGATATGGATGATATTTGCAGCTCTGAATATACATCAAAACTAAAGTACTCCATAGAAAAATTTTACAACTGCATATGTAATTGCTAACTTATACAGGCTGGATCATATTTAGAGAAGGGCGTTTAGCTGTGGTAGTATGGTATTCTATTTATTTATTATTATTTTTTTGAGACTCAGTCTTACCATGTTGCCCAGGCTGGTCTTGAACTCTTGGGTTCAGGAGATCCTCTTAGCTCGCCTCCCAAAGTGCTGGGATTACAGGCATGAGCCACTGCACCCAGACTGCTCCATTCTAACATGGGCATTAACAGAGATGATCTAGTGAAAAGGAACCAGAGTGGAAAATAATCTAGAAACTGTCAGATAAGGAACAACTAGAATAAAAAGCCTTGAGAACAGAAGTCTTCAGGAGGGTATGGCACATTGGACCAAAAGATGTGTAAGATCCTTTATAAAACAAAAATGTTCAAATTTGAAGTTATCACATAATTGCCAGTTTAAAGTTGGCTATACTGGTTAATTCACACTGGATACACTAAATGAGAGTTTCTCAACCAAAGGCAATTTTGCCCTCTAGGGGATATTTGGCAATATCCTAAGACATTTTGGGTTGCCACAACTGGGGAGGAGGTATTACTAGCATCTAGTAGGAAAAGGCAAAGGATGCTGCAGAAGACAGTCCTCTCTCATAAAGAATTATCCATCTGTAATATCAATAGTGTCAAAGTTAAGAAATCCTGTAGATGACTCTGGCAGCAGGGTATAAGAATTCCTGGAAATCACATATAGCTTTTAAAAAGCACATTCTAAATTGTTTTATCTATTTTTATTCACAAAATTTATTTTAAAATTTCAAACAACATAAGAACAGATAAGACATGTATAGGTTATAAAGCAAGCAAGGAAGCATGCCCAGATTACCAAGTTGCCTCAGAATGAGACACACTCTTTGACTTCACATGCAACAGAAAGGCACAGTTTTATTTCAAACAAAGCAGTGTTTTGCTGTAACACCGTTAAAAACTGGAAAGGAAAACTCAATCAAACCAAAAACTAGATGCTTAGGAATAAATGGTAGAATTCTTACAAAACCACCACGCTTCAATTCAATCTAAATCAATTCAACAAATCTGTGCTGAAAGTATAACATTTAGTTTTCTTAGACACCAAATGAACAATACAAAATCCCTCAAGGGACTTAGAACATTCAAGTTTTCTATATCTGTGGTTCTAAGTCTGTTACCAACTTCCAGGACTCTGCTTCTTTCCCTCTGCCCATTAACAATGCGGTGTTAAAAGTGACTTCCTACCACTATGTTTCTTACAGCTGATTCAACCACTCATCTCATAGCCAGGCATGAAAGAAAGGAGCATACCCCTAACCGAGAACTATTTTTTAGATGGTAGTCATATATTTATTTCATATTTAGTAAGTATTATTTCAGGTCTTATTAATTAAAGGAATAAACTTCTCTGGCTATAAGATGCAAGGATGATATGTGAATTCATGAATTGTTCCATGTTTTTCACCCAGATACAAGAAATTCAGAGAACACTTGAGAGATGCTATGCAAGATGAATATCACCAAGGCACACAGTCATCAAGGTCTATCCTAAATATACATGCACGCAACATCAGAGCACCCGGATTCATAAAAAAACTACTACTAAACCTAAGAACCTGAGAAATACACTAGTGGGAGGCTTCAACACTCCACTGGTGTTCTTGTGTCCTTTAAAAGCACATTAAAAAGATAATTCATCATGATCAAGTAGGGTTTATTCCAGGAATGCAAGGATGGTTGAACATATGCAAATCAATAAATGGGATTCACCACATAAAGAAAACTAAGAATAAAAACCACATGATCATCTCAATAGATACAGAAAAAGCACGTGATAAAATTCAACATTCCTTCATGATAAAAACCTTCAACGAACTAGGCACTGAAGGAACATACCTCAAAATAGTAAGAGCCATCTATGACAAACCCATAACCAACATCATACCAAATGTGAAAAAGTTGAAAGCATTCCCCCTAAGAACCAGAATAAGACAAGGATGTCCAGTCTCACCACTCCCATTCAACATAGTACTGGAAGTCCTAGCCAGACCAATCACCCAAGAGAAGGAAATAAAAGGTATCTAAATTGGAAAAGAGGAAGTCAAATGATCTCTGTTCACTAATGACATGATAGTGTAGCTAGGAAACCCTAAAGGCTCCTCCAAAAGACTCCTAGACTTGTTAAACAACTTCGATAAAGTTTAAGGATACAAAATCTATATATAAAAATTAATAGTATTTCTACATACCAATAATGTTCAAGTTGAGAACAAAATTAAAAAATCTCATTTGCAACAGCCACACACACACACGCATCATACACACACACACACACCCCGCAGGAATACATTTAATCAAGTGGGTAAAACATCTCTGCAAGAACTACAAAACACTGATGAAAGGAATCATAGATGACACAGAGGGAAAAACATCCCATGCTCATGGATTGGAAGAATCAATATTGTTAAAATGCCAATATTGCTCAAAGCAATCTGGAGATTCAGTGTAATTCCTATCAAATTACCAATGTCATTTTTTCACAGCATTAGGAAAAAACAATCCTAATGTTTATATGGAACCAAACAAAAGCCAGAATAGTCAAAGCAATCCTAAGCAAAAAGAACAAATCTGGAGGCATCACATTACTCAGCAACAAATTATACCACATAGCTGTAGTACTGGTATAAAAATAAACATGGTACTGGTACAAAAATAAACACATAGATCAATGGAACAAAACACAGAACAAACAAATGAAGTCACATACCTATAACCAACTGATCTTCAACAAATAACAAAAAAATAATGGGGAAAGGAGACTCTATTCAATAAATGGTACTGGGAAAACTGGCTAGCCATAGGCTGAAGAATGAAACTGGACCCCTATCTCTCACCACATACAAAAATTAACTCAAGATGGATTAAAGACCTAAATGTTAAGATCTGAAACTATAAAAATTCCTGAAGAAAATCTAGGAAAAACTCTCTGGATATCGCCTAGGCAAAGAATTTATGATGAAGACCCCAAAAGCAAATGGAATGAAAACAAAAATAGACAAATTTAACTTAATTAAACTAAAAACCTTCTGCATAGCAAAAGAAATAATCAACAAAATAAACAGCCTACAGAATGGGAGAAAAAATCTGCAAAGTATGCCTCCAACAAAGGACTAAGACAACTCAAACAACTCAACAAGAAAAACATTAAAAAGTGCGCAAAGGCCACGAACCAACATTTCTCAAAAAAAGAAATATAAGTGGCCAAGAAACACATGAAAAATGCTCTACATCACTAATCATCAGAGAAATACAAATTTAAACCACATTGAAAGTTTTTATGTGCTGGTTTCTGAGCTCTACAAAATTAAAGGTAAGATGTTCTTCTAGGAGTGAGAAAAAAGGGAGAAGAGTTGAATGTCTGCAGAGAACAAGAAATAGTAACAATAAACGTAGTAGAAAATAGAAGAAAGAACTGACCAAAGACATATAGAAGAATTGATGGGGAGCATCAATCTCTGAAATTGTGGATTTTGTTTTTATTCAGTAGGATGTGGCAACCTGGAAGCAGGCACACAAAAAATGAAAAAGTATCAGATGACTTTCATGAGAATTGAAGTTTTTATCTAAATAATAGGCAAGGAAGGTGAAGACAGGACTTGGCAAATTTTTCCATAAAGGGTCAGATGGTAGACATAAAATAATAAAATAATAATAAAAGGCTTTGTAGACTATACAATCTCTGCTACAAGTCCTCAACTCTACCGTCGTAGTGTAAAAGCAGTCATAGACAGTATGTACATGAATGGGCATACCTGCGTTATTTATAAAAACAGGTGTTAGGCTGGCTTTGACTTGTTACAGGGCTATAATTTACCAACCCCTGGTTTAAGACAAGAAAGTGAAGATAAAAGGAGGGACTGATAACAGAGAAATCAATAGGCTTGAACTCTGAAGAGTTGAAGAACTAGAGGCTAAAATGAAATTTTATGGCATGAATAAACCAAAACTCACGTTAGAATTAATACAGTCTATAAAACAAACCTTTGAGCCTATTTCGCAAACATCAATAGGATCATTATCTCCAAAGCAGTTCGTGCTCTTATCTTTTTCATGGGGATCTTCCCAAGTCTAAAATTTTTTTTTTAAAAAAAAGCAGAAATGTAAGTTAATACTATAATGTACTTTAATCTTTCCACATAATCACAAAGTTTTATAGATAACAATAATCCAAAGAAAACATTATCAGAAATTACATAGGCCCAAGGCCAACAGGCCAGTATGTCCCTAAGGATCATAATATTTAAAACAGATTTATAGTATTTCCTCCATCTCTCAGTTGCTGGTATAATTGCATCTGCAAGTGGGTGGTATATGCAGACATACTCATCTTCCAAGTTCAGTCAGGGAATAAATTCACATTCACTTTTAGAGTTTCAGTGGATGTTCCCACTGTCTGTGCCCTTGTTTCTGTGTTTCCGCTGACTGCCTCAACTGTGGCTTCCGTCATTCACCGCTTCCTTTGACCCGGTAACAGCACATGGATCTAAATTACTAAAAGGAATCCAGTTTTCCCTTTATAAATGAAAGGACAAAACACTACTAAAGAAAATAAAAACCTATTTTGTCTTATTCATTCCATTAAAAAATCCTCTACCTGTCAAATCTCAAGGACCTTGATAAAAACATGAAAAGACATCAATTCTTTAGTTTACTGGCAAGATTATACCCTGTTGGTTACAAAATATACACATAGGAATTTTTATAAATGAAGACTGTAATAGAAATTTGCTAGTAAGATTAAAGATCCCTTAGGCACTATCTCTCCCAAAAAGCCTCAGAATTGCCTGATTCTAAATGGAACTGTAGAAGTTCCCTAAAATTATTTGCTTTAAATTCAAACTAAAAGGGATACAGAGACCGTCATCCCAAGAATCAGATTATCATTATTATCTAAGATTTCAGGTTATCTAAGCTTATTTCCTTTAATTTTATATAGATAATTACAAACAAACTTATTTACAGCTAAGCATTAGAGAAATTCCAATATTTTCCTTCTAGTACTAATTAGTTTATTCAGAAATAACCTGGCCTAACTTTATCTTAAAAAAAAAAATCAATAAATGAAGTCCAACAACATTTCACTGCCCCAAATACTAATACTACTAAGAAAATATAAGAATAACCACAATTGTTAATCTTACATACTGGTCATAGGTGACAAACACTTTCTAGCTAATATATACACACACAACATACACATATATACATACATACCACATGAATAATATACCATAACGAATTCCATTTTATAGATAAGTAAATTGAAACACAGAGTTTAAACTTGCACAAACTCATGGTTTCTATATGGTAAAGATTGTATTAGAACTCATGCTACTAATCATTTTTTATGTGCAAATTATGATAACAATTGAATGGCATTTATTTTCAAATATAACCCCATCTACTTCACGGTTCTCTTCTTTCAAATACCTTCTCTTACTCTGAGCAATCTCCTAAGTAACTTTCCTAGAGAGGTTCTGTTCTTTCCCAGTCTTCCCGTTACTGCTTCTTTTTTTCTATTAACAGGCATTCATTCATACAGTAAAACATTTATTGAGTACCTACTTTGGGCCAGTAACAGAGATTTATAGGAAACAGTCAATACCATGGAGAGTGTCATGTTAATAAATGGTATGGCATTTGTGACAAATGCAATAAAGGTAATAAGAATTATTATTATTATAATAAATGGCATGGCATTTGTGACAAATGCAATAAAGGTAATTATTATGATACTTTTAAGTTTTAGGGTACATGTGCATAACGTGCAGGTTTGTTACATATGTATACATGTGTCATGTTGCTGTGCTGCACCCATTAACTCGTCATTTAGCATTAGGTATATCTCCTAATGCTATCCCTCCCCCCTCCCCCCACCCGACAACAGTCCCCAGTGTGTGATGCTCCCCTTCCTGTGTGCGTGTTGTCACTGTTCAATTCCTACCTATGAGTGAGAACATGTGGTGTTTGGTTTTTTGTCCTTGAGATAGTTTGCTGAGAATGATAATCTTAACGTGCTGGGGAAACCAGGATGGGACACCCAGGTATAATCAGAATCAAACAACCTACTGCAGAATCAGAAAATATCTGAGAGGTTCCTCCTTGCTAATGCAGAAATCCCATCTCATAATTTTGCTTATCCCTACTCCCACTCCCAAGAGAACAAATGCGACAAGCTAGAAGTCCCATTGGCCTAAAGGAAAACATCTAGATTCTACCACAAACTATCTTGATTAAACTATCCAGATCTGTTTCTTCAGCTATTAAGAAAGGCTTAAATAGGAAGATCTTTTTTTCTTTCTTTTTTTTTTCAGACAGAGTCTCCCTCTGTCTACCAGGCTGGAGTGCAGTGGCACGATCTTGGCTCACTGCAAGCTCCGCCTCCTGGGTTCAAGCGATTCTCCCGCCTCAGCCTCCCAAGTGGCTGGAACTACAGGCGCCCACCACCACCCTAGCTAATGTTTTTGTATTTTTAGTATAGACGGGTTTTCACCATGTTAGCCAGGATGGTCTCAATCTCCTGACCTCGTGATCCACCTGCCTCGGCCTCCGACAGTGCTGGGATTACAAGCGTGAGCCACTGCGCCGGCCAATAAGAGGATCTTTAGACACATTCTAGCCCTAAAATGCTGAGATTGTTAGTGCTCATTTACAATCTGCATGAATGCTACCAGTGAACATGAAGCCCACATACTTATGACCTACTTATGACAATTTTGATGAGCATTAATTTTTTTTAAGTCATTCCTCACACAGAGACAAAGACTGTCTTGACATTAACTTAGTTGTGGTGACTATTTCTGTTGGTTGGTTGGTCCTCAGAACTCCAATTTCAACATTACCTAGCAATATGGTTCCATATGTTGAGAAATTAAGTACCCAAGTAGAAAATTCTTAAACTCTACAATATTGTTATGTTTAGGGCCAATTCTTCATGATTTTCCTTACCAGCAAAAATACCAGACTGGTTCTCTTTATTTCCAACCTTTAATACTCTGCATCTACAGGCCTTAGTTTTTACTACAAAAAGACACACTAACTCACCTCTAATTTAACTTGAAAATACAGTATAACTTCAACAGGAAAGGAAATCTTGACAAATTTAAGCTTTGGTTATGCCCTCTTGTGGAGTCTTATGTGTGTAACTATTAACAGACAAATAACTAGAAAAGAACAAACACTGGAGAAGAAATATCAAGAAGCAGAAGTTCAAAATCTTAATATTGGTTTCACAAAAATGACAAAAGATTAGCTTCCAGACTTTAGAAATAGTTTTGGCAACTAAATAAGAAAAAGGGCAACCCAACTAAAATGGGTTGAAGATATGAACAGGTAATTAAAAGAAGGGGAAACATGAATGACTTATAAATTAAGAAAAGATACCTAGTCTGATCAGAAAAATACTAGTTAAAATCACAATAAGATACTATTTCAAAAACCTAAAAATCTTATAATCTAAAATATTAGTAAGGATATACGGTACTGGAACCCTATATACTGCTGGCAGGAGTATAAATTGTCACAACTTCTTTTATAACAATCTGGAAATACTTAGTAAAGTAAAATAGTTATACAACTCATAATTTGACTAACAGGTATATAAGTATATATACTATCTATAGAATAGTTATACAACTCAAAATTTGACTAACAGGTATATAAGTATATTTACTATCTATACAGAAAACTTTAGCATGGACCCAAGAAAGCTACAAACAACCTATCAACAGGAAAACAGTATTATAGAAAAGATGATTATAAAGCTATAAAAATGAATAAATCAGAATACACATATTATTGTTATACCCTAAAACAAATCCTTCTCATTTTCATGCAGGTGTTTGTGATTATTACCTTACAATCTATAAGTAATGGCCAATACATTTCTAATCACCACACTCTGGTCCTTAGGTCTCTTAAAAAATCCCTGAATCATACAAAGCCATATATACAGGTGGTTCTTAAGAATATCTTCCTGATTAACCAGCATTCCTATCACAAGTCGAAGGAAGACCTTTGACTTTCCCACTACCATCACTTTTTTTTTTTTTTTTAAGAGAGGGTTTCACTCTGCCACCCAGGCTGAAGAACAGTGGTGTGACCATAGCTCACTGCAACCTTAAACTCCTGGCCTCAACTGATCCTCTTGTCTTGGGCTCCCAAAGAACTGGAATTACAGGGATGAGCCATCACCTATGCTTTCCCAGCTTTAATTTGGAGCAAAAGCCTCTACCAGTGTTTTTACTACTAGTAGCTAACATCAGTAGCAATCATCATCATTGAGTTAATATTATTAAGAACTCACTATGGGGCCAAACACCTCTGATCAACTCATTCAATACTCACAATAACCTTGTAGGGTAGGTAGTATGATCATACAGATAAACAAACAGGCCTAGAGAGATTTAGTCACTTGTCTCAGGTTATAAAGCTAATAAGTAGGACTATATATTTGATTGGGGAGGTCAATGAACCAAATTTATAATTAAGCACAAAATAAACATATCAATACTACATTAAGACTGAAGAAATTTTGAATTTAAACTGAATCTAGTCTTTTAATATTTTCCAGACAGGTATTCTAAATATTCACTCAATGAGATGTAACACTGAAATAACCCATTACATGTGGGCAATATGAATAAACTGGTGGGAAGACGAGATGAATTTTTGCCCAGGGAAGCTCAAACTTTGAGGAAGGCATTATTAGGAGTGCGGGAGATGCTATTCAGGCTAACGGTCTAGACAGCTGAAGGTCTGAATAATGATGGTATACTGATGAATCACAAGCTAAGTGGATAGACTACTACTTAAACAGTATTCTGCTGCTTAAATGTTCTTCTAAGTACACAGTTGGCTCAGTAACTGCTCTGAACAAGTTTCTTGCTGTTACAAGACGAATCATAGAACAGCTAAAGTATCCACACACGCCTATGAAACAAATGTGACACACATACACAATGCATTAATTTATTCATTTCACAGTTATTGATCACCTACTCCATGGCAGGCATTAAGCTGGGTAGTCAGAATGTATCAGTGAACAAAAGAGACAGAATACCTGCCCTCATGAAGTCTGCATTCTAGCTGGGAGAAATTAACAATAAACATAATAAATAAATTATACAGCAGGTTACAATTTGGCAGGTGTTATAGAAAAGGGAAATAAAGTATGAGAGGGGGAATGGGAGTAGGGTTAAAAGTTTTAAAGGATGATTGGCAGATACTATGAAGAAGATGAGTTAAAGGCAACCTAAGGAAGCCATGTGCATACCTGGAAAGGAGTGTTCCCAGGAAAGGACACAGTGAAGGTGAGGGCTTGAGACATCAGTGTGCTTTGAGCACCAGAGTGCCAGTGTGGAAGTGAAGAAGCAGAAGGCAGAAGGAGAGTTGGAGATGAGATTAAAAAGATAAATGGGACCAGGGGCTGGCTTTCATTTTAACAGGGTCATGTCTGAACATCAACCATCAAGCAGAAAAAAAAAAAAAAAAAAAATCAGGTAGAGCTATTCCATAAGCTATCCCATAAGCAATTGGCATGATTTCAGCATTCTTAAAAACATCATTCAATTTAGTTATTTTCTTTGATAAATAACTAACTTATATGCAATTTATGGTGTATTCACACACACACACACACACACACACACACACACACACACACACACAGACTCTCTCTCTCTTTTTCTCTCTCTCTCTCCAAGATCAGTCAGGTTTAAAAAAGTAGTACAGATCTCTAATTGAAAATGGCAGACAGAATGCAGGTCTATTTCCTCTTTCACTTCCATTCTAGCCACACTGGCTTCCTTTTTGATACTCACACATGCTAGGCCTATTTCCACCTCAGGACCTTTATACTTGCTGTTTCTTGTTGGACTGCTCTTCCTCTAGATGTCCACACTACTTGTTCCCTCACTTCCTTTAGATCTTTACTCAAATAACACCTTTTCACTGAGATCGTCTCCCTGTCTAAATTGCAACAATCCTAATATCCCCTAGTCCCATTCCCTGCTTAACTTTTCTTTGACATACTTACCACCACCTGACATTTTACTTGGGGTTTATTTTGTTTATTGTCTGTTTATCTGACTAAAATAAAAGCTCCAGAGAAATATCTGTCACTTTTTATCACTGCTTTACCTGCAGTACTTACAAGAACACCTTGCAAATATACAGGCCTTTAATAAATATGTACTGAATGAATGAACAGTTTGGTGAAGGCCTGGTGAGGACACAATGAGGTAAGTTAGAAACACTGAAGAAGACTTTGTGGTGGATAGACGTGAGAAAGGGGGAATGCTGCAAAATGAGGATAGAGAAGTAAGCGGAGGCCAGATCACACAGGGTTGAGTAGCAATGTTAAGAATTTTGTATTTTATCTTTTAAGCAACAGGAGACCATTAAGGTGTTCTTGTACAAGAAAAGCATCTGCAAATTTGTGTTTTAAAAATATCAATTTGGATATTGGATGGAGTATGAAACTTAGGTAGGCAATGGTGAATGCAGGGTGAATAATGAATTAAGGGACTACCACAGTCTAATTCTGTTTTATTAGTAGAAGAACTACCGTACCTGCCAGATTAATACCACTGCAGAACATCTGGAAATCCAGACACATCCAGAGGAGCACAGAAGTTTGGCAGGACTTTAAATGGAAAACTACAGAAGCTTCTTTTGTTTTTACCTCCGTTCCTCCCCTTCTCTCTTTCCTGTCAATAGGTTTGCTTTTTTATTTTTTTCATAATTTTAAATTAGTAGATGAATTAGTAGTGCCTATTATACCACATCATAACCAGCAGTTTAGTTCTTGATTGCCCCAATCAGACTAAAAACAACTTTAGGGAAAGAACCATACGATAATAAAAGTACCAGTCTTAATTATAACAATAATTGATTACTACATGTTACACACTATTCAAATGCAGTAACTCATTTAATCTCAACACAAAGATAAGAAGTAGATATTTTATGTTCTCCATTTTACAGATGAAGAAAATGAGGAAAAGTATCTTTCCCAAGGCCCAAGGTCACATTACTAGAAAGTGACAATCTCACTCCCAAACCCACATTTTCCAGTCACTTATTATGAGGCCTTGATGTCACATCTATATCCCATCTGTCTTTATATACCCAACACCTAATATCCTGCCTAGCACATAAATCCTTAATAAATGTTTAAAGAAATAAATACATGCACCTTAGTTTATTCTCTAGCTCCTCTACTTACGTCTCTGTTTTTGTCTGTCTCTAATTCATTGGCTTCTTCAGCATTACCCTCATCCACACATTTCCTACAGGCTGCATCCCCTAAGCTTTACAGAACTTTTTCAACCTTTTGCTGTTGGGTCAAACAGCATACCTATTTAAGTACCTGGAGAGTTAGAAAACCTGCTTTCATGGTTTCCACAGGCATTCTCATTCTTAGCATATCACTTTAGAAGTGCCCATTTTAACCAAGAATGTATCCATGTGGGTGATCTAACTGAATCAGAGACAGCCTGACTCTTTAGAAAACAATTTTTTTTTAAATTTTCCTGTGAATGTTTATTCTACACGGGCAGCTGCTTTTTCATGTTGGATAAAACAAGACCTCTCTTCTCAGATATTTCCCCAATACCATCTTGAAATTTCATGCAAAATATTAAAATAAATAAAAATATAAAAATTAAATTTCCAGACAGATGGTCTATGGTTTTTATAAACATAAAGGCAGATGGTTCTCTGTGTCCCCAAAACCTAGAATTTTGATTCAGCATATTCTGAGTTTTACTCACTAAATAATCTGGAAGAGTTACCTCTTCCTGGGAATGAGGAAACATGAGAGAAAACCAAAAGAGGTAAAGAAAGGAAGAAAAGCAAATAGTTGTTATTCTCCAACAGGAATGCTACCTTATCATTATTTAGCTCTTGTTTTCTCTGCTTTCTACTTAAAAATTATTAACTCATAACAGTAAATAAGTTGTGCAATTCAATTTACAATGAGTTCCAGGAAAAAGTTAATAATTTAACACATTCATCTGTTAAAGTTTAAAATATAAAATTTGTGCTATCATATATGAATGTGTATAAAAGCATAACTTGTCATGTTCAAAGGAATGACTGTAGATAAAGCCTCGCTTAAAAGTTTTTCACTGACACTTAATAGGCAAGACCAGAAAAAAAAAAATGTATTCAAAATGTCAAATGTGAACATTCCATATGCCTGACTCCAAGAACTTGAGTATAGACATATATATGGTTTAAAACAAAATTTATTGATATACTAAAACTCCATCCACGTTAATAAATTCCAAATTTACAAACCTCTCCAAATGACATGTCCTCAGAACCAATTTAAATTCAGTAGTTCACAGGATTTATAAGGCAATTTTTTCAGAAGACAGGAACATTTTACCATTGTAACAAAAATGTTACCTGAGGGAGGGTACCATAATTCCATATATAACCCTTGTAAGGGAAGATATTCGCCACATAGCGTAGCTTTCCATCCTTTACATATTGTTTAATGGGATTCATTGGCTCCTTGGTGGCAATCTAAGCAAATCACAGAAGGAAGAAAAGGAGATGGGATAAGAAATAATTAATTCTATGTCCAAATAGTACTTTTAAAAATCTGCTATTTTCAGACTAAACATTCATATTTCAACTTAATGATCAAAGATGCTTTAAAAGAAATTAAGCCAGCTCTTATTACTAATTTATAGCACTATATGAGAAAAATTGTTTGGAAAGGAAACACCAGATCATATATTTAGTCACTCTATTATTTATGTACTCCATTATTTCTAACACAAATAATAAAATGATTGAGATGGCAAGAGGATAAAGATTAATCAACTTGCCTTTTGTTACTAATCTCAGGCTTTATTATCATCAATATTATGATAATAAAACTAACTCAAAGATTCCTACCATATATTCAATAGTGAAATGCTGAAAGCCTTTCCTCTAAGATTTGGAAAAAGAAAAGGATGCCCACTTTTGCCACTTTTATTCAACATAGTATTGGACATCCTAGCCAGAGCAATTAGGCAAGAGAAAACAGTAAAAGGCATCCAAAGTAGGAAAGAAAGAAGTGAAACTGTCACTGTTTGCTGATGATATGATCTTATATATAGACAACTCTAGAGACTCCATCAAAAAACATTGGAAATAATATATAATCAACCTAAGTGTCCATCAACAGATTAATGGATAAAGAAAATGTGGTATATATACATAATAAAATAGCACTTGGCCTTAAAAAAAGCAGAACATTCTGTCATTTGTGGCAACATGGATGAAACTGGAGAACATTATGGCAAGTGAAATAAGCCAGGCACAGAAAGACAAATATCTCATGTTCTCACCTATATGTGGAATCTAAAAAATTGAACTCATAAAAGCAGAGAGTGGAATTATAGTTACAGAGGCTAAGGGTAGGGGGAATAGGGAAATGATAGTCAAAGGATACAAAATCTCAGACATGAAGAATAAGATGTTTTATTGTTGAGACAACACAACTTGATGAGTATAGTTAATAACGTACATTTCAAAATTGCTAAGAGTAAATTTCAAATGTTCTCACCACAAAAAATGGTAAGTATTTGATGTGACAGATATATTATTTAGCTTAAGTTATTCCATACTGTATTCATAAGTCATAATGTCACTTTGTACCCTATAAATATATACGATTATAACTTGTCAATATACAATAAAGTTAAAAAATCACCAAAAAAGAGATTCTCACCAACTGATTTTATTTCAAAGTTAGTTTTCTTTTTTCTTTTTTTTTTTTTTTGAGACAGAGTTTCATTCTGTCACCCAGGCTGGAGTGCAGTGGTGTGATCTCAGCTCACTGCAACCTCTGCCTCCTGGAAGCAAGCAAATCTCATGCCTCAGTCTCCTAAATAGCTGGGATTACAGACATGCACCACCATGCAAAAATTTGTGCCCAGCTAATTTTTGTATATTTAGTAGAGATGGGGTTTTGCCATGTTGGCCAGGCTGGTCTCAAACTCCTGGCCTCAAGTGATCTGCCCGCCTTGGTTTCTCAATGGGCTGGGATTACAGGTGTTAGCCACTGCACTCGGCCTCAAAGTTAGTTTTCTATCATGTATATTCACATTGCTATCTTTAAAACCTATGTATATAGGAAACAAAAAAATAAGCCATGTTGAATGAAGAAACACTGCTTAAGTTAGGTAGATTCTCATAGATCCTTGCATCCTCCACCTAACTGAGGTAGACTAGCAAGAATGATGAAACATTATACATGAAACAACACCAAAAGAATAATCTAATATCTTTACCTTTTCCTACTAAAGTGTTAACAAAAAATACTGCCAGGACCTGGTGATAGTACTGACAATTCTCTTCCAAATATAAATTCTGAAAAATATACACCTACATAATAATGCCTAATTTAAATACTTAAAATAATATTTGCTATCACACCCAAAGTTATAGAAGGTTTATATAACTAAACAAAGTAACGTAAATTAAATTTCACTTAGAACTATAAGGAAGCTTATATATAAGCTTCTATAGCTAACTGAAGAAAGAACAAGAAAATTCTGAATAGCAAAAAGGAAGTTCTTATAGGTTCATTTCCCGGAAAAATTTAAAAAAAAAAAAAAAGCTAACCAGAAAAATAGCAGATGCTCTGTGATAGTCATAAATTGAGTTAACCAGGAAATGATTTATTTCCTGGTAGAATAAAATCTAAAGGAGAATTGAGTCCTAATAAATTAAAATTGCCATCAGCCCCAAATAAAAGTTTCAGTTCCATCTATGAACCAAATATATCTCAGAATCTACTTAAACAACCTTTAAAAGTATTTGCCATTTTCAAAGGAGAAAAAAAGAAAATTAATATGTATATAACAAACTGACAGGCAAAATTGAAAAAAAAACTCTCTATAAAACTATAACGTATATACTTAGCTTTGAGTATTTTTCTGAACTATCTCAAATTTAAAATATTGGCCGGGCGCGGTGGCTCACGCCTGTAATCCCAGCACTTTGGGAGGCCGAGGCGGGCGGATCACGAGGTCAGGAGATCGAGACCATCCCGGCTAAAACGGTGAAACCCCGTCTCTACTAAAACTACAAAAAATAGCCGGGCGTAGTGGCGGGCGCCTGTAGTCCTAGCTACTTGGGAGGCTGAGGCAGGAGAATGGCGTGAACCCGGGAGGCGGAGCTTGCAGTGAGCCGAGATCCCGCCACTGCACTCCAGCCTGGGCGACAGAGCGAGACTCCGTCTCAAAAAAAAAAAAAAAAAAAAAAAAAAAAAAAAAAAAAAAAAAAAAAATTTAAAATATTATGCCAAACAACTTGCAACAAAGTTTTATATCATTATAATCATTTCGGTTTCATATTAATAAAGTATATCGGTACCTCCATTTTAGCATTTGTCCACCGAGGTATTTCTACAATCATATTAAACAGATTCTGCAGTTAAAAACAAAACAAAGAGAGAACATTAAAAATTTTACCTTTTATTTTTTCCGTTACCTCCCTTATAAGAATACCTTAGATGTTTTCCCCCGACAAAAAAAATGTTGAGTCTCCATCATACATCTACCTATGCCTTAAATTTTTTCTAGAAATTAGAGTTGTCTAAAACACAGCCAAATTTAGGCCACCATGTCACTTGAGCACTTACACACAGTGTCAGAGGTTACGAGTCTGAGAATATCTTTGATGAGTAGTGACAAAACTAGAATGGAGTCAAGAAATGTGTTTCAATTTTTATTTTCCAACTAAAATAGAAGTGAGAGAACCAGTCCCTCATGTAAGGATTCAGTCTCACTTTTCCAATCTGTAAAGTAAGTGTGATCATCTCTGTCCCACTCACCACATGAGGTTGTTACAAAGATCAATGACAATATACAGAAAATTATGAAGTAAAATATATTTTAAAATGATAAAATAATAATTAAATCCAAGTTACAATCACAGTGTAAAATTCAGGATGTAAGTACAGCTATTACAGAGTTCACAAAGAGCTACACTAAATATTCCAGACTTAGCTTGCATATCTGGTGAGTTCAGACTCCCTAAAGTTACAAACTCACTATGGCTTCACTTTTTTTTTTTAATTTCTGAACTTTGTAGAATGCATAAACCAAAGGAGACCCTAGGTCAATGATGAGTAAAAATAATTCCCTACAGTTTGCCTTACAAAGAGAAAGTCTTAAGGTTAAAGTTGATTTGCACACATTTTGACATCAATAACTAACAATTTATCAAGGAAACAACGATGGTTTAAAACACTGTACTCCAAGTGTAGCCAAAGACCAGGGCCAGTCTGCAAACCGATTGTTACTGGCTCATTTACAAACATTTGTAGCAATTTAAAAGAGCAATTTTTATATCTGTTAAATCTAATAATAAAAAATTGGAATCTGAATTACACTTTCCTTTTTTTTTTTTTTCTCCCAAGACGGAGTCTTACTCTGTCACCCAGGCTGGAGTGCAGCAGCATGATCTCGGCTCACTGCAACCTCCACCTCCTGGGTTCAAGCAATTCTCCTGCCTCAGCCTCCCGAGCAGCTGGGATTACAGGTGCCCGCCAGCACGCCTGCTAATTTTTGTATTCTTAGTAGAGACAGGGTTTCACTATGCTGGCCAGGCTGGTCTGGAATTCTTTTTTTTTTTTTTTTTTTTTTTTGAGACGGAGTCTCGCTTTGTCGCCCAGGCTGGAGCGCAGTGGCGCAATCTCGGCTCACTGCAAGATCCGCCTCCCGGGTTCACGCCATTCTCCTGCCTCGGCCTCCCGAGTAGCTGGGACTACAGGCACCCGCCACCACTTCCGGCTAATTTTTTGTATTTTTAGTAGAGACAGGGTTTCACTGTGTTAGCCAGGATGGTCTCGATCTCCTGACCTCGTGATCCGCCCACCTCGGCCTCCCAAAGTGCTGGGATTACAGGCGTGAGCCACCGCGCCCTGCCAACACTTTTCTAACGATTCATGTTGATTGCATTTTTTTTAAGTATCTGTTTACAACCAATTAGAAATAAACCAGCCAAAAAACTAGTCTTTCATCCCAAATCATTTGAGAAGTGATTTAACATACTTATTTTCGATCATGCCACACATCAATACCACCTCACCAGCTTCAACCAATTAAAAAAAAGAAAGTTTCCCAGAGCCCCGTCTCTCATCTATCTGAATTAAATTGCTCTGGGTGGAGCCAGGGCACTGCTTATTTTTATAGGCTCTCCAAGCAATTTTAATATGCAGCCAAAGCTGGACTAAAGCATTGCTGAAGAGTATCACAGAGGTTTTCTAGTGTAACATGGAATGCTGTTATTTCAAAGAATGCTATTTACACAATTAAATGTAGATAGATATTGAGCCATAAAAGTAATGATGATTTATATTAAGTTTTTCTACATAAGACTAAAGGTTACAAATGGCAAAGCTGCAAGCCCATAATGAGATAAACAACAAAGCTGAGAATAAATTCTCAATAGCTGCTCCTTAGAAGTATGTCTCATACCTATCTTAGCAACCTTACATACAGTCCTGCTGTTATGTTTCATTTTCTATGCTCTTTCATGAGGTACCCCTGCACCTGTTTAAATATGTCTGAAGTAGCTGTTAAAAAGAAAAACCAAAGTAAATGGCAGATGTCCACATAATTTATTCATCCCTGAAAGCCTGGCTATACGGGAACAAATGCTTGCAGATGAATACTCAGAGGTGACCAAGAAGACCAAGCTGGTGACAATCGTTTTACACAATAACACCTACCAAAACCACTCACAGATACTTGAATTAGGCCAAATGAACAATAAATGAGGTTTGAATTTTAAGCCTGCAAACCACATTCTCCCTCTTCATTTGCTCGTAATCACTAAGAGCTTATTTCCAACCTGCCTTTCTTCTCTCCAGCTAAGATGCATTTGTCCTGTAATTAATTTTTTAAAGCCAATGTTAGCCTGGTTTTCCTAAGATTAATGTTAATTATAAACCAACAATGGTCTGCCAAATTTTATCTGAAAATAAAAAAGATAAAAGGAGCACAAGTCAAACCAGAAAGTTGTGTATGTGGCAAGGACTGTGAACTACTCCTTCAGTCCTTTTCTTTCTCTCCATTTTTTTCCTTGTATTTTTGTTGCAGAAGTCAAAATAGAAAAACTAATAAGATGTATGAAAAAGCAGTCAGTACATTTTATATACATGGGGAAAAGACAGGAAGAAATCACTCTTCTTTCCTCTCTAATCCTGAAAATTTCAAATAAACTCAAATCAGACAGTCTCTAACATAAAAACTGTGTTCTAAGAATTAAATTTTAATTTGAATGTCTGGGCTCAGAATATGTTTTTCCCACTAATGTATTTCATTAACCTGAAATAACTGTTTCAGGTTAATACACTAAGTCCCCTGGGGATCTGGAAACCCTTGTTCACTCAACATCTAGGGCAGTGGTTCTCAAACTTCACGTTTAGGATGCACCTAGAATACTTGTGAAATACCTAGATTAACCAGGCCCTATCCAGCGGAGAATCTGACTTAGTAAATAGGAGATGGGGCACGGAATCTGAATTTTTAACAAGCACTCTAAGTGGTTCCAGTGTAGATGGTTCAAGAATCACACCAGCTTAGAAAAATAGAAGACAGATAGCAGGCAAAGGTTGTAGGAATTTAAAGGCCCCCACAGGTATGTTTGGAAGTAGATTCAAATGCTGGAGCTGTAAGTTTCAGTTGGGGTAGAGAATAAATGGAAATGAAGCTGGAAAGGTAAAAGGAGACAGGAAAGCAGCAGGAAAAGCTGCCTGGCATCAGAATCAGAGGGATAAAAGGACACTTGTAGCAGGAGATGGAATGACAGACATCAATCAAATGTTCTGGTCCTAAGTCAAGAACTATTAAAGGTTTGACAGCCACATATATTTGTTTAGATATATTTAGAATATATATATTTAGAATATATTCATTTTAGCATACATTTAGAATATATATATTTAGAATATATTCATTTTAGCATACGGTTGGTATAAGTGTTTTTCTTCTCCTCTACTCCCAAAAGATTATTGTTCCTGGGTTCTAAAACAGCCTCTCAAACCATCTTCTCTCTTATAATTTAAAGTGAAATATTTCATTTATAATGAAGTACATTTACTTTAGACCATCTACCAAGATAATTAACTTATTATTAAAATCTGGGTTCCTGTGCTAATTCTCTCAGGTTTTCCCATTGTAAAATGAAGTGGAAATGAAATACCTGCAACAGTCAAATTCATAAGACAGAAAGTAGAATAGTGCTTCCCAGGGCCTCGGGGGAGGGAGGAAATGAGAAGTTGCTCAACGTGTAGAGTTTCAGCTTGGGATGGTGAAAAAGTTCTGGAGATGGATGGTGATGAGGATTCCACAACAATGTGAAAGAACTTAATGCCACTAAATTGTACTTTAAAAAAGTTAAAATGGTAAACCTTATGTTATGAATATTTTACCACAATAAAAAAAGTTAAATGGCAATAGCTGCCCTAGCTGCCTTAAAGAAAAACATCGGAATGCACATGAAAGTCTTGCAGGGGTAAAAACCTTAGAATCATTTTACAAATGCAAACTATCATCAAGGTATTTAACAGACAATATAAAAGTGATTCACAAAAATAAAAACCTTTGGATATACCTCATATTCATCATTTCGTGCTTTCTTCATAGGAATGCCATTTTCCTATAAAAGAAAAGATGGTGAAAGACTGCAATATTTCATGAAAGTATACAGTGGCACTGCATAGCAATAAAAATATGACTATTGTATAGACATTCTACACAAAGACTGTCCAGAAATCTGAGTCAACAGAGAACCTACCAAATGCCCACTTCGTTCTCCCCTGAGCATTTGTATCCCCAGAATAGAGCATCAAAGTGTTTCATAAAATAAATGATCAGAAAAGCCAAACCTCTTTCACGTATATTTTCCCAGTTTTTATAAAGTAAGCAAAGGCTCTGTTCAGTCTTTAAGAAAAGACTGGTAGTTTCCAGTGATTATGCTTAAAACAGTCATTTCATTATTGAAATGAAGCTCCAGGGAGCATGACTAACAAGCTGTGAAAGTACTCAGCTGCACCTCCTGCCTGTGAATTCTACCAAGGTGTGATTACTAGGCCTCCACCAAGCACTTTTTTTCTTTTTTCTTTTCCCATTAAACCAAGCACTTTTAAATTAAAACTGACTTCGTGGTGGGTTGGGAAGAAAAATTATGCCATTCACAAATGCTCAACCAGCATATGTAACGTTTATACACCAAAATGACTACTAATGAAGAAAACAAAACAAACAAAATCATTTTTCCAAATCAGCTCTGAAACATTATTTTTGTTTTTGCTGCTGCTGTTGTTGTTGTTGTTGTTGTTGTTGTTGTTGTTGTTGTTTTTGAGACAGAGTCTCGCTCTGTCGCCCAGGCTGGTGGAGTGCAGTGGCGCAATCTTGGCTCACTGCAAGCTCTGCCTCCTGGGTTCACGCCATTCTCCTGCCTCAGCCTCCCGAGTAGCTGGGACTACAGGCGCCCGCTACCAGGCCTGGCTAATTTTTTTTTGTATTTTTAGTAGAGACAGGGTTTCAACCGTGTTAGCCAGGATGGTCTTGATCTCCTGACCTCATGATCCGCCTGCCTTGGCCTCCCAAAGTGCTGGGATTACAGGCAAGAGCCACCGCACCCAGCCATTATTTTTATTCTTAATATACCACATCCCAAAGTACAAAGCACGAGTTTTAATCATTACTGGCTGAGATCTAGGGAAACCTATTTACACAACCACCATGCGTATCCATTTCCATATCTCCAGAATTCACTGGCATATCCTGTTGTATTTGCTGGCCCTATCATCAATTTTGCCTAATCTCTAATTTCACATTTCCCAAAACCCATCCTCCTTAGACAAAATGTTATTCTCACTGACATGTTTCTAGCTTACTCTTTTCCACCTCTACCTCTATCTACTACACGACTCTCAAAAATACAGCTTTATTATTATTGTTGTTATGATGAGGTATACAGATTTTGCTATAGCATACCCCTGACAACACTACCCACCAGTCACATTTTATCTTTCCTTTCCCTGTTGTATTTTTATAGCACTTAACATTATCTGACTGACTTGTTTTATGGTTGACTCCTCCAATTGAGTGGACTATACCTATCTTATTCACTACTACACCCACAGTGCCTAGAACAGTGCCTGGCTCATAATAAGCATTCAATGACTATTGATTGAATGAATAAATTAATGAATAAGTGAATGCATGCACTTTTAGCCAAAAGCAAAGAAAAGTGTTGGGAGACATGAGATATTTAGGTTTGAAAGTTCAGTGGCCAAAACAAAACACAGGAACACATATACACACGCACTTTCACACACTCGCATGGACACACACAGTAACATAGAGTTCCTTTTGCCTCTGGTTTCCTTCTATTGTCCTGGAGCTGCACACTTAAAAGTAATGAGCTGGAGGCATTACACAAGAGAAGTGAGGAGTACAAACTCTGGAGTTAGAGCACCTAAATCCAATCCCACCTCCAAAACACACGAGATTTGTGATGATGGACAAGGTACTTAGCCTCGTTAACAAAATAAGGGTACTAAATGTAAAGCCAGAAGGATTGAGATAAACCATATCAAGCAGGGAACACAGTGCTGGCTAAGTACCACAAGCACTTGATAAATTATTGATATTATTCTACTGCCAGTTCCTTATTCTGAAGAGCTGGGAAGCAGCACAAATCCTACTTCACATCCCATAACCTCACTATGATGCATAATATTCAGCCTCTGAGGTAACACCAGGGTCAAACAACCCTTGCATCTGAAGTAGCCTCCTCAGTTCTTCAGTGGCCTCTGCCCCTATATTGATCACCCCACATCCTAGAAAACCCAACCCCAAATTAACGAGTTACATATAATTTCAACATGGAATGTGGTCCTGGTTATTTACTTAATAGTTGTACCCCCTTAAAAATTTGGTAATTCACTACTTGGATTTTAAGGAAATAACCTACAACTTAATGATGATCATGAATACTACCAAATATGCCATATTACCAACTAATCATGAGAGATCTCGAAACACCCCAACAATTTTGATTTGATAGCATCAGTTCTCCTGGCATCTTTCACACCCTGACAACTGTCAAGTGATTTTCAGTTCTAAGAGAACAGCTATTCAAACACCACCATTTTTACCCCTGCTTTATTTCTCTAACACCTGTTTCATAGAGTGGTTAAAGAGCATAAGCTTTGTGGTCAGAAGCTAATTCCAAAACTAGCTCTGGCACTTACCAGATCTTAGACAAGTCTATAAAAATGCCTTGAGCCTCAGTGTCCTTGGAAAGAAAAATAGCAACTCATAACAATTAAATAACATCATGTTCACATAGTGGCTAGCAAATAAAAAATAATCCACAAACGTTAGCTGATTATTGTAAATAAACCTCTTGGTAATTTCCTAAATTACTACCCTTAAATCTTTATTTCCTACCGAATTCTAAGTTTTATGTACCAGTAACACCCCTTTCTCCCAATTCCTCATGGAAGAATCCTATTCTCATACAACTTTTAATTCATATAGGAGGCTTATGACCCTGTTATAGTAACTCCTGTTTGTCCTCCTGACTTCCAACAACACTTTTTCCTTTCAAGGTGCTTCCAAAAAGCATCTAATGGTGATACTGGCAGTACACGTTTTCATTCCCAAAACAAGTCAAAACAATACCTCTTTAGAGTTCACCTTCAGAGGAATATCATGAAAGGGGGAAATGTAGTGACCAGTTACATTCTCTGCAAAGACACAAACAAACAAAACAAAACAGAATTAAAGCAATAGACACATTGTTCTATACAGCAATAATAAACATCCTTATCCACTTTTAAACTTACGCATTTTTTACAAAGCTAACTTTAACTCCCAACTTAAAGTTAATTCAACTTTTAAAACTTGCCACCATCTAAGGACCGAAAAGAAATATATACCGGCTAAACCATATTTGGGTTGCTGAAATAATTTACTTATCCCTGTGGCTTAAAATATCCAAAGCAGAAAATATCTACAATAGACTAAAACCCAAAATACATATTAAAAAAAAAAACATCACTTTTGAAAAAGAAACTCATTACTAAGTGAATTCTATTAAAACTGATGTCAATTTCCCTTGGGGAAACTTAACAATAGTATTCCCAATTTCTACCTACTATCCATGGGAAGAAAAGTCCAAAGTTCCTATTCAATTAAAAGAAAAGAAATATTGTTTCCATTCAATGTGGTAAGGATGCTAATACTAAGGTAAGCTTAGAACAAAAACAAACTTCAATAACAGAAACTATCTTACCTTAAAAGTTGTATACCAAAATGTGTATTTTAAATACTTTCAATATTTAAATAAACACAATGCCTTGTAAATAAATACAATGCACTTTTACTGGAATACATCTGTTTCCAAAAGCTAAGCTTAATAGAGCCCTACAAAATTTTCACTTTGTAATTTCCTAAATCAGGCTGTTTTACTTCTGACCTGCTACCTGTTTGGCATAATTTTCAAATTTAGATTTCAAGAATATTTAACAAAATAAAACAAAGACTGGCTAAATCCCAATAGCAATGAGCACACCAGCAACCACATCTTGGTTTCTTTCTTCTTTTTTTTTGAGACAGGGTCTGGAATGCAGTGGCATGATCATGGCTCACTGCAGCCTCAATCTCCTGGTCTCAAGCCTCAAGCCTCCAGAGTAGCTGGGACTACAGGCATGCACCACCACACCCAGCTAAGTTTAAAGTTTTTTGTACAGACAGGGTCTTGCTATGTTGCCCAGGCTTGTCTCGAACTCCTGAGCTCAAACAATCCACCTACTTTGGGCCTCCCGAAGTATAGGGATTACAGGTGTGAGCCACTGCACCTGGCCCAGATTTTGGTTTCAAAATGCCATTCTCCAATAAAAGGAACTAGGCCTCCTTGGAGAAAGGCTTGATTCTAATGCTGGAGCAAAGAATACCCAAGATGAGCCTGGAGCATCTTGTAGGGTCAGAAGGCAACCAAGTGCTCAAACATCAGAAGACTGGAGGTATGGTAAAGGGAAATGTGAACCAATCTGAAAGAGTCCCCAAAGGCCAAAGCTGGAACAATTTGAGCAACAAAATATAAAACAAATATACATGAATCCACACTAATACAAACAAATGATAAAATAAATGAGAGAGAAGAAACAAATCCAAGATTGAGAAACCGTAACAGATTGTTAGACAGTAAGGAAATATGATGACTAAATGCAGTCTGGTATGCTGAACTAGATCCTGGAACAGAAAAATGACATTAGTGGAAAAACTAGTGAAATCCAAATAAAATCTGGAGTTTAGTTAAGGGCATGTGCCAATGTTAGTTTCTTAGTTTTGAAAAATGTACAATGGCAATGGTAAATGATGTTAAGATGATAAAATTAGGGAAAAACTGGGGTGCGGAGTATGCTGGAATCCTGTACTAACTTTGCAGCTTAACCCAATCTAAAATTATTCCAAAATGAAGTTTATTAAACAACAACAACAACAAATAAGCCCTGGATTCTGCCCAACAAAAACAGAGGCATGGCCGGGCACGATGGCTCACGCTAATTCCAGCATTTTGGGAGGCTGAGGCGGGAGGATCACCTGAGGTCAGGAGTTTGAGACCAACCTGACCAACATGGCAAAACCCCGTCTGTACTAAAAATACAAAAATTAGCTGGGCGTGGTGGTGCATGCCTGTAATCTCAGCTACTCAGGAAGCTGAGGCAGGAGAATAGCTTCAACCCAGGAGGCGGAGGTTGCGGTGAGCCGAAATCGCACCACTGCACTCCAGCCTGGCGACACAAGACTCCACCTCCAAAAAAAAAAAAAAAAAAAAAAAAAAAGGCATGTAACTTAACAATGAAATTGTTAATTCCCACCAATATTTTATTTCCCCCTACCATGCTTTGTGCTTTACCTTAGCACTTATCACTAGAATTAAGTTCTGGAGTTTTTGTAGTTGTTCATTTTTGTTTGTTCTGTTATGCTTTCTACTGGATCTCTAGCATCTGGGAAAGTACCTAGCACTTAATAGGCATCCAATATATACTTGCTGAGCAAATATCTGTTAGATAAATGTCTCTATTACTATTTTATTTTTCCCTTTAAACTGTTAACATAATTTTTATTTCCCCACCCTAGCAACAAGGTAATTCCTGAAGGATGTGTGCACAACGTAAGGATAAAAATGAGAAAGAGCACACAAATGGCAAGTACATAAAACTTTGGCTATGGTCTATAAAGCTCTTTTCATCAGTAAAGGGATGCACTTAAAAAAAACTTCTCTTTCATATATTACATCAGATTTCAAATTCTCTGCCCGATTTTCAAAGTTATCTATGAGTAACACAAGAACACAAAAAACAAAATTACCAATTTTTTACATGATTATTTACTTTTCTAAATGTAATAGATACTAAAGTGGGCCACATTTACATGTTTTCAATTAAAATAAAATATGGTGATGGGAACTGAAAATGGTGCACTTGCTCTGGAAAACAGTTTGGCTGTTTCTTGTAAAGTTAAACATACAATTAGCATGTGACCCAGAAATCCCACTAAGTATTTAACTGAGAAATAAAAACATGTTCACCCAAAAATCTCTATATGTTTACAGCAGCTTTATTCGGAATCACCAAAAACTGTAAACAATGCAAATGTACAACTGGTAAATGGAGAAAAACTATGTTATACTCATATAGTGGTCTTTTAATCAATGTTTATTAATTATTCCACAATAAAAAGGAATGCACTATTGATACACACAATAAAATGGATGCATCTAAATACACTGTATCAAGCGAAAGAAGCTCAACTCAGTTCCATTTACATAACATACTGGAAAAGGCAAAACTATAGGATAAAGTGCAGTCACTGGTTGGTTGCCAGGGGCTGATGGTAAGAGAGTAGGGTTGACCCTAAAGGGGGCCACAAAAAATTTTTTGGGGAGGGACAGACCTGTTCTGTACTTTGTGATGCTGTTTACACAAATCTACTTTCTGTCAAAACTCAGAAGTGTCCACAAAAAAAGTAAATTTTACTGTAGGTAATTTTAAAAATAAGTAAATATGGAGCTGAAAGACAACTAGGAGGAGGTTAAGAAGACATACACAGTAAGCCCTCTGCATCTGCAGATTCAAACAATCGCAGATCGAAAATATTCTGCAAATCTTTAAAAAATAAAAATGCAACAATAAACATAATACAAATAAAACAATACAGTATAACAACTATTTACATGGCATTACAAGGCATCAGATATTGTAAGTAATTCAAAGAGGATTAAAAGTAGACAAGAGGGTTCCTTTCTCTTGGTTTCTTTCCACCCTCCCCCACCCATAAGGGAAAAAAAAATAGGAGGAGTGCATAGGTCATATGTAAATACTACGCCATTTTACATCAGGGACTGGAACATCTGCAAATTTTGGTATCCAAGGGGTTCTGGAACCAATCCCCTGCAAATACAGAGGGACAACTGTAATGTATAAATGGAAGCTCTTATTCCAAGAACAATCATCAATCTGTGATTGTCCTCTCTTCAAGTCACTAAAGTAAAAAAGGTAGAATTCTGAAAAGAAAAAAAATACAATCCTTTAACAGATTACTTCAACGTTCATTTGGGACCTATCATTGTGATAGAAATGAACAATAATTTCAGCTCTAAGAATCCAGGAAGTTACACAAACAAGGGAAGTTTGTTATCATGGGGGTAAAAGAAACTTGACAGAAAAGCCAGGCTGCCTTTGTAATTAAGAGTAAATAAATCTAGGACACTGATTTGGTGTTAAATTTCCCCAAAGATCCAATGCTCTTGTTAACTGTGGACAAGCCCAATACTTATTAAGATGTAAGATCACATATATATATAGTTTTCTAATTGTCATTTGGAAGGTAAAAAGATTACAAATGAGTGAATGGTCTGTATTTACTAACTTACATAACCATACCTACTAGAAGCTATTTCATGAAATAGTATTAATAAATAAAAATGTAATAGTGAAGAAAAAGAGTAAAAATATAACTACTTCTAGAAAACAAATATGGCCTTAGATCTCAGATAATAATAATGCTTTAATGGGCAATATATCTATAAATTTGCACAGGAGCAATGACTAGAAAGGCCAAAAACCTGACTTCTAGTTACTCAGCTTCATAAAAATGGCAACTGAATGATGAGGCTCATAAATTTGGAAAGCAGAGCTTTATTTCTCATAAAGGGCTGCAACCTGCAAGCATGCTCAGTTGAGCTTCATGCTTCTCCACGGGACCCATGTTCAAAAAACGGTGGTGTTAGCATGATCTGAGGGTGGAGTTTTCAGCTCTCTGATGTCGAAAGGTGAAGTGGAAAACATGAAAACCCTCACTGCACATTCTCCATAGATTCGCCAGAACCACTCTTATCAGGAGGGAACGCTGGTCAGTTGTTTTGTGGAAACCACAAAAGGGAGGGGCAGCAGTCAGACTTTCGGTTGGTATCAGCATCTGTGGAGTCTTTCGAAAGGGCTGGTTTCTATTTAGCCCTTAGGGAAGAAAACTTAATGGCAGTTAGTGAGGGAAAGGGTATAAGCAGGCATAGTTGACCTCCCCATTCCAGTCGTGGCCAAGAACTCAGTTTTCAAGGTTTCTCTAGGGTTCCCTTGGCCAAAAGGAGACCCATTCAGTCAACTGAGGGGCTCAGAATTTTAGTTTATTTCTCAACAGTCACTCAATTTCTCTGAAGCTTAATTTTCTCAATAGTTTCTTGCATTAAGCAATATGTATTTACAGAGTGTTTCACATGAAAAGGAATTGTACTAGATTTTGGAATAGACAAGTGCTACACAGTGATCCACGCCCATAGCTAAGACAAGACACGTTACATCACTGTCATCATCATCATCACCTAGTAAGTTTAAACACAAAGGCATCCTCTCAGCACTGTTAGAAAACTGAACATTTCCCTAAAGTGCAAAAGGATAAGAACTCATTAAAAGTTTTCCAGGGCCAATCATGTTGATATGCTATTATGTTCCATTTAAAGGGTATTAAAATTCTCTAAAGGTGGATTTAAAGATATGTAGTATCTATCCTGATCCTCTATAAAATGAATGAGATAATCTATATGGTACATATGCGCTACAGACAGAGGGATATGGTATATGGAACAAGCGCTGTGGCAACACATGCCGTTATTTTTAAAGACAGTAGAACTTATCTAGCACTAGGTTAAAAAAAAAAAAGTGGTAGAACTGAAGCACACATCAGACAGCCCTTCCTCAGAACCACAGAATATATTAGTGATACATCTTAGGTTAGAACTTTCTTATCCGAAGCTCAGGCTGCTTGTTTCTTAACAGTTGAAAACAAGCTATTGCCAATTTGCTTTTTAAAACATCTATTTTGCTGTTGTTAAGCCAAAGCAATGCAGGTCCATGACTGAAAAAATAATAGTTTCTACCTCTCCCCAGTCTAGTTCCACTCCTGAGAGCAACCCATTTTCAACTCTTTGTATTAGGCCTAGTGGTTACCTTCATCTTTCTAAATAGCATATTTAGTAGTTTTTGTTTATCAATTGTAGAAATTACCTACTGATTCCAATTCTGAGAGATAGTTTAGTTCAATCTATTCTACATAAGTTCTTAATTGGCTAATGTTAATACACCTTTTTATTCCACCAAATATATTGATATGGTTTGGCTGTGTCCCCACCCAAATCTCATCTTGAATTCCCACGTGTTGTGGGTGGGACTCAGTGGGAGGTAACTGAATCATAGGGGTAAGTCTTTCCTGTGCTGTTCTCATGATAGTAAGTCTCACAAGATCTGATGATTACAGAAGGGGTAGTGTTCCTGCACAAGCTCTCGTCTGCCACCATATGAGACGTGCCTTTCACCTTCTGCCATGATAGTGAGGCCTCCCTACCCATGTAAAACTGTAAATCCAATAAACCTGTTTCATTTGTAAATTCCACAGTCTTGGGTATGCCTTTATCAGCAGCATGAAAATAAACTAATACAGTAAATTGGTACCAGTAGAGTGCGGTGCTGCTGAAAAGATAACTGAAAAAGTGGAAGCAACTTTGGAACTGGATAACAGGCAGAGTTTGGAACAGTCTGGAGGGCTCTGAAGAAGACAGGAAAACGTGGGAAAGTCTGGAACTCCCGAGAGACTTGTTAAGTGGCTTTGACCCAAATGTTGATAATGATATGGACAATGAAATCCAGGCTGATGTGGTCTCAGATGGAGATGAGGAAATTGTTGGGAACTGGAGCAAAGGTGATTCTTGACAGTTTTAGCAAAGAGACTGGCAGCATTATGCCCCTGCCCTAGAGATCTGTGGAACTTTGAACTTGAGAGAGATGATTTAGGGTATCTAGTGGAGGAAGAAATTTCTAAGAAGCAAAGCATTCAATAGGTGACTTGGGTGCTGTTAAAAGCATTCAGAGCATAAAAGTTTGGAAAATTTGTGGCCTGACAATGTGAGAGAAAAGAAAATCCCATTTTTTGAGAAGAAATTCAAGCCAGCTGCAGAAATTTGCATAAGTAACAAGAAGCCAAATGTTCGTCCCCAAGACAGTGATGAAAATGTCTCTAGCGCATGTCAGAGGCCTTCACGGCAGCCCTTCCCATCACAGGCCCTGAGGCCTAGTAGGAAAAGGTGGTTTCGCTGGGCTCAGGGTCCCTCTGCTGTGTGCAGCCTAGGGAGTTGGTGCCTTGCGTCCCAGGTGGTCCAGCCATGGCTAAAAGGGGCCAAGGTACAGCTTGGGTTTTTGCTTCAGCGGGTGGAAGCCCCAAGACTTGGCAGCTTCCAAGTGGTGTTGAGCCTGCGGGTGCACAGAAGTCAAGAATTGAGGTTTGGGACCTCTGCCTAGATTTCAGGTGTATGAAAACACCTGGATGCCCAGGCAAAAGTTTGCTGCAGTGGCAGGGCCCTCATGGAGAACCTCTGCTAGAGCACTGTGGAAGGGAAATATGAGGTCGGGGCCCCCATACAGAGTCCCTATTGGGGCACTGCCTAGTGGAGCTGTGAGAAGAGGGCCACTGTCCTCCAGACCCCAAAATGGTAGATCCACCAATAGCTTCCACCATGCACCCAGAAAAGCCACAGACATTCAATCCAGCCCATGAAAGCAGCAAGGAGGGGGACTATACCCTGCAAAGCCACAGGGGCAGAGCTGCCCAAGACCACAGGAACCCACCTCTTGCATCGGCGTGACCTGGGTGTGAGACACATGGAATCAAAGGAGATCATTTGGAGCTTTAATATTTGACTGCTCTGCTGGATTCTGGACTTGTATGGGGCCTGTAGCCCCTTTGTTTTGGCCAATTTCTCCCATTTGGAATGTTTTATTTACCCAATACCTGTGCCCCCATTGTATCTAAGAAGTAACTAACTTGCTTTTGATTTTACAGGCTCATAGGTAGAAGGGACTTGCCTTGTCTCAGATGAGACTGTGGACTGCGGACTTCTGAGTTAATGTTGAAATGAGTTAAGACTTTGGGGGACTGTTGGGAAGGCATGTTGGTTTTGAAATGTGAGGACATGAGATTTGAGAGGGGCCAGGGGCAGAATGATATGGTTTGGCTGTGTCCCCACCCAAATCTCATCTTGAATTCCCACATGTTGTGGGAGGAATCCTGGTGGGAGATAATTGAATCATGGGGGCAAGTCTTGTTCTTGTGACAGTGAGTAAATCTCATGAGATCTGATGATTATATACGGGGGAGTTTCCCTGCACTAGCTCTCTTGTCTGCCACCATATGATACATGCCCTTCACCTTCGGCCATGATTGTGAGGCCTCCCCAGCCATGTGGAACTGTAAGTCCAATAAACCTCTTTCTTTTGTAAATCACCCAGTCTCAGGTATGTCTTTATCAGCTGCATGAAAACAAACTAATACAAATATACAGTATTTCTTAACATCAATAACCTGACTTTTACCTCCCTTTCCTCATTCTTCTAATTTTTGTCTTCTGCATATTTATTTTTTCATATCAAGGCTGATAGAATGTTCTGTAATCATACTGAATTTTCTATGCATTTCCTATTATATATATCAAAAATTTCTCTTAGATAAGAAAAACCTGGAATGCTCATTAAAATGCAGATCCCTGAACCACCATCCCACATCTAGTGAATCAAAATCTCAAGGAGGGAGAAATGAATATCTGTATTTTTAGCAAACATCCCAAATAATTCTTACACTCAGGTGTGTGAGAAGCGTTGTCTATGTGTTTATTTTTGGTGAGGATGCTGCTATAATTAAATTTCCTTTTTTGGTTCAGCTTCTATTTTTCTTCGTGTTTCTAATTATCTTTCTTACATTGTCATAATCACGTCTATAAGTTATTCCAATGCCTCACGGATATCATCAAAATTATGGAATCCTCTCTTTACCCAAACAGCTCCTTCAGGAACCCTCTATCCTCAGGCTGCAATATGAACTGGATGCTTTCCGGGCATCCTAAGACTGCTTCTTTGCTCTCCAGTGTAGATCTATCATTTTCTGGATCCCATGCATTCACGTTTTTTTGGTTTACTTGTCTTGCAGAAGCATATCCCTAATAAGTGTTCTGTAAGAAGGATTGCATGTGAGGCCAATTTCTCAAGTTGTTAAATGTCTAAAATGTCTTTACTCTGTTCTCACTCCAGATTGACAGCTGGCTGGGTAGAAAATTCTAGGAGGAAAACTCTTTTCTCTCAGAATTTCAAAGGCATTACTCCAGTCTTCGAGCATTCAGTGTTGCAGGCCTGTTAGCTGACCACCCCCCAGCAAGACATGTGGGATCCTCTCAATAGCTGTATAATAATGTGACTGGGGGGGTCAGAAAACTTGGGTCCTTCAATTCTTAGATTTTTTTCTATTATCCCTTTTACAATTTCTTCTCCATTTTGTCTGTTCTTTCCTTCTGAAACCCATATGAGTCAAATGTTGGACTTTCTGGATTCAATCTCTACGTCACTTCTTCTTGCCTCCTTTTTCTATCTCTGACATTTTGTTCTACTTTCTGATAGATTTACCTTATCTTCTAATTCATCTATATTCTTTTTCTTAGGACTGCTGCAAGAAACTACCACAAACTTCGTGTCTCAGAACACCATTCAACCCACTACACCTTCTACTGACTTACTTGTTTTAACAAGTTATTTGCTAAAGAGGTCTTGGTCTTGATTGCCATTTCTTCACAGCCAACTCTTCCTTTTTTTTATAGCAGATGTAATAGAGAACACCCACTTGACCTTCTAAAATTCAAGTTTCTTGTTTTTCCCATTTAATTTTTAAGTTTTCCTTAAATTCATTCAGTAAATATTTCTTGAATATATGCACTGTACTAAGCATGGTTCTAGATACTAGATACAAATTCCAATTCCCTGTTCCTATGGAAATCACATTCTAGTTGGGGTGCAGAAGCAATGATTATGTGTTTATTCTATCACATATCATAAGCACTATAAAGATAAAGGAAAACAAATTAGGGAAAGTGAAGAATGAATAATGGAAGCGTTACCAATGGCAAATCCCTATGGCTCTGCAACAATCTCAATTCTTGCCTCCTCAGAAGAAAGAATTCAACTGAGGGGCAGAAGGCAGAAGGAGAGGCTGAGGCAATTTTACAGATGGAATCAGTTTATTATAATAAAAGGCTTTAGAGCAGGAACAAAGGGAAGGAAGGTACACTTGGAAGAGGGCAAAGTGGGCAACTTGAAAAGACAAATGCACGGTTTGACCTTTCAACTTGGGGTTTTATATGTTAGCATACTTCCAGGATCTTGTGTCCCATCTCCCCTGATTCTTCCCTTGGGGCAGGCTGTCTGCACACACAGTAGCCTCCCAGCACTTGGGAAAGGGACCATGTGCAACGTGTTTACTGGAGTTGTACGCGTGTTCACTTGAGGTGTTCTTCCCTTACCAGTCGAATGTCCCTAGGAGGTCACATACCAAACTCTGCCATTTTGCCTCTTAGTGCAAACGCTTGAGCCCACTCACCCAGTTCCTGAGATCTCATGGGAAGCTGCTGATCACCAGCTTCAGGTGCTTCTGTTTATTTGGAGACTGCCTTTCCCTGGTGCAGGCTGCAACCAATTAATATTTTAGAGAAACAGTTAACAACTGCCTGACCATCACCTGATGTTTGCCTGTCATTCCTGGTGTGTGTTGAGGGAGGGGAGCCCTCTTCTGCCCTGCTCATGCCTGACTAGCTACCTACTGTAACAGAAGGAGTAATATTTGATATTGAATGGTCAGGGAAGATCTCTCTGGTGGGTAACAGTTCAGCACAGATCTGAATGAAGTGAGGGAAGAGATCAAGTAGACCTCTAGGGAGGAGCACTGAAGGCATAAAAAGCACAGGTGTGCAGAGGAAAGAACATACATGGCATGTCTGAGAAACAGCAAGGAGGCCAGGATGGCAGGAGGACACTGATCAAAAGGAAAAGTGGCAAGCAATGAATTCAGAGAGGAGCCCAGTATTAGATCCAGTAGGACCTTACATGCTATGGTACATATTTCAAAAAATTTTTTGAGTGAAATGGAAAGCCACTGGCATTTTCAGCAGAGCTTGTACATTATCTGACTTACATTTTAAAAGGATGAAGGTGATTGCTGTATGGAAAGTAGACTATACAGGGCTAAGGGTGGAAGCAGGGTGAAGAATCAGGAGGTTACAACTGATCAAGGGAAAGATGATGGTGAAACAGAAAGTGAGAAGGGTGGAAGTGGACAGAAGGAATTGTCTTTTGGTACATTTCAAAAAAATATGCTAATGAGTTAGCTGTGGGATAAGAGTAAAAGGTGACAAGAAGAATGCCCAGGTTATGGGTTAGCAACTAAAGAGAGAAACAAGTTCGGTGAGGGTGGGGAGTCAGGAGTTCTGTTTTGTGCTGTTAATCTTGAGTTGTATCTTAAACATTTAGGTAGAAATACAGAGTAGAAAGCTGGATGTGTAAATTCTGAGTTCAAGAAGAGATGCGGCTAATGTTATAAATTGGGGAATCATAAACAGCGTCTAACACTATGGGACCTGATGGGATCACCCAGAGCAACAGCAATGGTCAGCAAACTCTGGCTTTATGGGCCAAATCTGTCACATGGCCTGGTTTTATTTTTGTAAATATAGTTTTATTGGAACATAACCACAGTCATACTTTTACTGTCCATGGCTGTATGTTACAATGGCAGAGCTGAGTAGTTGTGACAGAGACTGAATGGTTCGCAAAACCTAAAGTATTCCTTATCCGGCCCTTTACAGAAAACTTTGCCAACACCTGCCCTAGAGAGGCAGTATAGATAGAGAAGTGGGCTGAGGATTGAGCCCTGGGCATTTCAAAGGCTAGAGTTCGGAAATATGACAAAGGTTCAGCAAGGGAGAATGTGAAGGAGAAGCATCAAAACTAAGACAAAGTGCATCCCAGAGGAAAGCAGTTTCCTCTGGGAAAGACAAAAAAAGTGTTTCAAAGAGAAAGTGATGAACTGTAAAAAGTACTGCTGATAGGTCATATGAGGACTTCAAACTGACCATTAAGGTCGCAGCATGGAGGTGACAGGTAGCCCTGACAAAAAGCAGTTGGTAGAACAGTAGCGATGAAAGCCTAAGTTAGGTGATCCTTGACTATTTGGTTTATATTAAAAAGACTAGAAAAAATCACTGGGAACTCTGTGTTCCCACAGAGATGAATGGGTAGGAGGCTGGCTGTTATGCTGGGGTCCCCAAATACCAGCATGCAGAGTACTGCTGGGGCACCAACACCATCAGGGGTCCTACTTCCCTCTCAGCTCTTCATTCACTTTTACAGTTGGAACTAACACAACCCTCATGCATTAGACCTGCATGGGAAACATTTGTGTACTATTTGTAGTACAACTTAAACTAATCCCCCTGTGTTAAGTTCTACATCCATCTAACTCTCTATCCTATCTTATATCAACACACCCACAACCTCTCTGAGGTTCTGCAGCAGCTCGGCTTTTCCCTAAACTACGTCCCCTGAACACATATACTTAAGCTGGGACTTCTTCCACACTGCTTCATTAATAACCATATCTCCATTGGTTTTTTAATCTTTTATACATATTTCAAAATCTCAAGCTTTGGTGGCTCCTTATCTGTTGTTTTAGGGTTACCCTTTCTTATCCTCACTTACTATCACTTTAATAGGATATTTATTATAGGGGAAAAGAGATAAATGATTGTAGTCACTGTGTCATTTTTGCCATGGTATTTCACTGTCGTCAAAAATCAGATTGTGTCCTTAGGCATTAATTGCTAACCTCTATCAGGCCCATCAATCTACACGATATTGCCAAACAGTGGTCAAAATTCTCCCTTCAACTGGTCTGAAATCAGATTTTATTCTAGCATTTTCTAAGTTATCTATGTGATTCTTTCTCTCACAAGAGCAAGTTGTATCAGGATGAAAGTTTATTACTTACACTAGAGCAAGTGAGAAAATTGAATGGAATGTGAAAACCATACCTAATTTTATGTATCTATACCAGACAGCTAAATGTATGCCATATACCAACATATGATTACACACGACTACAAAACCACTTATAGAGATTCTTACTGGAAGCTTCAGCAATGACTAAAGCTAACTTTGTTTTATTTTCTGATAAAAAGATTAAGAAATGTAAAGGAGCCTAAAAACTTCAATAAAAATGCTTCCTCTGTTCCATATAGATCACACAATTCCTATTTCACAGCACTGATATAGAAAACGTTTAAGGTTTTAAGGACTGAAAAATCAAATAAAATACTTTTTCTATATTCACACAAAACCCATTGTGTTCCATTATATCAGTTGAAGTTCTATGATATAGGCCAACTTTAAAAAGTTACAGAAACTCATATTTAAGACTCAAACAAATTTTGTGGATTATTCACGGGAAGTTCTCTTTTAAGTCCAAAGATACAGCACTTTCAATGGCAGATTCCTCCTACTACCCAAATGACATAAAGAAAACCTACAGTAATTTCAACACAAGCACATGCTTACTATAAGTGACAAAGCAAATTAATTTTAAAGAACTGCTTGGTTCATTCCCAGACTAAATAAAAGCAACTTGAATTATCCACAGCACTATTTCTCTAAGTAAACCAGTTGCCTATCCCATAATAACAAAATTCCTAATTATGGAAAGCATAGCTTTTCCCTATCCTATGAGAACAGTATGAAATCTAAAATAAAATTTCAAGTTATTAACGAAACAAAACAAACAAAAACACGCAAGATATCAAAGGAATACTGGCATGCAGCATTAGGTCTTTGGCTCAATATAAGTGAGTCTAACTTCATTATGATTTCACAGTTAATTTAAAAGACTGCAAGTACCCATTAAAACTTTAAGACCTAGGAAGCCGGGCACAGTGGTGCATGCCTGTAGTCCCAGCTACCCAGGAGACAGAGGTGAGAGGATCGCTTGAGCTGGGGAAGTCAAGGCTGCTGTGAGTCGTGATTGCACACTGTGCTCCAGCTTGGGCAAAAGTATGAGACCCCATCTCTAAACAAACAAACAAACCAAAAAAATAAAAATAAAATGAATAAACAACAACAACAAAAAACCTTCTGAAACCTATAAATTAACAGGAACACTTCAAAATAATCAATCACATCACCTTATTTTCTCCCTTCACAGAATCTAATAATAAGGATTTTAGTCTAATGTCTTAAAGTCAAAAGGGAAAAATAAATAACATTTATTAAATACCTATCACGTGTGAGACACTGATAATTACACACATAGTCTCATTTAACTGCCACAGCAATTCTATAAAATTACTAGTGCTATCCCCATTTTATTTACGGAGAAACTGAGCTACCGGATGTCATCTGAAGGTAAGGGATGCCTCTGGTTAATTCAGTCGAGTGACTTGTCCAAGACGGTAAAGTCAGGACTACAACTTAAGTGGTTTGACTATTAGTTTAGAACTGTTACAGCACAGTTGCTTCTGGAAGTTGCAGAAATCATAACCCTGATGTCACTAAGATGTTAACAAATGTTCTGAGAAATAAGTACTCTGTGGTTCAGTTTTTGGAGAAGTTACATCCGAATTTTCCAGAACTTAAATAGGCAAATTCTTCTTCAAAAAAGTAATAAAATGGGAAGTGTTCTAATTTATTAAACCATGAAACCCTCTGTTTTAACGAAAACCTAATAATATACCATGGGATGCTTGTGTTCAACTAAGCAGTCTGGAAAATGATCATCTGGTCCAATCTCCTCATTCCATGGTTTTAAAAAATGAGATGCAGGGAGGTGAAGTGACAGCAAGATACTAACAGGGTCAGGGCTGGCACCAAGGAGGCCTGATGATTCCCATCAGGATACCCTTTCCCCTAATCATCCTGTCTCACTCTTTCTACAAAGTTTAACACCAATTTTTTTTTAAGTATTACATCAATCATTTATTCTGATTTTACTGAATGACAGTAAAGAGAAACCATTTACAGACATGAAGCTCGAAAATGTTCTACCTCCCAATGCACTAGTATTTCAGAGACTTGGAATATATTTGGAGATGTGGAAAATGATTACACTTTAGTAACACTGAGTAACAATTTTAGGCCAAGTATACTACACTCATATTTTTTTTGAAGTGAGACATTAGTCCACCCTAGTACTGCATACAGACACACTGAGTAATAAATATCCAATCTGTGATCATCTTTATAAAGGGCAATTTATTCGTTGCTTTCCCCTTACCCCATTCGCCCTAGAGTGGCTTCGTTTCACTTTGCCCTACCCCTTCTAGCAGGTAGTAAACAGTCCTGGCCAGTGATGCCATCTGGCGGTTAGTTCAGAAATTGTTTAACCAACACACCTTCCAATCAGGATCTTACCATCGGGACCCTCTCCAAAACCACACTCCCCTTTCTTCCAGTTTTTGCCCATTTACCTTAGTAAAATCGGGTTTTCTTCTTTCCTGCCCTGTTTATCCAACTGAATGAAAAACGTATTTTATTTGTGGCACTCTAGTTACAGAAAAATCATGAGTCCTAAGTACATTTGCAGCTAAAGAAACAAACCAACAATAAGAGGCCAACATACTCCCAAAAATGCCCCCATTCGACATCCTGTCTTAACAGAGACTGTTAGAATCTCCGTTATTCATCCAATGCCTTCAGGGAATACCAGTGCTGAGAAGGACCTTGAGGATCATCGTTTCAAGGTCAAAAGCTTCATTTTACAGCTGAAGAAACTGGCTCTGTGAGAAAGAACTGAAGTAACCACCCACCCAACAGCACACAGCGAGTTAACGGCAGAGCCAAGATTATGGCCTAGGACTCCCCATTCCAAATCCGGTACTGGGTCAACTACTCTGTGCGCTCCTGGCTTCTCAAGCCTGTTTTTGCTCAACCAGTGTATTTACTTTTTCCATAATTATAGTAATATTGTGAATCTCTGTACTATGCCTAACAGTGTCTAGCACACTTCATAAATATTTATTATTTGGGTATCTATTAATTACCGTACTTATTGCAAATCTAGAATACTTGCAGTAGACAGGCCTTTTTTCAATCTGCTTAAAAAGCGAACTGCCACTTCATAATTTTTTCTGACTATTCCCATTAATCATCACATGGTAACCTTTTAGAACATAATCCATTCAGAAATTTGAGACTTCCTGTTCACCTGATCAGTCTTAACCAAAGATAGAAGAAAATATGTGGCATAGGGTGAAAACTGCAACCAATTTTGAAGAAAATAGAAATTCTAGTACTAGTTGCATTATAATCACACGACTTTAGGCAAACTCTTCTTTCCCACAAAATAATCCTCGACCCTAAACTCATGTAGCATAACTGCAAATCTCTCATAAATTACAAATATCTATAATGATTATCGGTATTAACAATAGTAATTTATATTTTAGGCCCTGTGACTAATCAGTTTACATATATAATGTCATGTAATACTTGCAGCCCTATTTTACGGATGAGAAAAAACAAGGCTTAGCAACTTAAACTCGTCCGGGGTCACAGAGTTAAGACGTGAAGAACTCGAGGGCCTGCTTAGAACTGAAAGCCTCCAGAGCCAGTGCTCCGAAAAGGGGAGCGATAATGCAAGGCCCACTTTGATACTACCACTCCAAGGCTCTGCAGTCAGTGGGGAGTGAAGGCAAGCGACCGACATCGCTATTTTCTGTTACGGTTAACGTACACAGTGAAACAATGGGGTACACGGAACAATGAGTCACGAAGACCTGGGTCCTTTCTCTGAGCTCGGCAACTCAGGGACCCCCCCGAAGTCGCTTAGCCTTCTGGGCTTGTTCAGCTTGGGGAGGAAAAGGGGCTGCTCCGGAACCAACGAGGCTTTGGATGGTGGATCACACTCAGGGTGTAAACTTGTGCGTACCAAGTCAAGCTTCTGGGGAAAGAACCTTCATCAGAGTCCCTCCAAAAAAAGAAGACGCGCTGGATTAGGCATCCGCAAAGTTCCGCCTGCCTCTCCGACGTCAGGGAGCTCCCGCAGTAGGAGGTTTCTTACGCCTCTAGGAAGGCCGGCGTGTGGGCGGGCTCTGCCTTCCCTTCCTCACTGAGTTGTGTGAACCGGGAACGGCGGCCGGGCCGGCTAATGGCTGCAGGCCGCCGCGGGGTGGCCGCTTGCACTCTGCCTACCCCTCGGGGAGGGCGGCTGGCAGGGCACAGGGCGCTATCTACCCCCCAGCCGGCAGCCCTGCGCCTCTGCTCTCCGCTTTGGGGTCTTGATCCGCCGCCTCCTCGCTGGCAGTTCTCGTGACTCGGTGCGCGCTCCCGCGGGAAGTAAGGTGGCCTGGACCGCGCGGCTACCGCTGAGGGCCCCAAAAAGAGAGAAGGGAGACCGCGCGGGGCGTCCCAAGTGTCCCCCATTCCATCCCCCACCCAGGTTTCTCCGGTGCGCCGCTCGGCGAACCTCCGGGAGCTACTTACTAAAGAAGAGGCGGTAATTCTGCGAGCAGGGCTGGCCGCGCTCCTCAGTGTGGTACAGGGCCATAGCACGGCGCGACCCGGTCCCTGCACTGGTCCCCAACCGCAGGCACGCAGCGGCTGGGGCACCCGTGCGCAGCAGCCGCAGCAGCGCGCTCATGGCGTCAATGACGGTCCTGCTGTGCGCGCGGAGCTACCTGGGGGCTCGGCCGGGCCGCACGCCGGTGCCCCCTACCGTCCGGAGTCATCCCTCCCGCCCCGGCGCTCGGGCTGCGATCCTGGTCCCTGCCAGTGGAATCTGGAACACCAGCCAGTTGTGCGCACTATGCCCTCAGCGAGGCCGCAGCTCAAAGACGAGTGAGACAAGACCCACCACCCCTGAAGAGCTCACTGCCACTCGTTAATTCATACATTTATTCATGCCTTCATTTATCCCGTCAAGAATTACTATCATGATTTTTTAGTATAGTGATGTAATATTGAGTGATTACTCTGTGCCAGGAACTGCTCTAGACCCTGTCCAATATAGGAGATGAGCGCACATGCACGCAAAGACATCACTATAAGACAAAATGATCAGGCCACCACGTGAAAACGGGACGTTGACACCGACTTACAGAGCAAAAAACCCTAAGTAGCTTACTCAAATGCCATCTTCTCCATAAGGCCATTTCCTAACCCAGTAGAGATTATTTATTCTTTCTTTTATTTTATTATTTTTTGTTGTTGTTTTGTTTTTGAGACGGAGTCTCACACTGTTGCCTGGGCTGGAATGCAATGGTACAATCTCGGCTCACTGCAACCTCCGCCTCCTGGGTTCAAGCTATTCTCCTGCCTTAGCCTCCTGAGTAACTGGGATTACAGGCATGCGTCACGACGCCTAGCTAATTTTTGTATTTTTAGTAGAGACAGTTTCCCCATGTTGGTCAGACTGGTCTCGAACTCCCGACCTCCATTGATCCGCCTGCGTTGGCCTCCCAAAGTCCTGGGATTACAGGCGTGAGCCACCGCGCATCGGCCAGGCGGGGTGGCACACACGCCTGTAGTTCCAGCTACTTGGGAGGCTGAGATAGGAGGATGGTTTGGGCCAGTATCCAGGAGAATGGATATTGTAGAACAACCAGTAGTCTGCCACGTGTCATTTTATTTTTTTCTAGTCCATCTTCTTTGGGACTATCATCATCTAGGCTACTTTCCTACTGGGCACCCAGGTTCTTTCAGCATCTCCAATTATCGTGTGATCATTAAAATTGAGATACTGGTCTACCCAAGTTCCAGAAAGGATTCCTAGGAGATATTGTGACTAGCTACTTAGAGACACTCTACTAAGATTATAGATCCTAAAATGTTTTTGTCAACAGTGGTACCTTTGTAATGTGTCAACTTGAATAGGCATAACTATAAGGCAAATGCTCCCATAAAAAGGAGAGAAAATCTCTTCTGTGCATATATCACAGAGTTGTATAATTTTTTTGTTTATGTTGAAAAAAAGCTTAATTTTTCTATTAACTTTTGAAGATTAGATATTTAAATAAGACAAATTCCTATGGAGGCAGGGTTGTAGGCTAATTTCTAATGATCTGTGGATACTTAAAGTATCCAGGCTGGGCGTGGTGGCTCATGCTTGTAATTCTAGCACTTTGGGAGGCCAAGGTGGGAGGATCACTTGATCCCAGGAGTTTGAGACCAGCAGTCTGGGCAACATGGTAAAACCCATCTCCATAAAAAGTACAAAAATCGGCCAGGCGGGGTGGCACACGCCTGTAGTTCCAGCCACTTGGGAGGCTGAGATAGGAGGATGGTTTGAGCCTAAGAGGCGGAGGTTGCAGTGAAGCCAAAATCATGCCATTGCACTCCAGCTTCTGCAGCAGAGCCACACCCTGTTTAAAAAAAAAAAAAAGTTATCTATTGAGATAATCCAGCATAAAGTTCTGAGGTCCCTCTTGCTAATAGCTTTTCTTAACTCTGGCAACATATTTTATTAGTAACTGACAACAAGTTATATGCATCCTGATTTGAAGAAACCAACAAAGATACTAAACGTTTCTGAATATAAATGTTTACTTAAAATGAAATCTTGACACTAACTTGTTATTTTGTAAATTGCATTGTAAAATGTTACCAAGTTATCATGCATTCAGAAAAGAAAACGCTGACTTTTGTTAAGTAGGTTTACATTTATTTTTAATCACTTAAATTTCCATCTTTCATTCTCTACAGTTTACTGGAATATTTGAGAATCAAAATTAAAAATGCATAATATAAATGATAGGAAATAATAATAGGTATCAGGTTAGCTTTTAAAACTTTTTAAAAATACTCTGAGGGTAATGTTTATTACATAATGTTTAATTATGTACTTATTCAAATTTAGACGTTTGGAGTCTAACACGTTGGATTTCCATTATTGACATCTCCTGTTGTCATCATATAGCAAGTAAAAGTCTTAGTCCCAGGAGTTTACAAGTTGGAGAATAAAGACAAATACACATAAAATCATGAAATAACATTTCCAGAGTTTATGAAATACCAAACCACCAGAGATTCATCAACAGAGAATTGAAACTGGTGGCTCAGGAAAACTATAACTAATATGTAGGAAGGACCAGAATAGAAAATAAGAGATACGGTGTCCAGGTATTGACAGTATCTCAGGTACCAAGTGACAAGGACCCAGACAGTAGTTCTGGCAATAGAAATAGAAAGGAATGTTGAATTTGGAAGAAATGACCAAATTTGATATCTCACTGGAAGTTGTGAAATGAGGATGGAAGAGTTAAAAAAAATTATGCATAATAAATAACCAAGAGATATGTGGTGTTATTTTCAGATATATGTTAATAAAAATGAGAGAGAAATTTTGACACTAAGATGATAAACGTAGCTGGGACATGTTAAGTTTGAAACAATGCAGAGTTCCTGCTGGAGATGGAACTATTTTCACCACTGGAATTCTCTGAGAAGCAGACTCTGAGATTGAATTTAGTATGTGTGTGCAGTGTTTATTAGGCTGTACACTTGGGATCAGTATGTGAAGATGAAGGTAAGAAAGCAAAAGAGCTGAGAGAGAAGTCGAGCTGTGGTGCAAGCCCAATAGCCTCAGCCCACCTCATAGAATACCCTGGAGTTTAAAAGGCTAGTTACAGTTGTCCAATGGAGAGCACAATTTGACGGGCCTTTATAACCTCAATGATTGGATGGATATAAGCTGACCTGGGAAAGGACATGATTTGGACAAGGCAGCTATGGCCATCCCTGAAGAAGCTGACAGATAAATGCTATTTGTTACCTGTACTCCCAACAGTTCAGCAAAAGTTCATTAAGCCATGGCACATCACAGTGACTACCACAACTGTGAAACTGCAGTAAAGATAATAGTTGGAACTAGAGAAAAATTATATAATTAGTGAATTCCAGTTCTGTTTCTGTTTTTAGTATTGGTAAGCATAACACAAAATCTACCATGATTATGGTTATTGTTTTTTGCAATGCTAGATTATCCTAATAGAAAATAAAATAATTTTGAAATTGTGGAGTACTCATTTATGTGTTTACTTTTATAAAAGCAGTAAATGTCCCTAAAACGAATTATTATTATTACCTACAACATGATAAATAAGCAAATTAAGAAATTTGCTAATTGCTCATCTTTGCTCACAATAGCTAGCTTGTGGGGGGAAAGAAATAGAGCAGTATGCAATAGAAGTAATGAGAATTTTAAAACAATTTTGAATATTTTCTAATTAATCAGTTCAGAGACACACAGACTGATATTTCACTAGCCTTTGGAAGACTTTAACCACAAGGGAGACTTTAAAAATAATTTTCACATTACCAAACATTTAAAATATTTGTCAAATTACAAGATTTCCACAATATTTCAGAATGTTACCTAAAGTTCATGTTCATCCGATATTCATCAACCACATTTTTTTCTAATAAATACATGTCACAGTTCTATACCATTTCTCATTTAAATACTGGCAATTATCTATTGATAAAATTATTTTCACAATTCAATGAAACTATAAGAGCTTGACTAACTTTAGGCCTTAAAATGTGTATAGGTGTGTATGTGTGTGTGTATTTTTATTGCTGTAGTTAATTTATTTTTCTTACTAAAACAATGATGCTTCAAGATGAGAAAACATGTCATAGACTGAAAGAAAATATTTGCAAAATATGTGTCTGATAAAGGACTATTATCAAAATATACAAAGAACTGTTGAAACTCAAGAAAAAGAAAACTAACCAATTTAAAAAATAGGCGAAAAGCCATCAGCAGTGGACTGGACAAACAAAATGTAGTACAGCTACACCATGGAATACTGTGCAGCCATAAAAAGAAGGAAATCATGTCCTTTGCAGCAACACAGATGGAAACCATTATCCTAAATCAATTAATGCAGGAACAATAACAACAACAAAAACAAATACTGCATGTCCTCATAAGTGAGAGCTAAACATTGAGTACACATGGACATAAAGAAGGGAATAACAGACATCAGCGCCTCTTTGAGAGTGGAGAGTGGATGGGAAGGTGAAACCCATAAACTACCTATCAGGCACTATTTCCTGGGTGATGAAATAATCTGTACACAAATCCCCATCTCACACACACACACACACACACACACACACACACACAGTTTTAATTTGTGACTGCCAAAATTTGGTGCAACCAGGATGTCCTTCATTAGGTGAATGGATAAACTATGGTACATTCAGACAATGAAATATTATTCAGCACTAAAAAGAAGTGAGCTATTAAGCCATGAAAAGACATGAATAAACCTTAAATTTATATTACTAAGTGAAGAAAACAAATCTAAAAGGCTACATACTGTATGATTCCAGCTGTATGACATTCTGGAAAAGGTTTAAGTGTGGAGACTGTAGAAGCCTCAGTGGTTTCCAGGGGTTAGAGAAGAGTGAGGGATGGATAGATGGAACCCAGGGAATTTTTAGGACAGTGAAACTGCTCTGTATGATACTCTACTTGTGGATATATATTATTATACATTTGTCCAAATCCACAGAATGCAGAACACCAAAAATGAAACCTAATGTAAACTAAGGAATTTGAGTAATAATGAGTTGTCAATGTAGGTTTGATTATAATAAATGTACTGCTCTGGTGGAGAATGTTGATAGTAAGGGATGGTGAGGAGGTGTGTGTAGGGTATGGAAAATAAAGGAAATCTCTGTACCTTCTGTGCAATTTTATTGCGAACCTAAAACCACTCTAAAAAGTAAAGCCTATTTAAAAACAACAACAATAAAAACAAACTATTATAGGAAATGACTTGCATTCAGAAACTATGAACCAATATGTAGTATTGATAATTTGATATAGAAAAGTTTTCCTTTTCTTTTCTCTTGCATTAACTGTATTTTCCATAAACACATTTTCTTTTCATCTAATGAAAATCATTGTTCTATTTTAACTTCCTATCTGAATGTCAGGGTGGCATTAGTACCTTTACATGCCCCATTTATAACAGGCATCTGTTCTTAACCTGAATTGCCATTGCTTGAGCATCAGTACACACTGCCTCTTCTGCAGTCGTTTGAAAAATCATTAATCATTTTATGTTAAATGGAACTAGGCTCCCCTGAGGGCCTTCTATGGATAGTTTTACTCTTTCAGAGATTCTAACATATCTTTCTTTATTATTATTGAGAAAAATTTGTATAATTTTATTTTTAAGCAAATGTCCTTTCTAATTTTCATTTTGTAGACTTTAACCTGTCTCCTTCACCATCCCCACCTCTACTAACTTAATGAACAAAGCTTAAAACCTCAGAGGTCCTTTTATGAAAAGTTTCTGAACACCTAATTTGAAATATCAAAATTCTTTTTTCAACATAGGCAACTATTAAATAGCAACTAATTTTAGCTCCCAATTTCAAGGCCACTTAATATAAATAGGCTGAGTTTCTGAATGAGGCAATGGTTCACTAGTAATCATTTTCTCATGTTTCTTAGATCTCATATATTCCTGACAGATCCATACCTGTATGATAATTTAGTAGGATGTCTTTGGTGAAAGCTCTTTAAAAGACTGCTCAACTCAAATATTGGAACATAGTTCTAGGTACCTTAAATGAAGAAAATACATATTTGGTATAGTGAAAAAGAGATTTCTAATGGGCCTGATGCCTCTAACCACCTGGAAGAGAGCAAATGGTGGGTCTCAAACTCAATTTTGGTGGTTCAGGCTTAAAAATGCCTAACAGCAAACAGTGAATTTTGTTTTATTTTTGGAAGTGACATTATTTCAAGTTATTTTCCTGACTTTCCACTACTAGAAGAGTCCCTGAGAACAAATACATTTGTTTTAAAGCAATTCTTAATTAGCTGCTTAGAGGAAGATGCTGTGAGCTGCCAACTCTACAATTCTTTCAACAGTCAGAAGAAGCCTTGACCTAGGATGAGGCCAGGAACAAGGCTGGAGAAAGCAAATTGGAGAGCTGATGTGTTCCCGTACACCTGTTCCTAAACCCAGAAGCCTTAAAAACTAAGACTCAGGTGACAAATTTCTTATTCTACCATTTCACTCACCAAAAAGTGACAAGAGGACAAATATCAAGATAATTCTTTGAAGAGTTTGTGTCCATCTGGAGGGAGGGAACAAAAAACCTTGTCACAGCTTTTTATTTTGATTTGAAGACAGCTTGTCTGGTGGAGCTGAATGATAGGTATTTGGGGAGTGAGAGAGACTTTGAGAAAGGAACAGAAAAGCTTACAATGGATTTTAGGGAAGTTTTACTGTATATGGTAAAATGCAGCTCTTTTCTAACACTCCCTTTGAAGCCTGCAGAGCCTTCAATATTACTCATTAGTGCTTTTGGAGTTAGTCTTGTGTTTTCAGGAAGATGTAATATATTGAGACTGGCCTCCATGTGGTTCAGATACATGAGGGTTACATGCACATTTAAACAATCACCCATAAACTGTATGGGCAAATACAGAACTTGCATTTAATTTTAAGAAATAAGCATAAATCTTCAAAGAAATTTAAGATTCAAGGAGTCATTGGGTCAGAGCCCCCAAAGAGGCATTTTTGGAAATTGTCAGGGTGTTTCTGATGTCACAATAATTGAGGAGCATTATTTCTATTTAGTATGTAGGGACCAGGGATGCAGCACACCCTGTAATACTCAAAAGACAGCTCTACACAAGAAAGAGTTGTGTGTGCACATTGCTCTCAGATGTCACATCAGAAATTTGTGTAGGTGAAAAATGCCTGTTTTTTAAAAATATGTATCTCAGCCTAAAAACTGTCATTTTGCAAATAAACACCAAGTTTTTTTTTGCATTGTTTTTATATGTGCATGCTATTTGAGTCACTAATACTACATACTATCGATCTGCATTTATAGCTCTCAGTTCCTGGTGGTTGTACATTGAGATGCAAATGTTAAGATTGCTTTATATGTCTTTATATGTCTATTTTTCTCCATCATACCTTCTTATATTTTTTGTAACAGCACTATTACAGTTTTTAATCCTATCAATAGATTTATGTGATTGTTTAATGTCTGAATCCTTTACTAGATTCTAATCACCAGAAGGGCAGATAAGTTTCCCATTTTTTTAATCATTCTGTATCAGTCACTATCATTCCCCCTGACACAGTGCCTACTTAGTGAAGATTAGTCAAATGAATGAAGGGTTGAGTAAAAGAGGGAGGGAAAACAAGAATCTTCTTTCTAAAAACATATATTTTTTTTTTGAGATGGAGTGTCGCTCTGCTGCCCAGGCTGGATGGAGTAGAGCGGCACGATCTCGACTCACTGCAAGCTCCGCCTCCTGGGTTCACGCCATTCTCCTGCCTCAGCCTCCCGAGTAGCTGGGACTACAGGCGCCCGCCACCATGCCCATCTAATTTTTTTGTATTTTTAGTAGATACGGGTTTCACCGTGTTAACCAGGATGGTCTCGATCTCCTGACCTCGTGATCCGCCCGCCTCGGCCTCCCAAAGTGCTGGGATTACAGGCATGAGCCACCGCGCCCGGCCCTAAAAAAATAATTTTCAAGCAGAAAAGACTTCTCAGCCAGGTGCAGTGGCTCACGCCTGTAATCCTAGCACTTTGGGATTAGCTGTCTTAGTGGTGCCTGCCTGTAGTCCCAGCTACCTAGGAGGCTGAGCAGGGAGAATCACTTGAACCCAGCAGGCAGAGATTGCAGTGAGCTGAGATCATACCATCGCACCCCAGTCTGGGTGACAGAGTGAGACCGTGTCTCAAAAAAAAAAAAAAAGGAAAAGGAAAAGAAAAACTTCTCAGCTGCTGAGCTCCTAACCCTTCTCATCACACGCATCATCAACCAAAATTATGAACCATTCTACATTATTTCTGGGGGGCCCTGAAATTCTTTTTTGGTGTGGGCATGAGGTCTAATATAAATAAAACATGTTCATATTTTCTTGCAATGAATTACATAAGATTTATTTTAAGGAATTGCCTTTGGAACCCAGGGTTCTTTTGAATCCAATTTGAGATCCATTATTCCATGTAATTAGAATATGTATAAAAGAGAAAAAAATAGTTCTACAGTTAAACCATTTAAAAACAAAATTAATTCCCACTGCTGAAGGCCTAAAGGGGAAATCTAGAAAATGGGCAGAGAAACTGGGTTGTATCATTAGATTTTGTTCAGGACCTATTATTACCAATTTAGTAGCTCAACCCTTGAATTGAAGTACTATATTTATAATATTACAAGGGATTTATACGGTATCATTTGGAGCTGAAATTTCTCATGATTATTTTAGCCTAGAAGCAGTAATACTACTTAATCAAGTAAAACATTCTGTTTTTTTCATGTCGTTTAACAATGCATAGTAAATCATATGTGATTCTTCTATGACAGATAAATTTTATGTCTAATTTCATCAATATCTAGAAAGACTAAAAGCTTAAGACCAAATATATTCTTCATGTCATTTGGACTTAGTTGAAATCAACATAATTGTATTCTTTCCTATTTCCAAGGAGTATATGGGCCTCAGGACATGAGCTTATTTTCACATAGAAAAAATCAATCAGAAAAGAAAATTCTACATGACAACCACTCCTTTTATTTTTCAGACAAGGGGTAATAAAATTAATTTCTCATTTTTCAACCAATTAAGTTTCTATTCTCTAGGTCAGTCTGTTTCTTGGACCATTTGTTTCATTGAAATTTGGATCAAAATTTATTTTAAAATAAGGAGGAAAAATGTTGTTAGATAAGAAGTAAAGGATAGTGCTCACTTCAGCAGCACATATACTAAAATTGGAAAGAAGTAAAGGATAGATCTCTTTAATCATGACAGTCTTAAAGAGGAATCCAATGCACCAACATAGTTGCTTTTTGTTTTGTTTCATTTGCATCACCCTGCATTATTCTCCTATTTAGCTCTGCTTAACCACTTCTGCCAAGGTATTCCTAAGGGCAAAGGAAAAAGAATGTATGCCCCTTCTGTTTGCTAGGTGTTTGTGATTCTGAGGCAGAGTTTCGGGGGTCAGTGAACCTGGATTTTATTTAAAAGATTACATTTTTATTTTCACTAACTTCTAACTAAAATATAGCATTTATGAATGTAGGCAACAAACCCTGTAGCAGTGTTAATATTATAGTGCCTATGATTTGTGCCTCCAACAGAAATGGCATGTAATCCAGATGTTGCAGATGACTCTATCATTTACACCCATCACTACTTCAAAATTATGGTAGTTATACCTGCTGCTAGATCTAGTCATTTAGGTCCTCAGTGAAGAAGCATGTTATTAGATCACAAAATTATTTTCTAAAATCTTTTTGTAAATATAATTCAATATCATGAGTTTCTTCTTCATATAATTTATGGATTTACAAACGGCATTTTGAGAAGGGTTTCATAGGCCTAATAAGGCTGCCCATGGGATGCATGAAACAAAAGTCATCAAGAACCATAAAGCAGTTATTTTCAACCTTATTAGACCTAACTTTCTCCTCTTTAAAAAATTGAGGTGAAATTCACATCATATACAATCAACTATTTTCGAGTGTACTATTTAGTGGTACTTAGCATAGTCACAATATTGTACAACTGCCACTTCCTTCTAGTTTCAAAACATTTTCATCATCCCAGAAGAATACCTCATATCCTTTAAGTAATCACTTCCTGTTCCCCCCTGCCACCCGCTGACATCCACTAATCAGCTTGCCTATTTTGGATATTTCACATAAGAGGAATCATATGACATGCGGCTTTTTGTGTCTAGTGTCTTTCACTTAGCATAATGCTTTTGGTGTCCATCCACATTCTAGAATATATGAAACCTTCATTCCTTTTTATGCCTGAATAATATTTCATTGTATATCATTGTACGTTATGATTTGTTTATCACACTCAACAATAAAAAGGCAACCTACAGAATGGGAGAAAATTTTTGCAATCTAGCCATCTGACAAAGAGTTAATATCCAGAATCTACAAAGAACTTAAACAAATTTACAAGAAAAAACAGACAACCCCATCAAAAAGTGGGTGAAGGATATGAACAGACACTTCTCAAGACACTTACGCAGCCAACAAATATATGAGAACAGACACTTCTCAAAAGAAGACATTTATGAGGTCAAAAAACATTAAAAAGAGCTCATCATCACTGGTCATTGAGAAATGCAAGTCAAAACCACAATGAGATACCATCTCACGCCAGTTAGAATGACGATCATTAAAAAGTCAGGAAACTTTTTTGTTTTTTTCTCAATGGGTTTGCCACCAGAACACAGGTATCGTGAAAACTACCCCTACCTATAAGCCAGAACGAGAAAGGAAAAGACTCATATCAACACTGTGATCATCGGACACGTAGATTCGGGCAAGTCCACCACTACTGGCCATCTGATCTACAAATGCGGTGGCGTCGACAAAAGAACCATCGAAAAATTTGAGAAGGAGGCTGCTGAGATGGGAAAGTGCTCCTTCAAGTATGCCTGGGTCTTGGATAAACTGAAAGCTGAGCGTGAACATGGTATCACCATTGATATCTCTTTGTGGAAATTTGAGACCAGCAAGTACTATGTGACTATCATTGATGCCCCAGGACACAGAGACCTCATCAAAAACATGATTACAGGGACATCTCAGGCTGACTGTGCTGTCTTGATTGTTGCTGCTGGTTTTGGTGAATTTGAAGCTGGTATCTCCAAGAATGGGCAGACCCGAGAGCACGCCCTTCTGGCTTACACACTGGGTGTGAAACAACTAATTGTTGGTGTTAACAAAATGGATTCCACTGAGCCACCCTACAGCCATAAGAGATATGAGGAAATTGTTAAGGAAGTCAGCACTTACATTAAGAAAATTGGCCACAACACCGACACAGTAGCATTTGTGCCAGTTTCTGGTTGGAATGGTGACAACACGCTGGAGCCAAGTGCTAACATGCCTTGGTTCAAGGGATGGAAAGTCACCCGTAAGGATGGCAATGCCAGTGGAACCACGCTGCTTGAGGCTCTTGACTGCATCCTACCACCAACTCGTCCAACTGACAAGCCCTTGTGCCTGCCTCTCCAGGATGTCTACAAAATTGGTGGTATTGGTACTGTTCCTGTTGGCTGAGTGGAGACTGGTGTTCTCAAACCTGGTATGGTGGTCACCTTTGCTCCAGTCAACGTTGCAACAGAAGTAAAATCTGTTGAAATGCACCATGAAGCTTTGAGTGAAGTTCTTCCTGGGGACAATGTGGGCTTCAATGTCAAGAATGTGTCTGTCAAGGATGTTCGTCGTGGCAACGTTGCTGGTGACAGCAAAAAGGACCCACCAATGGAAGCAGCTGGCTTCACTGCTCAGGTGATTATCCTGAACCATCCAGGCCAAATAAGTGCTGGCTATGCCCCTGTATTGGATTGCCACACGGCTCACATTGCATGCAAGTTTGCTGAGCTGAAGGAAAAGACTGATCGCCATTCTGGTAAAAAGCTGGAAGATGGCCCTAAATTCTTGAAGTCTGGTGATGCTGCCATTGTTGATATGGTTCCTGGCAAGCCCGTGTATGTTGAGAGCTTCTCAGACTATCCACCTTTGGGTCGCTTTGCTGTTCATGATATCAGACAGACAGTTGCGGTGGGTGTCATCAAAGCAGTGGACAAGAAGGCTGCTGGAGCTGGCAAGGTCACCAAGTCTGCCCAGAAAGCTCAGAAGGCTAAATAAATATTATCCCTACTACCTGCCACCCCACTGTTAATCAGTGGTGGAAGAATGGTCTCAGAACTGTTTGTTTCAATTGGCCATTGAAGTTTAGTAGTAAAAGACTGGTTAATGATAACAATGCATCATAAAACCTTCAGAAGGAAAGGAGAATGTTTTGTGGACCACTTTGGTTTTCTTTCTTTGCATGTGGCAGTTTTAAGTTATTAGTTTTTAAAATCAGTACTTTTTACTGGAAACAACTTGACCAAAAATTTGTCACAGAATTTTGAGACCCATTAAAAAAGTTTAATGAAAAAATAAAATAAAATAAAAAATTAAAAGTTAGGAAACAACAGATGCTGGAGAGGATGTGGAGAAATAGGAAAGCTTTTACATTGTTGGTGGGATTGTAAATTAGTTCAACCATTGTGGAAGACAGTGTGGTGGTTTCTCAAGGATCTAGAACCAGAAATATCATTTGACCCAGCAATCCCATTACTGGGTATATACCCAAAGGATTATAAATCATTCTACTGTAAAGACACATGCACACGTATGTTTATTGCAGCACTGTTCACAATAGCAAAGACTTGGAACCAACCCAAATGCCCATTAATGATAGACTGGATAAAGAAGATGTGGCACATATACACCATGGAATACTATGCAGACATAAAAAAGGATGAGTTCATGTCCTTTTCAGGGACCTGGATGAAGCTGGAAACCATCATTCTCAGCAAACTAACACAGGAACAGAAAACCAAACACCACATGTTCTCACTCATAAGTGGGAGTTGAACAATGAGAACACTTGGACACAGGGAGGGGAACATCACACACTGGGGCCTGTCGGGGGTGGGGGTGCTAGGGGAGAGAGAGCATTAGCAGAAATACCTAATATAGATGACGGGTTGATAGGTGCAGCAAACCTCCGTGGCACGTGTATACCTATGTAACAAACCTGCACATTCTGCACGTGTATCCCAGAACTTAAAGTAAAAAACAAAACAAAAAAAAGACAATATAAATTTTTAAATGAACAATGGATTTAAATAGATGTTCCTTCAAAGAAAATATACAAATGGTCAACAAACACATAAACAGATATTTAACTTCATTGGTCATTAAGGAAATACAAATCAAAAGAAGATACCAAAACCAAACTGCAACAACAACTAATGAGATAAAACTGCATGGCCACTAGGATGGCTACAATAATCAAAAACAAATAAAAAATAGGCATGGAGAAACACAAACTCTCGGGCATTGCTGGTGGGGATATAAAATGGTGCAGCTGCTGTGGAAAACGTTTTGGTGGTTCCTAAAAAAGCTAAACATAGAATTGTCATATGACCCAGCAATTCCTCTTCCAGGTATAGACTACAGAGAAATGAAAACATACAACATATATCCACACAGAAACTTATATATATCAATGATTATAGCAGCATTATTCCTAATGCCCAAAAGAAGTAAACAACCTAAGTGTCTATCAACAAATGAATGGATAAATAAAACTTCCATTTTAATAGAAAATCTTTTGTAACAGCTTTTTTATTCTTCCAAAATGAAACTGATAGATAATAAAACCTACTACACTCAAAATCTTCAAAAAATCAACATAATGCCTAACTATTAAGGAAGGTATAAAAAATTTGTAATAAAACTGTATGTATGAAATAAAACTCTATGTTCAATATGCAAATGTGTAGGCACCAGTCATATGGGGGCAGTTAAAATAATACAGGGAAGGGATCTTACTGTGTGGACATCTCATGATGTAAACAGCATACTCACTGCTAAAGGAGACTTGTGGCTGTCAGACAACCATTTGCTTAAATACCAGACTCTATTAATTGAAGGGCCAGTGCTGTGACTGCGCACTTGTGCAACTCTAACCCAGCCACATTTCTTCCAGGTAATGAAGAAAAGATAGAACATAACTGTTCAACAGGTGATTGCTCAAACCTATGCTGCTCGAAGGGACCTTCTAGAGGTTCCCTTGACTGATCCCGACCTCAACTTGTATACTGATGGAAGTTCCTTCATAGAAAAAGGACTTTAAAAGGTGGGGTATGCAGTGGTCAGTGATAATGGAATACTTGAAAGTAATCCCCTCACTCAGGAACTAGTGCTCAGCTGGCAGAACTAATAGCCCTCACTTGGGCACTAAAATTGGGAGAAGAAAAAAGGGTAAATATATATACAGACTCTAAGCATTCTTACCTAGTCCTCCATGCCCACGCAGCAATATGGAGAGAAAGGGAATGCTTAACTTCCGAGGGAACATCAGGAAGCTATTAGGAGATTATTATTGGCTGTACAGAAACCTAAAGAGGTGGCAGTCTTACACTGCTGGGGTCATCAGAAAGGAAAGGAAAGGGAAATAGAAGGGAACCACCAAGCGGATATTGAAGCCAAAAGAGCCGCAAGGCTCTTTAGCATTTAGAAATGCTTATAGAAGGACCCCTAGTATGGGGTAATCCCCTCTGGGAAACCAAGCCCCAGTACTCAGCAGGAGAAATCGAATGGGGTACCTCACGAGGACATAGTTTCCTCCCCTCAGGATGGCTAGCCACTGAAGAAGGAAAAATACTTTTGCCTGCAGCTAACCAATGGAAATTACTTAAAACCCTTCACCAAACCTTTCACTTAGGCATTGATAGCACCCATCAGACGGCCAAATTATTATTTACTGGACCAGGCCTTTTCAAAACTATCAAGCAGATAGTCAGGGCCTGTGAAATGTGGCAAAGAAATAATCCCCTGCACTTCAGGCCATACATTTCAATCCCTGTATCTTTAACCTCCTTGTTAAGTTTTTCTCTCCCAGAATTGAAACTGTAAAACTACAAATGTTCTTCAAATGGAGCCCCAGATGCAGTCCATGACTAAAATCTACCATGGACCCCTGGACTGTCCTGCTAGCCTATGCTCCGATGTTGATGACATCAAAGGCACCGCTCCTGAGGAAATCTCAACTGCACAACCCCTACTATGCCCCAATTCAGCAGGAAGCAGTTAGAGCGGTCGTCGGCCAACCTCCCCAACAGCACCTGGGTTTTCCTGTTGAGAGGGGGCACTGAGAGACAGGACTAGCTGGATTTCTAGGCTCACTAAGAATCCCTAAGCCTAGCTGGGGATTGGAAGGCATCACTTTTGCTGGAAGACCTACAGACAATATAAAGAGTTTTTTTTTTTCTTTCAGTTGCAAGATTAAATAGAGTTAAAACAGAGCTCCCATACAAAGGGAGGGGACCCAAAGGGGGTAGCTGTTGCTGGCTTGAATGCCTGGGTTTATATCCTGATCATTGTTCCTCCCCCTGTGCTCTCAGGCAATAATGAGTAATGAAGGAAACATGCTTAAATAAGCCCCATAAATCTCCACCTTATTTGTCTACTACTTTCCTTCATTACTTCTTAGGGAAATTGATATGGTAGACATTAATTGGTGTGATTGCCTGGCTCACAGTGATTCCCCAGTCATCAGTCTCTGGTGCTCCTTATCTTTGAATGGGGTTGCTGATTCTTTTATCCCCATTTCCATTCTAGCATATGGTCCAATGCAAACTATATGCTCTTGTCTCCAGGGCTGGGGGAGGATGAACATGGGCTCATAACTCAAGCTAGGTGCTATGGTCTGAGTATTTGTGTCTTCCCAAAATTCCTGTATTGAAATCCTAACTCCCAAGGTGATGGTATTAGGAGTTAAGGCCTTTTGAGAGTTGATTAGGTCATGAGGGCAGAGCCTTCATGAATGGGATTAGTGCCCTTATAAAATAGGGCCAAGTGAGCTTGTTTGTTCCTTTTACCATGTGAGGACACAGCCAGAAGATACCATCTGTGAGCCGGGAAGCAAGCCCTCACCAGACACTGAATATGCTGGCACTTTGATCTTGGACTTCCCAGACTCCAAAACTGTGAGAAACATATTTCTACTCTTCATAAGCCACCCAGTTTATGGTACTTTGTTATAGCAGCCCAAACGGACTAAGATACTAGGCCAATCAGTGTCCTTCCTGGGATTTTTAAAACTGGAGCAGTAAGTAGTAAAGATGTGAGTCTAGAAGTACCAGCAGCCATTCCCTGCCCTCCACAATATGAGGAAACCTGTGCAACAAAGAAAAGCAGAAACAGCAAGAGGCACAGAGTAAGTCCTAACAGCATTCAAGTCCTTAGTTCCAGTTATTGAAATTTCTGGAACTATCCTAAGCCCTACCTTTCCAAGAGGGAGTTATTTAATCTTGCATTAACTCTGGGGGCTTCACCAGCACCCTTCCAAAACACTCTTTTTATTGCCCAATTTTGGTTGGGTTTCTTTCACTCACAACAAAGAATTCTAACTTCTTAGGAAATGAATAACCATCTTGGATTCAAACAAGCAGTGTGAGGGTCCAGAGTCATCAGAGCCCCAGCCTTTGTCTCTGCCACACTTACTGCCAGAAATTGTCCCCATTTTGCACAGTAAAAACTAACGTGAATCCTAAGGCTCCTGTCTGTAATAAGCTCCTTATTTTGGAAGAGAGGAATGGTTATTTACTGTTTTTTTTTTCCCCCTAGTAGCACTGAAATCATTCTTAATTTTCAGTTCTTTCATTGTTTTCTCTTTTAGTGACTTTAGCTTTTTAGAGGAGTTCTCAGTATGGCATGCATTCTTCCACAAGTTAACAATCATTACCCAAACCAAAACTAATGGATAAGCAATTTCTCCTCAGATACCTGAGCAATCTTTTGATTTTGTTTTTTCTGTTAAGAGTATCTGTGGGAAGAAAATAAAGAGTTATATTCTCTTTCCAAAGCCTGAAACCTATCTGAGGAACCCACTAACCAAGGATAAGAGAATTCTGCTTGTTGGGGTTTTGACTTAGTTGGTAGCAGGGAGTAGACAGAGATAGGGATAGATTTATATCTTCATCAGCTGTAATTTCCCAAATATGAACTGGTGCCTTCCATCACAACCCTGCTGTTTGGTCTTGTAATCTGGAATCCACTAATGTAATCTCACTTGTCAATGTCTATAGAATTAACCTCATAGGTTAAGGTGACCTCTAAGGTTTAAAGGTGAGAAGAGAGAGTGGGGCACAAAAATATACCATATTTATGAAAATTAGGTCGTTCATTCTGGCTACTTTGGGCTAATTCTCTTCAGGTGTGATTAGTGACTCACTGCTAAGGAGCCTGATTTTCCCAAACCACACCACATAAAACCTTGTCTTATGTTTCACTGCAGAGGTCTCTCCACTCTTATGTTTGTTTTTTCCTTTTTCTGTTGACATGTAATTGAATCCTTTTCAGGCAACTTTCAGCATCTCACCATATTACTAAAAACCACCCCCTTTGAATGCTGTAAGGTGTTCTATCCACAGAGATGGAGGCATTTAGGCACCAGGTTCTTGGTGTCTCAATGTTACTGGACACAGAAGAGACTCAATAAAAATTTAGCAAGGAATGAATTTAATGTTTTGAGCCATAATGAATGCCAGAAAGAGACCCACAGAAAGGAAGTATGTCTGCTTCAGGCATATTTTATTTTATTATTATTTTTATTTTTTTGAGACATGGTCTCACTCTGTTGCCCAGGCTAGAGTACAGTGGCATGATCATGGCTCACTGCAGCTTCAACCTCCTCGGCTCAAGTGATCCTCCCACCTCAGCCTCCCAGGTAGCTGGGGATTCAGGCGCATGCCAACATGCCTGGCTAACTTTTTGTATGTTTTGTAGATGTGGGATTTTGCCATGTTTCACAGGCTGGTCTTGAACTCCTAGGCTCAAGCAATCCTTTTGCCTCAGACTTGCAAAATGCTGGGATTACAGGTGTGAGCCACTGCACTCAGCCAAGTCTTATTTTAAAGTGAGTGAGACTTAGTGTTTTTGGGGCCACAGAACCATTTCAGAATCTGAGGAAAGGGGCAGATATTTTCTCCCAGAAAGTGCACAATACATACAAAGTTGCTTATAATTTTAGGAGGTCCATTGGCCTAAGAATCTGTAGATTTTAGTTATAAATTTCTTTTTTTTTTCCCTCCAACATTTATTTTAAATTTATGGGTACATGTGCAAGATGTGCAGGTTTCTTACGTAGGTAAATGTGTACCATGGTGGTTTGCTGCACAGATCATCTCATCACCTAGGTATTATGCCCAGCATTTATCAGCTGCTTCTTCCTGATGTTCTCCCTCCTCTCAACTCCACCCTCTGACAGGCCCCAGTGTGTGTTGTTTCCCCCCATGTGTCCATGTGTTCTCATCTTTCAGCTCCCACTTATAAGTGAGAATGTGTGGTGTTTGGTTTTCTGTTCCTGTGTTAGTTCGCTGAGGATAATGGCTTCTATTTCCATCCATGTCCCTACAAAGGACATGATCTTGTTCCTTTTTATGGCTGCATAGTATTCCATGGTGTGTATGTACCATATTTTCTTTATCTAGTATATAATTGATGGGTATTTAGGTTAATTCTATGTCTTTGCTGTTGTGAATAGCGCTAAAATGAATATACACATGCATGGGTCTTTATAGTAGAAAGATTTGTATTCCTTTGGGTATATATCCAGTAATGGGATTGCTGGGTCAAAGGGTATTTCTGCCCCTAGATCTTTGAGGAATTGCCACGCTGTCTTCCACAATGGTTGAACTAATTTACACTCCCACCAACAGTGTAAATGTTTGTCTTTTTCTGTGCAATCTTGCCAGCATCTATTATTTTTTGATTTTTTACTAATAGCCATTCTGACTGGTGTGAGATGGTATTTCATTGTGGTTTTGATTTGCATTTCTCTAATGATCAGTGATGTGGAGCTTTTTTTTCATATGTTTGTTGGCCACATGCATGTCTTCTTTTGAGAAGTGTCTGTTCATGTCCTTTGCCTACTTTTTAATGGGTTGTTTGTTTTTTACTTGTAAATTTGTTTAAGTACCTTATAGATGCTGGATGTTAGACCTTTGTCAGATGGATAGATTGCAAAAATTTGTTCCCTTTCCATACGTTGTCTGTTTATTCTGATGATAGTTTCTTTCACTGTGCAGAGCTCTTTAGTTTAATTAGATCCCATTTGCAAATGTTTGCTTTTGTTGCAACTGCTTTTGGCATCTTTGTCATGAAATCATTGCCCGTGCCTATGTCCTTAATGGTATGCCTAGGTTGTCTTCTAGGTTTTTTTTTTTTTATAGTTTTGGGTTTTACATTTGAGACCTTAATCCATCTTCAGTTGATTTTTGTATATAATGTGAGGAAGGGGTCTGGTTTCAATTTTCTGCATATGGCTAGCCAGTTCTCCCAGCATCATTTACTATATAAGGAATCTTTCCCCATTGCTTGTTTTGGTTAGGTTTGTTGAAGATCAGATTGTTGTAGGTGTGCAGTCTTATTTACGGGCTGTCTATTCTGTTCCGTTGTTGTACGTGTCTGTTCTTGTACAAGTACCATGCTGTTTTGGTTTTTATAGCCTTGTAGTATAGTTTGAAGTTGGGTAGCATGATGCCTCCAGCTTTGTTCTTTTTGCTTAGAATTGTCTTAGCTGTTAAAGTTCTTTTTTGGTTCCATATGAATTTTAAAATAATTTTTTCTAATTCTGTGAAGAATATCAATGGTAGTTTAGTGGGAATAGCATTTAATCTATAAATTGCTTTGGGCAATATGGCCATTTTCACAATGTTGAGTCTTCCTATCTGTGAGCATGGAATGTTTTTCCATTTGTTTGTGTCATCTCTGATTTCTTTCAGGAATCATTTGTAGTTCTCCTTGAAGAGCTCCTTCACTTACTTTGTTATCTGTATTCCTAGGTATTATCTTCTTTGTGGCAATTGCAAATGGAAGTTCATTGATGATTTGGCTCTCTGCTTGACTGTTGTTGGTATATAGGAATCTTAGGGACTTTTGCACGTTTATTTTGTATCCTGAGTCTTTGATGAAGTGGCTTATCAGCTTAAGAAGCTTTTGGCCTGAGATGATGGGATTTTCTAGATATGGGATCATGTCATCTGCAAACAAAGATAATTTGACTTCCTCTCTTCATATTTGTATACCTTTATTTCTTTTTCTTGCCTGATTGCCCTGGCCAGAACTTCCAATACTATGTTGAATAGGAGTGGTGAAAGAGGGCATCCTTGTCTTGTGTGAGTTTTCAAGGGGAATGCTTCCAGCTTTTGCCCATTCAGTATGATATTGGCTGTGGGTTTGTCATAGGTAGCTCTTATTATTTTGAGGTATGTTCCTTCAATATCTAGTTTATTGACAGTTTTTAACATGAGGGGATGTTGAATTTTAGGTTACAAATTTCTATTAAAGCAGAATATTAAGTAATATAGAAAAATATTTGTAAGTATTGGGAAGTGACTTTTGGGGCTAATTTCTGTTCACACACCTCATCAGTTCTCCCTAGCCTACTGTCATGATTTAAATGAATTAAGCATTCTTTAAAACAGTCAATTAAAAAAAAAAGGATAAGGGCCCCATGTATTGGGCGGTCAGCAAAACAAAACAAAACAAACAAACAAACAAAAAACATGGAAAAGAATATTAATTCTTCCTCCTATGAAGTTCCACTCTTTATCCCAAGTTAGAAGATTCTTACCATATCCTGCCAGGTGCAGTGGCTCACGTAATTCCAGCACTTTGGGAGGCTGAGGTGGGCGGATCACAAGGTCAGGAGTTCAAGACCAGCCTGGCCAATATGGTGAAACCCCATCTCTACTAAAGATACAAAAAATTAGCTGGGCATGGTGGCATGCGCCTGTAATCCCAGCTACTCAGGAGGCTGAGGCAGGAGAATCGCTTGAACCCGGGAGGTGGAGGTTGCAGTGAGCCGAGATCAAGCCATTGCACTCCAGACTGGGCCACAGGGCAGTACTCCGTCTCAAAAAAAAAAAAAAAAAAAAAAAAAAAAAAATATATATATATATATATATATATATATATATATATATATATATATACATACATACATATAAATTTTAAAAAAAAGAGAAGAGTCTTACCATATCCATACCCTCAGGCTGGATATGACTGTCAAGATTGTTGACATTAACGACTCCCTTTTAACAAGATTTTATCATCTGAATCTGAATATTTGCATGATCTGTCACTCTGTGATTCTTTTTTATTTGTTTTTTTAAAGGTAAGATAAAATATTTTGTAGAGGAAAATCCCTTATAAGCCCACTGGCGTTGGTTTTACCCTTCCTCATTTAAATTAAAATTCAATCACCCTAATCAGCATTAAAAAAAACTTTTCTAGCATTATGCTTTGATAACTGTGTTTTCTGAGAACCAAGAAGGAAACACAAAATGATATGGAATAATAGGAACATAAGTTTAAAGCTAAAGGTATAGTAATCTATCCTGACACTATAGTTTCACAAATTTAAAAAACAGAGAAACAAAGGTAAATGTAACCTTTCTAAGATCTCTATAACTTGTCCAAGATCTCCATAACAGATTCTTTACTCTTTCTCCATTCAAAAATTATTCATTCACACTATTCACCACGTGTCATTGCAATTCCTCTCAATAGAGTAGGTATATTTTCCCATCGTATTGTTGTTGGGCTTGGCCATGTGACCTGCTCTGGCCAGTAAAATATTAGTAGAGACTTTAAGTGTGCTTGCATGATTTGGTTTAGCCTCTTGCACTTTTGCTCTTCAACCTTGAGAAGAAGATATTTCACGTAGCTTCTGGACTGAAAAGTTAATGATGATAACTCATATCTACTCAAAAAAGTAACGATGAGAACATGTGGAGCAGACCTAATCTGAACCTGGAGTTTGGAGTCCAGGCAAGCCCAGCCAAAAGCATTATCATGTCCAAGATCAGATGAGTAACAGGCAACATGCAGACCTAAAGAAGAAAAGAATTTGCTCTTTTAATCTCCTGAGATTTCAGGAGCTATTGCTATGCAATAGTAACACAGTGAAAAAGCTGACTACTCGTGTCTCATAAAATTAGCAATGATGAAATATTCTAACAATTTTTTCAAATGGTTGGATTGACTGCAATTTGGTTTACTTGCATATAACAGAAAAACTCAAACAATAGTGGCTAGTCAAAATTGAATTTTACTACTGTCTTAGAAAAAAGTCTAGGGTTAGGCAATTTAGATATAGTTTAGTGATCTAGGAGGAGAGTAGGCACTTTCTAGTGCATGGTTCTACCATCCCCAGGATATGGCCTTCCCTTAATGGCCCATGATTGCTAGTAGAACTTCTGCCATCCTATCCAAGATTCAGTAAGAATAAAGGAGAAAGAAAGCAAGCAATGATGCATCCTCTTCCTTTTAAGGAGGCTTCCTGAACATTCCACAGAGTCCCCACTGAATTTTATCGGCCAGAACTTAGTCTAAGTACTATACCAAGATGCAAAGAGCCTGTGAAATATGGTCTTTAGCTGGGTAGTAAAGCACTAAACAAAAATTATGGGGTTCTATTACCAAAAAGAAGGGGGAGAATATATACTTTGAAGCAACTGGCAGTTTCTACTGTAATGAACAAATAGTTGTTCTCCTATAGGAAGTAGGCAATATCTGAAGTATCCAACTCAGATGGATGACAATAAAAACATTAGTAAACTTTAGTGAAATAAATCATCAGAAGGGATGAGTGATAATCATGGATTTGATTATGCCATTTATTTGAAATTTGTTTTCTTGTTAATATGATGTTTTGTTATACATTATAAATGTTTGCAGTTCCATGCAGTAAATAGTACTGAGCACAACAATGTGAAAAGCATTGTGCTTGGAACTCTTAGAATCCAGATATGAATAAGACACAGTCCTAAGCTTCATGAAATTTAGCAGAACCATTGAGTTTACCAACTGTACTGGACATTTTTCTAACAAGCTGACAGCTTTCTACCTCAAGCATCTGGTCTGTTGGCTTTTTTTTTTTTTTTTTTCCTGAATGCTTTTTCCAGTGCTTCTGAAGCTTATCCAGCTCACTAGTAGAATAGATCCAAAACTTTCTGAGATTTGGTTCTTTTGGAGGAGGGCTATGGGGAGCATCCTGTGCACTGTAGGAGGTTTAGCAGCGACCCTGGCCTCTACCCACTAGATGTCAGTAGTACCCCCAGTTGTGACAAATGGAAATGTCTCTACACTTTGCTAAATTTCTCCCCATTGTTGGGGGGGGGGGGTGGCAAAATTGCTCCCAGTTGAGAATTTTAAGGGAATTCTACTAGTCGAGTTTTTATAATTTGAAAACCAAAATATAATTGGTAGTACCATTGTGGTTACTGAAGAGATTGAGTTTCTGAAAAGCCTTGACTTTATAATAATCGAAGTTTAAAAATTAATTGAAGTGTATAAAAAGCGGTCATTATACAAAATATTATGAATATAATGAGCTAAATTTTATTGATTTAAATAGAGAATATTGATGTATAGATACTTATCTATCTACTCTGAATGTAAGGCTACAGTGAAATAACTGAGACCAGATTTATGAGCCCATGATGTAAAACTAAAAACTGGATTAAATGTAAGAAAGGTATTTCAAGATCGGCATAACAGGAAGAGCAGAATTATTATCCCTGAGAGAAGGGAAACAAATAAAATGAGCCCTACGACTTAGACTTTCTGCCTAAAGACATATTCCACATGATGGTACCGGTAGGGGGACCCAAGTAAAGCACAGTGGTCTCTTGGAGCTGAGAAAACTTCCTCACATGATAAAGGGAACCTACGAAGATGGAACATTTCCTTATGCTCCTAAGATCAGGAACATGACAAGAATGTCTGCTCTCTCCATTTCTAGTCAACATTTACTGGAGTTACTAGCCTGTACATTAAGCATGAAAAAGAAATAAAAGTCATAGAGATTGCAAAGGAAGAAATAAAAAAATGCTATTTGCAGACAAAATGATCATGTACATAGAAAATCCTCAAATATATACAAAACATTACTTACTAATGAGTGGCTTTAGTAAGGTCCCCAGATGAAAGTTAGCATACAAAAATCAATTGCATTTCTATATATTGGTAACAAACAATTGGAAGTATGTTATAAAACATTCCAATTACAATAGTATCAACACATGACATTTTAAGAGATAAATATAACAAAGTATGTGCAACATCTGCTTCTGAAAACCAACAAACATCACAGAGACAAATTTTTAAAGACCCGAATAAATAGAGAAATATGCCATATTCATGAGTTTGAAGAGCCAATGCTGTTGACAGTTCCTCCCAAATTGATCTATAGATTGAAACTAATCCATATCAAATCCCAAAATGTTTTTTGTGAGCAATTGACAAGCTGATTATAAAATTTATATGGAAATGCAAAGGACAAAGCAATTCTGAAGAAGAGCCAAGTTAGAGAACATATACCACTCAACTCTAAGATTTATTATAAAGATAGATCAAACAAGAATGAGCTGTTGATGAAAGAATAAATAAATAAATAAATATATGGAACATAATAGAGAGTTCAGAAATAGCCCTACATATCTATGGTCAGTTGATTTTCAAGAATGGTAGAAAGTAATCCAATGGGGAGGACAGTCTTTTTAAAAATAGTACCAGAACAACTGGACACACATAGGAAAAAAAGTTAACCTGGACTTTTACTTCATACCACATACCAAAATTAATTAGAAATCAATCATGGATATAAATGAAAGAAATAAAACTCTAAAAATGTTTTAAGAAAACATAGAAATAAATGTTTTTGAATTCAGGATGGACAAGAGAAACAAAAAGCAGGAGCCATAAAAAGAAATAATAAATCAGTGTTTATTAAAATTAAAAAAATTGACTCTTTTTTTCTTTTTTTTTTTTTTTTTGTATTTATTGATCATTCTTGGGTGTTCCTCAGAGAGGGGGATGTGGCAGGGTGATAGGATAATAGTGGAGAGAAGGTCAGCAGATAAACACGTGAACAAAGGTCTCTGGTTTTCCTAGGCAGAGGTCCCTGCGGACTTCCGCAGTGTTTGTGTCCCTGGGTACTTGAGATTGGGGAGTGGTGATAACTCTTTTTTTTTTTTTTTCTTGGTCCTCTTGTTTTATTTTTTTATTTTATTTTATTTTATTATACTTTAAGTTTTAGGGTACATGTGCACATTGTGCAGGTTAGTTACATATGTATACATGTGCCATGCTGGTGCGCTGCACCCACTAACTCGTCATCTAGCATTAGGTATATCTCCCAATGCTATCCCTCCCCCTTCCCCCCACCCCACCACAGTCCCCAGAGTGTGATATTCCCCTTCCTGTGTCCATGTGATCTCATTGTTCAATTCCCACCTATGAGTGAGAATATGCCGTGTTTGGTTTTTTGTTCTTGTGATAGTTTACTGAGAATGATGATTTCCAATTTCATCCATGTCCCTACAAAGGACATGAACTCATCATTTTTTATGGCTGCATAGTATTCCATGGTGTATATGTGCCACATTTTCTTAATCCAGTCTATCATTGTTGGATATTTGGGTTGGTTCCAAGTCTTTGCTATTGTGAATAATGCCGCAATAAACATACGTGTGCATGTGTCTTTATAGCAGCATGATTTATAGTCATTTGGACCTAAAACCATAAAAACCCTAGAAGAAAACCTAGGCATTACCATTCAGGACATAGGCATGGGCAAGGACTTCATGTCCAAAACACCAAAAGCAATGGCAACAAAAGCCAAAATTGACAAATGGGATCTAATTAAACTAAAGAGCTTCTGCACTGCAAAAGAAACTACCATCAGAGTGAACAGGCAACCCACAAAATGGGAGAAAATTTTCGCAACCTACTCATCTGACAAAGGGCTAATATCCAGAATCTACAATGAACTCAAACAAATTTACAAGAAAAAAACAAACAACCCCATCAAAAAGTGGGCGAAGGACATGAACAGACACTTCTCAAAAGAAGACATTTATACAGCCAAGAAACACATGAAAAAATGCTCATCATCACTGGCCATCAGAGAAATGCAAATCAAAACCACAATGAGATACCATCTCACACCAGTTAGAATGGCAATCATTAAAAAGTCAAGAAACAACAGGTGCTGGAGAGGATGTGGAGAAATAGGAACACTTTTACACTGTTGGTGGGACTGTAAACTAGTTCAACCATTGTGGAAGTCAGTGTGGCGATTCCTCAGGGATCTAGAACTAGAAATACCATTTGACCCAGCCATCCCATTACTGGGTATATACCCAAATGACTATAAATCATGCTGCTATAGGGAGTGGTGATAACTCTTAAGGAGTATGCTGCCTTCAAGCATCTGTTTAACAAAGCACATCTTGCACCGCCCTTAATCCATTTAACCCTGAGTTGACACAGCACATGTCTCAGAGAGCACGGGGTTGGGGTAAGGTTATAGATTAACAGCATCCCAAGGCAGAAGAATTTTTCTTAGTACAGAACAAAATGGAGTCTCCTATGTCTACTTTCTACACAGACACAGTAACAATCTGATCTCTCTTTCTTTTCCCCACATTTCCCCCTTTTCTTTTCAACAAAACCGCCATCGTCATCGTGGCCCATTCTCGATGGTCGCTGTCTCTTCGGAGCTGTTGGGTACACCTGCACAAAGGCTGTCACTTCACACTTGGAGGATTGCACAGTGGCCAGGCAGAGGCGCTCCTCACCTCCCAGATGGGGTGGCAGCCAGGCAGAGGCACTCCTCACTTCCAAGATGGGGCTGCCGGGCAGAGGCGCTCCTCACTTCCCAGAAGGGGCGGCGGGGCAGAGGCACTCCTCACATCCCAGATGATGGGCGGCCAGGCAGAGACGCTCCTCACTTCCTAGATGGGGTGGCGGCCGGGCAGAGGCTGTAATCTTAGCACTTTGGGAGGCCAAGGCAGGCGGCTGGGAGGTGAAGGTTGTAGCCAGCCAAGATCACGCCACTGCACTCCAGCCTGGGTAACATTGAGCATTGAGTGAGCGAGACTCTGTCTGCAATCCCAGCACCTGGGGAGGCCGAGGCGGGCACATCACTCGAGGTCAGGAGCTGGAGACCAGCCCGCCCAACACGGCAAAACCCCGTCTCCACCAAAAATACAAAAACCAGTCAGGCGTGGCGGCGCGTGCCTGCAATCCCAGGCACTGGGCAGGCTGAGGCAGGAGAATGACGGGAGCCCGAGGCAGGGAGGTTGCAGCAAGCCGAGATCACGGCAGTACAGTCCAGCCTTGGCAACAGAGGGAGACCGTTGAAAGAAAGAAAGAACGAAAGAAAGGAAGGAAGGAAGGAAGGAAGGAAGGAAGGAAGGAAGGAAGGAAGGAAGGAAGGAAGGAAGGAAAAATTGACTCTTTAACAGACATTGTGAGGAAAATAAACAGGCAAGCCACAGAATGGAGAACGTATTCACATTACATATATTTGACAGAAGATCTGAATTTGAAATAGATAGCTTTTATAATTTATAATTTTATAATTTATTTTATAATTATTTATACTTTTATAATTAAATTTATAATTTTATAATTTTATAATTATATTAATATTTAATTACATATAATTGTTATATTATTATTTTATTATTATATTGTATAATTTTATAATTAAATTTATAATTTTATAAATTATATAATTATAAATAAGTTACTTTTATAATTTATAAAATAACTTTCATAATTTAATAATATGAACAAACCAATACAAATAGATACTTTACCAAAGAAGATACAAATAGCCTATGAGCACATGAAAAGTTGTTTAATATTATTAGTCATCAGGAAAATACAAATTATAACCACAGTGAGGTATCACTACATAGCCAGTAAAGTGGCTAAAATTTTTAAATCTAACAATGTTAATTATTGAAAAGATACAAGTAATTAAAATTATCATACATTGCTGGAAGAAATGAAAAATGGTATAATCACTGTGATAAAGAGTTTGTCAAATTTTTATATAGTCTATAAAAGGTACAAATTGTATTAATAACAAAGAGAACTAATTAGTCCTGTAGTCACATGTAATACCAAGTGGAAAGTAGCTATAACAGAAGATGAGCACACAATAACCAAGAAGAAGGCGTGCTCAAAAATATTTGAGTGGCCAGGTGCAGTGGCTCACGCCTGTAATCCCAGCACTTTGGGAGGCCAAGGCGGGTGGATCACGAGGTCAGGAGTTTGAGACCAGCCTGACCAACATGGTGAAACCCCGTCTCTACTAAACATACAAAAATTAGCCGGGCATGGTGGCACGTGCCTGTAATCCCAGCTACTCAGGAGGCTGAGGCAGGAGAATTGCTTGAATCCAGGAGGCGGAGGTTGCAGTGAGCCAAGATTGAGCCATGGCACTCCAGCCTGGGTGACAGAGCAGACTCTGTCTAAAAAAATAAAATAAAAAAATTTTTGAGTTAGCCAAATGTCTTAAAGAAAAATGTGTAGTCTCATTCTTGCACTTCAGGAAATCAAACTGTGACGAGGCTTTACAAATTACAATACTAATAAAAAAATTTTTTTAAGTTGTAATAATGCTAACGGACCAGGTCAATATGTTATGATGAGAAGACATGGATGACATTACTAACCAATGAATACTTCAGAAGTGCATCATTTTAGGAGAGACAACTGGTTGCAAAATTTAACCACAAAAAATCGTCATTATTTTGATTTTTAATCTACTTGGGAGAAACAATTAAGTTCTAGTCTCCATCCCATAACCAATTGATTGCTAACCCAGATCCTATGACCTTGGTTTGAAAAAAGTCATTTCTGTTTGTTTGTTTTTGTTTCTGTTTTTTTGGTGTTTAGCAAGAAAGATTACCACTTCTAGAAATATTAATTAAGCACAGTATTAGTAAAACTTTAGAAAGATACAAAATCAAGTATAGTAAAAACGTTATACAACAACAAAAGAAATATTGAGGCTATTAATCAAACTCATGTTATTATTTTAGAATAAATTTAAAGGTATGCAGAATAATAAGTTTTATAGTCCTTGTATTTGTGTATATTTTCTCTGCTATTTAAGATGTTTAGTCATACTAAATGTGGAATTACTATTTATCTTTTTAAAGTAAATTTAGTTAACCAAATTTAGCACTGATGTAAATATGTGAGTTTAGTAAGTAAACTAATATACGAATTTAATAAGCTAAAAATTAAACAAAGTACAAATACTTTTGATTGTTCCTCTCCATATATCAAAAAACCCTTACACAAAAAGAGACATATATAATCAACTACAAATATGTAGAGCTAGCCAATACATTCAGCTCAAAGCTAAACACCTAGCTCCTAGCACAAGTTAGTAAGAATTTGATACACATTTGTTAAATGAATATTACAAATGTTAAATGAATGTTACGAGATAAACTGTGGCAAAGGAAATGAATTACAGAGTTCTGGGTATATAAGCCATGACAGTTCCTACAAGTGTGTATTTGTTTTCTTTTTTCTTTTGTAGTAATCTTTACCCTAGCACTGGAAATATATGTATTTTCTAATAGCAACACAGAAGCGTGATGGATAGCAAAGAGAAGCTAACCTAGAATGTTCTCTTTTAAAAAAGAATAAAGCACAATTTGACTAACTTATATCTGGCAAATTACAAGTCAAATGTAACAAAAAATCTAGAGACAGTAGTTTTCTTTGGAAAGAAAAGAATCCTAATGCCAAATCTAGTACTTGGTAAACTAGATTAGAATATACGTTTACCACTACATAAAAAAAGCCAGTCACCATGACTGTGTTAAAATATATATTGCAATGAAAAAGTGAGGTGGCTACATTTTTTCATATACTTCTAAATTTGTTTCTTATTTTAGAAACCAGGAACAAACATAGATCACAATTATTTAAAAGTTCGATTCTTTTTTCCTATATAATGACCTCTAGAGCAGTGTTCTGTTAGTTATTAACTCAATCACTTTGAAAAGACGTTGAAAAGAAAATATGTTTCAAATATGTACAAGCATATTGTACATATTGTATACCCAACTTAGCTTTCAGAGATACAGTTTTGTATCTCAAAGAATATAAAATCTCACAGGGAGAAGACACAGTATTTCCATATTTTGTACAATCAACAAACATAAAAATCTTGAAAAATGCTATGTATCAATTAAAATTTAAGAGACTAAATTAACGTTTTATTTTTCCTAATACTCAGCTCGCCAAGGAAACTTGTTTCTCTTAGGTTCAGACCTTTGACACATCAGGAATTGTTAATTCTTATTAGTATCACCGAACTTTGCCTTTTTTGGAGCTGATGAGTTTTGCTGAAAGGGATCCATAAAATCAATTCAATACCTGTAAGAATGGTGACCATTCCATTTTGGTGAGCTTATTTAGGTCAATGAAAAACTCTCAAGTTTTGTCCTTTGCTTCGGCTCCAGACTTACTCAACATCACCAAAGTTGTTGAAATTACAATTTCCAGTATCTTTTTGTTTCCTGGCCACTTCTCTTCAGACTTGCTTAAATACACTTCTTTTGCCTCAACAGGTAGCTTTCAGGAAGTTATATATTCAGTAAAACAAATATTTTATTAGATTAGAAGAGGCTTAAGTGAAATATTGTCAAATGCTAAGAAGGCCCCTTTCATCATTAAGATCTAGTTTGTCCATATCTCATAATATCTATCATCCACTTTTCCTCCTTTCCCCATTCTCAGGCCCTTGTTACCTGTACTATTTTTTCTGGATAATTTAACTAGCCTCCTATGGCAGAGGCTTGTAACTACCTACTATTTTCCAGTTCTTCCTTAATAATAGAACCCCAAATTTATCTTGAATGGCAAGGTACCCAGCTAGTAAAATCATTCCCTAGCCTCTCTTGTAGCTAGGCATACACATGTGATGAAGTTTTTGCCAATGAACTTAACTCTCATGAACTCCAGTGAAGATGGAAACAAAAACGTTACAGAAGACTTTCTGAAAGACTTCTTGAAATCTACTGGGAATTGAGCCCATTTTGCCCTCCTCCATCCTCCTTCCTGCTGCATATAGAGTGGTAGTAATGGTCAGTGTGCCAATAGCCATCTTGGAAGCCAGCACTAGTGTGACGAAAGAATTCTAGACACCAGATGGCCATGAATCTATCATACTGGCTAGTCCCACTGCTGACTTCTCTGATTTCTTTTACTTGAAATAAAAGTAAACTATGGAGTTATAGTAGCAAATGGATGTCAGGCTCAAACAGGGTCACTGAGGACAGTTTTATGAAGGGACTCTGCAGGGGTATGAGCAGGGTTAAGGCAAATTAACAAGGGACAGTGAAGCATCCTGCTTTAGTTACAGCAAAGAAGCCTGTTTGCCCCTGGGCCAAAAGAGAGAGAGAGAGAGCAGACCCCAGGTTCCTGATAGGAGTTTCTTATGGCCTTCAAGGTAACACTCCTGGCAGGGAAGGACTCAGGATAATAATCACTCTGGCCTGGTTCTCTACCTGCTCTCATTTCTCCTGCTGTGTTTCCTATGGTCAAAATCAATAATAAATTACAGGGTAAAATTAGCCTCTTTAAATAGCCCATAAAAGTTAGCCATTAGAAGCACCAGGCACGGTAGAGAAGGATAGAAAGCGAATCTAGAGAAACAAATAGAAAATGTTCAGCACAATTGCTTAATTGCCTTCCTGCTTTCAAGCTCTCCGTCCCCCTCCACATACCCCCCAAATATCCACCCACATTTTACTATTATCTTCTTGAAGTAGAAACCAACATTATCATTTTCCTTCTTTGCTAAAAATTCTTCGGGGTATACTACTTATCTAACAAATCAAGTCCAAACCCTTTAACTGAGTACATAAGGCTATCACCATCTTGTTACAGTATGCTTTTCCAAACTGATTTCTCTGCAGTTTCCTATATGTATCATATGCTGCAACCAAGTCATAAGAATCACCATTCCAAACAGCCTGGGCTTTCCCATTTCCTTTGCCTGTGTTCTTCTTAGCTCAAGGGGCAGGACACTGCTTTCTTACTTTCTTGCCTTGAAAAACCTCACCTGTATTTTAAGGCATAGCTCAAAGTGTCATGTACTCTAAGAACACTTCCTGACACCCTGAGATAGGTTTTCCCCTTCCTTCTTTTGAATGTTAGCACTTTGTTTCTACCCCTCAAATTGATGGCCAAATACAGATTCCCTCCTGTACTTCCCACAACATGCTCCTTCTCAATAAATGGCCCCTTCATCCTGTCAGTCTCCCAAGCTACCACTTTGAAGTCATCCTTGGCTTTTTTTTCTTCCCACTTCCCATATCCAGCAAATCCAGGTTCCTATATCTTCAACATATATCCTGAATTCAACTCCATTACTACCTATCCTAGCCAACCACCTTCCAGTTCTTGCGGTGTTATTGCAATAGTTGCTTTCTCATCAGCCCTTACCTACTACTACTCTCTTATCGACATGACAGCAAGAGCCATTCTTTTAAAATCTAAGTGAGAGCATGTCACACCTCTGCTCAACATCCTCCACTGGTTTCTCATCTCATCAGGAATAAAAGCTAGAGGCCTTCCGATACCCTACCAGGCCCTGCCTAATATAATATGATCCTCCATGTCCCCACTGTTTCACATACCACCTCTCTTACTTCATAATTCCTGTCTCACTTACTCCATTCCAGTGATGTTTGTCCCATTGCTGTTGCTACACTCATCACACCTATGTCCTTCTCAAGTCCTTTGCACTTTCTCTGACCTAAGCATTTCTTCCCCAACACCCACATAGCTTATTCTTTGAATTCTTGAAGTTCTCTGTTCAATTACCACCTTTCCAGTGAGACCATCCCTAATTACAGAAGCCCATGTCCTCATCTCCATTTCCTATTCTCTTTACCCTACTTTCCGTAGCATGTATCAACATCCTACTTACTTTGCATGTAGTGGTAGTTTATATATGATCTCTTCCCTCATTATAATGTAAGCTCCATAAACCATAAGAATGTTATTCATTGACTCAACATTAATGCCTGGTACACAATAGGCACAAAGTACATGAAAAAACTAATCACATAAGTTTTTATTCTTTTTGTAAAATTATGTAATCCCTATTACTTTATAATAGAAATATAATGTGAGCTACATATATAATCTAAACTGTTCTAATTCTGACATTTTAAAAAAGTAAAAAGAAACAAGAAATTGATTTCCTATTTGATTTAACTCAATATGTCCAAATCATTATCAACATATAATCAATATAAAAGTGTTTGTGATATATTTTACATTCTATTTTTCACACTAGGTCTTCAAACTTTGGGGTGGTTTTACACATAGAACAGATCTCAATTCGGATTAGTCACACTCCTAGTGCTTAATAGTCACATGTATCAAATGGCTACTGTATTGGTCAGCACACAGAATAGCTATAATGGTGAAAAATTGCAAGAGAGGAAGAAAAAGTTCTAATATTCCAGCAAGTTCTGGGGCATGTGGCAAGTGAGGGAATGAAGAGTTTTCAATATGAAAAAACCAGAAGGAAGATGGAAACTATGAGAAATGTCCAGGATCAGTTAAGGAAAGCAGATAGATTTTTTTTTTTTTAGAACATCTGAAGTTGTAAGAGGATGTGTTTACATGGAGATAGAAGTTCCAGGGACAGAATGGGAAGAGTAGTTCACAAAGACAAGCATGGGTAATGAATTCAGAAGGAGGTGCAGCAGAGAGCCCTGCTGTTCAGGAAATGGTGGAAGGTAAGAGAGATGAGAAGACTGGCGGGCTACCTGATCCAAGGTTCCATATGGAACTCTGGAAGAGTGTTCCTTTGTGTTTGTTTGTTTTGTTTCTTTTCCTTTCTAGTATCAGTAGAGGCCAATTGCTGGGATAGCCATGGTCCAGTGAGCAATCACAGGCCTTTGTTCAAAATTTCAAGTTAATTTGTGGTTTTCTGAAAGTGGAATAACAGTTTAAGAGAAGTGCTTCATTAGAACTACAACTCAATGGAAGGGCTAGTACTTGTTTATCTATAATATTAATCATTTAATATTTTATAGATGGTTTCTTTACTCATAATTTAACCAAGAGTGTCATCATCTATGGCAGAGGAGAGGCAGGGTAATTTTCTTAGCAATTATTTCAGAAGTCTTGGCAAAAAATAAAGGTTGACACAAAGAAATAAAAAAAATCTGAATTTGAGGGGAAAAGAAAATTTAGTTCATTTCTCTCCTACTCACTATGCTACTTGTGACTTTTACAGTGATGGTATGGTAGAAGTGAACAGAAATGGAAAGTAGAAACATTGCCATTTAACTTGTATAGTTTTGCCATTTGGCCCACAAAAACAAAACAAAACAAAAAAAAAACTGATACTTTTTCTCATTGGATAGTTTTGTGAGTTCTTAGGAGACCCTCTGTTTGTGTCATCTCACATTTCCAGAAAGTCTTCTTGAGCGGTTCCTTGCAAGACAGCCAAAGTGGTCCACACTTGGCCCATGTGATACACGCATACATCCTTGCCCTACCAAATTGTCTCATTATAGCCTTGCCTTTTTCCTCAGCCATCATATGTCCTCTTATCCAGCCTCCCCTTTCATTTCAAAGTCAGAACTCAGAACACTAACACTGACAATTAGTGAAATTATTATTTGAAATTCCAAGTGAAGTGCTCTGTTTCTGTATAGTATTTACAACAATTTACTAAAGATGTTATTTTTTTCTCTCACTTCATTCTCGTAAGAGGTTAGGCTGAAAAAGAAACGGACAATTTTATTATTTTATTGTATAGAAAAAAATGGAAATTGTTGCAATTGCTGCTGTTGTGAATAAAGCTAGCTCATATTCTTAACAGCCCACCTTAGACTTTTTTTTTTTTTTTTTTTTTTTTTTTTGATACAGAGTCTTGCTCTATCGCCCAGGCTGGAGTGCAGTGGCATGATCTCAGCTCACTGCAGCCCCCACCTCCCAGGTTCAAGCAGTCTCCTGCCTCAGCCTCCCAAGTAGCTGGGATTACAGGCACCCACCATCACACCTGGTTAATTTTTGTATTTTTAGTAGAAATGGGGTTTCACCATGTTGGCCAGGCTGCTTTTGAACTCCTGACCCCAAGTGGCCCACCTTGGCCTCCCAAAGTACTAGAATTATAGGTGTGAGGCACCATGCCTGGCCACCAATCCTAGATTTTTGAGGCAGTCTTTTAATCTGGGTGCATGTTGGTCTCTCTGTCATCTATATTACACTGCTTTTCACAGCAGCTACTAGTAGTGGAAATATATAATTGTGTCTGGGAGTCATAGCAAATGAGATGAGCAGGAACAAGTTGGACCTAGTCCTGAGGGATCTAGCCATGCTAAGGAGTGTGGATTTTATTGTGAAGGCTTATGCCTTAGGGGATAAAAAGGAGAAAAGAAGGGGAGGGAAGGGGAAGGGAGGGGAAGGAAAGGGAGGGGGAGGAGAGGGAGGGGAAGAAAAGGGAGGGGAAGGAAAGGGAGGAGAAGGAAAAGGAGAGGAAGACAGGGAAAGGGAGCGGAGGAGAGGGGAGAGGAGGGAAAGGCAGGAGAGAGGAGGGGAAGGTTGGGGAGGTCCTCTGGTTTGCCTGATTGCTCATTTAATAACTATTTAATTTCTCTTCCTCTTTTTGCTGCCAAACTTCTCAAATGAGTCCTCTTTACTGACACTTATGTAATAGGATGTTATGATAGGGCTTCTACTATTTTATCAGTTTCTGAGTGAGGCTCTAAACTTGAGAACAAAATGTTTTATTATCCACAAATTATAAAAAGACTTATCATACTCTCCATAACTAAAGAGTGACTCAAAAGAGGCAGCCTAAAAATTAATCAGGTGATTTGTCCCCAGCCTACCTTGATGAGGGGAGACTTAAAGATTCATAAAGACAAAAAAGGACTTTTTTACAGGAAAAATCATAAAGGCTGAATATGAAAACAAATAATGGCCAGATTGTATATGTCAAAAGAACTCTAACTCACGTCTGCAACAATCAGCCAGAAAAGCCAAACCACAACCTCTGTAGCAATTGGTCAGAACAGTCAAGACTTGATCAATGACTGCCAGCTTCTCTATTTGTTGTTGTTGTTGTTGAGACAGGGTCTCACTCTGTTGCCCAGGCTGTGAGGGTAGTGGCATGATCTTGGCTCACTGTAGCCTCAATCTCCCAGGCTCAAGTGATCCTCCTACCCCAGACTCCTGAGTATATGGAGGTTAATTTTTAGCCCCTTCGAGCCTGGTTAATTAATTAATTTATTTATTTATTTTTTAGTAGAGATGGGGTTCTGCCATGTTGCCCAGGCTGGTCCAGAACTCCTGCACTGAAGTGATCTGCCCACCTCGGCCTCCCACAGTGTTGGGATTACAGGTGTGAGCCATGGCGCCCAGCCACTTCTCTACTTCTTGCCCTATTTCAACTCAGGACCAGCCAGAGAAAGCCAAATATACTCCTCAAACCAATCACATAAAATGCTGCACTTCTAGTTTGCCTTCCTCTGGTTTCCTTGGGCCAACAGTTTCAATCAGCATACTTGAAAGGTTTCCCACTCTCCTGCCTGTCTGCCTTGAGTCTCTGCCAAATGTAAATGATGGTGGCTGACACATCTGCTATAGCAAAACTCTAAGTAAATAACCTCACTTCTCATTTGGGTGCCCTTCATTTATTTCCACAGTTGATAGAGTGTTAGGACGTTTCTCCTCTCCTCTGCTTGGGGAACAGAACAGGGTGCTCCCCCATAAGCTACAGCCAAAGGCCATGGAGGCTGACACCTCACTCAATTCCAACAAATGTCTAAAGGGGAAGCTCACTTTGGCTTCTGTGTGGAGGATAAATTATTAAGAAGACATGACTTCTCAGCAGCATATGATGTAACTATTTTAAGGCTTATTCTACTAGATGGCCATCTTAGAGGCTATTGCCATCATCAGAGCAAAAAGAGCTAGATGAGCAGTATTAATGGCAGTATATTTTAGAGATAGAGCCTGTAGAATCTACTGATTAACCGGAGGGAGTTGTATGGCAAAAAGAAATTAAGGAGGCTCTCAAGTTGGGAGCCTCAGCAGCTGGATGGATAAGGTCATAACTGAAATTGGGAAAACCTGTGGGGAAGTGAATTTGGAGAGCAGAGAGAAAAATCAAGAGTCCTATTTTGTCCAGTCCAGTTTGAGGTACCTATTAGACTTCAAAGGGATACACCAAGAAGGTAGTCGGGTAAACATGATGAGACATCAGCTGTGTTACTCAGCACTCTGGGTTTCATTCCCATTCCTGCTGCTTAGAAGGTGGGTTTCTTTGGTTGACTTTGTTAACTCCCTGAGCTCCTATTCCCTTATCTTTTATTTATTCATTCATTTATTTAAATTTTTTAGTTTCATTGCTTTTTGGGGAACAGGTGGTATTTGGATACATGAGTAAGTTCTTTAGTGATGATTTGTGAGATTTTGAGCATCACCTGAGCAGTATACACTGAACCTAATTTGTAGTCTTTTATCCCTCACCCGCTTCCCACCCTTGCCCCCTGAGTCCCCAAAGTCCGTTGTGTCATTCTTATGCCTTTGAATCCTCATAGCTTAGCTCCTACTTATGAGTGAGAACATATGATGTTTGGCTTTCCATTCCTGAATTACTTCACTTAGAATAATAGTCTCCAATCCCATCCAGGTTGATGCCGATGCTATTAATTCATTCCTTTTATGGCTGAATAGTATTCCATTGTGTGTGTGTGTGTATATATATATATATATATATATATATATATATATATATATATATATATATCACAGTTTCTTTATCCACTTGTTGATTTATGGGCATTTAGGTTGGTTCTACATTTTTGCAATTGTGAATTGTGCTGCTATAAACATGCATGTGCAAGTATCTTTATCATATAATGACTTCTTTTCCTCTGGGTAGATACCCAGTAGTGGGATTGCTGGATCAAATGGTAGTTCTACTTTTAGTTCTTTAAGGAATCTCCATATTGTTTTCCATAGTGTAGAAGTGTTCCCTTTTCACTGCATCCACGCCAACATCTATTAATTTTTGAGTTTTTTAATATGGCCATTTTTGCAGGAGTAAGGTGGTATTGCATTGTGGTTTTGATTTGCATTTCCCTGATCATTAGCAATGTTGAGCATTTTTTCATATGTTTGTTGGCCATTTGTATATCTTCTTTTGAGAATTGTCTATTCACATCCTTAGCCCACTTTTTGATGGGGTTGTTTGTTTTTTTCTTGTTTTTTTAGTTGAGTTGGTTATCAGTTCTGGATATTAGTCCTTTGTCAGATGGATAGGTTGTAAAGATTTTCTCCCACTGTGTCAAGTGTCTGTTTACTCTGCTGGCTGTACCTTTTGCCATGCAAAATCTCTTTAGTTTAATTAAGTCCCAGATAATTATCTTTATTTTTATTGCATTTGCTTTTGGGTTCTTGGTCATAAAATCCTTGCCTAAGCCAATGTCTAGGAGGGTTTTTCTGAGGTTATCTTCTAGAATTTTCATAGTTTCAGGTCTTAGATTTAAGTCCTTGATCCATCTTGAGTTGATTTTTATATAAGGTGAGAAATGGGGATCCAGCTGCATTCTCCTACATGTGGCTAGCCAATTATTCCAGCACCATTTGTTGAATAGGGTCCTTTCCTCACTTTATGTTTTTGTTTGCTTTGTCAAGGATCAGTTGACAGTAAGTATTTGAGTTTATTTCGGGGTTCTCTATTCTGTTCCATTGGCCTATGTGCCTATTTTTATACCAGTGCCATGCTGTTTGGGTGACTATGGCCTTATAGCATAGGTTGAAATCAGATAATGTGATGGCTCCAGTTTTGTTCTTTTTGCTTAGTCTTGCCTTGGCTATGGGGGCTCTTTTTTAGTTCTGTATGAATTTTAGGATTGTTTTTTCTAGTTCTGTGAATGATGGTGGTATTTTGATAGGAATTGCACTGAATTTGTAGATTGCTTTTGGCAGTATGGTTGTTTTCACAATATTGATTCTACCCTTCCACGAGTATGGGATATGCTTCCATTTGTTTGTGTCATCTATGATTTCTTTCAGCAGTGTTTTGTAATTTTCCTTGTTGAAGTCTTTCACCTCCTTGGTTAGGTGTGTTCCTAAGTATTTTTTTTTTTTTGCAGTTATTGTAAAAGTGGTTGAGTTCTTGATTTGATTCTCAGCTTAGTCACTGTTGGTGTATAGCAGAGCTACTGATTTGTGTACATTAATTTTGTATCCTGAAAGTTTGCTGCATTCATTTTTCAGTTCTAGTAGCTTTTTGGAGGAGTCTTTAGAGTTCTCAGCAAACAGCAACAATTTGACTTCCTTTTTACCTATTTGTATGCCCTTTATTTGTTTTTCTTGTCTGATTGCTCTGGCTAGGACTTCCAGTACTATGTTGAAGAGAAGTGGTGAAAGTGGGCATCCTTGTCTTGTTCCTGTTCTCAGAGGGAATGCTTTCAACTTTTTCCCTTTAAATATTATGTTGGCTGTCGGTTTGTCATAGATGGCTTTTATTACATTAAGATATGTCCCTTGCATGCCAATTTTTTTGAGGGTTTTAATCAAAAAGGGATGCTGGATTTTGTCAAATGCTTTTTCTGCATCTATTGAGATGATCATGTGATTTTTGCTTTTAATTCTGTTTATGTGGTGTATCACATTTATTAACTTGCGTATGTTAAACAATCCCCACATTTATTGACTTGTGTATGTTAAACAATCCCTGCATCCCTGGTATGAAACCCACTTGATCATGGTGGATTATCTTTTTGATATGTTGTTGGATTCAGTTAGCTAGTATTTTGTTAAGGATTTTTGCATCTATGTTCATCAGGGATATTGGTCTGTATTTTTCTTTTTTGGTTATGTCCTTTCCTGGTTTTGGTATTAGGGTGATACTGGCTTCATAGAATGATTTAGGGAGGATTCCCTCTTTCCCCATCTTGTGGAATAGTGTCAATAGGATCAGTACCAATTCTTTGAATGTCTCGTAGAATTCAGCTGTGAATCTGTCTGGTCCTGAAATTTTTTGTTGGTAATTTTTTTATTACCATTTCAATCTTTCTGCTTGTTATTGGTCTGTTCAGGGTATCTAATTCTTCCTGATTTAAGCTAGGAGGGTTGTATCTTTCCAGCAATTTATCCACCTCCTCTAGGTTTTCTAGTTTATGTGTGTAAAGATGTTCATAGTAGCCTTTAATGATCTTTTGTATTTCAGTGGTGTTGGTTGTAATATCTCCCATTTTATTTCTAATTGAGCTTATTTAGATTTTCTCTCTTCTTTTCTTGGTTATTCTTGCTAATGGCCTATCATTTTTTTTATCTTTTCAAAGAACCAGCTTTTTGTTTATTTATCTTTTGTATTTTTTTGTGTGTGTCAATTTCATTTCGTTCTACTTTGATTTTTGTTATTTCCTTTTTCTGCTGGGTTTGGGTTTGTTCTTGTTTCTCTAGTTTCCTCAGGTGGGACCTTAGATTGTGTATTTGTGCTCTTTCAGACTTTTTGATGTAGGCATTTAAGGCTATGAACTTTCCTCTTAGCACAATCTTTGCTGTATCCCAGAAGTTTTGATAGGTTATGTCACTATTATTGTTCACTTCAAATAATTTTTTAATTTCCATCTGAATTTCATTTTTTACCCAATGATCATTCAGGAGCAGGTTATTTAATTTCCATGTCTTTGCATGGTTTTGAGGGTTCCTTTTGGAGTTGATTTCCAGTTTTAGTCCACTGTTGTCTGAGAGAGTACTTGGTATAATTTCAATCTTCTTAAATTTATTGAGACTTGTTTTGTGGCCTATCATATGGTCTATCTTGTAGAAAGTTCCATGCATTCGAGAATAGAATGTATATTCTGTGTTTGTTGGGTAGAATGTTCTGTTAAATATCTGTTAAGTCCATTTATTCCAGGGTATAGTTTAAATCCATTGTTTCTTTGTTGACTTTCTTTCTTGGTGACCTGTCTAGTGCTGTCAGTGGAGTATTGTAGTCCCCCACTATTATTATGTTATTGTCTTAGGTCCAATAGTAATTGTTACTTATAAGTGAATTCTTATAGGGAATTGCTTATAAGTAATTCTTATAAGGAATTATAGGGAATTACTTATAAGTAATTCTTAGGTCCATTACTTAGGTCCAGTAGTAATTGTTTTATAAACTTGGGCGCTCCAGTGTTAGGTGCATATATATTTAGGATTCTGACATTTTTCTGTTGGACAAGTCTTTTGTCATTGTATAATGTCCCTATTTGTCTTTTTTAATTGTTGTTGCTTTAAAGTTTGTTTTGTCTGATATAAGAATAGCTACTTCTGCTCACTTTTGGTGTCCATTTGTATGGAATGTCTTTTTTCCACACTTTATGTGAGTCCTTTGTATTAGGTGAGTCTCTTGAAGGCAGCAGATAGTTGGGTTGGCAAATTCTTACCCATTCTGCGATCTGTATCTTTTAAGTGGAGCATTTAGGCCATTTACATTTCAACATTAGTATTGAGATGTGAGGTACCATTCCATTCATCATGCTATTTGTTGCCTGTATAACTTGCTTTTTTTTTAAGTGTATTTTTGTTTTATAGGTCCTGTGAGACTTATGCTTTCGATGTGTTTCCATGACTTGTTTCAAGATTTAGAGCTCCTTTTAGCAGTTCTTGTAGTGGTGGCTTGGTAGTGGCGAATTCTCTCAGCATTTTTTTGTCTGAAGAAGACTGTATCTTTCCTTCATTTATGAAGCTTAGTTTCACTGGATATAAAATTCTTGGCTGATAATTGTTTTGTTTAAGGCGGCTGAAGATAGGGCCCCAATCTCTTCTAGCTTGGTGGGTTTCTGCTGAGAAATCTGTTGTTAATCTGATAGGTTTTCCTTTATAGGTTGCCTGATGCTTTTGCCTTACAGCTCTTAAGATTCTTTTCTTCATTTTGACTTTAGATAACCTGATGACAATGTGCCTAGGTGATGATCTTTTTGCAATAAATTTCCCAGGTGTTCCTTGAGCTTCTTGTATTTGGATGTCTAATCTCTAACAAGGCTGGGGAAGTTTTCCTCGATTATTCCCCCAAATATGTTTTCCAAACTTGTAGATTTCTCTTCCTTCTCAGAAACTCTGATTATTCTTAGGTTTGGTCATTTAACATTATCCCAAACTTCTTGGAGGCTTTGTTCACTTTTTTCTTACTCTTTTTTCTTGGTCTTTGTTGGATTGGGTTAATTTGAAAACCTTGTCTTCAAGCTCTGAAGTTCTTTCTTCTGCTTTATTCCCTTGTCTTTTAAAATTGGCATAATGATAATGAAGAAAGCAATATTTAGAGTCTTAAATTTCCCAACTCTAATCCAAAACTATTTCACTCCACTGCTATCTTCTTATTCCCCAGGTATCCATTTGCTGCCTTTTATTTTTATTTTTATTTTCTTTTAATTTTTTTAGAGGCAGGGTCTTGCTCTGTCACCCAGGCTGGAATGAAGTGGTGTGGTCATAGCCCACTGCAGCCTTGAATGACTGGGCTTAAGCAATCCTCCTGCCTCACCCTCCTGAGTAGCTGGGACTACAGGTACATGCCACCATGTCCAGCTAATTTGCGTGTGTGTGTGTGTGTGTGTGTGTGTGTGTGTGTGTGAGATGGAGTCTTGCTCTGTTGCTCAGGCTGGAGTGCAGTGGCACAATCTCAGCTCACTGCAAACTCCACCTCTCAGGTTCAAGCGACTCTTGTGTCTCAGCCTCCTGACTAGCTGGGATTACAGGTGAGCACCACCACACCTGGCTAATTTTTGTATTTTTAGTAGAGATGAGGTTTCACCATGTTGGCCAGGCTGGTCTTGAACTCCTGACCTCAAGTGATCCACCTACCTCGGCCACCCAAAGTGCTGGGATTACAGGCATAAGCCACCATGACTGGGCGCCCAGCTAATTTTTTAAAAACTTTTTTGGTAGATACAGGGTCTTGCTATGTTGCCCAGGCTGGTTTCAAACTCCTGGCTTTAAGTGATCTTCACACCTCAGCCTCCCAAAGTACTAAGATTACAGACATGAGCCACCTCACCTATTTGAGAATATGTCTATTATCCTCTCTTATCCCTCATTGTCCAGATACTCTAGAGATTTATTTAATCTACATCTCATGCACTCATGCTGTTTCTTCTTATTAGCTCATGATGCCATCATTTGAAGACTTGTTCTGTCAATTTGACATACACTGATGGCAAGGCCTCATAGGGTCAATGTTGCGCACCCAGCTTACCACTTTTTAGCTTATATCTAGGCTCAGATATTTTTTCCTTAAAAATACTGCTGTGTCAGAATAGCTGGATCCATGGAACTTTACAGCATCAACTACACTCTGTGGCCATGTTATGTACTGGGCCACCTCATGGTGATTTGGATATTTGCCACTCAGGGTGATTCCCTCTGCTAATCCTATAATTGGGCCTCCTAATTGTTGTACTCTGTACAACAGGGGTCCCCAACCCCCAGGCAATGGTACTGGCCCCATCCCCTTGTACGGTTCTGTAGCCTAATTAGAACCAGGCCACACAGCAGGAGGTGAGTGGTGGGTGAGTAACTTCATCTGTATTTGCAACCACTCCTCATTGCTCACATTAGGGCCTGAACTCCACCACCTGTAAGATCAGTGGTGGCATTAGCCTCTCATAGGAGCACAGACCCTATTATGAACTGTGCATGCAAAGGATCCAGGTTGCATGTTCTTTATGATAATCTAATGCCTGATGATCTGTCACTATCTCCCACCACCCCTAGATGGGACCATCTAGTTGCAAGAAAACAAGCTCAGGGATCCCACCGATTCCACAAGATGGTGAGTTGTATAATTATTTCATTATATATTACAATGTAGTAATAATAGAAATAAAGTGTACTATAAATATAATGCACTTGAATAACCAAGTGCACTTGAATAACTCAAAACCATCTCTCTGTCCTAGTCCATGGAAAAACTGTCTTCCGTGAAACCAGTCCTTGGTACCAAAAAGGCTGGGGACTGTAAAAAGCTTGGGGACTCTTGCTGTACAATATTGTCTTTCTGAGCTCTCCATGAAGCATCCCAAATGCCAATTTCCCAAACTATATTCACCCTAACTTATATATTTTATCACAGAGTATCTTACGTATTTTATCACAGAGTAAAAATCTACCTAAAAGTAAAATGTAATATCTACCATTAAATACAGGGAGACCAGCTTAATTTCTAAGCACAGAATCCTATTTCAACTCTGACTTAACTATCACTTTATTTCAATGTATTAATACCTATCTTCTGTTTCTTTATTATTGGGTTGGCTTCTCATTGGAATTCAAGTTCCTTAAAGGCATATTCACTATTACTTATCTTTAGATCCTTAGCCTTACTTAGTAAATAAATGATAAAATAGGACAAAGAGAAGGGAAGTTTTTTTTTCATAGCCAGGTAGTTTTGGCTGTCTGCTATAACTATCATTAGATAGAACATTTTACTTTATAAAAGCAAAATGGATCACTGTTAATAATCAGAGAAAACCTCAGAAGCTGATTGGCGATGATCTTTTATACATTTTGAGAATCATCAGTAAGCATTTTTGTACCTACAAAGCAAAATGTGCTGTACCAAGTGCTGATGTTATAAGCTCCCTAGAATGTCATGGTCTCCTGCCATTCACCATCTCAAAATAATCATCATACTTCAATATTCCATTTCTATTGCTTTTACCCCTTCATTTAGAAGTTGTAAAAATTATATTTATAATATAATAGAAAACATTATAATATAAAAATTATACATTCAAATATGTAAAATTAGATATCCTTCTGGTAACAAAAGTGTTACATGCCCATTGTAAAATATTTAAACAACGTAGAATGTTTACATAAAAAGTGTTACTTTTTCATAATCCCACCCCCAAGAGATAATTACAGATTTTCCTATGATGTACATTCTTCTGAGTTTTTAAAATACACATTCAAATACCTAGATGATGTATTTTAAAAAAATGTGATCAGGTAGTATATAGTTTGGCAACTTTTATCATTTCGGTAGTTATCTTTCTTTGTCAGCAGGTATAGATATAACTTATTATTTTAATAATTGTGTAATTTCCATAGATAGGTATGTTTTTTAATTGGCTCACAATTGATGAACAATTGAGTGGTTTCTAATTTTTGCTATGAAAACAGAGTTGCAATGACTACTTACGTAGATAAATCTTTCTGCATTTGTGCAACTTTTTCTCAGGAAAAATTCTTAGAAATAGAATTTTTGACTTGAAAATCATCAATATTTTAATTTTGAATGTAATTTTATTTTAAATAGATATTTCCAAACTGCTTTCCATAAAGTTATGCTAACTTGCATTGTAGAATGTAATGTTTACACTAGAATGGAATGTTTTCATCACTAGGCTCATCGTTTTAATATTTTCTAAGAAAAATATCTCACTGCTTGAATTTATATTTTTTCATTAGTAGTCAGATGTAGCATCTTTTCACATATTTGTTAGTTATTTGCATTTTTCTGTGGATTATGTTTTATGACTCTTGCCATTTTTATTTCCTGTAGTTATTTTATATTGTAATATTTCTTATAATTTACAGCAATTAACCCATAAATCACGTGTATTATGAATATTAATTCCTAGTTCATTGTTTCTATATCCACCTTCTTTAGAGTATAGTTTTATGTACTCTATTTTAATTTCGGAGATAGCTGAATTTATCTTTTTTTATAGTTTCTGGTTTTTATATCAAGGCTATGTAGAATTTTATCAATTTACGAATTATTTATCCATATTTACCCCTACTTTTTACTCTTTTATTGTTCCTTAGTTATGATTTTATATTCAAGATAAAAATAATCATTCTTACACACTTATTTCCTGTTACATCATTATACATTTCTTTTTCTTTTTTTCTTTTAAGACGGAGTTTGGCTCTTGTTGCCCAGACTGGAGTGCAGCGATCTCGCTCACCGCAACCTCCGTCTCCCGGGTTCAAGCGATTCCCCTGCCTCAGCCTCCCGAGTAGCTGGGATTACAGGCATGCGCCACCACACCCGGCTAATGATGTTTTTTGTTTGTTTGTTTGTTTGTTTGAGACGGAGTCTCGCTCTGTGGCCCAGGCTGGAGTGCAGTGGCGTGATCTCGGCTCACTGCAAGCTCCTCCTCCCGGGTTCAAGCGATTCTGCTGCCTCAGCCTCCCAAGTAGCTGAGATTACAGGCACGTGCCACCATGCCCAGCTAATTTTTGTATTTTTAGTGGAGATGGGGTTTCTCCATATTGGTCAGGCTGGTCTCAAACTCCTGACCTCAGGAGCCGCCCGCCTTGGCTTCCCAAAGTGCTGGGATTACAGGCGTGAGCCACCACGCCCAGCACAACATTATACATACTAAGTAACATAGTTACGTATTCTATAATTTGTGATTATAACTTTCAGAATAGAGAAAAACAGTTGTCCCTCAAGATCCACAGAGGATTCCTTCCAGAAACAGCGTAGATGCCAAAATCTAATTATGCTCAAGTCCCTGGTATAAAATGACATAGTATTTGCAAGTAATCTGAACATATCCATCTGTATACATTAAATCATCTCTAGATTACTTATAATACCTAGTACAATGTAAATATTCTGTAAATAGTTGTTATTCTAAATTGGTTTTGAAAATATTTTTAAATTTTTTGTTGTATTTTTTTCCAATAGTTTTTATTCATGGTTAGTTGAATTCGTGGACATGGAACACGCAGATACAAAGGGCTGACTGTATTAAAAAACGACATCTGAGAACTCAAGACAATACTTTCAGAAGAAAAATGCTGCAAATTTCGAAAACAGGTGAACTAAATATTAATAAATATTTGGTAATATTTATAAAGACAAAAGCATTTTGTTCCTTACAAACATTGGGCTTTTTGATATTCCGCTGAGTGTTTTATGAGCTGATCATAGGTGGAGATGCAGGTCAATTGAGCAGATCTTAATTAAGAGTCTTCACTTTGCCCAGTGTTGGGAATACAGCAGTATCAAGGCTTTGGGAAAAAAATCTGCTGGAGGCTGCTAAAGAAAGAATTGTACTTATTTCTTCCAAAACAGCCTCTCTTGTCTCTCTCCCTGGTCATGCACAGGAAAAACATGTAACTGTGATAATTTGGTAATCACCCGACACCACAAGAGGGAGCCAACAGTAGATCCTTACTGAGCTGACCCCCATGGATTGGAGAATTTAGAAGGGGAAAGAAATTTGCTAGTGGATGATGATTTTTAGCTGTTGAATCAAACCTATCCTGATCTATCTTTAAACTTGCCAGTTATTCAAACCAATAAATTCCTATAATTGTTTAAGCTAGTTTCTGTTACATCCAGAGGCATTCTACTCAATACAGTGGTTCTCTTATATAACTGCATTAATGCTGTATACTTCTTCATGTTGACTTTTTCTTTTTATGCTATTGTGATTATCATTTAACTTGTCTGTGTTCTCTTCAGAGTTTCAGCCAGAATTGTATCTATCTCGTAGACAATCCATACACCCAATACAATGTCCAATGGAATCTAGATACCTTAGCTATTTGCCAAAAGTCTGAGAAGAAACTATGCCATCAAGGAGCATTATGCTATTTGATTTCTTTTTTGTAATGTTACTATATGATAGAATTGTTACTGTTTTTTTGTTTTTGTTTTTGCAGATTTAGGAGGTACATGTGCAGGTTTGTTACATGGGTATATTGCACAATGCTTTGAGGTCTGGGCTTGTAATGATCCCATCACACAAGTATGGAACATAGTATCCAAGGTTTTTCAACACTTACCTGGCTCCCTCCTTACTTTTGGAGTACCCAGTATCTATTGTTTCCATATTCGTGTCCATGTATACCCAGTGTTTAGCTTTCACTTATAAGTGAGAACATGCAGTATTTAATTTTCTATTTCTGAATAAATTTACTTAGAATAATGGCCTCCAGCTGCATTCATGTTGCTGCAAAGGACATGATTTTGTTCTTTTTTTTATGGCTGTGTATTTGATTTCTTAACTTCCGTTTATTATGCACTATTTTCCTTAATTCATTTGTTTTCTTTTAAAACTATAAATACAGAAAAGCACATAGAGGCATGCATGAAACACCAACAATGAATAAATGTTTACACTGCATATCAAGTTGGACACCCCAATCCTAGTTCCCTCTCTTTGAATCCAAAACCAAATATTATCGTTATCTGCCATATAGGCTGGCTAGATTTTTAAAATAATATTGTTTTGTCTGGTTTCCAAAATATGTGCAAATGGAATTATACTCTACTTAATACTTGGAAACTTATTTTATACAGTCAACCTATGTGTTCCTGACATTTATCAATGTAAATTCACATGGCTTTTGCTTATTCATTTTAAATGCTGTGTTGTTTTGCATCATAGGAAGATACCATGTCTAACGTTTTCAGTTACCTGTTAGTGGAGATTTGCATTGGTTCTAGTTTTCACTATTACAAACAATGCATCAAATGGACATCTTTATGTATCTGATGAGAGCTTTTCTACAATAATAGGACTAAGCAAGAAATTGATGGTCATAGGATATGCACATTATCAAATATACTGGATATTGCCAAACTCTCTTGTTTCAAAAAACGGCTGCAAATTTTGAAATTTTTGTGTATTACAAAATTGCTTTCCAAAGTGGTTGCACCAATTTATACTTCCACCACAATCTAAAAAAGTAATCACTGGTCCACATCACTGCTTAATACTTGGTATTATTAATTTTTACATCTCACTAATCTGATAGGTATGAAATGATTCTTCATTTTCATTTTTTTTTTGCCCAGATTACTAGTGACATTATTATCCTGTTAGGTACTTACTCATCATTACGCTTTCTATTTTTGTGATTTGCCTGCTCATATCCATTGCCTATTTGGGGTAGAGGGGGTGTGGTTGACTTCTAAATCATTTTTCTAATTTGTCTGTAATAATTCATCATATATTTGATATAAATCTCTTTTTTATGTTGTGAATTACTTTTCCCTGTCTGACAATTATCTTACAGTTATGTTTATGATGACTTAAACTTTTACTATTAGAAGTTCACTACAAAATAGTCTTTTCTTTTTGGGGGGTTTAGTTAAAACATCCTTCCCTACCCCAATATAGTAAAAGTATTCTCATTTTTTAATCTAAAAATTTTAAGTTTCATTTTTCACATTTAAATCTTTAATCCATATGAAATTTATTTTGCTTAAGGTGTAAATCAGGGAAATCTTTTTCATATAATAAATCAATCACATCAACACTTTTCTCCGTTAATTTGTTTTTTTGTTTGTTTATTTGTTTTTGAGAAAGGGTCTTGCTCTGTCGCCCAGGCTATAGTACAGCAGCCACCGCGCCCACCCTTTCCTCTGTTAATTTGTAAAGCTTTCTCTACGATACACCACATTTCTTGTACACTTCCCTCTGTTTCTGGGCTTCCTATTCTATTCCACTTATCTATTTGTCTATGAACCAATATCACATTGTCCTGTAAATATTATGGTATCCTGTTGATATATGGTAAGACAAGTCTTTAAAATGGTCTTAACTATTCACAATACTTTACTCTCCTATATAACTTTTTTAAAACAATCAATTTCCATAAAAATATATTGCTGGGATTTTAATGAAATTTCATTTAATTTACAGATTAGTTCAGAAAATAGACACTTTTCTGGTATTGAATATTTCTATTTATGGGTATAATATGTCTTGTAATTTAGTTAGGTCTTCTGTCATATCTTTCAATAAAATTTTGTACTTTTTTCCAAAAAGATTGTGAACACCTTCTATTAGATTTATTCCTAGGTACATTTTTGGTTGTTGTTGGTTTTGTAAATTGTATCTTTTCAAGTTACTTTTTATGACCATCGTTGCTAAGTTCTTAGGCAAGCTATCAATTCTTTTATATTGGCCTTGTATTCAGCAAGTTAGCTGAATTATCTTAATTGCTTTAATGGTTGTCTTTTAAATTCTTAGATTTTCTATGTAGACAACCATATCATCTGACGGTCACAACTTTATTTCTCTTCTATTCTAATCCTTACACACACATCTTATTTATTTTACTTTATTTAGGTCTTTTATTATATGATGAATTGAAGCAGTGTTAACAGATATCTTTCACTTGTTCTTGTTTAAGTGTACTTGACAAAAGGTAAAATCATGACTCATGCAAATATAAAATGGGTATGTGTCAAGGATTTTGTTCAATTGATTAATTAATGGGAGAACCAAGAACATGTTAAAATGAGTTCAAAAAATACTTCAGGCCCGTCGCAGTGGCTCATGTCTATTATCTCAACACTTTAAGAAGCCAAGGCAGGCGGATCCTGAATTGAGTCCGGGAATTTGAGACCAGCCTGGGCAACATGGTAAAAACTCATCTCTACAAAAAATACAAAAATTAGCTGGGTGTGGTAGTGTGCGCCTGTAGTCCCAGCTACTAGGAAAGCTGAGGTGGGAGGATCAGCCTGAGCCTGGCAGGTTGAGGCTGCAGTGAGTCGTGAGGGTGCCACTGCACTCCAGCCTGGGCGACACAGCCAGACCCTGTCTCAAACACACACACACACACACACACACACACACACACACACACACAAAATCCTTTAGAGCTAAGGCAGTAAATATAGGCAATTTAATAAAGGAACTTTAGGATAAGATTGCTGGGTTAAATACAAAACTGGTTAATACCCTACAGAGCAATAAACCTTACTTTGAGGTTGTATCTTTCACTAAAGAGAAATTATTTTCATCTGTACTAGACAAATATCTGCAAGTTAATCTCTGTATTTACAGACTGTAAAACAGCACGGTCAATAGAAAAATTAACTAAAGGTGCAAACCCAGAACTGTGCCGAAAGAACACCTGGTATTCTTTTTTGCCCAATTCTAAGTTTTGGATAATTTTTCTGATGTTCTTTATATTAAAGAAAATGCTTATAAAATTTTACCATTAATTAAGGTGTTTGTGGAGTTTTTGGTAAATACCTTTTCAAGTAAGTTAAAGAAGTTTTCTTCTAATTCTGGTTTCTAAAAAATAATTTAGCACAAAAAATTAGCCGGGCATGGTGGCAGGCGCCTGTAGTCCCAGCTACTTGGGAGGCTGAGGCAGGAGAATGGCGTGAACCTGGGAGGTGGAGCTTGCAGTGAGCGGAGATAGCACCACTGCACTCCAGCCTGGGCAATAGAGCGAGACTCCGTCTCAAAAATATATATATAAATAAATAAATAATAATAATAATTTAGCATAAATGAGTAGTGCAATAAATACGTTTTCTGCATTGATTAACTTTTTTTTGCTTTTTCTCCTTTTCGTATGTTAATGAGGTGGACTATATTGATAATTTCTTGATGTTGAAATATCACTTTATTCCTCAGAAAACACTACTTGGTCATGACGTGTTATGTTATATACTGGTGACATTTATTTTCTAATATTTTATTTGAGAATTTTTCATTTATGTTCATAAGTGAAACTGCTCAGTACTTTTCTGGTTCTGTCCTTAGATTTTGTAAGCAGATAATTTTCTTTCTTTGTCTACTCTTTTTGGAAAGTTTTAAAAATAAGATCTAGAATATCTTTTTTCTCATAGACTTGGTTGAAAAATCACTTATAAAACTAATTTTGTATGGTTTCAATTTTAAGGGAGAAATTTTTGACTGCTGATGTAATTTTTAATGGTTATTGGCTTTTTTATATCATATTTTTTCTTGAATCAATTTGGATAATTTATATTTTCTAGAAAAAATGAAATTTAAACATTTTCAAATTTATTGACACAAAGTTGTTCAAGGTGCTGTCTTGTGACTTTTCAAACATTCATTCTTTTCATTTTTCTTAAAATTATTTATTTGTGGCTTCTTTATTCTTTTGATTAGTTTTATTTGATAATGTATTTTTATTTATCTTTTAATAAATAGATTGATTTTATGAATCACCTGTTTTTAAGTTGGTCTACTAGTCATTAATTTCTGTTCATATCTCTTGAAAAATAATTTCTTTCCAAGTTTTCTCACTATTTGTGCAGCTTCTTGATTTGAATGCTTAACTAATTTATTTTAAGTGTTTCTCTTTTTTTTCCAAATGCAAACAGTCTTTATTATGAGAACGCAATGTTATCTAGGTTTCTTTCTAATAAAATGACAAAGGAGGTTTCTTAAATAATTTACAAAGGGCAGAAATTGCTCTTGAACAGGGCTACCCCTCCCAGCACACCCACAGTACTCTGCTTTGGGCATATAAATAGGTACCCATGAGCCCATGGTCTTAAGCCTGGAAATATCTCCTATGCCTTCCTTTGAGTCCCTGGTAGGAAAAGCAGGGATGAGAGTGGGACCCTACCAAGAGCCTTGGCACCGGAAACACAGTGGGTTGAGTTATTCTGCAGATGACTCCCCAAAACCCAGGCACCCAGGTACACAGCTCAGAGCTCTCAAACATCTGATGCTGGCACTTCACATTACAGATGAAGCAAATACAAGACTCAAGGTCAAGTGTGCGATGAGTTTCTAAGCCCAAGAGTCCCTGGAAAACTAGAAGGAACAATTGTCCCCACCTCTGCAAGATCTCCACAAGACACTCCCAGTCTGTGGCAGGCAGTCACTGATGGGTCCAGATGTGGCTGGAGCAGGGGGGCACAGGGCTCCTTGTTAATCAGGTCCTTGTTAGCATGGCCCAGGGGTACTGATGACTCCTGGGGGGTTCCTCCAGGAAGCTCATTGGAAGCACAGACATCCTTGGGTATGAAGCCTCGGTGGTCAGACAGGTCTTGTTTCCTGCAGAACAGAACTGCAGGGCACTTCCTCCGTGGTGAATGAGAGAGACGGTCATGTCATCACTCTCTTCCGCCATAATAGCTTCGTCCAGCTCTTGGGAGAGCTTCTGGAGATGCTGAGTTCCCGCCCCCGACGTCCCTCGGTCACTGTCAGACTCACTGGGAGAGCAGAGGGGCTCTGTTGAGGAGTAGGGGCTCCGGAAGGCAGCCTCCCGCCTCGACAACCTTACTGGGTGGGCAGGTGAGCCTATGGGGCAGAGAGGCGGTGATGCTCCTTCTCCCAGGGGTCTGCGGCTGAGTGGGCAGGGGCGGCTCCAGACAGCCGGGTGCTCTCATGGCTCAGGCTGTGAGTTGGTGATCCACTGCCCTCTGTGCCCCTCTCTTCCTCCTCCTGGCCTTCACCTGGGTCTCCACCAGCCATTTGGTGCCGCTTTGGTAGGACTCCTGGATTCTCTGGGACTTGGCACCCAAGGCACTCTTAGCTGAGGGAGCTGCAGCCTGGAGGCCCTGTGGCTCTGGCTCTGGTGTTTCCAGGCGTTTCCAGGAGGGGCCTGCCTGGAGGCTGAGGTTGACAGCTCTCAGGGGCAGCCTCCTTTGGAGCTGTCTGCTTAGGGAACTCAGGGCCCCGGCAGAGGTCTCCTGATGGCTGGCCAAAGGCTGCAGCTCCTTGCTGCCCTCCAGCTGCTCCTGGTGCTGTAGAGATTTCCGGCGCACAGAGGCCCCCATTCCCTGCCACCAGGAAGCCATCTGCCTGGCCAAGAGTCTTCTCTGCCCACTACACCCTGACACCACCAACACCCACCCGAGCCCGAACGCATCGTGTTTCTCATTTTTTAAAGAAATGTACTTAAGGCTATGAATTTCATCCTTAGTTACAGTTTAGCTATACTCCGTAAGACTTCACAGATAATTATTCATTCTATTTTGTAGTTTTAATTGTTTTTATGCCTTTAACCCATACAAAACATTTGTGCACATTATTAAGTTTTTAAAATATCAGTTTCCAAAATTTAAGCAGGGTTTGTTTCTTTAAAAATATTTAATTGAATCAAAATTAGAGAATATGGCATGCATCTCATTAATTTTTCAAGAAATTTTTATGGCCTTTTATGTGGTTATTTTAAAAAACGATGAAAACTCGGGCTGGCAAAAATAAACAAATAAATAAAAATAAAAAATAGAAAAATGAACCATCTGGTTTTCTTTATGGGGCAAATATATTGATATACTTAATATTTAAATAGCATAAATAAATGAGAGTACTATAGAATATAAATATTATATAATACATATAGAATACATAAAAATTAGATAAAATCTGATAATTTTATTGTTTGACTCTTCTATATCTTAACTAATCTTTCTCCTCTCCTTCGCCAATCTTCTTTTGGTAGAAATTTATTAAAATCTTTCTGTGATCATCTGTTAATTTCTTTCTATAATTCTGTACATTTTTGCTTTTAATAGCTCAAAACTATCCTGTCGGTGTATATAGTTCATGTAGTATCATTTTCTTATTGGATTATTTCTTTTATTTTTGTGTAGCATTTTCCCTCTATTTATATTTTACATGTTAAAATGCTATTTTTGGCATTTTGATGTTGATAAGCCTATGTCACTTTTCTTATTCTTCGCATTTGTTTTTCCTTATTTTGTCTTTAATCAGTTTAAGCATGCATATTTTTAGTCTTTACCCAATTATTGTATAACAAAAAAATCCGCAAATGTTTTGTAATTTTAGATTTGTTTATTCTATTGACAAATATTAATAATTGAGTTCTTGTAAGTGCCAGATCCTTTTCTCAGTGCTGAGAATGCATAAGTGGCAAACAGATTAAATTCTCTCTTCACAATGGATTCCACATTGTAGTGATAGGAGATACACAAGTAGCATAAAAAATAAGCACATTTTATTATATATTATAAGATGATAGGTCATATGGAAAAAATACAGAACAGGTCAAGTGTATGGCAGTTTTACAGTGGCAGTGGGAGTGATTGCAGAATAAATGAAATAGCCATGTTTGGCTTCATTGGAAAAATACTATATGAGCAAAGACTTGAAAGAGGTGAGAAAGTGAGCTCTCCAGGAGAAGATCTTTTCAATTCCTAATGAGGGAGAGTGACTGGCATCTTCAAGGAACAGCAAGTAGGCCAGTATGGCGGTAGAAAATAGAATTTGGGGAAAGTAGCAGGAGAGTGTAGTGCACATAGTGGGTAGGCAGATTGCATAGGGTCTTGTAAGTCATAATAAGTAGCAATTGAATTTGAATATTATTTGAATATAGATTAAAGGAGTCAAGGGTAGAAGCATGGAGAACACTTAGGAAACTACTATAGTTATCTAGGTGAGGGATGATGGTGGCTTCAACCAAGGTGAAACAGTAGAAATGATAATAATTGATCAAACCAATGTTATATTGAAGGTAGATCCAATAAGATTCCCTAAAGTGCTGGATATGCCCGGAGGGTGGGGGGCGGGGGAGGTGGGTGGCAGTGACAGAAGAAAAAAAAATATGTCAACAATGCCTTTAAGTTTGGGGCCTAGCATCTTAAAAAAATGTAATTTCCATTTAGTAACTACATAGAGCATGATTTGAGGGTGGGAAAATAAAGGCGTTCAGTATTGGACATCTTAAATTTGAGATATCTATTATACACCCAACTGGAGATTTCAAATAGGCAACTTGCTACATAAATATGGAATTCACAGGAGAGGTCCAAACTCGAGAATTAAAATTGGCAATCATGACATATAACTGATATTAAGTCATGGATTGGATGTCATCACCATAGGTGTATGTATAAATAAGAGAAGAGAAGTCCAGAGACTGAGCCCTGGGGCACTCTAATGTTAAGAGATTCGGCCGGGCGCGGTGGCTCACACCTGTAATCCCAGCAATTTGGGAGGCTGAGGTGGGCGGATCACGAGGTGGGGAGATTGAGACCATCCTGGCCAACACAGTGAAACCCCATCTCTACTAAAAATAAAAAAAATTAGCTGGGCATGGTTGTGGGCGCCCGTAGTCCCAGCTACTCGGGAGGCTGAGGCAGGAGAATGGCGTGAACCCGGGAGGCGGAGCTTGCAGTGAGCCGAGATCGAGCCACTGCACTCCAGCCTGGACGACAGAGCAAGACTCCGTCTCAAAAAAAAAAAAAAAAAGAGAGAGAGATTCACTGTAAAGACGATGAATTAGCAATAGAGGCTAAGAGAAGTATCCAGAGATACCAAGAGAAGAAACAAGAGAGACTGGAATTCTGAAGTCAAGTGGATAGTGTTTCCAGGAGGTGGGAATGACTAGTTGTGTCAAATGATGTTGTTAGGTAAAGTAACATGAGGACTGAAAACTGACCCTTGGATTTGTATAGGGAGATCAGTTAGGATGAAGTGGCTGGACCAAAAGCCTGATGGCAAGAGGGAAATTGTAGTCAATGAATATAGACAACTTTTTCTAAGAGTTTAATTACAATAGAGTTCAGAAAAATGAGGGAGGATCTGGAGGGGAAGTGGAATCAAGAGACATTTTTCTCCTGGGTATGTGTGTGTTTGGGTGTGCATGCATGCACACATATTTTAAGATGGAATTATAGCAGCACATTTACTACTCAAAGTGTCCCAGAAGAGAGGATAAGTTGATGGTGTAGGAGAGGGAAAAGAGAATTGCTGAAGTCATCAAGTAATCAGGAGGGGATGGTGTCCTGTACACAATTTGAAAGGCTAGTATGAGGTCAAAGTGCTAATCGTTCATCTATAGTCAGAGAATGAAGGCTGGCAAGCTGACTAGTGTGAGCATATATGGTAATGCAAGTTCATAGAATGCAAGTTTTGTAGAAATTTGTTTTTTCTAACTTCTACTACTCTCTCAGAGAAGTAGGAAGCAAACTCGTCATCTGACAGGATGGGAGGGAAGGTGCCCAGGATTCGACAGCAGAGAACGCACAGAACACTGATGTAGGAGAGGAGAAAAGGAAATGGATTCAGGATGTGTAGTTAAATTCCTTGGCGCACTAAGGGGCCATTTGAGGTTTAAGGTCATGAATTTAAAGTGGGACCAGTCAGTGTTTTAGTGTTTTTCCCAGCCATATTCAGCTGCAGCATGCCAGGGCAGTGAGCACAGGTGGATTTAACCAAGGTTGCAGTTCTACCAAGTGAATACCATAAAGGCAGAGATGCAATGGAGTTGACAGTGTATACTAATTGTAAAACCAGATCATGGAATTTAAGCAGGGTAAGGAGAGGAGTACGAATATCTAGAAAGTACAGGATCATGAAAAGGTGATAGGATCAATAAATTAGAGATTCTAGTGGAGTTGAAGGATTGTTGTGTTCGGGCTCTAGAGAGAGTTAAACTGGAAAGATAAGTGAAAAGATACAGTTGATTTTAAATAGGTAATTCTCTGGCAATCCATGTGGAGAGAACTGCTCTTAAGAAATTCCTGGCCAGGCATGGTGGCTCACACTTGTAATCCCAGCAATTTGGGAGGATGAGGCAAGGGGATCACTCAGGTCAGGAATTTGAGACCAGCCTGGCCAACATGGTGAAACCCCATCTCTACTAAAAATACAAAATTAGCCACATGTGGCGGCACACGCCTGTAATCCCAGCTACTCGGGAGGCTGAGGCAGGAGAATCAATTGAACCTGGGAGGCAGAGGTGGCAGTGAGCAGAGATCGTGCCATTGCACTCCAGCCTGGGCGACAAGAGCAAAACTCATCTCAAAAAAAAAAAAAAAATAGAAATTGCAAAGTGGTTTTATATTTGCTCCTGTTGGTGATTCAAGTGTTTTGTCACTCAAGTCTACTTTTCATGTTAATTTCTCAGTTTGGGAGTAAATTTTAATCCCAAGGCAAACTGAGACTTCAATTTCTCAAAAGAAACTTCAAAAAATCTAACTCAGAGTCCTAACATCATGTAATTTATCAATAAATATGTTAGTATGTATCACTAAAAATTATTTTAAAAATTTTGGGACAAACTTAGGACTATTTACTTAGCACAACCGTAATACTATCACAGAAAAACAAAAACAAATACAAACCATCATGAATTTCTTAATCAATGTTAAAGTTTTCAGTGATCTCATATATATCATTATTTTAACAGTCCTTTTGAATCAAGATCCAAATAAGTTTATAACATTGCATTAGTTAATGTATCTTCTATATTTCTTTAAGTCATTAGATTTTTCCTCCAACTTGTGTTTTTTTATAATTCTTATAAATCAGTTTCTTATTTTCCCGATTGCTGATATAATTTAACATGTTTCTCTGTCACCTGTATTTCCTATAAATTAAACCAGATTTATGTTAAATTTTTTTGTGTGGCAAATTGGTTTTTTCCATCAGGAAGACATAGTTCCTGTTCATCATTCCTTTTGTGATGTTAGCAGACATTGATGTGCAATGTGTAAATTTTTAATGTTTTCTTACTATCAAATTTTTACATACTAAAGACACAAATACAGATCAGTCATTTTATCACATTTTGCTGAAGCATTTATAATTTATCATTCTATTATCTTCAACAAAAGAAGAATTGTTGTTGTTGCTGTTGTTTTGACCAGCCTGTGACCTTCCAACAGGTTAGCTGCAGCGATACCTGAACTGCCATTCAATTTTTTTTTTTAATTTTTAATATTTTTGTAGAGAGGAGTCTCCCTATGTTTCCCATGCTGGTCTTTAACTCTTGGCCTCAAGTGATCCTCCTGCCTCAGCCTCCCAAAGTGCTAAGATTACAGGTATGAGCCACTGCACCCAGCCCACCATTCAATGTAGCTTCAAGATTTGAACCAATAACAAATCTTAATCTGCTGTCATGACATCATGTGGATGTATTGGTAACAGGCTGGGCTCAGCTATGTCAAAAACTCCCAGATCTGTGCAAAAGTAGTAAGAAATACACTGATGACTGAAGTCAAAGCAAATGCTGAAAAAGCTCCTGGTAGCAGCATAAAAATGGTGAATGTAAAAAAGGAGTAATTGTATCCTGACTAAAGCTTGAAATGTTACACTTTTAAGGTGGAGATCTATGAATATATAGATGGCAGTTTGAAACGTTCTCATGCCATGAAAAAAAAGGTCTAAATTAAGGTGTGATTTTTTAAAAAGTACGTAATTATTTCCTACATTAGAAGAAATAGAAGAAACAAAGGCATGATATCAGCTCCCTCATGATGTATATTGATTGGGACAAAGAAACTGGTGACTGACCTTTTAGTTGGAAAAAGAATACACAGAGCGTGAAGAACCAGAGAGGGGTTCTGAAAGTAGGAAGATATTGAGGGGAATAAAAGAAGATGAGATAATTAATAAACTTGAAGTAAAAAAAATGATTTGAACTCTCTGGGTAGTAGCTTTACGATATGCAATAAGCAATTAAACTGTTAATACTCTTATTTTAAGTTTCAGGGTACATGTGCAGGATGTGCAAGTTTGTTACATAGGTACACATGTGCTGTGGTGATTTGCTGCACCTATCAACCTATCACCTAGATATTAAGCTCAACATACATTAACTATTTTTCCTAATGCTCTTCCTCCCCCCACCCCGCCCCTTGACAGGCCCCAGTGTGTGTTGTTCCCCTCCCTGTGTCCATGAGTTCTCATTGTTCAGCTCCCACTTATAAGTGAAAACATGCAGTGTTTGGTTTTTTGTTCATGCGCTAGTTTACTGAGGATAATATCATCAATTATTTTACAAAAATTTTTGGAATGGCATACTATATGCTGTAATTTATCTAATCATTTTCCAGATGTATACCTTGGGATAGTAATTTTTAACTTTTGTTAAACCACATGTTAAACAACTCTAACTTGGAACTATCAGACTTTTTCTTTAGGATAGTTTTTTAGAAGTAGGATAACTAAGTCAAAGAGTATTAATAATACTCTTTGATACTTTTATTAAAAGGTAGTAATAAAAATATCAAAGAGTATTATTAATACTTACATATAATACTAATTTGACTCAGTTATTCTACAGTTTTCTAACATTCTTTCAGCATGTAATACCAACTTCCTTCTTAACCTCATAGAAAATGGAGAAAGAAACACAAATGTTTTCAACAGAAGAATAAATATGATTCTGTTTTAGAAAAAAAAGAAAAAAGCACAGTGGTAGCAGAATGACCATTTGCCATTTCCCTTCCTGTGAAATCTGTCTCTTTTTGACCTTTGCCCATATTTTATTATTGAGGTGTTGGTATCTTTCTTATCAGTTTCCCTTAACTCTTTCCATCAAAGTATTATTAAAGATAATAATTCTTTTTCATATGTGTGATGAATTTTTCTCCCAGTTTAATATTTGACTTATGGTTTTATTTTTATATCTTTGGGCCTTTTTTCTTTGTATGTCTTCATGATGAATGTAATATGCATTGCTTATAACAAACAATACAGACATTGATAAAGTAAAAAGCAAAAGCAAAGGGTAGGATAACACAGTATAAAAATCGTTGTGTATTTAAACTATCCTGCTTTTTTATGCCTTCTTAGTTTTGTGTAGTATTGTTTAAATTCTGTATATGTCCGTGTGTTTTCACTGGAGATTTCCATTTCTCTAGGATGGCATGGTGTTTTAGATTTAAAGAAGAGGAAGGGGGATTGTTGCCTCAGTTGAATCCCTAGTATTCCTTCTACTCAATGTTCTGAGAGGAAATCTTACTGATCATAAGTCATTTTTCTGGAACTTCCATGGTGAGTAGGGCTAAATATTTTAGCAACTGAAGAAACAATTTGAACAAACTGTTAGTTTTAGACATGATTTGTTAGGTCATCTATAAAAACAAATAGCAGGGGTGGGAGCGGTGGCTCACCCCTGTAATCCCAGCACTTTGGGAGGCCGAGGCAGGCGGATCATGAGGTCAGGAGATCAAGACCACCCTGGCTAACACGGTGAAACCCCGTCTCTACTAAAAAAATACAAAAAATTAGCCGGGCATGGTGGTGGGCACCTGTAGTCCCAGCTACTCGGGAGGCTGAGGCAGGAAAGTTGTGTGAACCTGGGAGCCGGAGCTTGCAGTGAGCCGAAATTGCACCACTGCACTCCAGCCTGGGTGACAGAGCGAGATTCCATCTTAAAAAACAAACAAACGAACAAAAAACAAATAGCAAAATAATAAGACATTATAAGGGAAGGCTGTATGAACATAGATGTATTTAATATGTCTCATCTACAAACACAAGCCCACCAAACATCTGTTTCCACAAGAAAGCGTTAATGTGCCTCTTAATATCCATGATATGATAGAATCCATTGTTTTCAGGAGTCAAGGGAACACTAAAGATTGGTAGGCATGCAAAGCCACACATAGTGTAGCTTTAGGCTGCTAGTATTTGCTGATCTTTGTTCTCTTTGCAAAAGGATAAAAGAAGAAGAGAAATTTGTCCAAAGGACCCAGGTAAACAACTTTTTACCTATGTTTAAAACCTTCATAAATTTGCCAGGATGATTCATATGTATTCTACTATATATAAAAGAAAGTTCTTTTTCTAAAAAAAAAAAAAAAAAAAACAAAAAACTAAGAAAACACCCATTTAGAACCACTACATACACATGGAGAAATGACATTATAGCTGAATGTAAATTTAGGAGACCGAATAAAAGTTATTTAGGTAGACAAGGCAGGGACAAGTATTCTGAAATAAAGGAATAGCAAGAGCAAAAGAATGAGGCACAAAAGAGTTTTCCATTTTTCTTTCTCTGTCCTCTGACTCCAGATCCTTTCCTGCCACATTCTTTATTCCTATCACTAAAATAAATGGTTCCATTAAACAATAACAAGTAAGTTTTAATATAAAACTGCTCAGAATGTTCAGAGGAAAAATGTTCTATAACTGTAAATATGAACAAGTAATTTATAAAATATCACTGAACTAACAAATTAATGTTTCTGGAATCATATTTTAGTTTTCTAGAAGACATCTGTCTTGTCTGTGGAAAGGTGAGAGAAGATCTTGTACACAAAGATTTATGTGCGAGGATGTTCAATGACTTATTATCTGTAATAAAGAAAAAAATGAGAATACCTAATTCTAACTCGAGACAAGTAGTTACATAAATTACGCCTACTAATATATGACATAAGGATATGATCACTACATATTCTCCATTAAAAATAGTTACAAAATATACAAGGTATAATTTTATATTTGCATAGAAATGTACATAGAGAGACATATAGAGAAAACACTGAAAGGATGTCCTATATATGAAAAAATAGTATTCCTTCTAGGTTTTGGAATTACTTCCTACATGTTTTCAATACTGTCTATAATGAACGCTTCTCACTTTATAATCATAAGACAAATCGCAATAAATTTTAGTGGCAGGGGTTGGGGAATAAACATATCCATTAGGAGTTTAATGGACTTACAGTATTTTAACTTTAGTCTTTGGTTTGTAAACTATAGGTCAAATGTAAATATAAGAAATGCTCCCTACTTGTTTCTTAAAGGAGAACCATGTCTTTGTATTTTAATCAATTAGATACATGTTTGAAAAACAAAAGTGAGACCTGTAATACCGATTGGAATACTTGTGCTTGCACTAAAAACTTCAAATATTTTTCTGCCCTCGACTTTGAGTAAACAACTTTAGAAAAATAACACATATTTTGAGTTATATTCATCTTTGGATGAACTTTAGGAGATTTATCTGTTGGATAATTGAGACTGAGTTATTATTGGTCTAAGGACAATTTTTTTCTACTATAGCTTAGCAGCCAGATACAGATTAGCATTTATCAATAAAGCTGAGTTTTGTTCTGTCAATAATATTGCTTAGAGATAGGCTATTAAAATGTGTCATTGTTAGTGCCAGTGCCTGTTCTGACTTATAAAATAAAGTTCTAGCAATTTAGAAAGTTATTCTCTTTTTTCACAGTGAGAAATATGAGGTCAGTGAGGATGTGACTTATTTATCTGTTGAAAATCATAGGAATAATAACTATATTTACTCATTGCTTACTATGTGTCAGTCTCACACTGGTCCTGAGAGAGGTGTCCTAATAATGAAAACATAATTAGTCCAAAACAATTAGAAAGTAGTTTCTTTAAAAAGGTAAGTGTTTTATCAATGATATATGTGGCATAATAATTAGGAACTTTTATACCTGTGTACTAATTGTGACATCATCACCTAGTATTTATGATGTTGGACAAATTATTCAAACTCCCTGACTTAGTCATCCCCATCTATAAAACAAAAGAAGCATTGTACCTGATATTGTTTGGATCTGTGTCCCTATCCAAATCTCATGTTGAATTGTAAACCCCAGTGTTGGAGGTGGAGCCTGGTGGGTGGTGATTGGATCATGGAGGTGGTTTCTCGTGAATGGTTTAACACCATTCCACTCAGTGCTGTTCTCATGACGTGAGTTCGTTCTCATGAGATGTGGTTGTTTAAAAGTGTGTAGCACCTTCTCACCACTCTCTTCCTCCTGCTCTGGCCATGTGAAGTGCCAGCTCTCCCTTTGCCTTCCACCATGATTGTAAGTTTCCTGAGGCCTCCCCAGAAGCTGAGCAGATGCCAGCACCATGTTTCCTGGACAACCTGCAGAACCATGAGACAATTAAATCTCTTTATTAATTACCCAGTCTCAGGTATTCCTTTATAGCAATGCAAGAACAGACTGATACAATACATATCTCATAAAGTTCTTGTGAGGATTAAGTGCCATAATCTATGAGCACCACTTGGAGTGCCTTCTGTTCAATAAATGTTAGCTATTAATACATTTTCATAGCATCTTTGCCATCAAATTTAAAATGAAACATTTAAAAACCTCCATGCATGTTTTGATTCTTTTATTCAATTATCAACTTATGGAATAACTTTTCTCATTTTTTGGAATGCAAAATACTAAACAGAAAAGATAAGACATTACCTTTCTGTAGCAAGCATTAAAAGCTCTTGTAATTTCTCTCAAACAGGTATTCTTAAATCTGGGCTGAAAGATTTAATATCTTCAAACCATCCAAATTGCACTTACTCAGTGTGTAACAGTAAGGGAAGGTTTAGCTGACTTTATTATCTGCTTAAAACAGATAGGATACTAAGAATGTATAGATATGGTGCCTTTGGAGAGCAAATTCAGGTATGATCACTAAAGATACTAATACAGGATTTGCTAGACACTTATTTGCTGAAGAGGCTCAGCAATTTATCCTGTGAAATATCCCAAGTTTCGGATTTTGTGTTAAATCCTCTTTCTGGTGTCATTTACTTTGTGCCTTCACCCCTGTGATGGCTATAATATAGAATTTAAATCAGAAGCCTTGAATCCTTGGTTAGAAGCCATCACTGATAATGTCTTTTCTTTTTGCATCACCTCAGGAGACACCTAATTCTGCCAAGACAATAAAAGTAGTGGTAGACTGACCCTAGAGAAATAATGATAAACAAGACAAAAAAGATCATGCTGTCATGGAAGTTGCATTACAGTGGAATAGAGGCATGATCAACAAGTAAGTAAATAAATAAGTATAATAATTCAAAATACTGATAAAGTTATAAATAAGAAAAAAAACAAAGAAATTAGTGAGTGAGATAGAGTGCTCAAGGTGAGGTTTTCCAGGAAAGCCTCTTTGAAGAGGTAACATTTGAGCACACCGTGAAAGATTAGAAAAAAACAGCAGAGGGAAAACCTGGGAAAGGGGACTTCAAGGACAGTGGAAATAATTTTCCACAGTGGCATAAGTAAATCTAAAGTGTTTGAGGCGGGGAAAAAAGAAGACTTTTGACTGAAGAGTTAGTCATCTGGGGAAATCTAGTTCCTGCAATGTGGTAGACCAGATATTGTAACTCCCTGTGCCACCAAACCCATAGAAATGATGAAAAGAAATTGTATATTTACTTTTAAATGTATAGCTGAGCTTACAATAAAGTAAGCCAAGCTCCTACTTGCCAAAAATGAAGAAGGCAAAATAAAATGGTAAGGTCAATTTGAAGATGGTGGAGGAAAGAATATTGCCAGCCTTGGTAATCATGGAAATGGGTTATAATAACCATAAAAGAATATGAAATGAGGCCATGAGCCTAATGGAGTCAGGGAGTGAAAACTGAGATTCCTGCTGGAGGACTAGAAAATTTCCCCATCAGCACAAGGATATTCTTCCAAAATATAACTTTCATGAGAGCAGAGATTTTGCCTGTTTCTTATGACATCCCTAGTCTTTAGCACAGTAACTTAGTAAGCTTTTATTGCATAAATGAATGTCTTGGTTTGGGCTCTAAGTAAAGAGGAAAATGTCTTCCCTATGAGTTTGTAACCATGCCTCCCCTCACATAAATTTGGGGGCTTATAATTGAAATAGGTAATATATGTGAGGTTTGCCAACCTCTAAGTGAGAAATTAACATAAAAAGTGCTCTGAAATTGGGATATCCTGGGAAGCCTAGAAGTAGCAAAAGGACAAATTATCAACCAAGATTTTCTACAGGAGAAACACATACATATTAAAAATAAGCTTAGAACCTAAAATTATAAAAACACATTGGGAAACTATCAGGTACAAAGAGGCACTTCAGTCATCTTTGCTTCATGATGCATCATATGAGAAAACAAAAATGTCTTGAAATTGATGAGAAAGTGATATATCAGCCATTTAATCCATACCTAATGTACTGAGAGTTCTGGTAATTTAACCATGTCAATGCAGTCTTTTTAACCATGTCAATGCACTCTACATTATTTACCGAAGAAAAATGATTGCCCTTTAAAGATTTTTTTAAAAAAAGACTAAGAAACAAAAACAGGTTAAAAGGAGCCAAATCAGGACTATAAGGTGGATGCCTATTGATTTCCCATTGAAACTGTCACAAATTTCCTCTTGTTTGATGAGATGAATGAGCAGGAGCATTGTCATGGTAGAGAAGGACTCTTTGGTGGAGCTTTCCCAGGCATTTTTCTACTAAAGCTCTGGCTAACTTTCTCAGAACACTCTCATAATAAGCAGATGTGATCGTTTTTTGGCCTTCCAGCAAGTCAGCAAACAAAGTGCCTTGGGCATCCCAAAACACTGTTGCCATGACCCTTGCTTTTGACTGGTCTGCTTTTGCTTTGACTGGACCACTCCACCTCTTGGTAGCCATTGCTTTGATTGTGCTTTGTCTTCAGGATCATACTGGTAAAGCTATGTTTCATCTCTTGTTACTATTCTTTGAGAAATGCTACAGGATCTTGATCCCAGTTGTTTAAAATATTCATGGAAAGCTCCACTCTTGTCTGCAGTTGATCTGGGTGCCATGGTTTTGGCACCAATTGAGTGGAAGGTGCTCAACTTTGATTTTTTAGTCAGGATTGTGTAAGCTGAACTAATTGAGATGTCTGTGGTGTTGGCTATTGTCCAAGCTATTAAATGTTGGTTAGTTAGGGCATGAAGAAGATAAATTTTTTCCTTACAAATTGATGTGGATGAATTTGCCACTGCAGGATTTATCTTCAGCATCTCATCCTTTCCTAAAACAAGTTATCCATTTGTAAACTGCTGATTTCTTTAAGGCATTGTCCCCATAAACTTCTTGTAAAGCATCAGTGATTTCATCATTCTTCCACCTGAGCTTCACCATAAATTTGATATTTGTTCCTGCTTCAACTTTAGCAGAATTCATTTTGCTCTTAAAAGGGCTTTTTTCAAACCAATTGCTTATTCTTCTTAGTACCTCAAATGAGATCCTGTTCAGACATGTTACAAAAAGTTAGCACAAGTGTATTTTGGTGCAAAAACATTTTTGAAATTCACGCATAGTTTTTTTATAATATGCATTTTCCATAAACCTTTTGAAGACCACTTGTAGTAGTGATTTTTAAAACATGTAACTTCTCTGCTTAAATTATACCTTGTATTTCTAAGGCTATGGTTAGTCTGTGAAGAATGTACAAAGTCCACTTAAAACAGACAGATTAGTTATTGTTTAAAAACTGGGGAAATTCAACATACAATGGATGAAATCTGATAGCTATATAAGTAAATTCACCCTAAGCAATACTAAATAAATGGGTGGTTTAATTGAGAAACACTAAAATTCAAATCAAGACATAAACTTTAGCAAAAAACACTAGAAAAATGTAAAATGCTATTAATAAAACCCCATATAGAAAATATTACAGAGAGAATGGCATTTCAGGAAACCTTCAGACCTATCATGGAGGTAGGCCACAGGGACCCAGACAGAGACAGTTTAGCATCAGTATTTCAAATCACCTTGGACTATACCTAAATAAGTCTGGGGGAAACTGTACAGTAGGCCTTACGTATTATAATTTGAGGGAGATTGCCCTTCTCTTCTGTATTAGCACTCTGTTATATTTTTATGGGAAATTGGTGCTTATCGATGGAGGAAACACTGAATTAATCAGCATCCAAGAGGCACTTCAGTCATCTTTGTTTCCTGATGCATGAAGAACAGTAGGAAACAATGAGATAAGAGACTAGGTAAGGCAATAATACTAGTAAATTGAATGTTTCCCATGCATACTTTTTGCCCCCATACAAGGCTTAATTTACGGAAAATGATGAACAGCAAAGCCTTGTTATGATCCTGATCCAATTTGCTTTTGACAGATTATACATCTTTGAAAAAAATGTGATCAGTGCCACCAAGGTCACAACACTCACCAAATGTCATCAAGGTCAGCAGAAATACAGATTATTCCACTATATCTTCACTACTTGAGGTCATTTTGGCAATCCCCAAAGAGATCAGAAGTCTGAAAAATAGGTGTCTATTCCTTGCCTGGGAGCACTCCTGCTATGTCCAGCAAACAACAGGCACTTGATAAGTATTTGTTACCTGACTTAATGACTTCTTTCACTTTGATTTACCTTCAGAGAAAAAAGGACTTAAATGATTTCTTGAAACTGAAATGAAAATGAGTATCAGTAAAAGCGGTAAGACATGAGTACAGACACATGTGGGTTTACTCACCTTATCTCAAAGTTGCAATCGCATATGGCTTTCCTGTGACTTTTTCTATCCCATCACACGTGTTGCTACACCCATTTTTCTGTCAACCCTTGAGTATCCCTGCCTCCTTTCTCTGCACTCAAGACACACACAGTCATATATCTCACCCTAATAATACGCTAAATGTTTCTTTCTTAAACTTTGGTCACAGAGGGGTCAAGATTCCTTTTTTTTATATCCAGCTCCTTTTCCCAGCAATAGGTTAAACTTGCTACCCTATAGTCTGCCCAGGACTTGATTACATATTAGCCTATTTAAAAGTCTGCTTCCAGAATTCCCCTGCATAAAGTCTTCTTTTGGGGTGGACATAGTCTCAGTTCAGAGTCTCTGAGCTGTTTCTCTTTTTTTTTTGCCTTTTATAGTCTCTCACTAAATCTCTCTTATTATTGCCTGTTCAATAATCTTCTGTTTTCTCCACCTACTCTTTTTCTAAAAACTTTTTGGTTTCTTTACAATTAAGGATTCATGACCTTATATCCCACCCCAAGTAGTGTGCACATCTTGTTTATACACTATTTATACTAACATCAGGACAAAATTTAGCACATTTAAAATCAAATGACATATTTGTTTTTAGTTTACTTTTGGTTGCTGTGAGTTACTCCTAATCCACACATATACTGCCACAAAAAAAGAAAGGAAATGGCTGTGCAAATAATGCCTGCAAAATGAGCCATTTGGCTTCAAGATTATAGCCAAATTATGCGACAGCTTGCAATAGTGAATTAGATGAGAAATTGTTTTCAGTATTTACAACATTTTGTAGCAAAAGAAAAAGATGTTTAGTTCTAGATTTGCAACGAAGCCACTGAAGCCCGTTTCACAATCATTTACACTTTTTGGATCTCAGTTTCCAAAAATGCTAAAACTGAGTTCAACAGTCACTGGCTTTGAGTACTTTCTTATGGAATCAACCACTTAGAGACTACAGAAAAGACAAGATGTAAGTTACCCTTTTATGAAGGAAATGTGCTTTCATAGGAACGGCACAGGTTTTAGAGCCTAACTTCCCAGGGCTAGATCTCCTTTATACCCTCTACCAGATGATCTAGAGTGAAGTTACTTAACTTCTTTCAGTCTTGATTCTGCATCTGTAAGACAGTAATAATAATATTTGCTTCACAGAATTTTTCTGAGGATTGCCTGAACAATCCTAAGAATATATAAATAGCACGACACAGTAAGGTGCTCAAATAAATGGTAGTTATTCTTAAAGCTGTTGTTCTACTTATTGATTTAAAGAAGGGACAGTATTTTGACTTGGTGACTTGAAGGAGGATCCAGTGCTATAAAAAATTTAGTGTCTGCTAGATTATTTTAAAATGTCAAACACAGAGTGTTTAAAGGGAAAGGGAAAATTCCCCTCACTTTCCTTCCAGTTCCAGTGTCCATGTACACATCTGTTCAAATTTTTTCTATATGTGAAATAAAAGTACATAAATATAATTGATTTTATCAAAAACAGTTCATGTTACATATGCTGTTAGATAAAAATATTTGGGTGGTAAGTGGAAAGGAACAATAAATATTTTCTTGGTTCAATAAGAAAATATTAGGTCTGAAGGAAAAAAATTAGCTGTGACCAAAGTGGAAAGAAGGCATCTGCATGCCACTGCAATTCTTTTTACAGAAATTCTCTAGGTGTTAATTTTATTAGACATTAATCACAATATTTTAAAATAAATAATTAAAGCTTTACTGGTAAAATCATTACTTAAATATTCATGTTGGTTGGGTGAAATAAAATCACATATACATTGCCTAATTTGCATGAAGTTTGATGGGTGTGTAGATCACAAATGAATAAGAATGTAACTCTCTCCTGGATGCTACTAGATCTTTTTCTGCAGAGCTACTTACTTGCAGCAGCCTAAGGAGGTTTTGCAAACACAGAGGATGGTTGGAAAAGGATACAGATTCTCCACAGTTATTTGTTACTCCAAGTGCAAACTGACCTAGTTATGGTTACCATGGATACTATAATTTTGAATTTAATCATATTCTGAAAAGGAGTAGCAATACAGCTCTATGAAACACTGAGATCAATCTGAAGCTCAGCCTTAAAAGGTGAAGAAACTGAGTCAGGGAGGGTAAGTGGTTTATCCTATATCAAGAGAGAAATTGGAAGATTCACAGAAAAATCTCAAATTTTATAAAGCTAAGTTCTATGATTAGTTCAGTAGCCAATGTACTTTTCAAAGTCACTCAAGCCATAAAAAATGCTTCTTAGCTTAATTGATTTACATGAGACTTTGCTGCACTTATTAAAAATACACTTTTTCTCCTAGTCATCTATAACTACTGTTTTTCAACTTGAAGTTAAAAAAGCACAAATATATATTTGGAGTCAATATACCAAGCTGTCATGATGAACAGGTTTCTGCACAAATGAAAACCAAGTGAAATAAAAATGAAAATGCCTGGGAAGTGGAAGAACAAAGGATCATTTGTTTTAACTTGAGCTTCTAGGATCATTTGATGGCCATATTTTATGAGTCTGCAACATATAATCCTGCATATAAAACATGATATTACTATAACATGTACATTTAAACATTCAACCATAATATTAAGATTTTCTTTTAAATAAATATTTCTGAATTCAAATACTTAGAATAAAAGAAACAGGAAGCTGGCTGCTTATAATTAAAATAAAATTTACCTGTAGTTCTGTCTCAAAAGTGATCTAAAATCAAGTAGGTGCAAATTTTAGGACATAAAGATGAGAGAAATTATACAGAAGGAGCAAAAGAATTAATTCTGAATTCTCCCTGGAAAATAAGAATAGTTCATCTCCTGTATTGGTTGCTTTAATACAAGTTGCTGTTCTGCTGAGTAACTCTTAAATGGATTCTCTAAGATCATAAACTATTGGAAATTGAAGCCAGTGATCTGACTTAGACCCTGGCAACATTATATAAGCAGTTTTCAAAGATTCCAGTGGTATCTTTTCTTGCTTATGTAGCTGGTTTTGATCATAGCCAGGCCACCTCATGCACTTGCAAAGATTCTTCCCCTTCCCTATATAAATTTCCCCCCAACAACCTTGAAAATCTTGTAATGGATGATTCATTACAGCTGAGACAAAGGCCCAAGTACTATCATATGTCATTGCTAAAATTACTTCAGTCAAGAGGATGAAAACATTAGAAGGTTTACCTCCTTTCAATCCTCAGCTCCCATCCATTGTTGGCTGACAGGATTATTATGCTGCTGCTTGGTCAGTGCATTAGCAGAAATTGTTGCTTTCAGGAAGCACAGCAGTGAATATAAAAACAGAGCTACAAGATAGCAGGGCCAGTATGAACAATTTATAGTTGAATAGAGAGCTCTCAAAGCTGGCTTTATGGTCGTCTCACAAATACATTAATGATCTCATCTTTGAGGAAATAATATTCCCTGAATTTCTCTTTGCTTCCAAATCTATATTTTTTCTTTCCAGGAGAGAGGGTACTGATCATAGAGAGGGGAAAAAAAATTAGCAGCTTGCATCTAAGCCTCTCCCCATACATTGGTAGGCTGCACATGATCTTAAGCTGCTATGCCTGACTTCCAACAACAGCAAACATTTATTGATCTCATATTGCTAGTCATGATAAGAGTTTCAAAGGCAAATTCCTTGAAGAACTCATAATGTAACTAGAGTCACATAATGTACAGAGCTCCCTCTACTATGATGGAGGTATGCTGATTTGTGATTTCAGAAGAGGGAGGGAGTGATTGTGCTCAAGGAGCAGGAGGGAAATGTCACAGAGGAGGGGACATTAAGTTGTATCATGAAAGGTGTGTCATATTTCATGAGGATAGAGAAGGCAATTTCATGTATAATAAACAGCTTAAACAAAATCAATCCCCAAAGAAAATAGAATACATGGTATGTAATGACTATGTGAGTGTATTAATCAGGGTTCTCTAGAGGGACAGAACTAATAGGAGATATATATATATACATAGCTCATATATATATGAGTTCGACGTTCAAGGGCAGGAAGTACCCAGCATGGCAGAAAGATGTAGGCTGGGAGGCTAGGCCAGTCTTGCCTTTTCACGTTTTTCTGCCTGCTTTATATTCTAGCTGCGCTAGCAGCTGATCAGGTGGTGCCCACCCAGACTAAGTGTGGGTCTACCTTTCCCAGCCCCTAGACTAAAACATTAATCTCCTTTAGCCACACCCTCACAGACACACCCAGGATCAATACCTTTGTATCCTCAATCCAATCAAGTTGACATTCAGTATTAACCATCACAGTGAGTCAGAATGCATTTTTCCAAATAGCCACAGCAATTTCTCCCATTCCATATGCTCTTCTTATAATGTGACTTTGATACTCCTCTCATTGAGAAGAGAGATTCTGTGCTCATTGAGAAAGTAGGCTTTGCAACAACAGTGGAAGTAATGCTATGTGACTTCATAGAATAGGTCATAAAGATGATAGATTTTCTGCCTGGCTCTCATAGGAAAACCCTTTGGAAACTTGAGCTACCATATCAATGTCTGACTTCCCTCAAGCTGCTATGCAGGGAAAGAAACCCAAACTAGGTCCCATGGAGAGATCAAAAGGAAAGGCCCTGAAACTATCAAGAGAGGAGGATGCCTGATCAACCCATAGCTGTCCTAGCTACTTGCCATTTTAGCTTCAGCCAATATCTGCCAACAACCACATGAAAGATCTGAGTTAGAACTACTTAGCTGAGCCTTTCCCAAATTCCTGGCCCACAGAAACTGTGAGAGCTAATACAATGATAAGCATTGTTTTAAGCAACTAAGTGCTGGAAGTGATTTGTTATTCAGCAATTAAAACTAGAACAGTAAGCAACTGGAAATGAAATTAGACAGTCTAATTGAGGCCTACATAATATTTGGATTTTCTCCTACATGAATGGGAAACAATCCAATAAGCTTTTTTAATCTGAAGAATGACACGATCCAATTTATAGTTTAAAAGGACACTCAAGAGACATTAGGCAAGATGAACAGGAGTAGAGAGACACTGGAGACAAGGAGAATGCTTGCAGGAATTCTCAAAGTTGAACTGTGCATAAAAATCACTTGAGGTGTCATAAAATTTCACATCCCTTGAACTCATCCCAAAAAATAAAGGAAAGGTAATGAGGAATTGTTTCTAGATACCTTTAGTGGAGAAAAGTACATTTGTTGTATGCTTGCTGTATGTCGGGCAGTTTGCTAGGCACTTGGTATACAGCAGAGTGGCTAAGATCACAGACTTTCCTGTAAGAGGGGCCTGAATTTGAGTTACTCCATCATTTACTAGCTATTTGATCTTGGGAAAATTATTTAACTTCCCTGAAACTGTTCCCATATTTTAAAAATATAAATATTATCCTACCTTTCTCACTATTTTACTTAGGTATAATCCTTACATATAGTAATTGCCCAATAATAATAAATGACTGCATAAAAACACATGCACACATATGTTCATTGCAGCACTATTCACAATAGCAAAGACATGGAATCAACCTAGATGCCCATCAGTGGTAGATTGGAGAAAGTAAATGAGGTACATATGCACCATGGAATACTATGCAGCCACAAAGAAAAGAATGAGATTATGTCCTTTGCAGCAATATGGATGCGGCTGGAGGCCATATTCCTAAGTGAACTAACACAGAAACAGAAAACCAAATACTGCATGTTCTTACTTATAAGTGAGAGTTAAACACTGAGTACACATGGATGCAAAGAAGGGAACAGCAGGCACTGGGGCCTAGTTGAGTGTTTTGGATGGGAGGAGGGTGAGGATTGAAAAACTACCTCTAGGGTACTATGCTTATAACCTGGGTGATGAAATAATCTGTACATCAAACCCACATAACATGCAATTTACCTATAAAACAAACCTGCTCATGTACCTCCTGAAACTAAAATAAGAGAAATAATAATAATAAATGATTGCAAATGTTCTCAGCAGTGTTATTCCCACGTTTCAATGTTCTTATCTCCTTTAGCAAAATTCCTTCTATTCCTGCTTTTTCCTCTACATATTACCAAAACTCCTTTGGAAAAACTTATAAATAATCAACATTGTGTCAAATTAAAAGGAATTATTTTCATTTCATTTGGTTTCCTGGCAGGCTATCCTTTCATTTTGGAAAAACTTGCTTCTAGACTTCTATGATGCCACATTCCACTGTTTTTCTCCTACCTCAATGGTTGCTCTCCTACTTTCTTTGATGCATTTTCCTCCAAAACCATTCTAAACTCAGAGTCCTTCAGGGTTTGATTTTGATCCTTTTCCTCTTCACATATTTTCTTCTTAAATGACCTCATCAATCTATGACTTAACATAACATGTATATTTTGATGACTCCAGTTTTTATCTAAAATCTAAATAGTGACTCTAAATTCATAAATCTGAAGGCTACTTGACATTTCTCTTTTATCTCTTATAAGCATCTTAACACTAATGTATCCTAAATTGAATTCTTGATAATCTCACCAAACTTACTCTTCCTCTGTGCTTTTTCCCTCCTATAATAGTGCACAGCACAAAATATCTTCCCAGTTATTCAATCTAAAACCTAGAATTCATCTTTCATTCAATTTTTTACTCATCCACTTAAATCAAATCATCTACAGGTTGTGTCAGTTCAACTCTTAAAAGGTATTTCGAATTCATCAACTTTTCTTCATTCCTATTCCTACTATTGTAGTCCAAGCATTTCTTGCCTGGACTGCTACAATAAGCTCCTAACTTTTTCTCTTTCCTTCCTCCAATTTAGTTTATTCATGACATCATTCAAGAGATGTGACTTCTGTTTTGGAATTATGAGTGTTATAATCTAGAATCACCTTGGATTATTTCAGAATCCTGAGATCACATAATGCTAGACGTGAAGAGATTTATGTATCAAGTAATCCACATCCAACATTAATAAGAATAGTTTAGGTTATGCTAAGTCTAGGTAATAAAAAAAGCCCCAAATCTCAGTAGACTAAAGCAACAAAGGATTCTTTCATGATCAAACTATACAATCATCATGGGGTGTCTGGGGGTTTTGTTCTGAGTCATCTACATTCCAGGACTCATCCTGATGGAGCAGCCACTGCCTGGAATCTTGCCAGTACCAAGAATGACAGAAAAACAGCTATAGCAAAAACACCCACTGTGTTATTAAAACATTCGCTAAAAGTGACATCCTTCACATTCAATCAATTTCTTTGGCCAAGGCAAGTTGCTTGGCCAAGTCTAAATCAAAAAGGTGTAGGGAAGTGAAATACCTCCATGTGCCTAAAGAGAGAACTGAAAATATTCAGTGAATAGCACTAATGATGAATTCTCCCTTATATTTTACAAATGAAGAAATTGGGACCTAGGGAGACTATGTGAACCGTAAGATCAAGAAGCTGATTTACATCACAGTCAAGACTAAAACTGAGTCTTGAACTCACTGTCCAGTGCTTTTCCTAATAATGAACCGGGAATTGTTTGTTCCTTATTCAAGCAAAATACATTTAAATGTCTTAATATCAATATTTTATTTATTTAAGTAATATCAACCTTCTGTATTAAAGCATTTTTATACCTTTGCTTAGAGGCCTTGCTTCTCCAGTCTCATTGATGCTCTAGAAAGATGCCCCAGTGTTAAAGCACTCAAAATCTCTTTGACCTGGCTGTTCTCATTTCTAGCAAAACTAAGTCATTAAGTCATGTTTTATGCTAGGGATTCTAAACACACTGGCTTAAGAAATGTCAAGGAGATAAGCAAGAGAACTGTGAATCTGTATGTAAATTAAGCACCATCTGTTAAATCCACTAGAACTGTATTCGCAACAAGAACTCCAATTAACAATAGCTTAGGGAGGGGAGATTTATTTGACCCTCATAACAAGTCTAAAGGTGAATGACTACTGATGTTGGTTCCATAGGTCAATGGTATCAGAGCCCATGGATCTCTTGGTCTTTTCTCATGGACACAGGAGGGCTGTGACTGCTCCGTGCATTACCCCTGTGATCAGTCTAGAAGAAGGGGGAAGGTTGAAGCCAGATGAGACTGCCCCTTTTATTGGAGAACCAAAAGCTTTCCCAGGATCAATAATCCACCCCTTATTCTTTCAGACTATTATAAAGGTCCTATTTGCCAGGACCGGGGTTACATGGCCAACCCTAAGAGAAAGGGAGATAGAAAAAAAATAGGAAAAAAGATTATCGTTGATTGGCTAAGACTAATGCTGCCTTGAACAAGAGAAGGGTTCTGTTGGCAAAGAATAGCATGGGGGTAGGAGGCGGTAAAAATGAAGACCAAGTAAGCAACCAACAGTGTCTGCCTGATTCCCTGATTGAATAGAAGATTGTTCTGAGAGAATTTATCTATCATTCTTAAATTTTACATTCAAAATAATGTGAATAAATAAAATATGTATTTACCACTGAACTCATAGTAGCTGTTATGTATCTTAATAACTGGTGAAAATAAAAAACATAGTCAGGTGCTGTATAATGATGTTTCAGTCAAAGATGGACTACATATACAATAGTGGTCTCATAATATTATAATACCATACTTTTACTGTACTTTTCTATGTTTAAATACGTTTAGAGATACAAATACTTACCATTGCATTACAATAGCCTATGGTACTCAGTACAGTAACAGGTTTATAGCCCAGGAGCAATAGGCGGTACCATATAGCCTAGACATGTAGTAGGCTATACCATTTAGGTGTGCGTAAATGCATTTCATGATGTTCACACAATGACAAAATTGCCTAATAATGCTTTCCTCAGAATGTATCCTTGTTGTTAAACAATACAGGATGGTATAATGAAGCTACGTTTAAAGAAAATATATTCCATAATGTTCACACAATGACAAAATTGTCTAATGATGCTTTTCTTAGAATGTATCCTTGTTGTTAAACAATACAGGGTTGTATAATGAAGCTATTACAATAAGTTCTGCTATAACACTTGTTTTGAAAATACAAATTTGTTCCAACAAGATTGACATATTAGGGAATTGTTTGAACATAACACAATTTCGCATTTGTTTGTGTGTGATTTTGTCTACTTGAAACACTAGTCGAATGCAGAAAACTACCCAGATGACCTGAGCCACATAAGAATACACAAAACTCACACAGGTACAATCCTCAAACCTTACCAGTGACCTCAGTTCACTGCCTGAGTTATGAGCCACACCCATCCACATCTGGTGTAATAAATTTCCCCCGATTTCAAATAATGCTTCTTCTGCCATTTCACAACCCTTAAGCTGTGACCTTTCTGAGGCCCATTTCCACAAGCAAATGCCGTGTCTTTTTCAAGATAAAGGGTTATATTTGCTGTAGTATTTATGCATTTCTTAAGCATTTATCATGTGTAAATTCTTGCTACCATTTTTATTAGGTCTTGATCTGATTTTTATGGTCCATTGACAAAGTTTCTGAGTGCTCTGTCCTAAACCTCATGTTACCCATTAAGTCCTGTAGTTTTAATTGAACTTTTTTTTTCAGTGATACCGTATCTAAATAAATCCCTGGTGGTTACCAGGTGAATATAAATAAGTGTGTATATGCATACATACATTCATACATATATAATATTCGAACACAATTGAGGCATTTTGACATAAATCCAAAAAATTCCTTTTATATTTTAGAGGTAAATAAGCCTTTAAAAGTATTTATTAAATGTACTTGGGAGGATTTATTCAAAAAAGACTATCAATTATATTAAATAAAAGCCATTCAATACGCCAAGCTATATATAGATGTCTCCATAGTGGGTGAAGATGTGTCATTTATCTTTTAAGATAATTATGCAAACTATATTGAGCACACACATCCTGAGCTGGGAAATGACTTTTACATCTTTCTCCTCATTTATAAATCTTTTCCAACAGAAGTTATGCAAGATTCAGACTGGTCAGCACAGAGCTGGATTTTGGTGGTCCCTTTACAATAGGAGAGAATCCATTTTCCTCCTTAGGGTCTTTCTTTTCTTTAACGAAGGCATACAGAGCACTCAGCACATTCCCAGAGCTTCTTAGAATTTTTCCCTTGAGAGATCTCAGGAAATATGAGGAAAAACAACTTCAAAAAAATTAATGAAAGGCCTATCACTGTCTGCCTTTCTCTCTTTTAATCCCTGCCCTATCCTTTCTACTTTCTAGAAGTGTAGTGCCCCTTCAGTTTCAAACATTTTTCCTCTCCTTAAATTCCCAAGGTGGGATGCCCTTTTCTGGCACTCCGTCTATGAAAGGGACAGGGAAAAGATCTTATAGAAACTGAACCCTGACACGGGGCTTATTTTCCTAAGGACCAAAACATAAAAGGACAGGGTGGGACCATGGAAGGATTAATTTCAGGCAAGGGCAGCCTGTGGAGAGTGAGAAATCTGAAAAGGCTCTAGGCTTCTATGGGCATTCCCCTCCACTTCTTCTGCCTGCTGCCAGATGACTCTCACATGTGAATCCTTATTTCCTCAGGAATGCGGATCAGGGTTTGGCAAGTATGTTTTCAGTAAATAATTGCTGAATGTTCAACGCTTAAAGGCAGAAGCATAACTTTGAGTGTGCACAGTAATCACTGAAAATGATTCTGTACTCACCGTTTTGATGCAAATGCAAATTCTCATAGCCCCTGCACTGACTCCGTGGGTCACCTGTGAGTAACTCTAGCCAAAAGCCACGCACAAGCCCTGGTCTGCCTCCAGGCAGCAGACCACAACACAGTGCCCTGAGTGCACCTGCACACACCCATGGGCACACATTAAACCCATAAACGGCGGGTTATGCTAACGTGTACTTCCTTCCTCACTGCCTCACCTTGTTCATTTTCCTTTTTCCCCACCCCTCACCCCATACAATAGGATTTTTGTTTGCTTCAGTAGCATGTGACAGCACAGTCCCTGCTTTGCCTAGCTCTGTGCTGCAAGTCTCTCAGGTAACAGGTGGCAGCTTCCCCTGTTGGATTCTAGGTTTAAAAAAGAATGACCTCATGTGGGTGGAGCTCTGGGACTTCGTAGAGGTGGTGGCAGTCACAGCCAGGTAACCCTGGAGTGAAGCGGTTTAGTTAGAAGGGAGCAGATAAACTCGTCACTCTAGTAGCTTTAACCCTCACCCTGAGGCACCTTAGCAATCAGCCATTGCCTGCAAGCCTCCAAAGCTTGTCTTTGCCTAATATGGAGCCCAAAGAAGCCACTGGGAAAGAAAACATGGTCACCAAGAAAAAGAATCTGGCCTTCTTGAGGTCTAGACTCTATATGCTGGAGAGAAGGAAGACTGACACTGTGGTTGAGAGCAGTGTTTCTGGGGACCACTCTGGCACCTTGAGGAGGAGCCAATCTGACAGGACCGAATACAACCAGAAATTACAAGGTAACCAAAAAGAAATCAATTGTCCCAGTTACTGCACTCCCAGCTCCATTTCTGCTACGTTTCCAATTGCAAAGAAAACACACAAGGCAGAGGGGAAAATTGAATACCACCTCTCCTTCCCACAAAATAAGAAGATGAAAGTAAATGTGACCTATAAATTATAGGGAAAAAAATTTATTACGTGATTCAATGTTAAAGAGTCAATTCCGAATTACTCTTAATATTGCTGTGTTTTTCTTTTTTTTTTCCTGGTGAGGGTAATCATTTTTCTTCTAACTTCCTCTTTTCTTCTCCCTTCTCTACCCAACTTAAGAAGTGGGAAACACTGGAAAGCAAATGAGTTAGAAACCTACAAAAGATTGTTTATCTCAATGGGTAGATATGTGATATTACACCATGAGATATATCTAGGTAATGGTACTGAACTATGATTGTGGTTATCTTAAATAGGGGCATGAAACTATAATCGTGTCTGTGACAAAGAAGGAATGTTATAGTCAGAGAGACGGTATAAAAAGATTTGCTGAAATTCACTTAGGTGATTATTTCCTTTGAGTAAATTGAATAATACTCAAATATGGTAAGAAATGTTTAGCATGCTTATTTTGAATGACATTTGAGGAAATAACTTCAGTTTATTTTGTGATGGTACAAAGATAATTTGGCACAGTTATGATAGCACATCATTTGTTTCAGGGCCTTAATCTATATCCTGTCCTATCTATCCTTTCTTTCTCTCCTGTTTCCTGAAGGTCATTTGTTCTAGTAAAATTTCATTTTGATGTTGATATTGGGCAGCATTTTAAGTCTTTTCTTCGGTACTTGTTATGTGGTCCTCCAGAACTTGCCTCTCCTGCTTTTAGCACAAGGTGTGTCTGAACTCTCATCATCCCACTGTGAGCTGTCGTTTTGGATTTAAAAACTGTGATGAGGTCAGAAAGACCGATAGGACATGCTTATATTTAACAAATCTCTTTCCACAAATATGAGCTTAGATTTAGTTATGCAAATTAATTAAGTTAAATAAGTTAAATTAAATGCATTTAAATTAAATCTAAAAATTATTACTATAAGTTAATGTGTAAAAATAAAAAAAAAATTACCAGTAGTTCAGCACTAAAGCACAGCATCAATCTTATCCTCAAATACTTTTTTTTTAAAATGAGGGAGAGCATTGTTTAATCTTTGAAATTAATTTTTCTCCAAGCAATAGATACATTGGAAAGAATGGATGTCTTAAAATTTCAACTTTTATTTTAGATTCAGGGGGTATATATGTGTGTTTGTTACTTGCGTATTTTGTGTGATGCTGCGATTTGGGGTACAAATGATCTCATCACCTGGGTACTGAGCATAGTACCCAGTAGGTGGTTTTTCAGCCCTTGCCTCTGTCCGTTTCTCGCCACTCCAGTAGTCTCCAGTATCTATTGTTGCCACCTTTATGTCCATGTATGTCTAATGTTTAGCTCTCACTCATAAGTGAGAACATGCAGTATTTGGTTTGCTGTTCCAGCATTAATTTGCTTAGGATAATGGCCTCCGGTTGTATCCATGTTGCTGTAAAGGACATGATTTTGTTCTTTCTTCTGGCTGTGTAGTATTCCATGATGAATATGTACCATGAGAATTTAAAATCATACACATTTAGTTTCTAAACCTGGTTCTTCAACTTACTACCAATTAGAACTTGAGCAAATTACTTGAAATATCTGAGCCTCAATTTTCCTGTCTGTGAAAGTGGGACTAATGATACTTGCCACATAGTGTTGTTGGGAGATTGAAATTAGATAATTACAAAACATCTAGTATACTGGCTGATAAATTTTAGGAATAATGGGTACCATAATGATAAAACAGAACTTGCCCAATATTAATCGAAGTTTGTATACCTTATTTCTCTTTTTCAATTCTTTTTTGTCCTTTGATAAAGAGACCACATCTAGAAATTCAGGAAAAGCCCATTGCTTTATCCCTAATGACATGTTTTTTCTGTCTGAGTTTCACTAATTCAGCATCTATCAGAGTCTCCATTAGCAAAATAAAAACAGAAAATAATTTTTGCTATTCACAAATTTTTGCTTACTAAATTTTCCTAAAAAAATAAGTCTATGACCACACAAGAGAGCAGACATGGGTTGGTTACTTTGCAGAAGACCTCAGACTTCTTACGCACTTCATTTGATTTGTGGCTTTCCTGTGCTCTGTTGGATTCTTTGAAGGTGGAAGGCAAAACTCAGCAGTTAATACATGCTTCTAGTCTGTGCTTGAGAAAAATCACCAAGAAGTATAGAGGAGCACATAAGCCATAAAGATAGGCTGGCCTCCTGAGAAGTAACATCTTAAAAACGTAACCCTTAAAAGAATCCAAGTCTGATTATCGAACGCCTAATAGAGCTTTTAGCATGGTTCGACTAGAACAGGGAAGGCGACAAGGGAAGGCATTTTCTCATTAATGTTCAAAGCAATCAGTTCTGTGCGTTTGTTCTCTGGCCTGTACGATACCCATTATTATGCAGATGAGTCCTAAATCACCTTAAGAAGCTCTTTATTATTCAAATGCCGAGAGATTTTCCTCTCCCTTTCTTGGAACTGGTGGTCCCTGGGAGGCACTGAATAAACACCTGGACTGGTTAGAGCCCTCAGATAGATGGCCTAAAGCTCTTGTGAGGTCAAAGAGTGCTTTCAAATACTGGAATTTCTGGCAACACCACATTCCTCAAATTATTTAGCTGGTTATTTAATTAGTTATTTAATTGGTTGTCCTTCAATGCTATATTACCTGAGTAAAATTCACTGCTCTAACTCTCTGGGGAAGCAAGTTCTCTGGGTTCCGTAAAATGTAAGATTTTTCTTTGGTGCTCTTGAGCTTGTCTTTTAACTCATGATACCTAGTCTATCTGTTCAATTCAATTTCTCACATCACTTTAGTAGCATGAAACTTAAGTTGTAATAACAATTTTAAAAATGGTACACTGGCTGAATTAAAACGATAGAACATGGCTCTAACCAGGACATCCTAAAACCTTTGCAGAAGATTGTGATCACATCAACATAGTCATTCCTACTAAGCCTGGAGTTGTATAATAATAGAAAGGCCACCCTTAGGCTCCCTTACTCCTTGAACAGATTAATTCAGTTGACTAGCATTTATTGAATATGTTATACCTTGTTCTTTGAAATTAATTTTTCTCAAGGCCCTTGATACATTGGAAAGAATACAAATTGTAAAATCATACACATTTGGTAAATTGACATTTATTGAATGTTTTAGATGCTGTGTCTTGAGGGTTACAATGAACAGCAAAAACAGAATATGTGCCAGGAATTACAACTACAAAATCATCAAGAAAACATGTCTGACCTTTACTCCAAAGAGGCTCAAAGTCTGGTTGGGAAAGATAAGACAGGTAAACAAATAAATACAATAAAGTGGCATGATAGAAGTGGAGGTAGGATCAGTGGGTCCACAAAAGGAGGAAACGGTCTATTCAGGACTGCATGAAGGAGGTTGTCAGAAAATGGTGTCTCTAAGAAATGGTAAGGGTAGGGATGAGGGAAGGTACAGGTAAGAGAATGGCATTTTAACCTCTTCACTGTATTTAGCTCTGTCTGAAATGGTTTTTGTTTCCTTGTTTATCACCTGTTATTGACTGTTGTTCCCCTCCCTTTTCTCTCCCTCCCCGCTCATACACCATGAAAGAAACCCTATCTGTCTTGTTAACTGTTGCATCTCAGCAGCCCAGAATACAGTAAACACTCAGTAACTGTTAAATAGAGTGAATGACTTGAATGATCAGGCCCAAGCAGGAAACTGGTGTGAAGAAAGACACCATGGCCTGAAATAAGAGCCATTGTATTTATCTAAATATGTGAGGACACATGTTTCTATCAGAAAGATGATTCTTCAGTTAAATGAACATCAGAGATTAAAATGTACAGAATTTATATAATAAGTAATTCTTAGTGGAAGCCTGTTTCATTCCCAACTCGACCTTTCAGAGCACACAACAACCATATTTCAAAAATTCCTCTTCTATTAGTGACAAGAGCCATCTTAACTTCCACTAGCTCAATTCCTCATTTCCATTCTACTGGGAGCCATAGAAATTACCTAAATACAAGAAATTTAGTGGTTGAGTTGTAAAAACTCAGAAAGGGTTTCATAAATACTTATATACATGATCTCTACATTTGAAATATGCCTAATTTAAATAGTTATACAGAACTGTGTCTGTGCATATGCAGATATATATGTGTATATATATGTGTGTATATATATATATCTCCAGTATGTAGATATAGATATACATGTATGTACTTGTATGTGTTCGTGTGTGTACTTGAGACACTTTTTTGCAATGATTAGACTTTTTATTGAAAGTTACTATAAAATTTGAAGAACAAAAAGAACAAAAGTTTACTAACATTCAGGAGTCTTTTCTGAAAACCATATATGAATTATATCACTGACATTATAGGTTTCCTCTCAGTATGGGTACTATGGACTGAATGTTTGTATTCCTCTAAAATTCCTATGTGAAACCTAATCCCCAATGTGACAGTATTAGGAGGTGGGGTCTTTGGGAGGTAATTAGGTATTGAGGGTGAAGCTTTGGTGAATGGGATTAGTGACCCTTAAAAAAAAAAAAAAAAGGCAAGAGAGAGCTTGCTTCTCTCTGCTCTCAGCCATGTCAGGATACAAGAAGGTGGCCATGTGCAAACCAGGGAGTGGGCTCTCAGCAGGAATAAGATCTTCCGCATTAGGAATAAGATCAACTTGATTCTGGATTTTCTAGCCTGCAGAACTGTGAAAAATAAATTTTTGGTAAACTTAAGCCACCTAATCTCTAATATATTTGTTATAGCAGCCCAAACCAACCAAGACGGGTCGATTACCTTTATCCTCTATGGCCACACTAAACTTCTGGTTAATTTTCTGGCCAGTGCATATTTTTGTTTATCCAACACCAGGTGAAAAGGTGAGAATACATGGGTAAAATGCTATTACCCATTACCACTGCCGGTAACACAAGGCAAAAATTACGTCTCCATTTCTTAGTGTGTCTGTGGTACCTTCTATTTTTGCAAAGGCTATTGTATCATTCTAATTAAGAAAGGTTATCTTTATGAGACCCAAAGTTGTCTTAATATGGTGCGAAAGATGAACCACCCTACTGTATGAACTTTATACAAAATAACAGATTGTGCCATGTGGGGACAAGTGGCTCAAATAATAAATTAGACTTGGTAAGACTATGAGGGCATTTAATTTAAAATGTTTTTTAAGAATATAGACAGTCTGTCAGGGAGCAGAAATTAACACTGGAAGACTTGGTGAGTTTTGTTCAAGGCCAAATGAAGAATGGAGTAAAACAAATTGTCCAGCTTCCTGTGCATGTTTCTATCCCAGTGCTACAAACCCTTTTTGTTCGTGTCTGTTCTTTGATTAGTGAGTAGCTCCTTCCCCTTTATCTGCCTTCATACACTCTACAGTGAAATGGGAAGTATTTGAATCAGTAATGTGACACCAGTACAAACAGGTGTGTGTCATAGTTTGAAGGGCAAATCTTTCTAAAAGGCAAGACGCTTTAAAAACTCAGTAACTTTTGTCTTACTGCATATATAGAAACCAGTGTAAAACACGGTATTTTACTTTCCTATTTTTTTCAGTAGAGACATCTTGCAGTTTTTAGAAGGACCATTTGTGTCAAATAATGTGTGAGTCACAGAAATTGAGACTGTTTGAGCTATTCTACTACTACCATATTGTGATGGGCAAATTTATTCCTATGTTTGACCGATATGACTTTAGGTATAACTTTCTTAAAAGTAGCAAACACAATTTCTAGTTGTGCTTTTTTTTTTTGTTTATAAAAATTATGGGTTTATCAAAATGAGACATCAAGAGGAAGAAGGAATGAAAGAAAGGAAGGAGAGAGAGAAGGGGAGGGGAGAGACAGACAGAAACCAAGCAAGCAGCAAGAATGAATAGAAATATACCTTAAAATAGTAATAAAGTTGGAGAAATGATGGGAGAGAGAAAAGCACCCAAGCCACATTCATCTTTGTTTCTGTTGACACAGGAAAAGAAAAAAAAAAACCTCTGTTTACAGAATTACTTTTTCTTGATGCCATAATCATATTAGCATCAGTACCTTTATGAATATTGATTTCCTGATAAAAGTAGAATTATTGCAAGAGTTGCTAAATTTATAAGCAGTATCGTTCTTAGAACCAGTCAAGACTCAAAGTTATGGCTTATTTGGGAGTCCTACCTTCACTTCTAGACTGTTTCTGAGACTGTGGAATTTTCTGTTCAACAGGCCTCAGTACTGGCTCCAACATTTGCTTGGACCGCTTCTTATCCCATGCTCTCAAGGGCAGACTGTGGTTGCTGGTGTGCATGCTCTTAGGCCTAAGGCACAATTGATGATGGGGGTGTTTCTGGAGCTTGATCATGCTGGAGTGTTCAGATCATGTCTACCAGGTTCCTCTGGGTGGGAAAGCTGGTAGAGAGAAGAGTAGGGATTCAAGCCTCAAGATTAGGTAGGAGTGCGTGTGTCCCATGGTCCCCTGCCAAATTTTGGCATAAAACTCTGAGGGATATGAGAAATCTAAATTAGAAGTTGGCCTTTCAGATTGTTATAAAATATATTTATCAAGACAGAAGGAAATATCACATTTTATTTAATAGTTTGCCAGCTTCATTTATAACTTTTAAATATGTAGATCTGGTATGCTGGCCTCCATCTGTATCCTTGCTCCAGGTCCCACAAAGGAGGCAGCTATGTGTGGTTTTTGACTGTAATCTATTTCAGGATATAACCCTTCTTCTATACTAGGTTGTGAAAGTAAGAGGGAAGGGGAGGGAAGGAAGAGATTGAGTATTAGTGTTATGTTATCTGCTAGGAGCTATGCTAGCCAGATGCTGTCACACACACTGTTACTGAATCCCAACTTCTCTTCTGTTCAGTTCTGATTTTATCATTGAGAAAAATAGGTGGTAGGCCTTGGGTTTGAGATGTCACATGCTTGAAATATTTGCAAAATGGAATGAATTTAACTAGTTGACTCAGTAGGTATTTTATACATATGATTTACTAAGAAGTCAAAGCCATTTGATGGTTGCAGCACATGTTTTGTAATGTGATGACATTTCTCTGCTACCATAATAAAGCTTAACTTGCTGTTTTTCACTTTGGAATATATTTTCTTTCTTTTGACTTATAGTGGCATGTCCCTGCCAGACTGTCACTGTTTAATAAATACTTTTTTTGTTTAGTTGTCGGGGAACAAAATTACAAAGGTAGGTTAAGCAAAACTGTCTTATAGTAATAGCTTAATGATCTCCATTTCCTGCTTCATTGCGTATCTTGACACTGAAACTCATCTTTCTTTAATTTTATGCCTGTTGTCATTTATTTGCATCTCAATAAAACTTAATATATATCAGAATAACTGAGAGTCCTATTCTACAGCAATGAGAGGAGGGAATACATTTGCAAATGAAAAGAATGGAATTATGTGTGGGAAACAAGCAACTTTTTATCTGGATAGGTGATATTTCAGTAGAATTGTATGAAGTCAGCTTAAATTGTGAGTCATAACTTAAATGCAGCAGGAACACAGAGTGCTATGATTTAAGACTTTGTCCAAGGTTTTCTGAACAATGTTTTTCTTGATTAATGAATCAGAGAATAAATGAATAGTCTAAGATACCTGCACTGAAGCCCTCGATAGAGGATGCAATCTTAGACTGACATACAATTCTTACTTAAAGAAGAAAACTTAAAGGTCATGTCATCTAGCTACTACTCTAAGTATTGTGAGTCATTATAGCACTTCACAGAAACTGTTTTTCCTGAATGCTTCTTAATGTTAGGTCTCCAGTGTCACTACAAAAAGCCATCACAGATTTCTCCTTCTGTGTTTGTTGTGAAATGGTTGATGAAGACATTGTTTACCTCTCTCAGATTTTATTCAATGGAAAGCTGACTCTCCTTAAGAATAAAAACACATCCCCTCCCAGATAAAAACAAGCAATTTACTATATTTAGCTGCTAGGAGCTTAGGGTCAAATTTGTTTTTGTTCCCTGGCCTTTATATTAACTATTTTGTCTGTCTAAAAGTTTCTTTCCCATAGAGGCAGGGTGTGGTGGCTCATGCCTGTAATCCCAGCACTTTGGGTGGCCAAGGTGGGTCTATCGCTTGAGCCCAGGAGTTTGAGACCAGTCTGTGCAACATGGTGAGACCCTGTCTCTACTAAGAAAACAAAACAAAACAAAACAAAAAATTAGCTGGTTGGTGGTGCATGCCTGTAATCCCAGCTACTTGGGAGGCTGAGGCACAAGAATCACTCAAACCTGGGAGGCAGAAGTTACAGTAAGCTGAGATCATGCCACTGCACTCCAGCCTGGAGTCTCAAAAATAGAGTAGAATAATAGAATAGAATAGAATAGAATGGAATAGAATAGAATAGAATAGAATGGAATAGAATAGAATAGAATAGAATAGAATAGAATAGAATAGAATAGAATAGAATAGAATAGAATAGAATAGAATAGAATAGAATAGAATAGAAAAGTTTCTTTCCCCAGATCTCTGCAAGAGCAGATTTTTATCACTGAAGTCTCTGTTCGTCTTTTTTGGGAGTCCCTCCCTGACCATCCGACCTAAAGTGATGTAGGTAAGGGAATACCTTTCCTCTACCCTCTTAAATTCTGTGACTAGGACCTGTGAATTGTATAGACAAAAGACATACTAACAAAAGAAAAAGCATACACATTTTACTTGAGGTTAACATTTTTATGTGTCGTAGGAGGCTTTGTAGGAAGAAAGAAGTAAAAACCTCAAAGAAGCAGTTAGACCTAGGGGTTTACATAACATTTTAACAAAGGTCATAAATTGTGGAGATATGACAAAGCCAAAGTAAAAGAGTTTAGGGTTGGGGAAAGAAATTGTGGAAAAGTGACTAGGAAATACATGGGAGAAGCTAATGGAAGATAAGGGTTATTTTTGTAAGATTTGTTTGTGTAGATTCATCTCTGTGTCAACTCCCTGTCTCTGATGATGAGAATATTCCCTTCTTGGTGATACAGGGAGGGCACTTTTCTCATGGTAAATTTACACTCTGCTTTTAAGTAAAAAAGGAAAAGGCAGAGAGCCCTTCCTGCATCTGCTATTGAGCATCTCCAGCTCAAAATAATCAGTATCCCAAAGTGGCATATTTAGGGATGGTGTGTTCTGATCCCCCTCAGTGGCTTTCATACCATCTATTACTCTATGAAATTATACTACTTCATTCTATTTTTGGCTTTTGCTGTCATTTGAATATAATTCTCCTTGGGGAAAAAGACTTAGCATTTAAGCAATGCCTGGTATACAGTTATTCTGCTCAATGACTATTTATTGAATGACTTTAAAATATCCAGTGAATAATTACAACTATATTGATCCTTATGACATACTTGCTTTTACAATTCTGTCATTTTCACTTACCCACTATGTAATGGTAGTTAACTTTCAGTTAATTTCTTTACATTCTTTTTCTGTAAAGAAAGATTATAAATAAATAAATTTAATTAAAGAAGAGACTAGAAAGAGTTTCCTGGCCAAGAAAAATAGGATCTCTTTTTAAATGAATTTATTCAACAAATATTTGCTAGGTATTCGTATGTGCCAGGTATGACTAGGTCCTAAGAATGTTTTTTAAAATATCAGAAGCACACCCAGCCCACTGAGTGAGACAGGTTGTGAACAAATTATTGCAGTAATGTAACAAGGGCCTGAAGTATACTGCAAATTGGGTTTCCGACTTGCAAATTCTGAAATAGAGATTCGGGTGGAGGGGAATTATTAGGCAACATTCTGTGACCACCACCTGGGGAAGAAAAGGGAAGGACATAAGCCTGGGCACAGGGAGAGGCCGAGCTGTGATGTGGTCTCATTGGAAGCTTTAGCCAACTCTGAGGGAAGTTCTGAAGACAGATGATTTTTTGGAGTTGTCTCCAGTGTTGTGAAGGACCTGGGCCCTTGTATCACACTTTACGTTTGGGGATGTGGCTATCTTGGGAAAAGGCATGGCCTGAGAGGTGCTTTCATCTGAGATAATTCCTAAAGAGGGCATATCTGCTGGTTGCACTCCCGGCAGCTGAAATAATAATTTATCCCTTCCTTTAAGGGGAACGGGTGCTAACATGGCATCCACCACATATTAAGTGGTTATTATTATTAGAGACACAAATAAAGCAATATAGGAGCTATGATAAGAAAGAGCTTAATTGCACCTCTGAAATGCCAAAAGAAAATACACTGAAATCTGAATCTTGAAATCCAATTAGGACTTTTAGGGGCAGAAGCCATTCCAGGCAGAGGGATTATGCTGGTCCTCATACATGGAACAAGGTAATAATACTAATTTTTGTATTTGGGGATTTCTAAATGGAAGAGCAGGTACAAACACCAACTGAACATCTGTAGTAGGCACTTAGGTGCAGTACGTCATTTCATGCTCTTAGCAACTTTGCAAATAAGTTATTGCCATATATTTATAGATGATAAAACAGAGGTTAAGAGAGGTATAAGCATTCTCCCAGTGGTCACATAGCTATTAATAGCAACTGGTGAAGTCAGAGTTTTCCTGAGGTTTGCTTGGCTCCAAAGTCAGGGCTTTTTCAACCATCATGCAGTTTTCCTGTTCTAACCTTAGTTTTTAGTAGTAGTACCTGTTTTATGGTTTGCTCTTAAGAAATCAACTGATTTTAATAAACTTTTGAACAATACTCACAAGCATCAAGAGAACTGTAAGTTCTGCCAATACATTCATCGGCAATCTTGAAGTGAACAGTGACCAACAAGTATTTTTCAGTAGCTGTGTTATTTTATGCCTCTCAACAAAATGTTCTATGTGCTTGGAAATTAGAAAGATATGTACTTGCATTGAATAAGGTCCATACTTCACAGAAACACTAGAATATTCTGCTCTAAAAATACAAAACTGATTATCTGAATTATCTAGTCTTTGAAAACTCCTTGTCATCACTAACTACAGAGTACTTACCTGGATTAGGGTACTCAGTGAAAAACTGGGTCAGAATGTCAAACTACATGGCTCCTTTGCTTAACACTCCTCATTGCTTTTCATTTTTCTATAGCTAGCAGCAGTACCCAAAGAGGGGAATATATAAACCCCAGGAGATTTTACAGACAATCTATTGTGCAAAGAAAAAAATAGGTTTGTTTTTCAGTATTGCTCTTTGAAAATATTTATTGTTGTGCATGCTTCATAATATGTATGATACATTAATATGATACGTATATTAGAGGTGTATACACAGAACAGTTTAACTGACACAATAAAAACATTTGCAGTAAAATTCTGACACGCTACTACATGGATGATCATCAAAGATATTGTGCTAACTAAAATAAGCTAGTCACAAAAGGACAAACGCTATATGATTCTACTTATATGAGAGTAGTCAAATTCATAGGGACAAAAAGTAGAATGGTGGTTTCCAGGGGCTGGGGGAAGGAGGAAATGGGGAATTATTGTTTAATGGGTAGAGTTTCAATTTGGGAAGATGAAAAAGTTGTAATGATTGCATAATAATGTGAATGTATTTAATGATACTGAACTGTTTACTTAAAAATAGTTAACATTGTAAATTTTATGTCCTGAATATTTTACCACAATAAAAAATGATAAAAAAGTTTGGCGGCCCTTGGTTTACAATATTAAAATGGAATGTAAGGCTTTTCCCAATTTGACTCTATCTCATCTCTGGCCTGGAGGACAGTGTTACTTTTGTCAATGAAAAGAGTCAAACTCTGTGAAATATTTGAAGATATTTATTCTGAGCCAAATATGAGTGGCCAATGGCCTGTGACACAGCCCTCTGGAGATCCCGAGAACATCTGCCCAAGGTGGTCAGCCAGCAACTTGGTTTTATACATTTTAAGCTTGGGTCAGGAAAGGTGGGACACTCATCTTCTGCTAAAGACTTTAAATAAAAACATTTTCTGAAGTACCCATTTATTTAACTCCTCATTGCTCTGTCTGTGCTATGCTGATCACTGTCGGAGCCTGTAAATTCAAACCAATACCACTTCAGTATTTTTCAAGACAGGTAAGCTTTGTTTAATTCCTTTTTGAAATCCACTAATCTACTTTCTATGCCAATTAGCAGTCAGAGGAAATAAATCACATGCCCTTCCAATGAAGATAAAATATTCCCAGCCCCAGTATTTGAGCTTTCAAATTCAGAGTCTCAGAGGGTCTGTTCCTCCACATTTTCACTTAATACCTCACTGGCTCCCCTCCAAACCCTGTCTGACATGCAATTATTTTCAACCTATTTCACAGAAGTCTGCTCCATTCATCTTTCTGTGGGTCAGATTTCCATTGAAACTGATTTTAAACGATAAAAGATTTTACTGTGTGAAACGTATGTTGGTAGGGCTCGACGCAATGCTAAGCCAAGATTTTTTTGGGTTTATTGGGGCAGATATGAAATTGGCAGCATGGAGAGGGATGAAAGAACATTTATAATCATATCTGGGGGTTTCGTAATGATCTGTCTGGAATAAAACTGTATATTGAATTATGGGTGGGTGTTTGCACTATACGGGTAGAAAGGGAATCGGACTGATAGAGGCAGGGAGGGAGTGTTGGTCAGAAGTTCTGAACTCAATTTCTGGCTTTGTTACTTAAGGTAGAAGACTTACTCTCTCTAGAAATTAGCTTCCTTTTTTTATATAATGAGATAGAGCTGAGCAGAACTTATCACCTTATCTCCTCTACCTGCTCTTTTCCTGTTGTTCCCTATTTCTTTAAATGGCACCATGACCCAGTTAACAAGTCAGAAATCTGAGAGTCAGCTTTGACTTCTCCTTTACCCTCTGCATTGATTACTCACCAGTTCATGCTAATTTCACCTCTTGAATTTCCCTTGATCTGCTCTGTTCTTTCTATCTTCTTGGCAATTAGACTAAGCTTAACTCCCTCCTTCTTTCCCCTAGTGACTGGACTGTCCATGCGAAGAGCCACTTCACTACCCACAGGCTTCCTCCTCACCCTCCCCTCTCAAATCTAGTTCAGTGGAGGCCAAAGTGATCTTGCTAAGAGAATCTAATCATGTCCCTCATTTATTAAAAAATTCCTCATTGTCGAGATCTGTCTCCTGAGAATTTCTCTAGACTTGTCCCCTTTTCACAACCTCTATCACTTGTACTTCAGCTGCACTAAGTTGTTTTCGCATCTTTTTTTGCCACCAAGCCTTTAAATATACTATTTCTTTTGCTCATGACACTTTTGCATTTCTCTTCACCTTGTGCTACCTGTTTCAGATTTCAACTGTGTCACTTCTCCATAGGACTGATGTCCAGGCTGTGCTATGCTTGCATGGGTCACAGGTTATCATAATTCTATTTATACTAACTACAGTTTTAATTTTTTTATTTTTAATTTTTGTGGGTACATAATAGGTGCATATATTTATGGGTTACATGAGATATTCTGATACAGGCATGCAATGCATAGTAATTCCATCAGGAAAAATAGAGTATCAATCACCTCAAGCATTTATCCTTTGTGTTACAAATAACCCAGTTATACTCTCTTAGATATTTTGAAATGTACAATTAAATTATTTTTTTATTATAGTCACCCTATTGTGTTAGCAAATACTGGGACTTACTTATTATTTCTAACTATGTTTTTGTACCCGTTAATCATCCCCCTTTCCTCCACTACATCCTCCAGACTACCCTTCCCAGCCTCTGGCAGCCATCTTTTTTTTTTTTTTTTAAGAGACGGAGTTTTGCTCTTGTTGCCCAGGCTGGAGTGCAATGGCACGATCTTGGCTCACCGCAACCTCCACCTCCCAGGTTCAAGCGATTCTCCTGCCTCAGCCTCCCGAGTAGCTGGGATTACAGGCATGCACCACCACGCCCAGCTAATTTTGTATTTTTAGTAGAGACAAGATTTCTCCATGTTGGTCAGGCTGGTCTTGAACTCCTGATCTTAGGTGATCCTCCTGCCTTGGCCTCTGAAAGTGCTGAGATTACACACCTCGCCTGCCATCCTTTTACTATCTATCTTCATGAGTTCAGTTGTTTTAATTTTTAGCACCCACAGATAAGTGAGAACATGCAAAGTTTGTCTTTCTGTGCCTGACTTTTTTCACTTAACATAATGGCCTCCAGTTCCATCCATGTTGTTGCAAATGATGGGATATTATTCTTTTTATGGCTGAATAGTAAGTACTCCATTTACACCAGTTTTTAAATACTGACCAATATTTTAAAATGCAAAGTGATTTGTTTGCAGAATCTTTCTGGAATAATTCTTAATCTTTTAAATTTGTCTCATTCAACTCCTAATATAACAGCAGTGCTTTGGCAACTTGACTTTATAAAATTATGTCAAAACATTAAAGCAGTTTTCACAGAAACATACACATGGTATTTTACCCTCATATTTCATTAATTATGTAAGTTTCGTTAAAGTAATATAATTACAAAGAAGTACAACTGACATAATGAAGTCAGCTGTTGAACACAATTAAGTCTTGAAAAATATGCCCCTTGATTGTTAAGTGGAGAAGTACATAGACATCAGTTTGTGTATTTAAGGGAGATAATGGAAAATGTTGATTTATCTCATGACTTCAATACCCTGTCTTTACTTCTAGATTATACATATCTTGATGGTAAGAGCTGTTGTTTATTCATTTAATATACACAACACAAAGCACAATATCAACTCAATATCCAATATGTAATTTAAAAAATTAATATTAAATTAGATATAAGGTTTTTTTTTCTTTTATTATTATACTTTAAGTTTTAGGGTACATGTGCACATTGTGCAAGTTAGTTACATACGTATACATGTGCCACGCTGGTGCGCTGCACCCACTAACTCGTCATCTAGCATTAGGTATATTTCCCAGTGCTATCCCTCCCCCCCTCCCCCCACCCCACAACAGTCCCCAGAGTGTGATGTTCCCCTTCCTGTGTCCATGTGATCTCATTGTTCAATTCTCACCTATGAGTGAGAATATGCGGTGTTTGGTTTTTTGTTCTTGCGATAGTTTACTGAGAATGATGATTTCCAATTTCATCCATGTCCCTACAAAGGACACGAACTCATCATTTTTTATGGCTGCATAGTATTCCATGGTGTATATGTGCCACATTTTCTTAATCCAGTCCATCACATGAACAGACACTTCTCAAAAGAAGACATTTATGCAGCCAAAAAACATATGAAAAAATGCTCATCATCACTGGCCATCAGAGAAATGCAAATCAAAACCACAATGAGATACCATCTCACACCAGTTAGAATGGCAATCATTAAAAAGTCAGGAAACAACAGGTGCTGGAGAGGATGTGGAGAAATAGGAACACTTTTACACTGTTGGTGGGACTGTAAACTAGTTCAACCATTGTGGAAGTCAGTGTGGCGATTCCTCAGGGATCTAGAACTAGAAATACCATTTGACCCAGCCATCCCATTACTGGGTATATACCCAAAGGTCTATAAATCATGCTGCTATAAAGATATAAAGTTTTTTAACTCCAAAGACTATGGAATTTGTAAAATTGTTAACTTACCTTCAAATTCTAATATTCTTTGATTTGTATGTAATTATAAACATATTTGTGTTGTGATGAAATTATATATTAGTTAATGGCCAGATTCTTGTGTTGTATTATCTTTGTGTTCTCCACAGTCAAATGACTGTGAAAGTTGCTCAATAAGTAAGTATCAAATGGTGTATGTGTGCCTGCCTGGTTGGTTGTTGGGAGTATGAGAATGTTCCAACATTCTTGAAGTATGTCTTTGTTAGCAGCATGAGAACAAACGAATACATACTGCATTTTGTTTATAAAAGTGCATATTCCTGAAAATTATTTTTAGGGTGAGGGCAAGTGCTGTTAAGTAAGGCATTAAACAAAACCTTAAGCTTGGTATATGAAATTATTCACTACAACTATTCTTTACTAAGAGATCAGTAAGATTTCAATACAATTAAGAAAATCTAAATTCAGGATTATTTATTGGTAGCTATTGAAAAACAATATCAGAGGGGAACCTTAATCTAAATAAACAATGACTTAGAATTTTACAAGTAATAATAAGCTGTGTACTTTAGCAGGACACAGCTGTTTAATCATCTCCTTGCCCATTAAACTTGTTTGAGAAGCACATTCTCAGTGACTGCTCAGAAACTTATTTGCATTGGTGATTTAGCTTTGGGGTAAATGATTCAGATTTTTAAAATTCAGATGTTATTATATTATGCTAAACAACATGCCAGGGCTATATCCCTAGCTCATTTGAATTTAGCCTGAATAATAGCAGTGCACATTAGGCCTGGTGTTGAACCGACTTTGTAGCAGTCTTTGCTGTTTTTGCTTTTTCCAGCCAAGGAGGGCAATTTCCTGATAGATGGTCAATCTCCCCTCTTGCCCTTGGAACATTTCCAAGGAAAAGAAAAAGAGGGAAAGCAGGTGTAGCCATTCACAACCAGATACAGAATAATGGCAAGTAAATCATGGTCGTAAAAACAATGACTGACATTTTTTGAGAGGTTTCTGGTATGTCAGACATTGAATTAAGCAATTTTCATGCTTTATCTCAATTCTCACAACCTCCTAGCAGTGAGCAGTGGTTAACATGCAGGTTCAGGAGCCAGACTGGCTTAGGTTTGAATCCTGGCCCTCCACTTTCAGTGGTGTGACCTTGGGCAAACTGCTTAACCTCTGTGTGTGTCAGCTTCTGCATGCGTAAAAGGAAGGGAATATATATACATCTTATTGTGTTTTTGTGAAGATTGAAGAGAAAATGCAAAACAAACTCAGTATTTGCACTAAAAAATGTTAGCTTTTATTATCATTTAATATTACTATTATTCTTTTTCTCTTTCTACAGTGAATCAATTTAGTGAATCCAAATGACTTTGTCCAGGTCACAGAGGAAGTGGGTGTCATTGCCAGAACTGAACTCTATGCCTCCCTGTCCAGCAAAATTCCACTACATAGAACATGATGTACCATGATCACGACAGTTCCAGTCAGGGAGTGAAGGGAGAGAGCCCAGGCTTCGGAGCTAAGCACATAAAGTTTGAATCCAGCTCTTCTGCATATTCTATGAATCACTGAATATATTTACATACATTCACTGTATTCAGTTTCATCTCTAAAATTAGCATAATATCCCATTTTTAGAGTTGTGAGAAAGATAATAAATAATGCATATTTTAAAAACTGGTAAATAAAAAGTTCTTGAAAGTGGTTGCTCTTATTATAGGCTTATCACAATACATTATAATCAAATATAATTGCAGTAATAGTGTATAATGCTTTAATATCAAAAATAATTTGGGGGAACATACACGTTTATAAACAAAATGCAGTATGTATTAGTCTGTTCTCATGCTGCTGATAAAGACATACCTGAGACTGGGTAATTTATAAAGGAAAGAGATTTAATTGACTCAGAGTTCCACAGGGCTGGGGAGGCCTCAGGAAACTCACAATCATGGCAGAAGAGGAAGCAAACACATCCTTCTCATGGCAACATGAGAAGGGGAACTATGAGTGAAGAGTGGGGAAAAGGCCCTTGTAAAACTGTCAAATCTTGTGAGAATTCACTGTCCAAAAACAGCAGCCTAGGGGTAACCATCCTTGTAACCATCCTTATGATTCAATTACCTCCCACCAGGTCCCTCCCATGACACGTAGGGATTATGGGATCTACAATTCAAGATGAGATTTGGGTGGGGACACAGCCAATCCATATCATGGTATATATACACAATGGAGCATCATCAGCCTTAAAAGGAAAGGAAATTCTGATAACATGATATAACATCAATGAACCTTGAGGAAACATGATACAACACAGATGAACCTTGATTACATTCCGCTAACTGAAATAAGCCAGACACAAAAGGACAAATACTGTATGACGCTACTTATATGAAGTACATACTAGTCATATTCATAGAGACAAAAAGCAGAATGATGGTTGCCAGGGGCTGGAGGGAGGAAGAAATGCATAAGTATTGTTTAATAGGTATAAAATTTGCTTAGAAAGATGAAAACATTCTGGAGACGTTTGGTGGTAATGGTTGTCCAACAATGTGAATGCATTTAATGCCGCTGAACTGCACACTTAAAAATAGTTACCATTATACATTTTATGTCATGTATATTTTACTACAATGAAAAAGTTGGAGAAAAAAGAATATATCCATCTACGGGAGGAAAAATTTGTTATTAAAATTATTGAAATAAGAATTGCAGTCCTAAAATTAACTCATACCTCATCCTTTTTTTTTCTTTTTCTTTTTTTTTTTTTTTTTTTGAGACGGAGTCTCACTCTGTCACCCAGGCTGGAGTGCAATGGCGCAATCTTGGCTCACTGCAAGCTCCACCTCCCAGGTTCTCGCCATTCTCCTGCCTCAGCCTCCGGAGTAGCTGGGATTACAGGCGCCCACCACCATGCCCAGCTAATTTTTTGTATTTTTAGTAAAGACGGGTTTCACTGTGTTGGCCAGGCTGGTCTCAAACTCCTGACCTCAGGTGATCCGCCCGCCTCAGCCTCCTAAAGTGCTGGGATTACAGGCGTGAGCCACCGCGCCCTGCCTGCTCATGCCTCTTCAGGAAGATTTTTGATATTTTGCGTTGAATTCCTCTAAGAAGTCATTTCAGTCTTTATATTTCACAGTAGTGAGAAGGAGTGCATGACTGTTCTTACCCACACATATGTTCCTTTTCGAATTGGCAGATGAGTATTCATCAATGTAGATTCTAACAATACTGTCAGAGGAGAAATAATATTGTTGTGACACCAAGAGAACATTTTTATTGTACACATTACCTTGGAATAACATTTTTGCCAGGAAATTTGATGCAGCATACATATGGTGCCTGATAGAAAGAAGCCAGGCGAAAGTACATTAGTCCTGTGTGTTGTACATGATATATAGTCAAACAGCCTGTGAGATAGAAGGATATCATTAACTATGAAGGTCATTCCATCATCAGTATAATGTTTGGAACAAAGATATATTCAGTTATGCTGTTTACTCTATTTATACTTCAACTCTGCATCTTTATAAACCTACCTTTCTATGTGATTTTTAAAACTCACAGAAGACTTTTTTTTAAGAAGAGAAGATCTGTTTTGTTTAAATTGCCTTGCACTCCAAATAAAAACTATTATGAATTTTAAAACATGACTTCTTCTGACATTGAAACTCTTCTTTTTTTTCCAATGACTATATAACTGTTAAAATTTTGGAAAAATATTTTAGTATGCCCAGGAAGCCTTGCTATGTCTATTCTATTTGCATTTGTTTCATAGTCTCATTAGGTTCATTTTCCCCCTAATTTTTCATTTGTGGTAAAATGCACATAACAACATTTACCATCTTAGCCACTTTAAAGTGTACAGTTCCGTGGCATTAAATACATTCATAATGTTCTGTAAACATCACCACCACCTCCAGCTCTCTTTTCATCTTGTAAAAATGAAACTCTGTAACTATTAAACAATAACTCTCTCTTCCCCCCAATCCTCAGCCCTTGGCAACCATCTCCACTTTCCGTTTCTATGATTTCGACTATTCTAAGTACCTCATACAAGTGGGATCATATGTATTTGCCCTTTGTGCCTGGCTTATTTTACTTGCCATAATGTCCTCAAGGTTCATCCAGGTTATAACATATGTCATAATTCCCTTTCTTTTTAAAGCTTGAATAATATTCCATTTTCTGAATATTACACATTTTGTTCATCTATTTATCCATTAATGGATACTTGGGTTGCTTCCATGCTTTAGCTATTGAGAATAATGCAATCCTACCAACAATACTCAAGAATTCCAATTCCAATTTCTCCACATCCTTGCCAACACCTCTGGCTTATATTTTAAAATATATTAGCCATCCTTATGGGTGCAAAGTGGTATCTCACTGTAGTTATGATTTGCTTTTCCCTCATGATTAGTGATGCTGAGCATCTTTTCATATGCTGATGGGACCTTTGTATATTTTCTTTGGAGAAAAATCTATTCAAGTGCCTTTGCTCATTTTTTATTCAGGTTGTTTATTTTGTTGTTGTTATTGTTGAGTTTTGGAGCTCTTTCTACATTCTGGGTGTTAATCTTTTATCAGATATACAAATATTTTCTCCTATGCTGTAAACTGCTTTTTTATTTTGTTGATAGTGTCTTCTGATGCACAAACTTTAAAATTTTCATAAGTCCAACTTTTCTGTTTCTTCAGAAAAGAAGAAAAAAGCCTGAGCCTTTGTCATATCCAAGAAATTACTGCCAAATTCAATATCATGAAATTTTTGCCCTATGTTTTCCTTTACAAGTTTTATATTTTTAGATTTCTGATCCATTCTGAGTTAAATTTTGTATGTGGTGTTAGATAAGGGTCTAACTTCATTCTTTTGCATGCAAATATCCAATTTTCCCGGCACCATTTGTTGTAAAGATTGTCTTTTCCCCATAAAATAGTCTTGGCACCCTTGTAAAATATCATTTGACCATATATGCAAGGATTTATTTCTGGTTCTTTATTCTGTTTCATTAGTCTGTATTTATGCCAGTACCACAATATGTTGATTTCCTGTAACTTTGTAGTAAGTTTTGAAATCACGAAGCATGAGTTCCTCCAGCTTTATTCTTCTTTTTCAAGATTATTTTGGCCTATTGTTGTCCCTTGAGATGCCATGTAAGTTTTAGGATGGGTTTTTTTTTTTATTTCTACAAAAAAAAATTGGAATTTTGATAAAGATTGCATAGAATCTGTAAATCACTTTGGGTAGTATTGACGGCTTAACAATATCAAGTCTTTCCGTCCATGAACATATCTTCTCATGTATTTATATCTTTAATTTCTTTAATAATATTTTGTAGTTTTCATTGTACAAATCTTTCTCCTCTTTGGTTAGGTTAAGTCATAAGTATTTCATTGTTTTTGATGCTACTGTGAATGGAAACACTTTCTTAATATTTTTTCAGATTGTTCATTGCTACTGTATAGAAGAAATGCAACTGATTTTTGTGTGTTGACTTTATATTCTGCTACTTTACTGAATTTATTAGTTCCAACAGTTTTTGGGGTGAACATTTAGTTTTCCACACATGAGATCATATAATTTTAGAACAGAGAGAATTTTACTTCTTTTTTTTCCACTTTGGATGCCTTTATCTCTTTTTCTTGCCTAATTGCTCCAGCTAGAATTTTCAGTACTATGTTGAAAAGAAGTGGCAAAGACCGGGTGCGGTGGCTCACACCTGTAATCCCAGCACTTTGGGAGGCCAAGGTGGGTGGATCCCGGGGTCAGGAGTTCAAGACCAGCCTGACCAACATAGTGAAACCCCATTTCTACTAAAGATACAAAAAAAAATTTAGCCAGGCATGGTTGTAGGCACCTGTAATCCCAGCTACTTGGAGGCTGAGGCAGGAAAATCGCTTGACCCCAGGTGGCAGAGGTTGTAGTGAGCCGAGATGGTGCCATTGCACTCCCGCCTGGGTGACAGGGCAAGACTCCATCTCAAAAAAAAAAAAAAAAAAGAAGTGGCAAGAGCAGGCATCCTTGTCTTGTTTCTGATCTTAGAAGAGAAGCCTTCAGTCTTTCACCATTAAGTATGATGTTTGCTGTTAATTTTTTATATATGGCTTTTATTATGTTAAGGCGGTTTCTTTCTATCCCTTGTTTGTTGGATTAAAAAAATTTTTTATTTCTATAGCTTTTGGGGTACAAGTCTTTTTTGGTTACATAGATTGATTATATAGTAGTGAATTCTGACATTTTAGTGCACCTATCACCTGAATAACGTATGTTGTATCCAACATGTAGTTTTGTATCCCATATAGAATAATGGTGTCCAGCTCCATCCAGGTTGCTGCAAAAGACATTATTTCATTCTTTTTTATGGCTATATTCCATAGCACATATATATATGCACACACATATATATAGCATATATATATATGTACACACATACACACACATATATACACACACACACACACACACACACCATATTTTCTGTATCCACTCACTGGTCAGTGGGCACTTAGGTTGGCTTCATATCTTTGCAATTGTGAATTGTGCTGCAATAAACATACAAGTACATGTGTCTTTTTCATATAATGACTTCTTTCCTTTGGGTAGATATCCATTAGTGGGATGGCTGGATCGAATGGTAGATCTAGTTCTTTAAGGAATCTCCATACTATTTTTCATAGAGGTTGTACTCATTTACATTCCCACCAGCAGAGTAGAAGCATTCTCCTTTCATTACATCTACATCAACATCTATCATTTTTTGACTTTTTGATAATGGCCATTCTTACTGGAGTAAGATGGTATCCCATTGTGGCTTTAATTTGCATTTCCCTAACAATTACTGATGTTGAGCATTTTTTCATGTTTGTGGGTCATTTGTATATCTTCTTTTGAGAAACGTCTATTTATGTCCTTTGCCCACTTCTTGATGAGGTTATTTGTTTTTTCCTTAATTTGTTTGAGTTCCTTGTAGATTCTGGATATTAGTCCTTTTTCAGAGACATAGTTTAAAAGTATTTTCTCCACTCTTGATTGTCTGTTTATTCTGATGATTATTTCTTTGGCTGTGCAGAAGCTTTTTAGTTTAATCAGGTCTCATTTATTTATTTTTGCTTTTTTTCCATTTGCTTTTAGGGTTTTAGTCATAAATACTTTGCCTAGGCCAACGTCCAGAAGAGTTTTTTCAAAGTTATCTTCTAGAATTTTTATGCTTTCAGCCCTAGACTTAAGTCTTTGATCCATCTTGAGTTTATTTTTGTATAAGGTGAGAGATAGGGATCCAGTTTCATTCTTCTACATGTGGATATCTAGTTTTCCCAGCACCATTTATTAAATAGAGTTTCCTTTTCCCAATTTATGTTTTTGTATGCTTTGTTGAAGATCAACTGTTTATAAGCATTTGACTTTATTTCTGGGTTCTCTATTCTGTTCCCTTAGTCTATCTGCCTCCTTTTGAAAGTACCATGTTGTTTTGGTAACTACAGCCTTGTAGTATAACTTAAAGTCCAGTAATGTGATGTCTCCAGATTTGTTCTTTTTGTTTAGGATCGCTTTAGTTATTTGGGGGCTTTTTTGGTTCCATATGAATTTTAGGATTGTTTTTGCTAATTCTGTGAAAAATGATTTTGGTATTTTGATGGGAATTGCATTGAATCTGTACATTGCTTTGGGCAGTATGATCATTTTCACAGTATTGATTATTCCAATCCATTAGCATGGAATGTGTTTCTGTTTGTTTGTGTCATCTATGCTTTATTTCAGCAGTGTTTTGTAGTTCTCTTTGTAGAGAATTTTCACCTCCTTGGTTAAGTATATTCTTAGTTATTCAATTTTCTTTTCTTCTTTTTTTTTTTTTTTTGCAGCCATTGTAAAAGGGATTGAGTTCTTTATTTGATTCTCAGCTTGCTCATTGTTGGTATATAGCAAGCAGCACTGCTGATTTGTGTACATTGATTTTGTAACCTGAGACTTTACTGAATTTGTTTATCAAATCTAAGAGTCTTTTGAAGGAAAATTTAGGGTTTCCTAAGTATAGAGTCATGTCACCAGTGAGCAGTGAAGTTTGACTTTCTCTTTTCCAAAGTGGATCCCCTTATTTTCTTCTCTTACCTGTTTGCTCTGGCTAGGACTTCCAGTACTATGTTGAATAGGAATGGTAAAAGTGGGCATCCTTGTCTTTTTCCAGTTCACAGGAGGAATTCTTTCAACTTTTCTTCCTCAGTGTGATGTTGGGGTTTGTTGAAGGTTTTTATCATAAAGGGATGCTGAATTTTATTGAGTGCTTTTTTCTGCATCTATTGAGAAGATCCTATGATTTGTGTTTTTAATTCTGCTTATGTGATGTATCGCACATATTGACTCGTATATGTTTAACCATCTCGGCAACCTGGGTATGAAACACACTTGACCATGGTGTATTACCTTTTTGATTTGCTGTTAGATTCAGCTAGCTAGTATTTTATTGAGAATTTTGCATCTATGTTCAAAAGAAATATTGGTTTGTAGCTTTCTTTTTTTTTACTTTCTTTCTTTAATTTTTTTTATTATTATTATACTTTAAGTTTTAGGGTACATGTGCACAATGTGCAGGTTAGTTACATATGTATACATGTGCCGTGCTGGTGTGCTGCACCCATTAACTCATCATTTAGCATTAGGTATATCTCCTAATGCTATCCCTCCCCCCTCCCCCCACCCCACAACAGTCCCCAGAGGGTGATGTTCCCCTTCCTGTGTCCATGTGTTCTCATTGTTCAATTCCCACCTATGAGTGAGAATACGCGGTGTTTGGTTTTTTGTTCTTGCGATAGTCTTTTTTTATTATATCCTTTCCTGATTTTTGTATCAGAGTGATGCTGGCTTCATAGAATAATTTAGGTAGGATTCCCTCTTCCTCTATCTTTTGTAATGGTTTCAGTAGGATTGATGCCAATTTTTCTTTGAATGTCTGATAGAATTCAGCTGTGAATCCATCTGGTCCTGGGTTTTTGTTGTTGTTGTTGTTGTTGTTGGCAAATTTCTAGTTAACTTCTCCCATCTCGCTGCTTATCGGTCTAATCAGGGTTCCTATTTCTTCCTGACTTAATCTAAGAGGGTTGTATGTTTCCAGGAATGTATCCATTTCCTATAGGTTTTCTAGTTTGTGTGCCTAGAAATGTTCACAGTACTCTCAAATGATCATTTTTTATTTCTGTGGTGTCAGTTGTAATGTCTCAAGTTTCATTTCTAATTGAGCATATTTGAATCTTCTCTCTTTTCTTGGTTAATCTTGCTAATGGCCTATCAATTTTGTTTATCTTTTCAAAGAACCAGCTTTTTGTTTCATTGATCTTTTGTATTTTTTTGTTTTAATTTCTTTTGGTTCTGCTCTGATCTTTGTTATTCCTCTTCTTCTGCTAGCTTTGGATTGAGTTTGTTCTTTTTTCTCTAGTTCCTTAAGGTGTAACATTAGATTGTCAATTTGTGATCTTTTAGACTTTTTAATGTGGTCGTTTAGCACTATAAACTTTCCTTTTAGTGTTCCTTTTGCTGTATCCCAGGGCTTTGATAACTTGTGTCATTATGATCATTAATTTCAAAGAATACTTAAATTTCTATCTTGATTTCATCAGTAACCTCAAAATCATTCAGGAGCAGATCGTTTAATTTCCATGTGTTTGTATAGCTATGGGGGTTCCTTGTGGAGTTAATTTCTAGTTTTATTCCACTGTGGTCTGAAAGATAGTTGATATTATTTTGACTTCTCAAAATTTATTGAGACTTGTTTTGTGGCCTATTGTATGGTCTGTCTTGGAGGATGTTCCATGTGCTGATGAGAAGAATGTATATTCTGCAGTTCTTGAGTAGAATGTTCTATAATATCTGTTAGGTCCATTTGTTATAGAATATAAGTTAAGTCTGTTGTTTCTTTGTTGACTTTCTGTCTTGATGATCTGTGTAGTACTGTCAGTGGAGTATTGAATTTTCCCACTATTATTGTGTTGCTGTCTTAGGTCTAGTAGTAATTGTTTTATGAAGATGGGAGCTCCCGTGTAAGGTACATATGAATTTAGGATTATGATATCTTCCTGTCGAAATTATCCTTTTATCATTATAAAATGACCTTTTTGTCTTTTACTGTTGTTGCTTTAAGGTCTGTGTGATCTAAGAATAACCATTCCTGTTCGCTTTGGTTTCCATTTGCATAGAATATCTTTTTCCACTTTTTTACCATGAATTTATATGAATCTTTACATTTTAGGTAAGTCTCTGGAAGACAGTTGATATTTGGTTTGTGATTTTTTTAATCCATTATGCCAATCTGTATATTTTAAGTGGAGCATTTAGCCACTTACATGTAACATTGAGATGTGAGGTATAGTTTCATTTATCATGTCATTGTTACCTAGATACTTTCAGTTTTTCTCATTATGTTACTGTTTTATAAGCCCTGTGGATTTTATGCTGTCAAGAAGTTCTATTTTGGTGCATATCAAGCCTGGCTGTTCTTGGTGTATAGGAATGCTAGTGGGGTTTTTTTGGTATGTTGATTTTGTATCCTGAAACTTTGCTGAATTTGTTCATCAACTGAAGGAGTACCAGGACTATGGGGTTTCCTAGATATGGAATTATGTCATCTGCAAACAGGAATACTTTCACTATTTGGATCCCATTTATTTCTTTCTGTTGCCTGATTGTTCTGGCCAGGATTTCCAATACTATGATGAGTTAGAGTGGTGAGAGCGGGCATTCTTGTCTTGTGCCAGTTTTTAAGGGGAATGCTTTCAGCTTTTGCCCATTTAGTATGTTGTTGGCTGTGGGTTTGTCATAGATGGCTCTTATTATTTTAAGATATGTTCCTTCAATACCTAGTTCATTGACAGTTTTTAACATGAAGGGATATTGAACCGTATCAAAAGCCTTTTCTGCATCTGTTCAGATGATCATGTGGTTTTTGTCTTTAGTTCTGCTTATGAGATGAATCACATTTACTGATTTGCATATGTTGAACCATCCTTGCATCCCAGGGATGAAGCCTACTTGATTGTGGTGAATTAGCTTTTTGATGTGCTGCTGGATTTGATTTGCCAGTATTTTGCTGAGGATTTTTGCATTGATGTTCACCAAGGATATTGGCCTGAAGTTTTCTTTATTTGTTGTGTCTCTGCCAGTCTTTGGTATCAGGATGATTCTGGCCTCATAGCAGGAGTTGGGGAGGAGTGCCTCCTCCTCAATTTTTTGGAATAGCTTCGGTAGGAATAATATCAGCTTTTATTCGTACATGTGTTTGAATTTGGCTGTGAATCCCTCTGGTACTGAGCTTCTTTTGGTTGGTAGGCTATTTACTACTTACTCAGTTTTGGAGCTCATTATTGGTCTGTTCAGAAATTGAATTTCTTCCTGGTTCAGTTTTGGGAGGGTGTATATGTCCAGGAATTTATCCATTTCATCTAGATTTTCTAGTTTGTGTGCATTGTGTGTTCAGAATAGTCTCTGATGATTGTATTTCTGTGAGGTCAGTGGTATTACCTCTTTTGCCATTGCCAATTGTGTTCATTTGGATCTTTTTTCTTCTTTATTAGTCTAGCTAGCAGTCTATCTTATTAATTTTTTCAAAAAAACTAGATCTTGGATTCATTGATCTTTTGAATGGTTTTCATGTCTCGATCTTCTATTCAGCTCTGATTTTGATTAGTTTGTGTCTTCTGCTAGCTTGGAGGTTGGTTTGCTCTTCCTTCTTTAGCTCTTTTATTTGTGATGTTAAGTTGTAAAATTGAGATCTTTCTAACTTTTCGATGTGGGCATTTAGTGCTATATATTTCCCTCTTAACACTGCCTTAGCTGTGTCCCAGAGATTCTGGTATGTTGCGTCTTTGTTTTCATAGGTTTCAACAAACTTCTTGATTTCTCCCTTAATTTCATTATTTACCCAAAAGTCATTCATGAACAAGTTGTTTCATTTCCATGTAATTGTGTGGTTCTGGGCAATTTTCTTGGTCATTAATTCTAATTTTATTGTACTATGGTCTGAGAGAGTGGTTGGCAAAATTTCAAGGATTTTTGTACATGTACTGAGCATAATTATATGTCTGATTTTGTGGTTGATTTCAGAGTATGTGCCGTGTGGCAATGAGAAGAATGTATATTCTGGTTTTTTTGTTTGTGTCTTTGTTTGTTTGTTTTTTTGAGACAGAGTCTTGCTCTGTTGCCTAGGCTGGAGTGCAGTGACACTATTTCAGTTCACTACAACCTCCACCTTCCTGGTTCAAGCAATTCTCCACCACTAAGCCCGGCTAGTTTTTGTATTTTTAGTAGAGGCGGGGTTTCACCATGTTGGCCAGGCTGGTCTCAAACTCCTGACCTCAAATGATCCACCAACCTCGGCATCCCAAACTGCTGGGATTACAGGCATGAGCCACCAAGCCGGGACTATTCTGTTTGTTTTTTGGTGGAGAGTTCTGTAGAGGTCTAGAGGGCATAATAGAGACTGTAAGGAAGAAGCATTATTTGAAGTACTCCTTGTCTGTTTAACTCACCCCACCTGCAGGAGTAGTTGGAGGCCAAGAACAAGTCCCGGTGCCCCGTAGCCCCATACAGGATTCCCAGCTTTCTCTGCCTTGAGCCCAGCATCTGTGGCTTCCTTCTGTCCCCTCTCAATGCCTTTTCTTTGAAGATTTACTAGGAGTGCACCAGTCTTCCCAGTGTTTTGGTCACTTGGTGGGAGATGTTTCTCCTGCTTGCATGTAGTTGGCCATCTTGGAATGAACTCAGGAATAGCATCTTTCAAAAATTCTGAAAAGCTCCCAGCTTTGAGCACTTCAAATAATGTTCTTCCTTACATTCTCTATTATACCCTCTAGACCTCCTAGTAAACATTAGTTGAACCTTCTTATTCAATCCTCAACATCTCCTAACCTCTCTCACATATTTTACATGTCTATTGCATTCTATAAAATTTTCTTGGCTTGTTCATTAATCTCTTTAACTTTGTATAATTTACTATTTAGTTCATTATACAACTCAACTATTTATTCAACTTAGCCATTTATTGATTAAACAAAATAATTAAATTTTAATTATTATGAGCTTTTATTTTAAGATTCTGTATTATCTTTTAAAATCCACTTGATCATTTTTATATTCTCTTGTTTCTTGCTTATAATTTCAAACCATTACTTGTTTTTTAAACCTATTAAGTACCCTTTTTATATCTCTAATAATTTCAGTAACTTAAGACTTTGTGGATATAATTATGCTATCAATTTTATTTTCTGCATCTGACTCATGGTATCGTGTTTCCGTGTGTGTTTTAGGATTTCTTAAAATCTCGTATTCCTATGGCCGGGTGTGGTGGCTCACGCTTGTAATCCCAGCACTTTGGGAGGCCGAGGTGGGTGGATCACGAGGTCAGGAGCTCGAGACCAGCCTGGCCAACCCAGTGAAACCCCGTCTCTACTAAAAATACAAAAAATTGGCTGGGTGTGGTGGCGGGCGCCTGTAATCCCAGCTACTCAGGAGGCTGAGGCAGGAGAATCACTTGAACCAAGGAGGTGGAGGTTACAGTGAGCCAAAATCATGCCACTGCACTCCAGCCTGGGCGACAGAGCTAGACTCCGTCTCAAAAAAAAAAAAAAAAATCTCGTATTCCTTGCAATGTAGCTGCAAGGAACAGTTGAAGCCTGACTTGAGTTTCTATTCAATTTCATTAAGCTTTGTTCTTAATTTCCTTTATTCTATTTTCTTTTGGCTTATTGTATTTTTTTTTTTTTACTTATTTAGTTAAGAGTCAAATCATTTTCACTCTTGCTTCTTTTCTTGTATATGAATTTAAGCCTATAAATTTTCTGTAAGCAGTGCTTTACCTACATTCCACATGTTTTAATTTGTAATATTTTTCTTATCCTTATAACAGATATCTTCTATTCACTTTAGTCATTTCTTCTGTGACCCATCAGTTATTTTGTAGGTTTTGGTTCTCTATTAATTCCAAAACAAATGAGTCCTAACATTTTATTTTTGTTATTTATTTCTACATTAATTTCATGGTAGTTGTGGTTCTCAATTTACTAATTCTTTGAAATGTTATAACTTAATTTATAATGTATTTCTTCAAGTGTCCTTAAAAATACTATGTAATCTCTAATTATTGGAGTAAATATTTTCTGTCCTAACAGTCTATCAGTTACTGACAGTTATGTTTAAAATATCACTATTAAGACTGATTTGTCAAATTCTACCTTCAACTCTTTCACTTTTTGCTTCACATGTTTTGAAATCATGTTATTTAGTACATACAGAATTAGAATTTTCATATCTTCCTAATGAATGGGACACTTTATCACTATATAGTGCCCACTTTTATTTTTGCCTTAAAGTCTATTTTATCTGTGTAAAATAGCTATATCTCACCCTTCCTTTAATTAGTATTTGCTCAGTATATATTTTTGTACTTTCATCTTCTTGTGTGCTTATGTTCTCTACTATAAATGGCATATAGTTGTTGTTTTTTGAATACAGTTTGATAATATGGTCACTTGAGTTATGATTACACATAGATTTGAATCGACTGCCTTATATTTGTTTTTCTCTTTCGGTTTTCTCCTTTCTTCATTTGAACTGCTTTCTCTCCTCTACTGGTTTTGAAATTTTACATGCTATTTTATTTTAATGGTTGGCCTTGAAATTTTAACATATATCCTTAATTTAAAAACATCTAAAGTTCATTAATGTCTTTAGCTTTTCTGCAATATCACAAAAATGTTTAAATGTTTAAAATACTTAGAAGTCTCCACAATCTCTCCCAAGCTGTCCTGTCCACCAAATCTCTTATCCTCTCCCCAGCGTCCTCCTACCTGGCCACACATTGCTCTGCTTCCTGTTCCTTAAATAGGCCATGCACACGCTCACCTTAAGGTTTTCCACTGACCAGTTCATCTGCTAAAAACCACCTCTCCCAGATATCTGCATGACTCTCTCACCTTTCAACTCTATTTCAGGCCTTTCCTGCCATCTTATTTAAAATTGCACACGTTTTAAGCTCTTCCTAGCAGCTTTCATAGCATTATTTTTCTCTATATCACTTATCACCTTTTAGTATACTAAATAACTTGTTTAAATTATTTATGTTCTTCTTCCCCAACTAGAAGTAAAGTTCCATAAGGAAAGGAATTTTTTTTTTATTGCTGTATCCCCAGAGCCTAAGATGATTTTGGGCTCATAGTAAGCCCTTACTATTTATTTGTTAAGCATTCAATAATTTCAGATCTCAAATCCATATGAGAGCCAGTTAGTGTCCTTGAATTGTTAAGGGATGCTATTTTTTTTTCTATTGATCACCACCAAGGCTGAGACAAATCATTTTATTGATGTCTCTTTCTTTGGAGCATTATTTTTACTTAGTGTGTTTCCTTTTCTGATCCTTTATCTGGATATGTTTCCTGAGTATGTTCCCTTTTCCCACTCTTGATTTAAAAATTGCCCAATAAATAAATATTTTTATCTATTTATGGTTCAGTTCATGAAAAACAAATAGGAGAATAGATACTGTGCAGACAACAGCAGTGTCTGACACAATTATGCTGTTGTTACAAAAAAGATCCCCACTATATACTGTTATAGTTGCAAAAGCAAGTTGCAGAAGAATATGTATATGAGCTTGTTACTGTTAAAAAATAAAACAAAAAACTGAACTTCTGTAAATATGTGTATTTGTATGTGCATGGAGATATTTTGAGAAGCCTATACACTACACTAGAATACAACCAATAATACAGTAAAAATAATATTACAATTAATAAATAGGGATTGCATCTAATAATAATAAAACATTTTCAAGATATCCAGTATAATGCCAGGCACTGTTACAAGTGTTTTACAGACATTAACTAATTTAATCTTCGAAATCACTTTATAAGGCTTTACTAACGTTATCCTTAACTTACAGATGAGAAAATTGATACAGGAAGAGCTAAGTAACTTGTCTGAGGTAATAGATCTAATAAATGGTAGTGGTGGAGTTTGAACCCAGGCAGTCTGGCTCCCAAGGCTATGCACTTAAACCTCTACTATATCTACATCTCTCTCTCTATCTGTATCTATGTCTATCTATCTATAGCTATAGCTATTTCTATGTCTATCTATATATAACTTAGATAGATATTACAATTACATATTATTTTATAATTTACAAAGAAAGAAAGAAAGAAATTACCTCTCCTTAAATCCACCCCAAAATGGCAGTAGTAGTAGCAAAAGCAAGAAGAAAGGAAAAACAGGATAGGATAAATTCTAAGCAAAACGTGGCTATCAGTGAAGATTGTCTTCAGTCCTCCCCCAACACCCCTTTGCCTTTGGGTGCTGTTGCACTTCTCTAAGAGATCGAGGTTCTCCCCACGCATATACCCAAGCCAGATAAACTGCTCAGGATTCTAAACCCCAGCTTTGTTCTGACTTTCCTCCGAAAGCAGCATCCCTATTTTTTTTCCTCTTCCTCTTCCAACTGAACTAGCTGTCCACCCACTTTAGAGTCATGCATTTTTCTTGACAAGTTGGTAACCACAAAATAATGGGATAATTGTTTGCTCTAGATGGTGGAAGAGTTTGAGACTGTAGAGAAAGTAACCCTATTTTTCCCATTCCCACAGAAATAGTTAACATTTGTATTGTTTTAAAGATCTCAAGGAGCTTCCACATGGAGCTGCTCATTTAATTCAGTCTTCATGATCACACTGTGATGGTTTTCATGCATAGTTTACAGGTAAGGAAACCAAGGCTCTGTGAGGATAACTATTAGTTATTAGTCTACTGTGTTCTCACAGCTGAGTGGCAGAGCTGATCTCAAGTCAGATTATCCTTTTCCCAAACTGCAACAACCTCTTTTTATATAAACTTCCTTGGCCAGGAATCTCCACATATATTATTAATGAATTTTGTGGCTAGAATAGTAAAAATTCACATCACCACTGGAAAAATAAAGCTTGAGTGTGAAAGAAATACAGAGTGAAGTCAATTACATGGTACTGCTTTAATATACAGCTGCATATTTCTGTTATAGCAATCTGAATATCCTTTTAACCTTAGTTTCACTTTGGCTTTGACATTGTATTTTATTATATGCAAACTATTGGGAAACATTTATTCTTAAAACAATTTTTCCTTCTTTCCTAAATAGCCCCTCCGTTGCTTTTTTTTTTTTTTTTTTTTTTTGAGATGGAGTCTCCTTCTGTCACCCAGGCTGAAGTGCAATGGCACTATCTCGGCTCACTGCAATCTCCGCCTGGTGGGTTCAAGTGATTCTCCTGCCTTAGCCTCCCAAGTAGCTGGGATTACAGGCATGTGCCACCACACCCGGCTAATGTTGTATTTTTAGTAGAGATGGCGTTTCTCCATGTTGGTCAGGCCGGTATGAAACTCCTAACCTCAGGTGATCCACCCACCTCGGCCTCCCAAAGTGTTGGGATTACAGGCATGAGCCACTGCGCCAGGCCCCCTCGGTTGCTTCATCCAGAAATAAAAGACGGGCTATAGCTGACTGCTGATTTGGGCGATATGTGTTGGCAATATTGTTGAGTTCCAAATACTTTTATATATAAAAGCTAAGTATAACTAAAAGATAAAATGTTTAAATGCAGAGAAAGATCTTACAAAAACAAAATGTGTCCACAATGCATTGCAGAGTTTGTTGGTTTAAGAAATGCAAACATAGAAAGTGTTTAGAAACCTGACCATAAAATGATGCAAGTGAAGTTTTTGTTCCTACAATAAACTTGAGTCAAAAGAGCAAACAAAGATATCTCATAAGGTTGCTCAACTGTAAATTCTCTGAGAGATTTTTACACCTGAGGGAGAAGTTGAGTATTTTCACTGACACTTTATTTCACCCACCTTGCCCCCACAAATTTGTTCTCAACAAGTTGTTGAGCAGTATTGGAAAACCTAAGCATTTTTTAATTGACAAAATCTGATGTAGTACATTTTAAAGTGCAGCAACTGAAACGTCTGTGAAGCAGGTTAAGTTAACATTGTGATTGAGTCCTGGAATTTAGAACTAAAAGGAACCCAAATGCATGTTTTAGGGATATTCCTTTGTCGACGATCAGGAAAAACTTCCTTCTCCTTGCTAGGATCCCAAATAATTCATAGATTAATTTTATAAGGCATAGAAGGTTTAGAACCTGGAAAAGCAATGTCAGAGCAGTTTTTCATCAGCATCATTTTTATTTTCAAGGAAACATTAAGTGATAATTGGGCAGTGTCCATACTGGTTTGTCAGCTCTCTTACGCATGAGATTTCCTCCTGTGCTCTATTTCACATACTCCAGGAGTAAAGGACGTCCCTCACACCTCTCTGCCCTCAGTCTCCCCCACCCCCACCCAATCATTTCACTATGTATAATACATCAAAATATTATGTTGTACATCTTGAATATACACATTTTTAAAAAGAAAGGGCCACAATGCAGCCTCCTCACTGCAGCTCCTCTCATAAGGTGTCCTGTCTTCCTCTTTCATATCCAAAATAATTCATTGTAATGACACGTGATTGTAACTTGCTTTTTCAAATCTGGGGCACTGAGAGGCAGGCTGCTTCTACTTTCCAATGCAAATATTACAAATTAGGCTGGTGCAGTGGCTCACACTTGTAATCCCAGTGCTTCGGGAAGCTCAGGTGGGAGGATTGCTTGAGCCCAGGAGTTTGAGGCTGCAGTGAGCTGCAATTGCACCACTGCATTCCAGCCTGGTTGACAAAGTGAGAACCTGTTTCTGAAAACAAAAAACAAAAAAACAAATTAGCAAGCACCCCCAAATTCTCATAATATAGATCAGGATTGGAGGGCTACAGGATATCTCATGCATTCATTCTCTCTCCTTGAATAGATTATCTGTTCTTATATAGCTCATGTGGATTATGATTTATGATTATGATTATTATTTTGAGACAGAGTCTCATTCTCTCGCCCAGGCTGGAGTGCAGTGGCACGATCTCGGCTCACTGCAAGCTCCACCTCCCGGGTTCATGACATTCTCCTGCCTCAGCCTTCAAAGTAGCTGGGACTACAGGAGTCCGCCACCACGCCCGGCTCTTTTGTTGTATTTTTAGTAGAGATGGGGTTTCACCGTGTTAGCCAGGATGATCTCGATCTCCTGACCTTGTGATCTGCCTGCCTCGGCCTCCCAAAGTGCTAGGATTACAGGTGTGAGCCACTGCTCCCGGCCTCATGTGGATTATTTCCTTAGCACTAAATAGCCCAAATCTCATAAAACCATGTGGTTTTGGATGCTATTTGTCAAAACTTCCTGCTTTCCTGATGAAGGAGGGATTGGTAGGCGATAAATGGTTCCAAACATACTCACCTGTGGGTCTGGATTGTCCAAAGATCAACCTAGTATAGCTTCCAAACTGATGCTGGAATTACTCTCCACAGATGTTTGAATATTGAGTCTCTGCCTTAAATGCTGAAGTTAGTGGACCAGAGAGAGAGCTCATTACTTTTTAAAGTGTCTGTTCACATTCCTGGGGCAGTCTCTTGACATCACACCATTAACTCTTCTGCTATATTGTTTCTCCAGTTGTCTTAGCTTTGTTCCCGGAGTCAGCCAAGAAAACACTGTTTATTTTCACTTTCATACATTGTGACCTGTACATTTATTTTTTACTGTACAGACTCTTTATAGGCCCTTTTGTAAAGTCCCACATTCTCAGGGAATGTGTCAACATTGAAGATGTCTCATATACCAGTTACTAGAATCATGTTAACTTTAAATGAAATATAATTACTTCTGCAACTGCAGAGACTAAGATGAAAATTAAGCTTCAAGCTTGAAGCAAATCCATTTACACACACTCTTACATACACAGACTCACACACTGCCCTGATGTTTATCGCCACTTTGATTTCATGGTCTGTGGTCTGGTTTGTGGCTTCCAAAATTTTACATTGCTCTGGGGAGCTCGTCCTTGAAGATACTTAGCTTTCTTACTTGAATACTTCATATAAACTTTTGCTATGTGTGAGGCTTCCCATTTATCTCATTATCTCCCCAGTACTGTGACTTTTTAAATTAAAACTTTCTGTTCGACAGTTCAAGAATTTTGAAATAACAAGATATGCTTGGTATAAAAGATGAACCATGAAAAATTTCAGTTGAAATTTATTTAATCCACCACTTCTTCACTCCTCATGGATTCTGATAGTGAATTGAAAAGAAAAACTCCAATCATGCAATTGTTTTCCATTTCATTGAGATTTGGATATTACCCACTGAGAATGAGAGGTAATTGTTTTTAATAGCAGTGACAAAATTCATTTTCATTTACTAATTAAAGGCATTTCATTTACTAATTAAAATTCTTCCCTTGATTTAAAAGCAAATGTGAACGGAAGTTGTGAACTGTTTTTTTTATACATTTGATCTCCAGGCTGAATACCGGCTTTATAGGCTAAGCTACAACAATGGGATATTTTAAAGAAGCCACGATAATTGAGTATCATTTAACTCACTTGTTAGAGGAAGTTCGCTCCCACTTTTCTTCTTGCTTATAGTTTTGTAGGGGAATGTCCATATATCACTTCCTAAGAAAACATCATGAGGATACCTTCAGCCTTTTTCCTTGTTAACAAAGTCCTTCGAAGGCGTTGTTTGTAATGAAGGAAAAAGAAACCTCAGCAGAATGCCTCACCTGTATATGTTTTCATTTAACAGAAAAGATGACTCCACAGGGTGAGTGTTCTGTAGCTGAGACCTTAACCCCAGAGGAAGAGCATCATATGAAGAGGATGATGGCAAAGCGGGAAAAGATCATTAAGGAGCTGATACAGACAGAAAAGGATTATCTCAATGATCTAGAGCTGTGTGTTAGGGAAGTGGTTCAGCCCCTGAGAAATAAAAAGGTAAATATATATTTGAGATTTTTTTTTCTCTCCCATATCATAAATAGGATCACTAGCACCATGAAATTGAAGCACTCAGGTGTATCAATGGGATGATGTGCCTTTCTCCCCAAAACAGCACTGTTCTCAGCTCTGGGGTTACAGTTTAGTACAAAACAAAGTCCTGCCCTTGTGGAGTTCACTTTCTAGTGCAGAAAAGGAGGAGTCAGACAATACACAATAAATAAATAAGCAAACAAAATTAAGATATGTTATATGGTGTGAAGTATGGCTGAGGAAACTAAAGCAGGGAAAAGGAATGAAATAAGGGGACAAGGCCGGGTGCTGTGGCTCATGCCTGTAACCCAGCACTTTGGGAGGCTGAGGTGGGAGGATCACCTGAGGTTCGGATTTCAAGACCAGCCTGGCCAACATGGTGAAACCTCATCTCTACAAAATTACAAAATACAAAAAATTAGCTGGGCATGGTGGCACACGCCTGTAATCCCAGCTACTTGGGAAGCTGAGGCAAGAGAATTGCTTGAACCCGGGAGACAGAGGTTGCAATGAGCCAAATCGCGCCATTGCACTGCAGCCTGGGCAACAGAGTGAGACTCTGTCTCAAAAAAAAAAAGAGAGAAAGAAAGAAAAAGAAAGAAAGAAGGAAGGAAGGAAGGAAGGAAGGAAGGAAGGAAGGAAGGAAGGAAGGAAGGAAAGAAAGAAAAAAAAGAAAGAAAGAAAGAGAGAGAGAGAGAGATGGGGACAAACGAGTGGTCATTCTATTTCAAATAGAGTGGCAAATGAAGACTTTTCCAGTGGAGGACATTGAGCAGAGAACTGAAGGAGGTAACAGAATGGTCCAGGCAAAGTGGAATACAAGGGCAAAGACTCCAAGGAGTGATAACTCATCATTAGGGTTGTAAATACACAAATCAAACAATATAGAAAAACAGAAGCTAGAAAGTGAAAATGATCAGAAATTCCACGGTCAAAGAAAATTACCATTAACACAATCAGACATATCCCCTCAGACATCTATTTGAACACTTACATATACATATACAAGCACATATATTTTTACATAAATGTGATCAAAACTACAAATAATATCTTGTAACATACTTGTTTCATCCATAAATCTGTTACATGTATCTTTTTATGAGTACTAATATTTTTCAATATCTGTCTACTATTACAGTGGTTGAGATGTTTTGGATGTTTGTTTCCTTATATCCTTAGAATAAATTCCTAGAAATTAATTGTTAGGTCAAAGGGTATGCATATTTAAGATTTTGAATAAAATGGACAACTGCCAAACAGAAAGTCAATATGATTTTAATATTCATTCCTATTAATAATGATTCAGAGAGCATTTTCTCTGCATCCTCTTTAATGCTGAGACTTGTTGATTTCATAAATGTTCTTTTGATTCCTTCTGATAAATATCTTCTCATATATTCATTGGCCTTTTCTGTTATTCATATCCATGTTTTTTGCTGTTTTAAAAAATGATGGTTTAATATTTTTCTTATTATTTTATAAGAACTTTCTGTGTATTAGAGTTATTCTTTTTCCATCCCACATGTTGCAAATAATTTTTCTGGTAAGTCTTTTGGTTTCTAACCTTGTTTAAGATGTATGTTTATTTTGTTTTTGCCATGTTTAGTCAAATATATCCAACTTTATTGATTCTGAGACATATTTTAATATTACCCATGATTATAAAAGCATTGCTAGCCTGTCATGCCCCCAACTATTTACAACATTCAGGAGCAGATTTTATATTTCTTAACACAGTACTCTTCTCAGATTTTTTTGTTTTGTTTTGTTTTGTGACAGAGTCTCGCTCTGTCACCCAGGCTGGAGTGCAGTGGCGCTGTCTCTGCTCACTGCAAGCTCCGCCTCCCGGGTTCATGCCATTCTCCTGCCTCAGCCTCCCGAGTAGCTGGGACTACAGGTGACTGCCACCACACCCGGCTAATTTTTCTGTATATTTAGTAGAGACGGGGTTTCACAGTGTTAGCCAGGGTGGTCTCCATCTCCTGACCTTGTGATCCACCCGACTTGGCCTCCCAAAGTGCTGGGATTACAGGCGTGAGCCACCATGCCCGGCCTCAGAAATATTTTTTAAAAAACCATCTGGCCTACATATTAGGGAAAACCAGTATAGGTCAAGGCACTTCTGACACAAAAATTGTTTTTTGGTCTAAGACAATGTATAAAGAGGAGTAGCAAAGAAGGCATGGAAGCCTTTTCTTACACAGGAAGTCATCTTCAGTTTGCCTCATGACTTTTATTTAATGCTTACTATATGTCAGATCTTGCTCCAGGCACTTCATTAGCATTCTCATTTAATCCCCCACAGTTCCCACGCCAGAATTACCAGACACTTTCTGAAAACCTGGAAATTTCTTATTCATGATGTAAGAGTAGAAGTAATATTGATGGTCGTGATAAAAATTTGCTCTTTAGTGTCATTGCTACGTATATAAATGTTTTCTGCTGTGTTTTCTTTATTTTATTAACATATAAACCAGATGTATTTGATATAACTGCTATTCTGGCAGATATCAATGGTTACTAACATGTTCATTTACATACTTATTCAAATGTTGATTTTAAATGCACATAGCATCAGACTCTGTCACTACCTTTCCTTATGGTACAGTCCTCCCTGTCAACTCTTATTCTTTGAAAAATTTGGAACCTAGCCCACTGTGTCTATGTATTCTCACTCTCTCGCTCTCCTCCTTAATTCTGACATCTTTTTTAGGTAATTTCAATATTCATGCAAATAACCCATGCAACATTCGGGCCTCTCAGTTCTTTCACTTTTTCATATCCAACAATCTTTCCTCAATCCCATTCAGCCACTCACGCCAGGGTCATAACCTAGAACTTGCCATTACCAACAACTTCATCCCCTCAAAATCAGAATTTCAAGCTTACTATTCTCTGATGCCCAAGCCTACTCCCACTGGTACGATTTCTGACAACCTTCTGATGGCACCGAGACCTCCAAACTATGGACATTACTACCATTTCTCTCTTCATCGGGCCCAAAGATGCTTTAATTTCTATGGGTCCTTCATTATAATCGCTCCTTGCACACGACCTCAATTCCTTTTTCTCTCTTTCTTTCCATTTACTTCCCTGCAACAACTTACTCGAGTGAAGTTCAATTTTTCGTCTACTTCACACCTTTACCTGTGCAGCAGAATTAATCTCTTATAAAATTCATGACCACTTTCTACTGGGGCCCCCAGTAATGTTTCTGAGGAGATTCTCTCACATTCTTTTCCTCACATGTCAAACACCCCTTTTTCTTCTCTCAGCTTATGCCCTTTTCCATCATTTCATAAAGAAACTAGAAACAATAAGATGTGCACACTCCCAACACCAAATCTACCAACTTACTGCATCTCTACCTATATAAGTTGGCTTCCTCCTATTACCGGAAGCAATGGTTCCCGCTTCTAATGAAGGATGACCTCTCTCTGCTAGTGCAGTGGATTCTATCCCCTCAGACTGAAAGGTTTTACTCCAGTCTGTGTCCTTTCTCTCTCCTGAATAATTAGTTTACCCTCCTTATGGAATCATTCATAGCACTATTATCTACTATCTTAAAAACCAAAATCAAACACAAACAAACCAAAAAAATTGTTTTCCTCGATCCTAAAGGAATCATCTATATTCATTGTCTATTTTAAAATTAAATATAAAATATTTACTAGGTATAAGAACATTTGTGACTAAAACATGTTTCAAAATAAGCACAATTTATCAAAAATCTGTCCCTGCGATTGGCTAATGATCAATATAAAAAACAGTAAAAAACACGCCCAGTTGCAGTGGCTCACACCTGTAATCCCAGCACTTTGGAAAGATCAGCACAACCAGGAGGATTGCTTGAGGCCAGGAGTTCGAGACCAGCCTGGGCAGCATAGGGAGACCTCATCCCTATTTAAAAAAAAACAGCCAAGTGTAGTGGCTTGCTTCTGTAGTCCAGGCTACTCAGGAGGCTGAGGTGGGAGGATCACTTGAGCCCAGGAGGTTGAGGCTGCAGTGAGCCATGATCACGCCACTGTACTGCAGCCTGAGAGACAGAGCAAGACCCTGTCTCCAGAAGAAACAAATAAACAGACAGACAAAAACATCAAATATACAAGAAAAGTCTTTCTTTGAATTCTTAGTCCACATTTGTATCAAATGGACTAAGTTTACCTTATATGAAAATGTTGCCAATTTAAATAATCTGCTACATTGGTGAGTCAAACTAGCCCCGCTAAAATGAATGTCATTGATAGCTGTATTCTTATATATTTTCTCCAATTCTTTTTTGTGCTTTTACTTTTTGTTATTTTTCTTTACTTGTTTTTGGCTTCCTATGAAACTCTTATAAGCAGTTCTCAGAATTGGTGTCTTAGACCATGCCAGGTAAAACTTTTCCATTATGGTAACATTTATGGTCGTTTATTTGGCACATTTGGCTTTTGCTCTCAATACTGTGAATTACAATTCTCAAAATTCTAACTCACATTTTCTAGGTTGTTTTATTTGAATTGTTTATAGGTTGTTGATTTTTCACACTTTGACCTTGTTATTTAGCTATCTTTCAATGCTGTCTGCTCTCTGCCTTCCTCATTGTGGACTTTAATTTCATTCTATTAGTTCTCTCCACTAAGGTAATAGCAATTCTCTTAAGGTTCTCAGAATTCTCATGTCAGATCTGCCTTTTTCCCACTTCTCAAAACTTTTAACCTTTGATTAAGTAAATAAATGTTCGGGTACTCATATGACTCTTATCAGCGTTTATATGAGTGCTGAGGTAGTTAGTTGACACCACCAGTTCATTCAGTTCACTACCTTTTCAATGTTCGTTAGTTCTTTCCTGTTCTCACTTCCCTTCTGGACATTTAACTACCAGTGTCTTTGAGCACAAACCACCTGTCATCACTGTCAAAATGTGTAGATTAACACATACAGTTTTCAGATAACTATAGCAATAATCTGTAAACCAAGCTTAGCTAAACCTGGGGCAACATAAATATTTTACAACTACAGGTTAAGCTAGGAGAGAATTTGGGTATCATCGGATTCATCATCTTTTCTCTATACAAAATCAAACTCAGACCACTCCCAGTAAAAACAAAACAAAACAAGTCATTTTATTTAAGTGAAAATTGGATGAAGGAAGTTGAAAACTGAGGAAAGTACCAGAAGTTCCTGGCTTAACTGAGTCACCTTGTATGAGTGAATCAGTGTACAAATGAGTGATTAGATCTAGCCCTTGACTGACAACTGTTCTGTGACAATCGTGCTGTAAACTTTAATCTTAACTTCAAGGCTTTTCTATGTCAGACCTTTACCGAACTGATAATACATCAAACTCAGCAGTTACACATCTTCTTTAATAGCAGCACTGTGAGAGGTTTTGCAAAGAAGGCAAACGTTATCCACATCAGTTAGTGTTGAAACATTTAGTGGGAAAACAGGTTCTAGTTATTTATTATCCAAACAGGGCAGTGAGAGATACTCTATGTTTTTGGCTATAAGTCAAAGTAAATCAAACTAGAGTAGACTAATCTAACAATGGAAAGGGCAAAAAGTGATTGAAAGGAATAGCTGGAGGAATTTGAGTACTGTACTTATTTTTATTTTTCTTTGTTTTTTAATTATTTTCAGTTGCTAAAATTCACATAGTGCAAATCTACCAAAGATCTCAAGGGGGCTATAGAATTCCTCAGCTACTCGGTTTCCTCCCCTAGAGGCAAACTCCATTACCAGCATCTTTTTACCCATCCAATGATATTTCAAGTGTATGTGTTTGAATGCACACTTGGTAGATTTTATTTCTATAACAAGAAAGTTATGTGTATTTATTTTGAATTTACTCATATTTGGTTTAATCATGTGCCTTATGCTCAAAAATTTGTGTTTTCTAAAAAATGGTTTAAAATATATATAATTTTGTATTGACAGGAATTCAGTTGGAATTTTCTGTTAAAATTTTGATATACTATATGGCAACATTATATAAATAATTTTCACTAGAAAAAATATATAGAGGAAAATAATCACCTGTAGTCTTGCCACTTAGAAATAAGCACAATAATTATTTTGGCTTATTGTTTATACAAACATACTGAAATATTTTCTGGAATAGGAATTATACCATACACAGTTGTCCCTCAGTATCTACGGGGCACTGGCTCCAGGATCCACCAAGAATACCAAAATACATGGAAGCTTAAGTGTCTGACGTAAAATGCAATGGTTACATTTACACATAACCTACACACATCCTACTGTATACTTTAAATCATCTCTAGATTATTTATGGTACCTAATACAATGTAAATGCCATCTAAATTGTTGTTATACTATATTGTTTAGGGAATAATGATAAGAAAGAGAGTCTGTTCAATACAGATGCATTTTAAAAAATATTCTTGATCCACAGAGGACTGATTCCATAGACATGGAACTCAAGGATTCAGAGGGTTGACTGTATGCCATTATGGAATATTTTCCCCTGATGACAACTATATATTTACACATTTTATTTTCAGCCACAAATAACAAATATGAAATTGAAAATTTAAAAAAACTTATTAAAATAAGGGACCATAAATTTGATGTTCATGCTCTCTCTCAATTCAGAGTCCTTGAATGTAAAATGGTGCCTATTACCAGTGTTATCAGTCATACCTAGGTTAGCAGTGGGCTGTTTCAATGTCAGGATGGTGGGGAGTATATTGAGCAATGGTTCTGTGTGACATCCTACAAAATCTCTCCCTCAGGGTCCAAAGTGGGTGAGGAAAGCCCTGGGATAGGGAAACACAAAAGAGAGGGAGTTAGGGAGGGAAAATTCTTAGCTGGCCGCTTTTTCAAAGGAGCAAGGGAGGGAAGGCACTCCAGGGCTCAGGCATTCAGCTTCCTGCTTGTGCCCCCCACCCCAAACCAAGTTGCTGTAGCGTCAGCCATCATACCAACCCTGTCAGAGAAGGCTGCGTGTGAGGAGGGCTCACCAACTCCCTGAGAACACAGTATAGATCCAAGTATCCCTGAAAGGAGACAGGGAGGAGGGGAATATAGATGTACTATAATAATAAAAATACTGTTCAAAGACCATAATACAATGAAAATTTATATATAATAAAGAGATAGCCAAAGTCCCATTGACTTCCTATGCATTTTAAGCTATATTTACTGCTAAAGTATTCAGTGAAACTTGTATATCCCTTTGCTGTGTTTTTCATGGCTCTTCCTTCACCAGAGTGAGCCCATTGCCGTCCTATACAACAGGAACTGCAGCTTCAGCACGTCATGGGAATCTTCCTGAGTTCCATATCCTGCCCTCTCTTCCGATGTTTTTAGCTGGTTGGGCATCCCTGGTGACCGTCATGACACCTCAAAGCTAGGTTCTACCTCTATATCCAGCCCCTGGCTGCCTTGCTGTGGAACAGCACTCCCAGAAATTATACAGTGCATAGCGGCTCTGCAGCAGCCCTGATGCACTGCTTACTCGGCTCTAAATTTTAGTGTCACTGCCTAGATGCACTCTCTGAGATGACCCTCAGTTCTATCTGAATACTCTCACCACCCTTCTCTCCCAGCCCAGCTCCTCAGACCCCCAACTTGTCCATAACAGGAATTCAGACAATGAAATGTAATGAAATTTTGCTACTTTCATTGAGCAGAGGACAGAATTACTGTTACAGTAGCTCACTGAAATACAAGATAAAAGGACCAAGGCAAAAATATTTTATCTAGTAATTATCAAAATATAGCCAGTTTTCCTAGATAGATAGGTGGATAGATAGATAAATGAAGCTTCTCAAAGTTATTTGCTAAAATTTTGCCCACATAACAAATAGAAGAAACCAGATGTAAGCAAATATCTTTGGGAATGAATTTTCGATGGTCACAGAGGACTCTTGTCAAAATTGTTTTCTCCAGCTGTCACCTTCACTAAAAGACATTTACTGTTTCCAGGAAGAATGGTCTTTCATTTTTGCTTAATAGGCAACCATGGAATTCTCTCTCTCTTTCTTTTTAAATCACCCAGCTACCCTTCCCATCTCTGTTCACTTCCAGAATTTTCTGATTGTAGTCTGGGCCTGAAAACACATTTCATCTTGGCTCACTGACCACAACTTTCTTAAAGTTGGCTACTCTCTAAAACTCTGTCTCTTCCATGAAATTGCCCTGAACTCAGTGGAGTTAAGGTATTGATTTCTCACAGACATGTCTTATTTATGCAAACAATTGCCTTATGCCATTTATAATATGTTCTACCCCACAACATCAAAATCCAATGCACACATTCTATTGTTTTGCAGGATGTTAGCCTTGGGGGAAACTTGGTAAAGGGTACATGGATCTCTCTGTTTCAATTTTTTTTACAACTGCATGTGAATCTACAGTTAATTCAAAATAAGAACTTTAATTAAAAACATAATGCCCTTATTTTCTCTATCTTCCTCCCTTTCTCTCTTTAAATTATCCTTTTAAATACACATGTAAAATTTTACATGTAAGGATAAAATTTTTCCTCTGATCCTTTACCTTGTTTACTCTCCCAAACTTTCCAATTTTTTTTTTAATATATTGTGTTTTCAGAGGGGTAGAGACTACGTTTAAGAATAAGGGTACACATTCGGTTGTTTGGAAGAAATTTTATGATGTATAAAACAACCTCCTATGTATCTTGGCTGTTTCTCACGCTATGCTTGAAACACCAGAAATCCATGTAAACTGTAAAACAAACTGATGAAAAAGCCAAGTCCCTTTCTCCACTTCCATCTCCTATTCGATCCAGCCCCACCCACTGTAGAGTAAGGCAGTTCCTGAGGTCAAACTCCTCAGTCACAAGACCTCACAGACTTTAGTGAGTACAGATATCCAAACCAGGCTGATAATTCCAAAGTAAAAGATGCCCTAAAAGCCAGAGAAAAACAGGGATTTTGTTCACTACATTAAATAAAAATCTGAGAAAACCAGAGCAATTCCTGCCAAGTATAATTAAGATGCTGGGAGAAATGACTCAAAAGAAATATACCTGCCTTTCTCATTCTACTTTGTATTGGCCTTTCTGAACTAAGGTGCTGACTTGAAAATGTTATACTCTTGCTGGAAGTCTGCTTTAACTATCAATACAAATATTCTTCAATCCTTTACAAATACCGATTTTCATGAAGAATAAGATACATTACAACAAAAAATCCTGTAATCTGTATGACCAGGTTAGAACTCCATTTTTTTTTTAATCAAAGACTTGATTTTCACACTTTCTGTGGAATCCTAGCATTTATTATATAGTCTGGGCCATTGTTTCTCCATAATAAGGCCAGATACCTGAGGTCTCATAAAGTCAGAAAAAAAAAACTCAATAAAATTTTTCTTGATTTTATGTAAGTGTGTTAATAAGGGCAGTTCCTATGTGTTGGAGGTTAAAAATGTGAAATGTTAAATTTAAAAATAAAAGTCACAGTGTTGCCAGCCACAATGTGACTGTGTTAATACATAATATCTAACTGGCCTCTTTCTCAAGTACTGACACTGAGTCATCACACTTCACTTACTTTCCCATTTTCCCCTGGAGGGACGTTTCTGTTTTGTCAACCTGGAAAACACATAGTTTGCTGTCATATTGGATTCAGATTTAGTTGGGTATGAAAGTGATACATCAATATTCTAGTATGTGAATTTTCTTTTTATGGGAAGGAAATCTCTTATCTTTGCTTGTTCAGAAAGTCTCAACTCAAAAAAATGAGGCATTCATTTTTATCCTTGTACTGTAGTTTTATGATAGAAACTGTCCTCCTTGTTGTTACATTTATAAGCACCTCCTAAGCTCCTTTTTAGGACAGCTTCAGTGCTCTCTAATTTTTATAATCTATAGTCCAGATCGATCAGAATCTGCTGGACCAAGTGAGGATAAAAATGAATGCATTTCCCAATTCAGTGCAGGATTTGGGATGCCCAGAATTGAAAAACATAGATGTGTTAAGCGGATCTGTTTTAATATCCAGAAAAGTCATCCCTCAGCCTGGGCAAGATGATCTTGTGCTCATTACTTTACTTCCCAGAATGGAGATGATGCATAAACCACAATTTTAATTTGCTTTTTTTTGTGCATGTGTAGAATAAGCGACAAAATTTCAGCGGCTGTGATTATTATAATATTGCCATAAACCTCTCTAATGAAATGCCAGCAATGTTGAGACAGCTTTATTCAGGCATAGGTCAAAATAGCCATGCATATCAGTACAGGGCGATAAATCCTGGACTCCAAACAATAACACTGGGCCAGAAAGGAAGCAGATATTAAGGAAACAATTATTTTATTAATATGCACTTATGTAAGGCACTTTAGACACAGGCAAGGTAGATGATTACATGAGTTAATTAACTAATTAATTTTAGGTCATTTAGAGTATGTAAGGACATATGAAACACATTTTTGTGTCATCAAAAAACTAAGAATCCCTTGTGAGAGGCCTCTTATAGCTATGAGAAGATAACTTGTAATGCAAAGTGATAATTGATAAGTGTAGACAATAAGTGCAATTGGAGTTCAGAGAAGGGACAGATCACTTCCAGACAGATTAACTGAGCTATATTTCATGAAGAATGTGATATTTTAGTTGAATATGCAAATTAAAAGATTAAATGTTTGTCAAGTGCCTATTGCATGCAGTGCCTGCTCCTGAGCTCTGCGTGGGTATCAAGAAAATTTATGTCACAGTCTTGCCCTAGTAAAGTCTATAATGTGGCCAAGAAAATGACTCATAAACATATAAAACACAAATAACAATCAAAGATCTATTTCAAGGCAACGCTAGAAGTGATCATGACAGAAGGCAGTCATGATTAGTTGTGCTCATTAGTTATGCAAACAATTAATTGCTTTAGACATTAGCAAAAGGAGGCACTCACTTCCCTGACCTGTTGGCAGCATTTGACAAAAACAGTGCCTTCTGTCTTCCAGGACTCTACACACTCTTTGTTCTCCCCCTACCACTCTGGCTGCTGCTTTTCAGTCTCCTATGCTGGTTAATCCTCATCTATAAACACTAAAGTAATTGAGGGCTCCGCCTGTGGTCCTCTTCTCTCTTTTGTCCACATTAGCTCTGTTGCAAATCTGATGTAGTTCATGGCTTTAAATCCCATCTACATGCTGGTGATTGGCAAATTTTTATCTCCAGCCTAGACATTTTCCCTGAAGTCCTCCTTTGTTTCTCCAATTCCCCACTCAAATCTCTACTTAATTGTCTACAAGCCATCTCCAATTTAACATGTTCAAAACTGAGTTCCTAATTTCCTCTTTAAAACTTTCTCCCTTGTATTCTATCTCATCTCAGAAAATGGCAGCTCTACCTTCCAGTTGCTCAGGCAAAAATCCCTGGAGTCATCCTTAACTTTTTCTTTCTCTTAATTCCCATATCAGATCGATCAGCAAATTCTTTAGTTCTGCCTTCAAAATTTATCCAGAATTAGACCATGTCTCATCTCCTTTCTTACTTCCACTCTGGTTCAAGAACCTATCAATAACCTCCTGGATTTTTACAACTGTCTTGTGACCCATCTTTCTTCCTCTACCCTGTTTCAACCAAGCAGCCAGAGTGATCCTTTTAAAATATCAGTCAAATTATGTCACTCTTCTACTCAAAACCCTCCAATGACTTCCCCTCTCACTCTGATTAAAACCTAATATACTCATGATGACCTACAAGGTCCTACAGGGGCTGGCCCTCATTCTCACTGATGTCATCTATTTTTACCTTCTGACCTCTTCACTCTTTCTTGAACAAACCAGGAGCACTGCTGTTTCAAGCTCTTTGTTCTTGCTGTTTTCTTTGCCTTGAATGCTCTTCCCCAAAATAACTTCATAGCTTGCTACTTCATGTCCGTCAAGACTTTACTCAGTAAATCCTTCCTTCACCACCTCAATCTATCTTAGACTGGATTCCTCAGAAGCAGAGCCTGATAAAAGGATTTTAGATGGTATTGATTTGGGAGATGATACCCTGAAATAGCAGTAAGGGAACAGGGAAATGAGACAGAGAAAGAAGACAATATAGGGTACATTAATGAGTGGGTTAACTCTGTGGCCAAATAGGGCTCATTTCCCACTGGGAGCTTGGGGAGGCTGTACAGAACACATTGTCCTATGGGAGGAGTATTTACCCTCCTCAATTCCTGTTAGACATTGGCTAAGGGATGCTCCTGGGGGTGTTAATTCCTGGCACTTCTAACCTTGCCTGTGTGTAGGCAGAGCAGGCATCAGCGGTCAGAGAAAGCCTTTAGGTAGAAAATCAGAGATGCTTACACCAGAAGGCCCTTCACATGTCCAAGAATATTCAGAATCAAGGAGATATAAGTAAGGCATTGCCAGTGCTGCAGCCTCCCCAAAATTCCGTATCTTCCTTTTGCTGTTTTTGTTTTATCCCTATAACATTTAACCCTATATTTAATACAATATATTTTCCTTACTTATCTTGTTTACTTTTTTCCTTTATGAATCATGAATTTTGTCTCATTTGTTCACTGCTATATCCCCAGCACCTAATACAGTGCTTTATACATGAGCAGCAATAAATACTTATGGATTGAAAAAGAAATGAGTGGATGAACAACTTCAGGATGGGTAAGTGATCCAGGAAGTCTTAGAGAAGGGATGGGATTTGCACTGAGTAAACATTGGTTAGGTGGAGGCAGGGTCAGGAGAGCAGCCCAGCAGTGGAGAACCACAGGAGCAAGAGTAGGTGAGCTAACATAGGGTAAGTTTAAAAATGAGTTAATTCCTTTTGATAGTAGCAGATGGTCCTTATAAAAATAAAAATAACTGGAGTAAGACGAGATAGGTCTTGTCCAGGCAAACTGTCAGACTGAGGAATTTGAGATCTTTTCTGTAGGCAACTGGGAAGAAACAAATGTTTTAAAACAGAGGAATTTAAACTGTGTTTTAAACCCAATTAAACACGTTTTAGGAAGACTAATCTGAAGTTATTAGTAAGCTGATTTGGGGAAATAGGAAATAAAAATGAGTGTAGAAGCTTTTTCAGAGGCAGAAACTGGGGCCTGATAGAGTTTTACAAAGTGACTAAGAAAAGGCTAATTGAATGTTGGAGATAGTGTGGTTAAGCTATCAAGATCAGGGTTAGGGATGACAGAGGGGAGAGCCTGCATTGACCCTAAGGTCTAGAGTCTGGAATTTAGTGGTACAGCTAATAGATGATGCACCCAAAGACCAGTCCCCACTCCAGGGCTCACGCTTGTTTCCATCATCCTGGGCATACCCAGCAAAATCCAAACTCGGCTGAGTTTTGAGAATCTTCTGGAACTCAGGTGACCTAACATTGATTTGGGCACCTTGGATTTTTGACAAAGGTAGTTGTTCAAAAAAAAGAGACAAGTGAGAAATTTTTAGCAATTTAAAAATGTTCCCAGAACTGGCTCTGCTTCCTAAAATCAGCACTCACTCCTGCTCCCTTCCTTATCCTTATTGTCTGTGGTTCTTGGGATTCATACTGCAGCTTAATGCTGTGGGGAGCATCAGTCTACCTAGTAGTGCAAAGATCCCGCCCTGTCTCCAGATAAGGACTCTGGCAGTCCCATCATTTTACAGATCAATGAACATCTGAAGCACTTGTCTAGTTTGGGAACTGCCTTTAGCAGCTAGCAGTTTGGTCAAAATTCATTCCACAGTTTTCCTAAAAACAACAATAATAGCTACAATATATTGAGTACTTATTAGGAGCCAAGCATTATTCTAAACAACTTGTTTATATTAGTTAATATAATCCTCCCAGCAACTTATGAAGCAGGTTTAAGTGTTCCTAGTTGACTAATGAGGAAACCAAGGAACAAAGAGGTTAAGTAACTTATCCAAAGTCACACAGCTGGAATGTGGCTCCTCCTTGACACCTGCTCACCAGCCAGCTCCTGACCCTCGGGAGGATGGGTGAGGAGAGGTAAGGGAGGGGGAAGGTGTACTTGAACTGGTACCATCATAGACTAGCTTTACATTCTTTGGATTTTCTAGATATAATAATGTGGCACTCTTACAGGTACTTTCCTGGCCTTTTTCAGGCTATTCCCATGATGGTGGTGTTGGGGAGATTCTCTCTTGAAAGCCACTAGATCCAATTGCATCTGTCCCAGTTGGTGATTTGCAACTCTTTCCTGAGCCCCGAGGCATCCAGAGTGTACCTTCATATTCTGCCATTCAGCCTTGCAGGCAGAGTCATAGATATGTTTATACTAGCTTCCACACCTCACAGTGTCTGCAGCTGGTCCATAGGAAGCATTCAAGCATCCCTGACCCCCAAGAACTGTGGGAGTACAGATTCATCCCAACATAGCCATCACTTTCCTACTGCCACAGCTCCTTTAGGTTTCTCAGGTATGAGCTCAACAGAGGTGACTTTGAAACAGTTCACTGAACTTTCCTTTGCAAGTTCTGCATATGGCAAACCATCTCCCGCTCACTTTGGTATCTGATAGCTAAGAAATTGATGCCTCAACTGAAATTCAGGCAGGAGGTGTTTGTTTTTTAACCTTTTTGGTATGTTTACTATCTTCATGGGATTCCATGGAGACATCCTGGGGAAGAAAACATGATATGGACTAGCATAGTATGGGCCATGAAATCAAACAGCTCCTGGAGTGCCATGCGGCAGGAGGCAAAGCAGAAAAGAGGTGCAAAGGCAAGGCCACGAAGAGCCCCATGCCAGAAGAACTGACTTCATGTGTGTGGGGAAGGGAAACCATTGGAAATTTAAACAGTAATGCTTAACTTAGATGTCATGATCAAGTGACATTCCCCAAGGGAAAAAATGTGGGAATTACAGTGGTCAAGTGATTAAATCCTGGAAACACCAGAATTTACAACACAGATGGACTTCATGGATATTTGTTCTATGTTGTACCAGTTTCGTCCGTAATTCCTGTGTTACTACTCAAGTCTACTGTCACACATCTGCCCACCACATCTTTTTGAGCCTTCTGTTTCAGCCTTCTTTTTTCCTTTCATTTATCATCTCTAGGAAATTTTTCTTTTCCTTTCTTTTGCAAAAGCATTTCCTCATTTTTCAAATTATTTTCAGTGAGTTCTAGTTTTTATTGTATTATTGAAGATTAGAACTTTGTAATTGTGTCATTAAGTCTGGAAAAAAATGGGTGTTAATGCTAAGTCATCCCTGATATCAGTAATTTCTTTCAGATATTGGGCCTAAAGGATATGGATGCTTGTTGAAAAAGTTATGAGTATTGCTATAAGCTCTCAGTTTGAGTATGTACAGGAAGAAGAAATAAACACACATGTACACACATTCACACACACCCTCACACAGTGAGTACTCAAGTGATCAAAGCAAAAAATGTTTACCCCATTCATCATGCCCAGCCACAAGCCTTTAAATATAATTTTTTGGCTGACATGGATACATTAAAAAATTATAAATTTTTCCTATAATCTCACTGATTGTTCCAAAAAGTTTCCAAATTACTTTCTCTATATTTCAACAATATAAATCATAGTGTTTAGTCTATGCTTTCTAAACAATTTCTGAAAAGATTACAAAATATACTAGCCCTCCAGCTCAAAAGACCTATTTTTTAGCAGGACTGTTTGTCTTTGGAACATTTCATATAAAATTCAAAGTAGGAAAAGGAAGGCAAGACCACCCCAAACCTCTGCTGAGTAACTTCTTTTCTGCCTGTCCCTGTGTCAAGGCAGAGAAGAGAAACAAAGGCAGAGACCTTTAGTCAACTATTTACCTTTTACTCAAGGATACCAATATAATAACTTTGCTTTTCTATTACTAGTCAAAACAAATTTTCTGTTGGACTTTTTTTTAATTTTAATTTTGATTTTAAGTTCCAGGGCTGTTGGACTTCTTAACTCAGGGACTTCTCGAGTTTGAACCCAGCCTCTTTCTCTGGCTTTGACTGTTGCCTCTGTCCTTCCTCACACACATGCTGAGATTTCTGTTCCAGAACTCCCACTCCCCTTTCTGCAAAGGGACTAACATCTCTGTGGCTAATGTAGGTCTGTCCACATTAGTATCTTCTGGCCTGGAATGTTTTCTGGCAGTTATCAGGTAACTTAAGCATTTATCTGCAAGATTAGTTAAAAGACTTGCTGTATAGCTGTGATATTGATTCAACTCATAGTTTGACTCAATTAGCCAGTTTCAAATCCAGTTTCACAGCAGGAAATTTCACACATACAAATCAGCACTTTTGAGAAGCCTGATGAAATAATGGCTAGTTTACCCTGAAACGCTTTGTAATCTAGAAGCCAACTGTCTCAGTAAATGCCATAGTAATGAGTTAATTATCCTAGCCCAGTGGTTGCTGGGGCTTTCTGCCAACATCCTTTTTTTCCACTTGCTGCAATTTCTATCTCACAAGCAGTCCTCTTCTCAACTTCCTTACTAAAAAATAAAACAAAACCTACTTTATCCTCTCAGAATGTCCCCAGTGAGTCTCCACTTCTCAAATGTTTGGTAACCCATGGCAGCTTTCTTCCACTTCCACCTTACTGCAGTCTCAATATCATTGGGTTTTGATGGCTTCAGCATTAATAATGGATCAATCTAATTTAGAGGATGCATCCAGGCCTCACCAAAATGTTGTGTGTGGAACTGTCCTACAGAAGGAGTAGAGGGCACCAAGGTTCTATTAGACCAAATCAGATGATGGCCAAGGAGAATTTGCCCTATATTAATTCTAATGTAATTACTACATAAGTTCAGAGCCCAGAATTGGGGCCCTATTTGAACCTGGATTTACTGCAAAACTACACCAAATCCAAACACTGAAGACTTTTCTAGAAACAATTTCCAGAGGATGATTTGGTTGGTGGCAATCACCGTGACCCTTGAAAGCAGTGCTGTTTATTTTCTCCCTTCTTCTACAATTGTTGTATTAAATATATATGTCATGCACATATATATGGAATTTTTAAGTTGTGTGATTTTGACCATCAAATTAAGAGCCCAAAAATATAGTTCCAAATTGAGGTCAGAACAGCAATATCCAATTGACAATTTTAAATCCATTGGTTGTCAGAAGAAAAAAGCAATGTTTATTTGTTAATACTTTTTAAAATCCTTTAAAAAATTAATAACTTTAGCTCAGTGATAATCATGAGTGTGAATAAGACTTTAGCTAAGAGCTGATTATAATAATGAAAAGCGTGATCTATCTAGATTTCAAAAATTTATGAATGGTTAAGTACATTACAGTATTTCCACAAAATGTTAAAAATGGTGCAATTGAGGAAAATTACTGACATGAACAGATGTTCATGTTATGTTGTTAAGGCAAAAAAAATTTAAACTATTTGAAGTATATAATTTTTTGTATGGATGTACACACAGACACACAGAGAAAAATAATCTAGAAAAACATATCTGAAAACATTATTAGTGGCTATTTCTGTGTGGTAGAATTACAGGTGACTGTATTTTCTTTCTTTTACTTTCTTTTGTCTACTCATCCTTAATTTTCTACAGTGACATGAACTACTTTTATAATAATAGCCTAATTTATTTTTTCAAACAATGTTTGTTCCTAGACTTCTTTACAGTGTTACTTTTAGAGATGTTAGTGGTTGGGGGTCTGCAGGACACCTAAGAAAGTTTGGTTTTTCCTCCCTGTGATGGGGTTCAGGCCGATTCATCCAGTGCTCATTAAACAGAAGCCTATAAACAGGCATGTCGCAGGTGTAAACTAGAGGAAGATTGGCTTCTGTCAGCAAATTAGCCAGTTATACCAATGGCCAAACTAAGCACCCCAGTGTGCCTTTGCAGATAAAATTAAGGATAAAATTATAAAATATCCATGTAATTGTTTTGAACAACTAGATTGGTAATTTTTTCCCTTTAAACCACTTTTGATCTTTGCATGCTTATTATTCAGAGCCTAGTGAATTGATTACAAAGAATATTCATTTTTGACTCCTACAAGAGTAAATAGATCATGTGCATTGTACAGATTCAATTCAGTTCAAATTTTTAAACTTTTACTGAGTAACTCTGCACATCCCCAGAACCGTGTTAGACACAGTAGAGTACTCATAAAGGCAATTCTTAGAGGAATTCACAGTTTTGTCATAGAGACAGATAAATTAGTAAATATTTCTGATAAATAGAATAGAATGGGCTTCCATATAAGCAGGGAGTAATACAAAGCAAGAGTCATGGAAGTGAGGGAGAAAGAGAGGTTAATTCTAACTAAGGAACAGGAAATGTTTCCTAGAGAAAGTAACATTTTGGCTACAATTAAAAGTGTATTAATCTTCTTTGGGTCATAGATAACAGAAATCAAGTTCAAACTAGCTTAAATAAAAAAGACAGTTTGTCGGCTTATGGAATAAGGATTTCTTGTTTAGGCAAGGCTGGATCCAAGAGTTAACAAGACTTTGCCACCAGGCTTAGCTTTCCTCTTTGTGACTTTTTCACAGACAAGTTCTCCACAAAGATGACTGCCAAAGATAGAAACTTACATACTATTTTTGTCCAGTTAGGCTTCTATTTAAAAAAAAATGCCATAAACTGGGTAACGTAGGCAACAGAAACTTATTTCTCACAGTTCTGGAAGCTGGGAAGTCCCAGATCAAGATGCCAGCAGATTCAGTGTCTGATGAGGGCCCGCTTTCTAGACAGCCATCTTTTAGCTGTAACCTTTTTAATTTGTTGAGTAACCTCCATACTATTTTCCATAATGGCTGTACTAATTTACATTCCTACCAACAGTGTGCAAGAGTTCACTATTCTCCACATCCTCACCAATACTTGTTTTCCTTCATCTTTTTAACAGTAGTCATTCTAACAAGTATGTGGTCATATCTCATTTGATTTTAATTTGCATTTGTCTGATGATAGTGATATTGAGCATTAAATACCTATTGACCACTTTTATGTCTTCTTTTGAGAAATGTCTATTTAGATCCTTTGCCCATTTTTGTAATTTAATTTATTTTTATTTACTTATTTTTAATTTTTATAAATATATAAAACTTGTACATATATGCAGGGTACATGTAATATTTTGATACAAATATACAATGTGCAATGATCAAATCTTAGTAATTGGGATATTCATCCCCTCAAACATTTATCATTTCTTTTTAAAATTTATTTTCAAGGATGGTTTCAGAACATTTATAATTTTGTTTGTGTTGGGACATTCCAAATCTTTTCTTCTAGCTATTTTGAAACATAACAATAAATTATTGTTAACTATAGTCACCCTGTATCTTCTTTCTTTTTTTTTAACTTTTATTTTAAGTTCATGGGTACATGTGCAGGATGTGCAGGTTTGTTATGTAGGTAAACGTGTGTCATGGGGGTTTGTTGTACACATTATTTCATCTCTCAGGTATTAAGCCTAGTATCCATTAGTTTTGCCCATGTTTTAATGGGATTATTTGTTTTCTTACTGAGTAGAGCTCCTTATATATTTTGCATATTAACACCCCTTATCAGATGTGTGGTTTGCAAATGTATTCTCTTGTTTCACAAGTTGTCTCTCAACTCTGATTATTGTTTTCTTTGCTGTGCAGAAGCTTTTAAGTTTGATGGAATACCATTTGTCTATTTTTGGTTTTGTTTCCTGTGATTTGGGGTCATATCCAAAACATAATTGCACAGACCAATGTCATGGAGCTTTTCGCCTGTGTTTTCTTCTGGTAACTTTACAATTTCAGGTCTTACGTTTAAGTCTTCATTTTGAGTTGATTTAGTGTGAGGTAAGGGTCTAGTTTCATTTTTCTGCATGTGGATAGCCAGTTTTTCTAGAACCATGCATTGAAAAGACTGTCCTTTCCCATTGTGTGTTCTTGACATCTTTGCTGAAAATCAATCAACTGTAAAAGTGTGGATTTATTTCTGGGCTCTCTATTCTGTTGCATTGGTGTATGTATCTGTTATTATGCTGGTACCATGCTGTTTTGATTGCTATAGCTTTGTAGTAGATTTTGAAGTCACTGAAAACTACTTAACATTGATAAAAGAATTTGAAGAAGACATGGATAAATGGAAAGATATCTGGTGTTAATGGATTGGAAGAATTAATACTGTTAAAATATCCATTCTACCTAAAGCAATCTATAGACTAAATGCAATTCCTATTAAAATTTCAATGACGTGTTTCATAGAAATAGAAAGACAACCTTAAAATTTATATGCAACCACACAAGACCCTGAAGCGCCAAAGCAACCTTGAGCAAAATGAACAACGCTGGAGGCATCACATTACCTGATTTTAAAACCTAGTAATTATTTAAATGTAATGGGAACTGGCTATTTGAAGTATATCTTGCGATAAGTACTTTTGTAAAGCAATAAATTAAATTGCCAGTTGAAACACTGGCCTTTAATCTAGAACCAGAAATACCATTTGACCCAGCAATCCAATTACTGGGTGTATACCCAAAGGAATATTAATCATTCTACTATAAAGACACATGCACACGTATGTTTACTGCAGCACTGTTTACAATAGCAAAGACATAGAATCAACCCAAATGCCCATCCATGATAGACCGGATAAAGAAAATGTGGTACATATACACCACGGAATACTATGCAGCCATAAAAAGGAATTGGATCATGTCCTTTGCAGAGACATAGATAAAGCTGGAAGCTATCATCCTCTGCAAACTAACAAAGAAACAGAAAACCAAATACGGCATGTTCTCACTCGTAAGTGGGAGCTGAACAATGAGAACTCATGGACACAGAGAGGGGAACAACACACACTAGGGCTGATTAGGGGGTGGGTTGGGAGAGGAGGGAACTTAGAGGATGGGTTAATAGGTGCAGCAAACCACCATGGCACATGTATACCTATGTGACAAACCTGCATGTTATGCACATGTATCCCATTTTTTTCAGAAGAAAATTTTAAAAAAGAAACATTAGCCTTTAATTTTTATGTTTTGTAAGTCTGAATTATTATATATTGACTTGACTTAGAATAGTGTGTACTCAGACTGTCTTTTTTTAAAAAAATGAATTTTAATCCATTTAAAATGTAATTCAACTTAAGCTTTTAGAACATTACCTGTTTCCAGTGAATGATTAATAAATATAAATACATGCTTCCTTGAATTTATATCAGTAATCATAAAATCATCTATCAGTTTTAAAAGTCTACGTGTACCAGACATTTGTTTGTTCCTTGGCATAGCAATGATTGGATATGAATTCATTTTATGATTCACAGAATCCCCATGGGCTCATAGTGATATGGGCGTTTGAAATCAGGCCAATTGATGTTTTAATCCTTTCTGTCCTTCAGGAAGAAGTGGAATTAAAATCTATGTTTTTGTTATTTAGTATTTGTGGCACTAAGCTAAGATTACAGATAAAATGTAGAATTAGATCCTTGCCAAATGGATTCATAATCTAAATTAAACAGATATACAGGAAACTGACCTCGGGAAATAAATTGTAGGAGTGACAAATTGGTGAAAAACTCAGGAACAAACCAAAAAATCTAAACAGAGATAGTAAAGTACTCTATTATTAATATTTCCTGGTAAAGAACGAAGGCATAGAACAAAAAGGCCAATTTCTGAATCCAGTTCTCCCCTGAACTTCTTGCATAAGTTTGAGCATGGCTCCTTTCTTCACCCTGCATTATTTTCTGTATCTTCAAGATGGTTCATCCTTTACAAAGAAGTTGGAGTCATGTATGAAATAATAAACATGAAACACTTCAAGTTTCTCAGAATAAAGTTTCCAGAGCAAAATGAAATAATAACAGGGATACACTGTATGATTTACTGCTGATAGTTTATCTTATAAAGCAAGTAAATTAGGGGCTGAAATTTTATATATTAGAAGGATTTATTTCAAAAATGATTTTAAGAAATATACAATCAGTAAATTTGAACTAAACCAATTTATAAAACTTTGATTCATACACAACTTTTGGAAAACATCTTGCATTATTCAGAGTTATTATACCTTTGTGGATTTAATTAATACCCAACACATAAGGCAATTCTTTAGGATAAGTAATGTGCTAAATCAGTGGTACTCAGAGATATATTACATTTGAGCCATTGATAATAATGAAGTATTATTAAATGACAACTTCATGTTAACTACTTAATAATAAATTATTAAATAATAACAAAAATCCATGTAACTGTTATATGCCTTTTAAATATTTTCTGTGATATTAAATATACTTTCTAATATAGAAATTGAAAATCTTGAACCTCTCTAGATTACAAGCAAAAAACCACATGTGCCATCTCCTATTAAAGTGAATGATCAGTTAAGGAATATTTTGTGACACTGGATTAAAGACCTTAAGAACTAATAGTGGTTACAATGTAATAATTAGTATGGAATTATAGACAATTTCAGAATACATAAAACTAGTTTTTTAAAAGTTGTCTAATCCTATATTGAAATAAACCACTGCATATAATCATATGAATTTGATTACAAATGAGGCTGTGGGTTATCTTGAGGACAGGATGAATGATGGGAAAGTGAAAAATTTCCCAAGATGGTTGAAAGACTTGTATACAGCAAGACCATATTGCATAAAAAATAACTGACATAGTCACCACATTTTGAAAAGGTGCCATGTGAAGTCATGCTTCCACATTCAATGACAGAATATCCTTACCAAAATAATATTGGTATCCAATATGGAGAACAGTGGATGGGACAATGTCAAAAAGGAATGGGATCAAAAGATGAGCAGGTTGCTTTCTTCCTTACCCCTTGAATAGACCCCACACACACCTGAAGAAACTGAGTCTGAAATAATGGAAAAAAGCTGTAGTTGTTGGCCTTTGTCTGCAGAATTCCTCCATGTCTCCCTTTTATATCCCTTGTTCCCAATTCCCCTAATTTCTCGGCACATTTTCTTTAATTGGATTCTCTGTCTCTTTCATTTCCCTAACTTTGCTGAGCTGGTTTTAAGCCAGCAACTCTGATTTTCACTTGTGCTACTCCTCCATGAATTGATTATTGATGAATTAATTATCCACCTATGACCTCATTCACAGTAAGTCATGAGTAAAAGGCACCTACTCCTGTTCCCTGATGTAGCCCAGTAGAGCCTGCACCAATACGGCTGTGGCCTGACCAGTCACTATATGATTATGAAAGGAGATCCAACTTAAACTAAAGGGAATTATTTTGAACAAGATTCATCAAAATCAGAGCACATATCTCACCATATTCAGACAGCTGAGGATAGTTGTCCATCCCTCTACTAACCAATCACTACCTATAACACAGTCTGGATTCTTTCGTAATTCTTGGTACATAGAAGCTTCTCAGAAATTATTTGATGAAAGGATGGATAAATGAATAAATAAATTATTATAAACACTTGCTATAAGATCTAAGAATAATTACACTGGTTGTTAAGGGTGTGCATGAAATAACAAAATATAATGAATCCTTAATTAGTAGAATATATTTAATGATTTCCATTTACATTTATATCAAGAAAAAAAAAGGAAAAAGCAACCCAGCACATCTACTTATCATCACTTTTCAAACATCTGTGGTTTAAAAAACAGCTTTGAAAATCGTTACTTGCCTCGGGTAAGGTCTGACTTCTGCTGTATAAGCAGTAAACTATTCTAAATCCTTACACACTAGTACATATCCTCATAGAGGGCAGTTAATACCAATTAGGCCCAAATCTTCCCATTCTGGTTCTTATAGGAATATATAGATGTATGTTTGATACAAAACATATTCAAAATTTTTTTAAAAAGACAGAAGTAACAGATGCATCATCCCAATTTCTTGGAAAAAAAAACTGCACTCTAGAATTCCTAAATAAGAATGTTAACAGAAATGGTTAATGGAGACAGCATGCGCTGGCATTTAAAATGCTTACTGTTTAGGAGGAGAAAACATCCTAAATACAGTGCTTCTCCATCAGCTCAATGTTTTTTGTTTCTTCAGACTGATAGGCTGGATGTGGATAGCTTGTTTAGCAACATTGAGTCCGTGCATCAGATATCAGCCAAGCTGCTGTCATTGTTGGAAGAGGCCACAACAGACGTGGAACCGGCCATGCAAGTAATTGGTATGTTTATTCTCTTCTCGAGTTCTACAATACAACAGGAAATAATTTTTTAATAACCTCCCTTTGCTTTGGTTTTTTGTTCCTGACTCACCATGCTTCCCAGGAGATATATAAATGCTAAACCCATCTTTGGGCTCATTGTGATTATGCAGACTCTGTGTTTATTTTCAAATGGGTTTATATCCATTTGCTGAAGTCCCTCAGTAGCACAAAACATACCATTTGCTTTTTAATTTCCAATCTTTCAATCTCTTTGCTTTCCAGATGTTCTGTAATTTTTTTTAATGGCTAACACTTACTTGATCCTTAAAGAATTAATTATTTAAATATTCTAATAGCTTTACTGATTTCTCATTACAATGTTTTTTAGATCTTATGCCCATCAATCAATTTTTTTAGATTATAAACTTCTTACCTGAGGAATGTAAAACTATTAAAGGAATGTAAGTTATTAAAAATTTACACAAGTTCTACTTTTTTTCATGCTCTCTTTTTTTCTGTATTATTTACCTTCCAAATATGTTTTTACTGTCAATCAGATATATTTATTTTCTTACTATGGTAGGATTCTCAAAAATAACAACAGAAAATATAATTTGAAAAGTATTGAGCCAAATTTTTATGCTCTCCATTTCTTGGGAATTTCCAAGGGAATATGTGCTATGAATTCCTTAAAGGCAGTTTGCACTTCGAGACATCATACAGTGTCATGTAGGCTAAGAGTTTTTTAAAATTATCGTTTCTCTATTTCACACTTAATATACAATAACTCCTCATTACAAAAGTACTAAAACAATTCAGGAGCACGTAGAGTAACGGTAAAATTTCCTTTCATATATCCCTCCAATGCCACTGCCTTCCCCACAAGTAACCGCTTGTTTGATGTAGATCTTTACTTTGAGATACACACACAAAGACTACACACAAACACTTTATGTCTTTACTGATTATGTCTTTGTTACCTTTTATTTGTTAGAGTTATAAAAATGTCATGGAACTGGTCTTGTTTAATATTTATAGAGAACCAAAGTTTAATGAGGAAAGCTGATCAAAGACATGAAATATAGTGAAAGAAATGACTGGGTAATAAGGCCAGCCCACTCAGAAAGATTTCTTCCACAGATAGGTTTAAATTCAATTGTTCTTTGTGATGAAATGTCCCCAACAAATTGTAAAAATATTTCCTAAAAGAAGAACTCTACTCATTACCACACTAACTCATTAGTGTGAATTCATTGGCTATTCATTTATTAATTCAATCAATGAATAGTTATGAAGTAGCAGCATATTCACAAGATTTGGTACTGTACCACATTGCTTGGTATCAAAAGGTGAAAGGGCTCATTTCTCTCTTTCAAAAACATTCAATCAAACAGCTTCTTGAATTGAAGGTGTGGGTATAATACACCATCAAAGCAGTTTCTACACTACTGCAAACCTTGGAGGATAAAGAAAACATTTCTAGATGGAAACTCCAAGGATTCTTGAAGATGTTATTTGGGCTTAAAGTATAGATTCTATTTCAACAATAGGGTCCATGTTGAGGAGAAGATTCCAAATGGAAATGACAGCATGAAAAACAAGTGTGAAACAAATGCCAAATGCCAAGTGTGTTTAGGAAATGAAGAGTGATCAAGCTGGAGTGAAGGACAGATGTAAGCAAGAAATGAGAAATGAACCTGAAAGTGCAGAGTAGGGACTGGCAGCATTTGGAAATGAAGTTTGGAATTTACTGTACAAGTAATAAAGAGCCATTAAAAGATTTCTGGCAAGGGTGTGATGAGACACAAAAGTTTCTGGAGAGAGAAAGATATGGTAGGTCTGAACAGCATGCAGAGGAGGAACTGAGTCCTAGACTAGTAAATAGGTTGTTATAAGTAATATAGGCATGTGGTAATAAGCATTGAGACTAAGGGAGATACAGTGAAAATTTTTAAAAATGGGGTCATTTCAAGAGAAATGTAGAAGAAAGCATAAACAAGTTGTTGATTCATGTGCTGAAGTCAAAAACAATTCCAGATTTAAGGTGACCATGTATTGTGGTTTGTCTAGAGCATACTGATTTTAGTGTATTACGTAAGCATTCAGTCCACTTTAGCATTTGTCATGGACTTTTCCTTTTTAAAAATTATTATTATTATTAGTTGCATCAGAAGAGGTTTTATAAGACCTTTACATCATACTTCAACTTCTGACACAATCTCTTTTAGTAGAGTGTAATGTGCAGTTAACGGTTCTCACTGTAACACATGGTAAACTCTGAAACATAGTCCATCTCTCGTATGCCAACCTTTTCTAGTCTCAAGGAAAGTTCTATCTTTCTTTGAATTGCCACATGCAGGGAAGTGGCTGATTAAATGATGCTGTTTGGATATGAACAGCTAGAAACTGCTAACTCCTTTCTGTCCTGGTGGTTGTGGATGTGTTGGATGCTGCAGACCCCGCCATCTACTGGGTGTAGCAGCTAGTTGTGTCATGACCCATGCTGGGTGGCCCATGTCATGACCTATGAGAGGCATGAAGCCATCGGGATGCCAGTCAGTGGGGTTAATGGGACACGTTTTTACAGAATAGATGTAAATAAAATATGTATGGAAAATAGGGCCTGAGAAATCATGCTACAGAGTGTCTAGAGGCTCTTGCTATGGTAATTTGGTTACCTATTGCATGTTATAGATTGACAACTCTTTTACAAATTTTTTGGTTATGTTTCATTCTGAAATAAACCTTTTCAGAAGCAAGAATTTAATATATTCATGTTTGTATTAGTCAGTTTTCACACTGCTATAAAGAACTACCTGAGACTGGGTAATTTATGAAGAAAAGAGGTTTAATTGACTCACAGTTCTTCAGGCTTAACAGGAAGCAAGCCTGGGAGGCCTCAGGAAACTTACAATCATGGCAGAAGACAAAGGGGAAGCAAAGACCTTCTCCACACTGTGGCAGGAGAGAGAGAGCACGCCAAGGGGGAAGTGCGATGCACTTTCAAACAACCAGATCTCATGAGAACTCACTCACTATCACAAGAACAGCAAGGGGAAAGTCCACCCCCATGATTCAATCACCTCCCACCAGGCCCCTCCCCCATCACCTGGGGATTACAATTCAAGATGAGACTTGGCAGGGGGGACACAGAGCCAAACCATATCAATGTTTTAGAAAAATTTTGATTTTCTTTATCTCAAGAAAGTTGCTGAGCCTATAACACACAAAATACCATCCATCAAAGGGTCCTCAATGCTATCATTGACCATAGACAATCAGAAGATGGAAATATGCTGAAGCAGCGGCAACATCTATGTCAAAGTTTAGTCATTATTTTTAAAAGACTGTGCTCTAAGCAAGTGATTAAATGCATGCAGCTGCTTAAGGTGTGTTTACATTTCACTGCATGCAGCATGGCTTCTCATTTAGGTCAGACAACAGTTTTCCTAGATTAATTACATTCATTTTTTAATTCTGAGTTTCCTTAGGCCTATGAGAAATATAAAACAATGGTTACTAATGAGTTGACACCGTTAGCAAAAGAGTACTGCAAACAGTTAAATGATGACAGTTTTATATCAATGTGAGCAGATGAATCGAATAATAGTTTCAATAGCAGTTAAAATTTTAAAAATTCAATTCACAGAACCAAAGAAAAGCTTTTAGAAGTTTATCATGTCAATGGTGAATTGTCTGACCTTATTATAAATGCTGTCACTTTAACTTAAAAATTAAACATTGTGACTGCAAATGATAACATAAATACAAATATTAGTGGAGCACAGCATCATAGTAAAACAATGATTTTATTAAAATAAAAATCTATAGAGCAGACGTGTAGTTGAAAATGATTGGTGTATATATGATGAAGTTGTGGAATTTATTAATTGAAGTAAAAACTGTAGTGAAAATTTGCATTTATTTTTATATACACAAAATTAGAGTGAATAACACTACCTGAAGAATAAATTTGATATTGAATTAAAAATAATCTTATGTATGAAACTATACACTCTCTTTCCTGCTGGTCATTAATCAGTCTTTGGAAATGTTTGATTCTTTGAAGCACCACTTTACAAATCAACCAGAGTGTCCTAACATGGCATTGGACTATTTTTGTAAACAAGGCCTCTGAAATTGAATTGCATTTTGTTAAAAATCAGTTGGAAGTCTTTAGTTAAGGTATTCATCAAATGGAGAAAATAACTTCAATTTTTAATCTTTACAAATAACAATTATTAAAAACAAAATTGCAAATAGGAAGACATTGAAATGTATCCCTATGAAAACAAGGAGTAAGTTTAAAAAAAATAAGCAATGAGAGCTCATGTATAAAATATTTAATTTTGAAAGTCCATAATCATGCTTTGGAAAATCTGACTTATGAAGAGAAGCCTTTGATGGAGCTCCTCTTTAGTAGGATAAAGTAATATTCTGTACCAGATTTCACAATCTACATTTGGGAAAATATTCCAAAATTACAAATAGAAACAACTTACTTGGTGAGTTTTATTTTGAAAAAAAGAGAGAGAGAATGAAAGAAAACAATTCAAATGGAAGCAAAAAGATAATGCCTATAAAAATATTTCAGCTCAAATATTTACTTGTTTTAATATGTATAGTAATGAGAGTAAAGCTTCTATTTACCATAATTTCCTCTGAGCTCAATAGATATTTCCTTGCTTATAAAGTATTTTCTCAGTTTTAAATATTATGGTTTACAAATTTCAGTAGTAAAATAAATATGCTGATATTGAATTATAACCCACAGAAATATCAATGAGTTCTTGCTGATATAAATAAATGTGGAGAAAGGACAGCTGTCCATTACAGATTTTAATTAATAAATAGAGAAAGAAGAACGGCTGGGCATGGTGGCTCACACCTGTAATCCCAGCACTTTGGGAGGCTGATGTGGGCGGATCACGAGACCAGCCTGACCAACATGGTGAAACCCTACTCTACTAAAAATGCAAAAATTAGCCGGGCGTGGTGGCACGCACCTGTAGTCCCAGCTACTCAGGAGGCTGAGGCAGGAGAATCGCTTGAACCCAGGAGGTAGAAGTTCCAGTGAGCTGAGATCGTGCCACTGCACTCCAGCCTGGGTGACAGAGCGAGACTCCATCTCAAAAAAAAGAAAAAAGAAGAAAATAGAAAATCAAATTCACATTACATAAACACCACAGTCAACTATTGCAGACAAAATCTACTGGTTGATGCTATGTTTAGTGGGTGAAAGTTAGAGGAGAAATATACTTTTCATAGTCTCAAAACTTTCTCCCCAAGTAATTATTAACCTCAAAGGGAAAGGTGGTAACTTTACATTGAGAAACCTAGCAGAGGCCAGCCACCTTTATCTAGAGATCTAGAGTTAATTTTCCTTCTCTGACAATCGTATTTTGATATGTAAGATGTTAATATTGGTGAAGCTGGGTAAAGAGTATTTGAAAACTATTTGCACTATTTTTTCAACTTTTCTGTAAATCAAAAATTAGTTCAAAATGAAAAATTGAAAACTATGATTTACAGAGAAAACTCAATTGAAGATGTTCATACTTTCAGATTCACTAATCATAGAATTCCAACTTTGAGGAAAATTACAGAAAATTTTATTTAAAAAATTAAGACAATGGGGCCATATTTGAAAAAGAATCAGTTGGAGTCTCATTTTAATATCCTTATCCTTTGTATCTGGGCTGGCCTTGCGACTTGCTTTGATCAATGAAATGAGGCAAAATGATGTTCTACAACAGCATTATCACTTCTGCCTTCTGCTTGTGAGGGGAGAGGCCCAAACTGCCCAGCCATTCAAAGCAACACAGCCAAGGCCTCAGGCTTGAGAGTAAGGTCCTTGTCAGCTGGCCAGCTGGCCCCCAGCCAGTCCACCAACTGACGGGAAACATAGAAGTAAACCCCATCAATGCCAGTTAAATGCTGCCCAATTGTTGACCCATACAATTGTGAGCAAACGAACAGTTATTGTCTTAAGCTTTTAAGTTTTGGAGTGATTCTTTTTTTTCCTGTGGTAATTGCTAACTAATACAGATTAACAGGTGAGAGACTAACTTATTTCAACTCAAATGGTGAGGGAAAACTTGATTTGGAAGTGGTTTTTGAGCTTGCACTTGAAAGATTTAGAAAAGTGGAGATTGGGTGCAAAAGGCTTTCTAAATGAGAAATAGGGTAAAGGCCTCAAAGCAAGAGTACAGGAAATTCTGAAAAAGGATAGCAGCAGCCCTATGTGACTGGAGCATAGTGCCGAGAAGGCCTCTCTGAGCCAAACGTTGTAGACAGACCAAAATGAGTTCACTGGCAATTTCCATTACTAAACCTTTTACCAAAGCACTTTCATTCCATAAGATAAACTGATTGTTGGTGAGATGTTTCCAAAATTATGTTATCACAAATGAAAAGCACAGGTGTCCCATTTCTTTGTCCTTAGATGGCACAAATAAGAGTTTGTGATTCACAGCTGTAGTGCCAAAGGGAGAATTTTCCTGATACCTAGATAAACTATGAAGAAAATTTTACTCAATAATAACACTGGAGTTTGGATAAGGTTTAAGTTTAAACACAGGGGCATATGCTTGCAGATCTGAGAGCTCTGAGGAAGTTGTCTGTACTGTCATGCCAAGATACAAAGTGGATTTTAAAATCTTGACTTAAGCACAGTGTCTAGATAGGAAATGGGTTTTCAATCTTTATAGATGGGAGTATGAAATGTGGCTCTTGTTTCCACTTAGATGGCAGTGTAGAGTTTAAGAACACATGGGTTTTAATATCAGGTTGACTTGGGTTACATCTCGTTTTGTCCTGTTGCTAGATGTGCGATCTTAGGCAAGTTACAAAACCTAATTGAACTTCAGTTTCTTATCTGGAAACTGGAGGCAATAGTACCTATCCCATATGGTTTTTATGAAGATTTGACAAAATTATGTGTACAGAATGATAGCCCAGTGCCTATCCCTAATTAATATCCAATAGATGATGTTATAAATTATTATCCCAAGAATATTAGATTTACTCATCTATTTAAAATGCCTGATTTTTTCTGTATGTAACAAGTGAATAAAATGTGACTTTTTCTTAGAGGTCCTGATCATGTTTTTCAAACAAGTCAGATTTGCTGGATGTGTGTGATTTCTAGATGCTTCCAATATCTATGCATCTTAATGATTCATGGATCTAATATGGTGACATATTTTTTTCTGTGAAGGGAGATTTAACATATCAAGTGTCATTTTCACATTTGGTAGAGTGAACAGCAATGGCAGTAATTAGTCTCCAAAGATGGCCCTCAATGGACCATGCCTCCTAGTTCACATTGTTATATGAGTCTAGTGTCATATTGACTCTGGACTGGCCCTCTGATTCACTATTACAATGTGGTGAAAATGACACTGTATCAGTAATTGGGCCCAAGCCTTAGAAAAGCCTGACAATTTCTACTTTCATAATTTTGGAAGCCTGCCATTTAAAAAGTTGAGATACCTTACTGGAAGTATCATGGAGAGAGACAGCAGATGAGACTATGTAGAGTGAGAAAGTGGCACAGCTATCCCAGAATCCCAGCAGAGGCCAGCCTCCCAGCTGTTCCTGCCAAGGCACTAGATTTGTGAAATTAGTCATCTCGGACATTAAAACCCAGATAAGTCCTTGGATGACTCAGCCTGAGTGGATGTCAAGTGTAGCAAAAGAACCACAGAGTTGAGCCCAGTCAATCTACAAAATTGTGACAGAAAATAAAAATGGCTGTTGTTTCAAGATACTAAGCTTTGGGATGGTTTGTTACATAGCAATAAATAACCCAATAGCAATAGTCCTCTTATATGTGTTTGCATATTATAATGTTTCAAAGTATTAAAACAAGACTGTCATGAACATGCTTGAGTCTACTTTACTGGCTTACCTCATGCATAGTGCGCTGAGAATCAGACTGAAAGAAGCTTTTGATAAAGGAATTGTAATTTCTTGTATGCATTTTCCTGAGGGTGACTCTCTCCTTGGAGAGAAATAATTTAGAGCTTTCTGTTCTTTGAAGGTGTAGTAGGTGATGCACTGTTGTTCTATAGCAGTGCTTTGTTTTCCTAAAGCAATGTTTCTTGTAGGTCCCTGAAGTAGAAATCTGTGCCTTTAGCAGTGAGTTTGTGAGAAGAGTACTAGTTGCTGACAATTCATATCATAATGCTGTGTGGGAGATACTACATTGGAGCTCACTTAAATGAATTTTTCAGGATTATTATTGTGTGTAAGTGTGTGCATGTTTTACTCAGGACACAAATAGGCTTGACCTGGTTAATTTTGGCCAACTGGGACTGGTTGGGAGGGTCCTAGACCTGCATACTTGAATGTATGAGGTCAGTGCGGAGGTTTGGGGGACACCCAGATGCAACAGTTGGAAGATCAGAATGCAAATGTTAGAAGTAATAGGAAAGCTGTCCGCTTTGGAGAAAATGACAATGGGGAAATGGTATTTTCAGGATCAAGGATACACCAATCCTCACAAGAAAGAAAAAATCAGCAGGAAGCAGGTACCAGGCTGTAACATGGGGGTTGGACTTCCAGTCTCCTGAGCGGGGTGAATATGGGTCCCAGTGCTGCTAGGACTTATTTCTTACAATAAAAATAAAATAAAGGTGGCTTAGTAAAAAGTCTTACAGTTCTGATTTCTGAGGAGGATGGTAAGTTCTAGGATGCTATGCTGATGGAGCCTGCCAGTGGAAGTCAGTGGCTTAGCTGTGCCAGGAGGAGTATTGGAGAGTTGAGGTCAGATTTGAATGGACCTGCGAAAAGTCACATATTGCGCAGGATACACATAGAAATACATTTCTAAATCCCAGGAAGGAATGTAAGAGTCTGTGAGTTCCTGAACACTTTCCCAGCCTCCAGGAAGCTAAAATGAGAAGTACATAGAAAGAGTAACAAACCTTGAAGTTGCCCAATAGCCTGGAAAGAGCATGGCCTTTGAAGTGAAACAGATCCAAGTCTTAATCCTGGCTGTCATCACTAGTTTGATGGCTGTGAGCAAGTCACTTGAGCCAGTGAGGATTCAGTTTGCCTTCCTGTAATAAAAAGCTGGCCAACAGGGTTTGACCAAAAAGGGGTTTATTTTTCTCACGTCACAAGAAATCCGTAACTCACAAGTCCAGGACTAGTGCAACTGCTTGCTGCTCCTTCAACCTCTTCCCTTCACAATGCTCAGCATGTGGCTTTTGATATCATCCCTTAGATGGCTACTCCATTTCCAGGCATCACTTCCTAAAGACAATGAAGCAAAATCACCTCTTCAGAAGGCTTTTGTCATTTTGGGGGAATATAACCATTTTCCCAGTGACTTCTACATATATCTCATTCTATTTTGCACACATGTTATTTCATTTCACATACATACACACACAAACACACCTTTGCACACACACTTGGCCATCTAAATACCAGAGATTTGGGGAAAGGTCAATATTTTTAACTGGGTGTGTTACCAGTCCAAATTCTATGCCTTTGGAAGAAGGAAGAACAGATAAGTAAATAGCAATGGATTCCACATGCATTTGTTCATCTTTTCAATGGGGACAACAAGACTCCCATGGCAGGAAAATATCAAACACTGGGCATAACCCCTCCAGAATGTACGCTCCATGAGGGAAGGAATTCTTGTCTGTTTTATGACTGTTGTGTCACCAGCACCCAGAACAGTGTCTTTAATAACTATTTGCTGAATGGATGAAATTAGAGATAATAGTAAGCGTGCAGTGCATTGGCTGGCACACAGAGGGTCCAGGAGGTGATTGTTGTTACTGTCGTCACTGAGTCTGTCTGTGGTCAGTGTCATTGTCAAATGTCACTTTCAAAAGTCAATGTCATTGCCAGAGATTGCTAAGTAATATAGAGCAACTAGCTACAGCAGAGGCAAGCTTTCTCAAGAGAGGTATTTACTAACGTGAGTTAAATGGAAAATCATGGATTGGTCTAAGACAGGGTTTTCCTCAGTGTTGTCAACCTTACATTAAAAAAAAGTTATGTACCTTTTCCTGATCCAGCCAGCAAAACTTTCACTTTCTCAGAGAACCAATGTTGCCTTAAGATGTCAGTTGTTAAAGAATCCTGACCTGGAGTTAAAGTATCTAGAAGTCAACAAGGTTCAGGAAGACATCGTGAGCTATCATCAAAATATGCAGCTGTATTTTTAAATGTTAGAACTGGACTAATATTTCAAGAGCATCTATTCCATTACTGAGACAAAAACAGTAAGAGCTGATTTGCCCAATTTATATTAGTAACTCTGGACACTCTCAGAAGGGACTCTAGCTCTTCCAAATATAGGCCAGAGCTTTTTCCTCTCCAAACATTGACCCTCTCCACAGCCCACTAGCACCCCCCAGTTTGTCCTGCTCAGCTGCTAGCCACCTCCCATGGCCAGATGTACTGAGTGGATGCCACCTTAGCTTCAGAACAGCCCCTTCTTTGAGAGCCCCACCACAATTATGACATTGTCTTCCCTGGCACTGGACACAGAGATGATCACGACAGGTTCCCATCCTCCACTCTGCTCTTTTCCTTTCTCTGTTTCTCTCTTTAGGGTCCAGCTCCCTTCATTGGTCCCTCTTCTTCATCTCTCATTCCCTCCTAAACCCAACCCTCTAAAAATGCTATTACTGCATCACCAGGGACCTCAGAATTGTCAAATCCAATGGACACATATTTTTTCTGAACTTATCTTACGCTAGTGCTTCTGAAAAAAAATTTTTACCAGAATATTCCCAATATCAAGAGAGAAATATCATAAGCCTCAGGAAGTGTGGAGTTATGATCTGAAGCTAGAGCCACAGGCGTGAAATAATTTGGAAGTCTTATTTTGTCGTAAGAATTCATGTCAGTTTTCCAGTCTACTCTTCTAGGAAACCAGAGTTTTTTTCTTCAAATTTCTTAATAAAATGGATACTCAAGGGATACACTTGTTTTAATCCCATGGCTGCATGTCCCACCTGCTGCCTGTATTTGGTTTGAATATTATAACCCTAGCCAGGGTCTCTTGGGTATCCACAGCAGCAGTTTTATCCCCTAGGCTAGGTGGAAGCTAAATGAGACTGAAGGCAAGGGAGTGTGGCTTCTTTAAGCAGCATATACTCTTTCAGTTTCTTTCTTCTCACTTCCTCTCCTTGTTTTATGCTCCCTTGGAGAACAGAATGAGGCTAGGAAAGAAAGGGAGAAAGTATTCAGATGATCTGGCATTTGGGCTGGCGAATCTACTGCCTTGTTTAGTCATGGCAGCTGGGCTCCCATCCAAGGAGGATAAGAAGACCGCGGGGAGCAACCCTTGAACTTGGGGTGAAAGCTGCCAGGAAAGCTCTTTCACTGGAGATGGCATACCATGGAGCTTTCGCTCAGCTGTGTGTGTCACTCAGGGAAATGACAGTCAGAGGCCTGTATTGTTGCACCCAGATCTCAGACCTTCTTTCCAGAGAGTGGGCCATCTCTACCCTCTGTTCATCACACCCCCTTCTCTGTATTCTAAATACTCTGCCTTGACCACAAGTTTTATTTAGAACCACAGATAACTTCCTTTTGGGATATATCTCAGGCCATAATTTATACATGAGATTTTAACTAAAATTATTTTTGTAAACATTATCTTAGTTGGTTTTTAGAATTGAACTTACTGCATAGTTTTTCTTGTTAATACAAGCAACATCCAACTTTATATCCTCCATAACTAACAGTTCATGTCATATTTTCATATAATTTTTAAATGAAATGTAAAAATGGGTAGTATAGAGGGGGCCTTAACTCATCAGGATTTCTCCCAAAATATTTTCCTGTCAAAGAGAAAACAGAACAAAACACAGTGAGTAGATTAGAATTAAGTTCAGCTGGGAGAAACAGAAACAAAAACAAAACATTACTAGCATAATAAGACAGATGTTGATTTCTCTATGTGTAAAAGTCTGAAGGGGATGTGTTCTAGAGCTGTACGGCAGCTCTGCTCCACAAGGTGCTCTGGGATGCAACCTCCTTCCAGCTCACAGCTCCACTCACCAAGAGGTGGCTGTTATCTTCATGGACAAGGTAAAGGTATTAATAGTATCCAAATCCTAGGTAGCAGATGGAGACAAGGATGAAGACAGTGTAAAGGCTGAGCCAGCTGCCTCTTCAGGAAAATTCCTGGACATTGTCATGGGACACTTTCATTTATATCCCACTGTGGGCTTTAATTACATGGCCATACCAATTGGATGGGAGGGTGGGAAATGTCATTTTGATTTGGGGCAGCCAAAACTTCCATTTCTTTAGAAGCAGATTATGACCATGGGGAGACAGCTAGCAAGCTCTGTCACCCACCCCACCAACTTAGTCAATCTTGGCAGTATTTCTCATTATTTTGTTCTTGTCCTTCCTCATGCTGATCCTTCTTTGTGGCTATGCCTTCTCAGGCTTCTCTGCAGTCTCTTTTTCTTCTATACCATCCTCAATGTTAGTGTTTGCCACCATCTGGTCCTCAGGCACTCTTTTCTTCTCACTCTGTGAACACTCTCGCATGGCCACATAAATTCATGTCTTATACTACCCAATTTTTACAAACCTACATCTTTGTCCAAGATATTATTTTCTTAAATCCTAGATTAATATATCCAATTTCCTAAAGGGCTTCACTGCTTGAATATACAATAAGCAACTCAAACTCAATACATCTGAAATTAAACTCGTCATCTTTCTCATTAAACTCTGTTATGCCATCAGTGTCTACACCCACATGGTCACTTAAACCACAATTCTGGGATATGCCTGGAATCATCTCTCACACATGTTCAATGTCCATTTTTTTCCTTTCCTCTGCATCCTCCTTGCTTTTGCTTTGCTTTAGTTATAGCTAACATCTATTGAGCATTTGCATGTGCCAGCCCCTGATGCAAATATATTACATATTTTAACTCATTTAATCTGCAAACAACCCTACTATTATTATCTGCATTTTACAGATGAGGAAATTAAGGAACAGATAAGTAACTTTCCCAACTGTCACACATCGAGTAAATGGTAAAACCAGAATTTGAACCCAGGAAGTCGACTCCAGTGCACTCTCTCTTAACTGCAATAACTTTCTGTTTTAGCCCCTCATTGTTTATTTACCTTATTATTATAGAAGACTTTCAGTTTGTTTATCTTCTTCAATCTCACCAACTCCTCCCCGAAATTCCATCTTTCATACGAATAACTACCAGAATAGCTTTTCTAAAACACAATCTGGTCAGTTACCTAAAAATCCATCGGTGCTTCACCATCACTTTCAGGTGAAAGTTTCACCTCCTTAATGTTGCACAAGGCCCTTCATGATCTGGCCCCAGCACACCTCTACAGTCCCTTCTGGAACTTCCTCACAGACATGGTCCCATCCAGCCACACTAGATCATTCCAAGTTTCTGAACAGATCTTACTCTCCACACCTATCTCCTTGCTTTTTGCACTCACTCAGAGGTCCTATGTCAAAAGTACACTGTTATGAGTGTTGCTCAAAGCTCCCCAAGGGCTGAATAGGTAACCCTCTGTACTTTATTTACTTTTCACATAGTATGGTAAACGGAAGTTCAGTCTTCTCTCTCTCCCTTGGTGTCCTGTATAATTTCCTTGAAGGAAGAGTTGGTTCTTTGTATCTACAGTACCTACCAAAGTGTTTGGTGCATGATGATCATCGAGTAATTTTCAAAAAGGGATGAACTAAGGAACACAACTGCTTCTTCCCTTTTATGGCATTTTCCTAAACAAAACCCGGGACAAGGAGATCCCTTGAAAATCACTGACTTTACCCTTGTTTACTTACCTGCAGGAGAAATTCATCTTGGAGCAGGATCACAATACTATAAAGGCCACCTGGTTTGGTGTGGCACATGTTGGGGCTGCACGTGAGAGTATGGAAATAGAAAGAGTAGCATATGTTTATTCACATCAGTAAAGGGAACAAATTGAAACATAGGAGTCATGGTATCCAGACATAATATCAATATTTTGGGAAGTTATTTTTAATGAAGATAACTAAGGGGACTTAAAAGGGTGCATTTTTTTTCTCCTTTGCATGGCGATTGCTTTTTGGGGATGCCAATGCAGAAATTCTTGGGTTGTAGAATTTTTAAAAAGAAGAGCACACTAGTTTTATTTATTTTACAGGATTCTGGTGCCTTTGTGACAGGCAACCACAAGTGAAATTACCTTCAATGGTCTTGGCTTAGTCCCTCCTCTGCTCCTAATCATCCCCTCAAACCCACATACATTAGACAGAGCGGTTGTCCTTCACCACTAAAGAAATGCAGCCGAGAGTTATGTTACCGTGGAAACAGAATCACTTTTTGCTGCAAGACACACTGCTTCATCTGCACTATTATGAAGCAGAATACATTGGTAGGGCTGGGAGGGGAATAAAATATTCTGCCTGCCAGTGTTGTACTTGGCCTTTGGGGGAATAAATGACTTTCAATTAGAGTACTTAAATATCTTTTAACTTTAATAATTATTATTAGAGCCTCAACAGAATTTTACTTGGAAAAGAGTAAAAAAAAAAAAGATTCTTCTGTTAAAGTAAGAGCTATAAATTCTTTCAAACTACACCACTCCTGTTAAAGAAAATGCAAGAGAATTTACAATTAATGGGTTCATTGTGTATAAAGATAAGTGTTTTAGCTCTTCTTTGTTTTTTGACTTTCTAATTTGATCACCTTGTGGATTTGTGAGATTGTCCTTACCTCTTTCCTTTTTTGGTCTCTGCTTTTAGCTTCTTTGTAGTAAGCACACTTATTTACAGCTTCATCTTGTGTTGGGCTGTGTGTATGCAGGTCCACTGTTGTTGACTTGCTGCTGAGCGTCCAGCTAAGTCTGTGATCTAAGCCTGTCACCAGTCCCACTTCTGGGCCCTCCCAGCCAAAGCCACTAGTTCCCATTTGCTACCTGGTTCTGCTACTGGGAGGCTCCCTTCCCTAAATTCAGTCACGGTTCTATTTTGTTTTCTTTCCTCTACTTGATAGCTCTTACTGTTTGTGTTGTTATCAGTGTTGAAGAACAAATCCATATGACCTACACTAGTTGAAGGATGAACTCTATAGGATATCAGAAACAAAACAAGAATCCTGTGTCCTTCAGCTCCAAAGATGCTCACAGTTATTGAGTTTTCTTATAGGCCCCCAGAAAGCACTACTAAAACAAACAAACAAAAATCTTAAAACACACACACACATGCACACAAACACACACACACTCACATGTGTGCACATTATCTCACATTACCTCAGAGTCTAACTATAAGCATATAATCACAGGAAAATCCCACATCATGAAAAGGAAAAATATTTTATTGGCTGTAAATAAATTAGAAAAGAATGTGATACTTTAAAAGTGTTAGTGTTTTAATTCTAGAGGTAGCAAAGCAACCTTAAGAGACAAATGACAATTCTTGAGCAACTAGTCAGTGGCGGGCACTTTTTATATCTATCACCCCATTTCATTCTCAAATGAATCTCAATGGCTACTATTATTTTTATTTTGCAAATAAAATGAAGGCACTAAGACTCAAATAATTTATTTTAAAAAAAATCATTCTCCGATTGTATAATTCATCCATGTAACCAAAAACGACTAGTACCCTAAAAGCTACTAAAATTTTAAAAAGTCATTCTCAAATTCCCCACACAAACCCTAAATTGTTTCTGATTTCAAGTTTAGTGTTCTTTCCAAGTGCATCACCTCATACAGTGCTCAGCAAAGCTCTGAATTGGGTGGCTGGGGAGGGGTATGTGCTAAAATCCAGGGAAAAAATAAGAATACAGCCTCTAATTCTGCCTTTCCACCTCTAGACAGGACTTCGGGAAAATCATTTATTTGTTTCAAATTCAGATTTATTCATCCTGAATTAATATGGATAAATAACCTTTTATCTCTTCATGCAAGTAGGAAGTTAATGTGTGAAAAACATGTTGAAAATACTAAGGGCACTTTTATTTCTGTGGAAAGAATGACTTACTCCTGTTAACTATAATAGGTCCAGATTAATAGGTCCAGATCACTGTCAATCTATTCAGCCATCCCAATTAATTCAGCCACCAAATCATTATTAGTCTCAAATCTGCAATGTTTTGAGAGCTGACCCTGTCACATATTGCTTGGATATCTGCCAAATAATTTCTATAGTGTTGGGTTGAGTAGTGGATGCATAATACTTATCTTTAAGTAATGAAGTGTGGATCAAATCAAACTATCGTCCAATATCTAATTTAGTCACCAGTTATAGACCCTATTTCATCATAATACCAAAAAGGATTCATTAAATGCCTGGATACAATTAGTCTAAGTTGCTTTACGAAGATACAGTCATAACCTTTGTTCATGGTATTAAACTGATTTTTAAAATAATGATCTATTTTATTATCACATAGAAGGAAATATTTTATTTCTCTAAACTCCATTGCTTGCCTTTCAGAGAGCCTCAGGAAATATTAGTGGAGTAAATATTGAAAAATACTTACCCAGCACTTGAAATTTCACCTTCTGTGTCTCTTATAAATTAACAAAAAATTGCTTCATTTTGAGTATTTCATATGTATTTACTATACTATGAACTTTACAAATACCACCTCTTTTACTTTTTACAATGACTCTCTAAAATTGAATCTATTGGTGTCATCAGGTTTAAAGAGTAAAAATAACTTGCTCAAGTCAAAGTGCCAGTCTGTAGCACAGCCTGACTCAAATCCGTGCACACCAACTCTAAACTGCAACTCTTTTTTTTTTTTTTTTGAGATAGAGTCTTGCTCTGTCACCCAGGCTGGAGTGCAGTGGTGCAATCTCAGCTCGCTGCAACCTCTGCCTCCCGGGTTCAAGCGATTCTCCTGCCTCAGCCTCCCGAGTAGCTGGGGCTACAGGTCGCCTGACACCAAGCTGATTTTTGTATTTTTAGTAGAGACGGGGTTTCACCATATTGGCCAGGCTGGTCTCAAACTCCTGACCTCGTGATCCACCCACCTCAGCCTCCCAAAGTGCTGGGATTATAGGCGTGAGCCACTGCACCTGGCCACACTGCAACTCTTAACCGCAATTCTGCACATCAACCTTGTGTGTAAAGTTGCCTTTGAGAAAACCAGCTTTCTTTTGCTGCCCATCTCTGATAACTTGTTCATCCTTTGTTTTATAAAAGAAAAAAAAGAAAAGACAGAAAAAGAGAAGGAGCAAAGAAGGAAAGCAGGGAGAGAAGGAAAAAGGAAAGAAAAGGAAAAAAAAATCACTCAATGTTTTCCACCCTCCCTGAATAACCTGGGGATAAAGTAGATCCCATCCAAGTTTTTGACACGAGTCGACATTGTTGAAAATAATCATGTGAAGTGCCAGCTTTGTCTGATGATGTCATTTTGCCTTTGTTTTGCATTTATCAGGAGAAGTATTCTTGCAGATTAAAGGGCCACTGGAAGATATTTATAAAATCTACTGCTATCACCATGATGAAGCACATAGTATACTGGAGTCCTATGAAAAGGAAGAAGAGCTGAAGGAACATTTGAGCCACTGTATCCAGTCCTTAAAGTAAGGCCTTTTCAAATGATGATTCCCATCTCCTCTCAGTTGCCTAGCAGGGAACATTTTAAATGGATGTAGATGAAAGGTCTCACATAAATCCTATGTTTTATGAGACTTGCTGGGAGCTCTGCTTTGCATTCCCTTTATAAAAAGCTGACATGCCAGAAGCCCTGATTGACTTTTTTTCCCCCTGCGAGAATGACTAAAAATAACATGGAAGAAGATTTAGAGCTCTGCAGCGATTGAAAAATGCAATATCAAAATATAAAATGTGGAAGAAAAGCCTCTTCTTAAAGCTATTGTAACTTGCCTGGCCCCACGTAGTTCAAGGATTATGTGAGATAACACGTGGCCCCATGACCACTGGAGCACATGGGTTAATGGAGTTAGGGGAATGGCCTACAACTCTGCATGGCCGTCTTCTTTCCCCAAACTCACTGTGGGGAGATGGGTGAAGACAAGTCAGGCCTTGTTAAAGTTAGTTTCAGAACAATTACTCATGCCTTCCTTTCTCATCCCTAAAACATTGGTGGGGGAGCTACACAATGTACTTTTTCTTTTCTAGAGGAAGTATCTATTCACTGTGAAAATCTGAAAAATATAACAAAGTATGTGTAAGATAAAAACCCCTTGCTATTTCACTATTAGCCCCTTTCTTCTTAATAATCATTTTCTTCTGATATTATTTATATGTATAAATGTGGGTATGTGTTTGGATTGATTCTTTTAAATGGAATTGGTATCTTTCTGAATATGCAGTTTCCTATCACATGAAGCTTAAAGCCAAAATCACTACCATACTCCACATCTTACCCAGTGGCTCTCTTACAGACTCTCACTTGTAAGTAGTATCCACTGTCAAATAATTTTGATTAGACCAGGAATTAAACAACCACAGAGAGCTGTGGTGTATAAGTCAATGTACACCCGTCTGATCCTGTAGCACACCTCCCCCGTTTACTCTGTGTGATAGGGGAAAGAGGGATCCCCAACGGGGATGGGGATGGGGATCCTAACGTGGTACAAGAGGTTTTTAGCTGCACTAAATTGAAATCATGATACTACTCTGGAGGAGGCGTTTCCCGGCTAGAATTGGGTCTGAAAGTGAGTTTAAAATGAGCCCAGTGAATTTTTTTTTTAAATAAATAAAATTTCAACTTTATTGCCGTCTACTGGTCATTAAATTACTGCAGTTTTAAACCATTCTTCATGCTATGGAAAAGAATTCAAGTCACCAAATCTTAAGCATTTATTTAGTGTTTGTGCTGTGTCAAGCGTAGTTCTGGGGGCTAAGTATACAAAAGTAAATAAGACTTAGATTCTGCCCTAAGGAACTCAATATGATCAGTTAAGTCTTAAATATAAGATGTAATGAGCAAGTAGCTCTAGTTAATTATTTCTATTTTCAGTTTAGGTTCAGTGTTAGTATATCAATTCAGAGAAACATTCAAATTTGAAGTTGTGTTCATTTTAATAAATTCATATATTAGAAGCACAGTCCTCTAAATGTTCAGCTGTTTTATTCTTTGGGAAAAAAAAGGAAATGGTGTTATCCTGGGTTTGAATGAACACCTTTCCTACCTTAAACAAGTGGCAAGATCTGATCCAATAAAAGCTGGAGCCATTTTCCTTCTTCGGGTTCTAGAACTAAGCGTGAGAAATGTCACAGAAAGTGAACATTTAGCACCTTTGATCAAACCCCACCCAATGCCAGCCCTGGGGATGGAGGTCCTTGCCTGAAAAGAATGTGGTGCCTCTACTTTAGGCATGCGCTTCTAACTGTTCACCAGAAGTGGAGCAGTCTGTTCAGAGAGGAAAGAACATCAGTTTACTATTCATTAAACTTTTAACTTTTAAGAGAAAGAAACAGACCCTGCCAGAAGATTCCACTAGGCAGTATAGCCCAGTATCATATCCCCACAAAGCAGCTAAAGGCAGAGGTGATTTTAGAACCTCATGAAGTCTCAGTTACTGAAAATTATTTTCAGACCCAATGGCTTATTTGGTCTTTTTCTGCAAGTTTCAGGTAATTCCCCTGGCCATGCCCCAAATTTTGAGTTTAGAGCTATTCTGATTTTAGGTAACAGTTGCAGGCACTGGAAGGTGTTAAGGTTTAGAAAGCAAAAAAGCCAAAAGAAGCAGTATTGGCACAACTATTTCTTAAGGGAAAGAAAATCAAATAAAATAGCTGAAGTTAGAGCTATTTTCCCAAAAGTTGCCTTTCCATGAAAATAAAGTTAATGATGGATTGTACTGGTCTGCCTGAAGGCTGAGGGCAGTAGAATTATTGACATTACTATAATACTGACCTCAATCGAGCTAACCTTTAAATTCTGAGAAACAGGTTTTCAAACAGGTTTATAGGCCAAAGAGAGTCTGGAACACCCTAAGGGCTTGGTTTTCCTGGCCAAGTAATCAGTCAAAGCTATTACTGTCACTCTGCCTTTTCCTTGTGGCTAGATAACACAGCCCAAGTGCAGTTGCCAATTTCTAATGAATACTAGGTGTGGCCTCCATTTTATCCTGTGCAAGGGGATATTGGAAATCTTTGTTCGAAGCAATATCCACGAGAGAGGTGGCTTCATGCCTCAGAAGTTAAGGTGGATTTTAAAGCAATTTAGGCTGCTTTTTAACCAAAATTACAGTATGTTTATTGAGGGCCTAATAAATATTTAATAAGAGTGCTAAATAATGTTGAAAATATTTTTTAAAAATATATAAGCATAGTTCTTGCCTCTCAGGAACACAAACCCTAGTTGAGGAGATAAACAAAACCATGTGGAAAGTTTAATAACAATACAAGAATTAATTTAAATAACACCAGAAGCTTTCACAGTGGCTGCAGTTCAAGACTAATTCCCAAAAGAGTAGTAGAGATATTACCTGGTTCTGTAAAAGACCCAAGTTTCTAACTTTCAATTATTCTTTGAAGCCAATTATCTTTCAAAAGAGAGAATAATGTTGAATCCTTTCATAACGTGAGGGCAGTGTTTTTCTGTGTGGAGTTCCCTTGCGCCAGATCCACCAGGATGGTGTATTAAAAGTACAGATTCCTATGCTCTGCCTCAGACCAAAAAAAAATACTATTTCTGGTGGTCCAGTTCAGGGTCTGCTCTTTTAACAAGCCACCTCAGGTGATTTTCCATACACACTCAAGTTAAGAACTAAATTAGTGGGAGAAATCATACTTGCTGCTTTCCCTGAAGCAGGTGGGTTTTTTCATCAATATAGATACAATCTAAGCAGTAACTACAGAGTTTGGAGACCTTCAAAAAGAAAAGATTCTAAGGCTCTCCAAAAGCAAATACACATCTGCATCTATAGCCTACAAATTGGAAATTAGCAAGTTTTTATTTATTCAACAAAAAGTTTTGACAGTCAAATTAGTGACCCCTAAGATTGTGTGAAATACTGTATTAAAATAGTCTCCAAAGTTATGGAAGTTATTTGCTAAAGATCTTATTACTTAGCCTTCTTGGGGTTATTTAAGGTTTCTGATCTGTATGAGGAATGTGAAAGATAGCGTGGCTATAAATGCAAATGTAGCTATAATTAGAATAGCCTGTCTGTTGCCTCCTTTTTCTGCTTTTCCATTTATAAATACCACTAAAGTCCCTGCTGCATTTCAGAGGCCCCAGAGATCTGTTTATTTTGTAATAGAAAGAGAATGAAGGGGATTTTCTAAGTTTTTGATGGATGGAAGACACATTTCTAGCTTCATGTCTAGTTGTTATAAATGTATCTGTATTTTTCTTCTTGCTAATCAAGGCCATCATCCCCAGGAGGAAAACTTCTAACTTCTAGTCATCTGGGCACTTTGGCTGCTCACATTACTCCTGGAGCTTCTCCATTCAGGGAGGAAGCTAAAAGCTCATGCAATGCAAAATCCAAAGGAATACATTTCAATTTGTTCACCACATTTTATACTCATTATTCTAATGGAGTGTTCCAAGTAAAAATTAAAATCACTTTTGGAAAGCCCTTCAGTTCCTTGTTATATGGCATCATGTTTGAACAAAGACTATAATCCTTAAGGAATAGTCACATAAAAACTTGTTAATTGTGAGTCAAAGTATAATGTGTTCATGAGGGTAGGAGGTATAGTGATAAATATATTAAATTACTTTATCCCATAAAAGGGTAAATGGACACATTTTAAATTCTTCCTTCCTGAATTGCCCTTGGTTGGGATTAGCTTCTGCAAAGTTTCAGCCTAAAAGAGATTTTTTTAAAAATGATGAACAAATAAAAAGATGTTATAATATAGTGCCACTACTCCACAGATTGTTGTTTTATCCTACTGGAAAATCTCTCAGATTCCCTTTCATAAAGCGTTATACTACATAAACACAATGTTTAATTTATGTTATGATATTTAGGTTTTACTTGGCTAAAATAAATGAAATAGAAAAAAAAACCCCATGTTTTCTGTAGGAGTTAAAAGAATAACCTTCTCTTTCAACTTCAATGTATGTGTTTTGATTCCTAAATGATCACATTATTCACTTATTGGTTTGCATGAAAAATTGCATTTTTATTTTTATTCATTTTCTTCCCCAGATTTTCTGACCTATGACGCACAAAGCATATCTGGCAAATAAAATTTCCCTTTAGAAGAGGAAAGAAGGAAGCATGTGAGCTTAAAGGAAATGATTGGAAGGAAATATTGGGCAGGAGGTGGTGGTGGTATTTCTTTCATTGCAATAGGAGAGTTCTTTAAACAGTCGTGAATAATTGCCTAAAATTATAGCAGCTGCTGATTTTAAAAAAATTATAATTCTGTGCTTGATTCCCATCTAATAGGTCTTAGACTAAGCAAAACCTAGTTATGTTAGGATGTCTAGCAATTCACTCATATAGCATGTCTGGAGATTGAGGAAACAATTGCTTCACACATGTCCCCCACCATTTTCCACATATACAAAGTACTGAGATTAATGGAAAAAAACTTATTAAATCCATTAAATTTTACAAAATGCAGCTTAGGCACTTATTAAATTTTTCCTCAATCACTGAATGTAAAAAGACCATCTATTATTATGGAATGGATCTTAAAATTTTTTTATATTGAAAACATTTATTGTACTCCAAATGGTTGGAAACCAAAGCCCACAGTGATCAGATAATAAACACAGGATATTATTTTATTTATCCATAGCCACTTGAGGCTTTTAGATAAAAACTTTCATCTTCTTTATTTGTTAGGGACATGATTATAAAATAATGAGACTACTTCTATAAGGCATTCATGAAAATTACTTATTTTATTTTACATAAGAAAATTTAAAAGGATTTATAATGTTTGTATATTACCTTAAATATACAGATTTACATGAATTTACTTTCTTTTTCTTCTCTTACAGGAAAATATACATGCAAGAGTAAGTACTTTTTAAAATAATATAAATCAAATATAAAAATCACGAGAAAATGCAGCTGACTGTTCCTGTCCAAATCAGAAATTCTGATTTTTCTAATCATGAGTATTGCTTTTAATAATCCAGGATTGCAAAGGCATTTACCCCATTACTGGTGCATATTTTACTTATTAAATTATTATCACATATACTTTACCAAACCTTTTAGAAGAATCCCAACATATAATTTACTAAGTTTGCTGATGCCAGAAAGTCTTTGGGAACTGCTCATCATACATATGTTTGGGAATCTTAATGTGTCCAAAAACACTTCTTTCTATGAAACATATTAGTCTTTAAAAAATCTCAGATTAATATCATAATGCATTTGAAGTTTCTATAGATTAATGCATAAGAAAAGATTATTTTATGAAAATATTAGATTTCTTCTAATTTCAAGTCTTGTATGATTTATGGAGAAAAAAATCATACACATTATAGCATGAAAATGAAATATTAAGGTGAAATAGTTGGTTACTAGGACAATATAGAAATTATTTTAGAAAAACAGCGTATACAAACACTCTGAAAGAGGTCCATTATTCTAGAAGAAAATGTATCCAGGCTGATTAATGCTGAAAGGATGAAATTGACTTCAATACAAACTCCAATTTATTTACCAGGCACATGTTTGGCTTATGATGAGCAACTCTTTAAGGTCCCAAGCTTCTAGTGTGTGTTTGCTTGTGTGTGTGTATGTACTTTAAATTCCTAAGAGTTTATATGAAGAAATAAAGAGCTTACAAAATATAAATTATATTAATGTAAGCAGCAAATATCTGTCATTCATATTTTGGTGCAGAGCAACAGTGAGAACGGAATTCTGGAACTGAAGTGAAGGAGTCAGGCATCATACAGATCTGTAGACCAGGGCTGTATATCTCAGTCAAGTTGAGAAGCTGATTTTTGAGACACCAGACAGGCAACCAGTTCTCTCACTTTATCAGTCTTTTCTTTTCTTTTCCTTTCTTTTTTCAAAAGGAAAAACTATCCGACAGTATAAACAGATATGAGTAGATTTGTCTTATGAGTTTCCAATTCTAGGCTCATTTGAATTCAAAGAGGTGCATCGGCCTCCTGGCTTCTCTTCAAAGATAGTTGATGGGGGCTGGGAAATGGCTCTGCCTCATTATACAGCCTGTGTCCCTGGCATTGTGCCAAGGACTGGAGCTTTGCATAACTGAGTGGTTAGAGAGGAACTTCATGTGCTACAAATTCTGCTTAGGTTTCCTTTTCTAAAGCTTGCATTAGGTCTTTGGAACCAAGAAACAAGAAGAGAGGAGAGAGAGATTCAGAGGAGAAAAAGGGAGATATTCTTCTTAGTACAATTTGCATGCACGGACTTCTACATACAGAATACTTAAACAGTTCATTGTATTGAAACACGCTTAAAAATGGCCCTAGCACTTGCTGCAATCCTGCTGTGTAGGAGTTAGCCAGGTTGTGTCTGCTCCCTCTAGACTATTCTATACATCAAGAACTAAAAAAGAAGAGCAATCCCAGCATGTGGCTGGATGCACATCAAAGCCAAGTCTGCCATGAATTATTTTCCTTCCTGTTCCTTTCATTCAGGTCATGAAGCACACATACTGCTACAGGAAAGGGCAAAAGGCAATGTCAAGTGCTGTGTAATTGTTGGGTTCTTTAGTGGCAAAGGCCAGCAATGTTGCAGCCAAAAGGGCATTTAAGAGTACAAGATGTGGGTTTTTACATGGCATTCAATAATCCCTCACTTATGGCAATCAAAAATTATCCGTTTTTTAGGTTTTTTTTACAACCTACCTTCTTAAAAATACAAAGTGAAAGATATTTGTAATTTCTAAAATGTTTACTTTGAATTATAACCTCACGCAAACATCAGACAGTATTAAAGTGACAGCAATCATAGAACTTCCCACTAAAAGCAAGAAAAAAATGCCTATTCTAAACACAGCTATCTTCAGAAATGCAGTGTTTTGTTATCTTTATGCTTTCACTCTTTTTTTTATGTGTTCCCTGTCAGATTAGCTATTCTCACCTTGGATTTCAAGGTTCCTATTAATCACAAAATATTATAAATTATTTTCTCTTTTCTTTGTATTTTAAAAATTATTGAAGAAACATTGCAAAAAAAGGAAAATAAAAATGAGGACAGTAAAGACAATCAGCAGTCACATTCCAAAGCTAACTATTGTAGCATTGCAGTGAGTCCCTCACTTCACCATACTTTTTTCTTCACACACATACATTGACTAAAATAGGAACACTATACGTTTCTTGTATGTCGACTTGCTACCTCATTCATCATCAATATGTTGTGAATATCTTTCCATGTCAGTAAATATAAATCCACATTGTTTTATACTTGCATAATATTCTGTCTGATATATATGCCATAATTTAGTTTGCCAAACCCTTACTGACAGTTGAATTTTGTCTGTCTTATTGATGTCATAAGTTTATTTTTATATATGATCTTGGTACAATAATTTGATTTTTTGGATCAATTTCTGAAAGTGAAATTGCTAGATCAAAGGGCTTTTGATACTTATTGTCAGAACATTTCAAAAAAAGCTGAGCTAATTTATATTCTCACTACTCTTATGTCAATTGTTCATTTATCCACTACTTGCCAACACTAGATACAAATAATATTGATATCTTTATAACTTGTAATGTATAGGCCCAAATAGTATCCTGTTATTTTAATTTGCATTTTTCCTATGTATTTAACTATTTGTATTTCATTTCTAACGAATGATGTTTTTAAATGATTATTCACTTTTACTGAGATGTTCATTTTTTCTAATACGTTTGTAATGTCTCTTTAATTAGTGCATATTAACCTTTGTCTTATGTATTATATATAATTTTTCCAGTTTATCATCTGACTTTTAACACAGTTTATGGCTGTTTCAGGCTGTTTTTAATCTATAAAATTTTACGGAGCTAAATTTTTAAATAGACATCATTTTTTTCTACTGTGCCTTTCAGATTTTGTGTCTGCCTTAGAAATTCCAACATTAGTTTATAAAGGATGATCCTATGATTTCTTCAAATTCTTATATGGTTTAATTTTTAGATTTAATATTTGACCTATCTCGAAATTATTTTAGTGTAAAGAATGAGGCCAAAATCCATTTTTATTGTTTTATTTATGGCTAGTTAATTCTCATAACATCTGATATTGAATAATTCACTTTTTCCCACTGAATAGGATTGTCAAATTTACCATGTACTCTATTTCTATACATATTTGTATCTATTTCTTGATTTTCTATTTTGTGCTACTCATTTGTCCATAAATGTATCAATACCAAACTGCTTTTATTTTTGTAGCTTTATAATATATTTTAATATTGAGTATCATTAGTCTCAGCTCAGTACTTTTCTTTTACAATTTTTTGAGTATTCTTGCATATTCCCTTTTTATAAAGAACTTTTTATTAAAAATGATATATAGCCCTGTTTCAATAGCCAAATCGTTCTGCAAGATTTGTCAAGAAAAATAGTAATCCCCTCTTCTCCTGCCAGCCCCTAAATTCTCATTAGAATACATTACTTTCACATCTTTAGCTGTCTATTTTGGTATTTATCTTTATTACTCTAAAAACATGCTTGGTTGTTTCCTTTTTAGATACTATCTTTAACTTTCTCCTGTAGAAGACAAGAATTTATTTCTCTTTCCTATCCCTATCTCCTCTACACACAACAAACACACACACAAACGCCTTTTCCATTTCTCCATTCCCCCTAAGTTGTTACGCTGTAATTTTGTTAGAGCAATAATCAATGTCTGATTATTATATCTAAGTAAACTTCTTTTCAGAGCTAAACCTTAAAGTGATTACTTATTTTTCTATGAATTAACAATTGTTGATTATCGTTTTCATTGTGCCCTCCTCCTCCACTTCATCTACTTTCTCTGCTGCTTCTTGTTCTTCATTTACTTAGTTTTCTTTGTATTAACAATTAATGCCAAACTCACAGCCAGTTAACTAAGTCATCTTTCAAGACAACCAGATGCATTATGTATGCTATCAATTTCATCTCCCCAAAAGAGCCCCTTCCAGAGTCTCCAGTCCAGTTGGACTGGTGACACCAGGTGCAGCCATCTTGTAGGAATTCCCCTCCCATCATCCTGGAGATTCTCTTTGCTTCTTTCCTGTGTTGGTTCTAACTCATTTTGGTGGAGTACATCCTTCAGTAGTTTCTTCTATTCCTCACAGAATGCATGGGAAGTAAAATGTTAAGAACTTTGTATCTGAAATACTTTTCTTTTACTCTCACGCTTGGTTTATAGTTTGATTTGCTATCGAATTCTAAATTGGAAACCATTCACCTTCAGAATTTAGAGGTAATTCTTTATCATTTTCTAGCTTTCAGAGTTGCTATTAGAAATCTGAAACATTCTGATTCCTAATTATGCATTTATACCTATGTGCTTATTTCTTTTTCTGAAGGATTATAGAGTCTTCTTTTTGTCCTTAGCACTCTGAAGTTCATGAATTCCAAGGTGTGACTCCATTTCTTCCATTGTGCTGGACACTTAGTGAGTTCTTTTAACCTGCAAATTCCTGTCTTTTTCTTGAATTATTTCGCTCACTATTTACTCCTCATATTTGCTTTGTTTTACCTTTCTGTGATTCTTATTAGTAGATGATGAAGTTCCTAGACCAGTCATCTAATTTTCTCATTTTTTTTTCTATTTTCTATTCTTTTGTGTGTTTGTTCTTCTCTTTGGAAAGTTTCAAGACATTATCTCCAACACTTGTAAGAATTAGACACTTTCTTAAACAGATTTTCAATGGACCCTCCTTATTTTGGTATCCAGCCCCTCATTCCCTATTTCCATGGGTAACCAGTGACTGTAATTGATTAACATTTGCAAAATGATTAAACATTGCCTCACCATTTCACTGGTTCTATCTGGTCTGTTACATCGGTTACTATTCATTTATCTCCCTTATGTATTCTAATTTAATAATTATTATGATGTATTTATTTTCACTATTATCTTTTATTTATGACAAATGCTGTTTATTTGTGTAACAATATACAGTTTCCTTTAAAATTGACTTAGGTATTTTAAAAGGAGAGTAAATTGAAAAAAGTAACAGCATAAATGCTTGTGGCTACTGTAAAATAAATATTAAATTTAGGATGCTTGTGATCATGAAATAAAGGAAATTCAAAGTAATATAGTTAATAGTTACATAATTATTCTTTTTTTTATGTATTTTTTCCTTCCCATTAAGAAATATAGATGCGCTGCATGTTGAATATCTAATTTTTTTTTGTTTTCCAGCATAATGTTTATATTATTTAAAAATCATTTTAATTTTCATTGTACTTTTTTCTTGTATTTGATATGAAACTCTGCAGCAAAACTGGATGCTGCTAAAACAAAGCCAGCTGTGTTTACTTGACTTTGTAAAGACCCAAAAATAATTTGTAATGAGATTAGTGTAGCTACTTTTGGCACTAAATACTTGCCAAAGTATTTATGATAAGACAGAGGAAGATGAAATAGAATTACAAATTAATAAGTAGTTTAGTTTTTGGCCCAATATATATGAGCAATTGTTACACGTTTGTTTACTTACTGTGGGGAGTCATGGGATAATTGACTTCCTGGCTGAGATGGGTTATATCACACATAGGACTCATCTGCCTCGCATGGTTACCAGAACTGAATCTTACTGTGGGAGATTAGATGGGGTGAATTTTGTGGCACTGAAAGCATGGAGTATTATTATCTTATAACACTCCCTCTATCTTTTCTACGATATTGCTTGTCTGTGCGATGCAGTTTTCTGAATATCATTGCTCATCACTTGGGCAACTCTCTCAAGTATATCTCCAGACACAAAAGTGTCTGGGAGATTTCTCATTTTTGAGAACGCCTTTTTTAGGATTTGTATTTATGACTTTTTTAGGAGAAACAACAATCATGTATAAATACTATTATTGTCATTTGAAATATAAAAGGGAGAGATAGAACTTTAATCCCAAAGAGTGATGAATAAAAAGTAATGATACAATCTAGACACAACAGAGCCTAAGTTGGTTTTTTGATAGATCTGGATAAGAAAGAAATGAGAGCAGTTCTTAACATTTAAAGTTAAAGTTCTTAACATTTTACTTCCCATTCATTCTGTGAGGAATAGAAGAAACTACTGAAGGATGTACTCTATCAAAATGAGGAAGAACCAACACAGGAAAGAGGCAAAGAGAATCTCCAGGATGATGGGAGGGGAATTCCTACAAGACGGCTGCACATCTGGGTTTTTGTTTTTTATAATTAAAAATAAGAGCATATATATAACAAAAGACCACACTAATAAACTATTTTATTAAAGTTGAATTTATATTGATTTAAATGTTTGATTATATTTTGATAGTCTTTTAGTGATTTTCAAAGATTAAATAAGTTAGCATTTGATAATAAAAATTCAAAAGAAATTCTGATTATATTCATGTAGATAATATGATTTCCTCTAATCAAGTTAATACCTTTCATATCCTTGACTTGTTTCTTATTTAAGGGAATTATTTCTACTTTCTACTTAAGTGACTAAACTGTTGTATTATTGAAGAACCTCTGCTTACAATATATAAGAAAATGTCCTTCATATTTAAAGGTTTTGCTACTGATACACCATCAGTTAGAAAATATCTTTTGGGTTTTTTGTTAGTTTTTTTTTTTCAGTATAAATACTGAAAACAGTTTTCAGTATTTATAATAGATTTATTTTTAAAATCTACTTCACTCAGTCGTCTTGGAAACCAATAATCCATCTCTCCTTCCCTCCCTCTTTCCGAGTCTCTCTTTTTCCCTCTTTCTGCCTCCTTCCCCCTCTGTCACTTTCTCTCCTTACCTTCCTCTTTTTCTTCCTTAATAGATTTGGTGCAAATAGGTATGAAGTAGAAGATACAGCCTATTAAAGCAACTCTTTACTCCCTTGCAGACCTTTAATACTTATTCTGGTTTTCTTTTTAAAAAAATGTTGCCTTTGGGTTTGCTTTAGTCTTTGTCTCTCTTATGCTATCATCATTTTCTCTGCATGTGAACAAAATTCCTCAGCCATTTATTCACGTTTTTGGAAAAAACGTTCGGTATAAGATAAAAGTACATTACAGAAAATCTGAGAACTCTATCATTTCTCAGTCCACAAATATGCATTGAGAGAATACTGTATGCCATGCAGGAGGTAGAGTGGAGACAGGGAAACTGATCATAAACTGGCAAATAGGGAAACAAGATGATTCCAGATAGTGATAAGTGGAGAGATGTGATAGTGACTAGTGTATGTTTGTGAATGTATGTGCATGTGTATTTCTCCACATTGTGTGCATGTACATGTGATAATACATTCTTTTGTTTCTCATTTATCAAATGAATTGAATTAGATGGTCTCTAAGATGCCTTCCTACTTTTTTTTTTTTTTTTTTTTTTTGCGACAGGCTCTCACTCTGTTGCCCAGGCTGGAGTGCAGCGGCTCACTGCAGCCTCGACCTCCCCAGCTTAAGCAATCTGCCCACCTCAGCCTCCCAAGTATCTGAGACTACAGGTGCCTGCCACCATGCCTGGCTAACTTTTGTATTTTTTTCTAGAGACGGGGTTTTGCTATGTTGCCCAGGCTGGTCTTGAACTCCTGGGCTCAAGTAATCTGCCTGCCTTGGCCTCCCAAAGTGCTGGGATTACAGGCCCAAACCACTGTGCCTGGCCCCCGACCCTTTCTAATGATGCAACTTTTCTAATTTTGTTCAACATTTTTATAGCTGTTTTACTATTCTAATAATATGGTCAGTCATTTATCCATAGCAATACTTTAAAAAATTATTGAAGTATAAAACATCCACCTATTGGGATTTGAAAACAGTGTCTGTATTTCCTATCTACAGTGTATCTTTATTGGTCTCTGCATAAAGAGGCTTTTAGAAATCACTGCCTTCTGTCTGAATGATCAATGAGAGTGGGCTAGACAATGGCATGACCAAGCTTGTAGCTTCTTCCCCTCCTGTGAACTGCCTAACCAGTTGGAACGGCTCCAACTTCGTCTCAGAAGCTGCTAAAGGAAAAGTCAGGCATGAGTCTCACTTTTGTGTAGTCATTTGAAGATTTGTTGACTAAGAATTCCACATGGAATGTCACTGTGTGATAGCAATGATTAGTGATAGGGATAGTAATAATAATAACTAAAGAATTATCACATTTATCAGAAGTCCCTTTTGGGGACTGTGGTAGAACCTACAAAACATTGTAAATGCAACTTCTCAATTTGGTGGAAGAGAGAGGCCAAGACTTCCTTTTAACTATACCTTTGCAAGCCTCTGTTAAGATTTTTAAATGGTTATTCTCCTCAATAATAATCACCAAAATGCCATCAGGAAAATGCATTTTTCTTTGTTGTCATGGTAAAATACGTTCTGAAATTGTTTCCCATTATATTATAAAGCCAATTATAAAAAACCTTGTAAACTGTACATGGCATATGGATGAAAATCATGCTTTGAGACAATTTGATGGAAAGTTATACTTGTTTCTTTTAGGTTTTTGTTTCATAGTAGGGTCTTTCAGATTTGCTTCTTTCTGTCGTCTTTTGCTCTTGCTTTTATTTAGAAATTTTAGATATACAAATGAAAAAAAGAGAAAATGTTTTAGAAGTAATCATAAAAACACACAAAAATGAAAATGTGTTAATAAAACATATGTTTGTGAAACTGATATTATTTATCTGTATTGTAGAGGCAAACCAAACTTATTGGACATGGGCTCTTTGATGATCAAACCAATTCAACGTGTGATGAAATACCCCCTATTACTGTGCGAACTTCGGAATTCCACCCCTCCCTCTCACCCAGATTACAGAGCACTGGACGATGCCTTTGCTGCTGTGAAGGACATTAATGTTAACATCAATGAACTTAAAAGAAGGAAAGATTTAGGTAGGAAGAGACATGATGAATTGGTTGTTTTCCATTATTGGAGTGTTTGCTTTATGTTTCTGAGAATCAGAATGTTTAAGTAGTTATAGCAGCTGCAGTGAACTGATCATTTGAAATCTACAATTAGAAGCTGGAGAGAAGAGTGTGGTTTTGCCTTGTCAGCTGGGTTAAGGAGAAGATTAAGAGGCACAAGAAATGAAATTAAAAAATAAATCAAGCAGCCATATGCTCAACTTCATTGGACCACTGCAATCCTGGTGACATATTGTGGGCTGAAGAAACCCATTGCATATAGTCCTCCTGTCACTGGAGATATGTGTGGTAAGAAAGAGAAATGGCCACGTTGCAATAGCAGTGGGAAGCAAATGCAGAAAGCACCCAGGAAAGGGGAAGATCTAGGTGACAGAGGCCATCTAGTCTTTTGGATTCATCTGGTTCTGGCACACAGAGAATGGAGCTTTTGTGGCAATAATTTCTCTACTGATGTGAGCAAGTATACTTCTTTCTAGAATTAGCAAATTATTGTTAACTATTTGTAAGCTAAAATATAAAATTAGTGTTTAATGTAAAATTTCAAAACAGAAGGGATAATTACATGGTTCCTATACATCCCAGAGGTAGTAATGCATTGAGCTAGGCTGTGGGTCCTCCCTCAGTGTGATTTGTGTTCACATAAGTTCTTAGTTGGTGTTGTACTGCTATTATTAAATCTCAGTTTGACATTAAAGCCACAGCAGGACTTTAGAGCTAAATGGTCTAATCACTTTATTTATTTTTGTTTTATTTTCTGATGTTTATTTCAAAAGTCATATATTTGTATTAGTAAATTAAAAAGAAAGGTGTAGAATAAAAAGTAAATGTTATGGAGTAAGAAAACTCCGTGAACAAAATGAAGAGATAGTATACAAAGGATCACTGTCCAGACTATATAATCACTGACATTAAATCAATAAAAAAACATTGTAATACAAAAAGGTTAAAAATAAAAAGAAGCAATTCACAGTTTTAAAATTCTAATCTTCATTTATACTCAGGGAAATGTAATCATTGAAATCACACTAACATACCATTTCCAGTCCAAGAGACTGGAGGGAAAAAGTAATGAATACGCTAAATGTTGAATCTCAATCTACAGGTGAGAATGTACTTGGAATCACTAGTTTAGAGAACAACTTGACAATACCTAGCAAAGTTGAAGATGCACAGACCGGAGACTCAGAAAATGAATTTCTAAGTATTTGCCCAAGAGAGACTCTTGCCCATGTGCTCAAAGAGAGGTGTACTGGTAACTAGCATTGTTCATAAATGCAAATAAAAAAGACACATTAATCCAGATAGTGGATAAACTGCATATTATACACTACAATACCACAAGAAGATAAAAATTAACTAAATAAAAAAGTAGGTGTATCAATGGGTTAATCTCAAAAACACAATCCAGAGGGTTTTTTTTTTAAAGTAAATTTGCAAGTGGTAGAAGAATATGTGCAATATGATACTATTTTATAAAGTTTTAAAACATTCAAAATGTATTTTATAATTCCAAACATCCACAGTAAAAGCATAAAAATAGATACAGATATTATAAGCCCCAATATTTAGGATAACAGTTCCCTTTAGGGATCATACATGGAGATCAGGGTGCCTCAACTGTTAGGTGAGTTGTTTTAAAAATAAGAAGACTGGAAACAAAGCAAAATGTTAAGACTGGACAAGGTTTTAGATAATGGCTGTTACATTATTCTTTATATTTTTCTGTTTGCTTAAACTATTTCAAAGTTTTGAAGAGTAAAATTCTTCCCTTCCCACCATGATTCCAGTTTGCATAGCTAACATTTTATTGTTTTCTTCAGACGTACTCTGTCTTCTTTTCTCTTTTCTTCTGTCTTTCTCTCTCTCTTCCTCTCCCTCTCTCCCTTTTCCTTCTTTCCATACTTCTTGCAACATATATGGTACTATAGTTTGTTTTTTTAAAAACTTAATCGTATATCATGAACATTCTTTCAATTAATATTGCCTTCTTTTTAATGTTTCCATAGCATTTTATTTATGAGTATATCATTATTTATTAAACTATTTCTCTAAGGATAAATATATAGATGTTCCTAATACCTTGCTGTTAGAAAAAAAATACTCTAACAAATAAAACTTTGTATACTTGATTATGGAAAGCAGATTCTCTGCATGAACTTCCTGGTAATAGACTATGAATATTTTCCTTTTTGTTAGTTTCTGCCAAATTGTTTTCTACAAAAATGTGTTGGTTTAATTCTCATCAGCAGTCTGTAAGATTGTCCATCTCCCTACACTTTTACCAACACTGAATGTTAGAGACATTTAATGTTTTCAACATTATGAAAGGTGAAAATGATTGCAAAGATAAATAAGTGAAGCTCAGAGAGGTTATTCAGCTTGCCCCAAATCTCTCAGCCAGTGAAGAGGTGCTCTAGGATCTGAGGTCTCCTTACATTGGGCACAGTTGTCTTGTCTTTTCTTTTCTATTTTTTTTTTTTTTTTTTTGAGACAGAGTCTTGCTCTGTCATCCATGCTGGAATGCAGTGGCATGATCTCGGCTCACTGCAACCTCTGCCTCCTGGGTTCAAGAGATTGTCCTGCCTCAGCCTCCCAAGTACCTGGGACTACAGGCACGCACCACCATGCCAGGCTAATTTTTGTATTTTTAGTAGAGACGAGGTTTCACCATGTTGGCCAGGCTGATCTCAAACTCGTGACCTCATGATCCGCCCACCTCGGCCTCCGAAAGTGCTGGGATTACAGGTGTGAGCCACCGTGCCCGGCTGAGTTGTCTTTTCATTAGTTAGATCTTGATTCCCCATTCCAGAGGCCTCAGATAATAAATGTATTATCTGAGACGAGAGGGAGAACTTTTTTCTAGTATCAGGGATTTCTTTAATATTGTAGATAAATCAAACTTAATCCTTGAGGGGCTTTTGTCCTTGTTTCTGGAGGTCAGTGGGGTGGGTGCCTGACTGGGACATGGGTGGACAGTGGGGCTGGAGCATATGGCCTCTGCAGCAGAGGCTCAAAAATCATATACATATTTATCTTGAATATAAATACTCGTCTTGAAAACTTTGGGTGAAGTGCACACTTTCTATGCTGCATGTGTTCAGCTACGTTATTACATTCTTCCTTTTCAGTTCTAAAATACAAGAAGAATGACGAGGATGAATCACTTAAAGACAAATTGTCTAAACTAAATATTCATTCAATTAGCAAGAAATCAAAAAGAGTGACAAATCATCTGAAGATTCTGACCAGAGGAGAATCACAGGTAATTTTTCTTCTTGGACCACCCACCTTTTCCCAGGGAACATGAATGCAGATATTTTTGTGAGGTTTTGTTTTGTGAGGACTATTTCTAGAATACTGAGAATCAAGGTAATTGCCCTATGCTGTTCTCTTGTCTCCCTCTCTCTCTCTCTCTCTCTCTCTCTCTTTCTCTCTCTCTCTCTCTCTCTCTGGAAAACAGGGGTGGGAGTGGGAATAGGATTGACACTGTCTTAGCTGTGGTGCTTCTACTCAAGAAACAGACAAAAGAGAGACACGGACATGGGACATAAGGTTGCCCCAGGAGTCCTGATGCTCATCATCAACTAGCACATATTCTCCCTCAAGGCAATGCCCTTCTTCCATCCTGTTTTACTTCTGCTCTTAAAAGTTGTACTTTTCTTTAGGGTTCCCTTGATATTCATTTTCTCTTTATTTCATCTTTATAAACAAAGTGTTTAGAGGCATAACTTAGTGCAATTATTTTTTCTACTCCTTATCCCCTTCCTCTTCCCTCACTCCCCAGATGCACATTATATTAGTGAGTAACAGTCCTGTGTCAGCTGTTTAGCCTAGCTTGAGCCACTGTCATCCCAATCCCTAATAAATAATAGATGGATTAGCAAAGACTCTTAAACTTTAATGTGCATTAAGAATTACCTAAAAAGCTTGCTGAAAGACAGATTCTAGGGTTCCACTTGCCTCAAGGGTACAATCTAGAAGTCTGTATTTTTGCAAACACTCTAGGTATTTTGAAGCCAATGATTTTAAAGTAAGTTATCAACAGAACACACTTGCAATTCTTTGAGAATCACAAGATAGAAAGTTCATGGTCCTGAGATGGTAATATAGTGGGCTTCTAACCAAAATTAGGGAAGATAGTTCTTAGTATACTATCTAGTCCTTATTTTTTCCTTCTCATTTGCCTGTTTTTATCACTCATGTATTAATATCTCTAAGATTTTTAGTTTGAACAAGAGGCAGCTGTATGGTGGTTCATGTTGGTTTCAGATGGCTTTGGCAGCTGCTGTGGTCTTTTCTCCTTCCGTTAAGTCTTTGCAGCTTTCCAACCACTTAGGTAAAAGCAGCCCCTTCTTCCTCTGGAAAGGGTTAATATATTGACTCTATATTTCAATCTTGACACTATTCATATTTGCAGGAGTCAGCACAGGGAAGAAATTAAGAACAACATCTTTGAAGTTATCCAAACCTGGGTTTGAACCCTACCTCTGCCACTTAGTAAATGTTTGTTTGGGGGCACATAACAAATTCAATGTAATCATCTGTAAATTCGGATTCTCCTAGTACTTAACAAATGGGATGGTTGTGAGGATTAAATGAGATGATGCATACATCAAGAAAACACCTAACATAGTGTGTAAGCACTCAATATACTTTAGCTGTCATTATTATCATAAATTTAATCATTATTATTTTATATCATCACCTTGTATGGTTATTTACCTTTGAATGTGCAGACTTTTCTTCCTATGTGATGTTAAGTCCTTCATACATGGTGTATTAATCGTATTTTTTACTTTCTGTATTTTGTAATGTTTTGACATTTTAAAATACCTTTCTGGCTGAGCAGACTGCCCTTCTAGGGCTAGCCAATTCTTAGGGATAGCAAATGGCTGGAACACAACTTTCATATGCAAACCAATCAATCTTGAGTATATAGCTCTAACCACATCCTTATCTAATTCTTACACACCAAGCCAATATCTCCCCTGCCCTAAATCATTTCAGGGCCCAGTACCAGCAACTAGAGATTACCCCTATATCCCAAAGCCCATTGGAGTTATTTAAAATAGCCAGTCCTAAACTCTTTACTCTGCCCCTGCCTCACCTTTTGCAAGGAAATCCCAACAGAGGTTCTGGTCTAGACTTTCTCTTTACTCCTATCTTCTGCCACTGCACCAAAACCTGGTGCTTTGCCTCTAGCCCTGTGTGGCATGTGGTGACTCCTCTCTCTGGGACCTGTGAGTATAATAAACTTCTTCCTTCCAAGTCATGTTCTTGTTTCTTCTTGTGACTGTACCAAATTTACCAACATGTACATTCTTAGAACACAAGGCTTGAATTATTTTTGTATTTACTCCTTAATATCCTTCTAGGGGCTAACTGGGTCCATTGCATGTAAGAGGTTCCTCTTCTCAACGTGGAACTATAATGTAAGAAGTTGGGGACATTTATGGGATATACTCACATATCTGAGAAAGGACAATGAAGACATTTCAACTAAAGACAACCATATTAAAATCAAATTGGAAATTTATTTAAGAAGAGATTGTAGCCATAATAGAGATAGGCATGTGTAAATGTAGGGCAAACAATTCCCCCCCCAAGTCTTTGGGATTTTGCTTCTGACTCAAGACAATTCTATTGAGGAATAGTAGGCAGCCTCTAATTCTGGGCTGGCTTTTGAATAAGCTGTTATATTCTTTAAGACATTTATCATCAACTTCTTATATTTCTCAATTGTGAACTAAAAGTGAATTGTAGTTAAAGTAGCCTGAAGGGATATTAATTAGATTTTTCCCCTTAATCTTTTGAGAGGATGTCCTGTCAGCAATGAAGCATTTTACTGTTAATCAGAAAATCAGCTGCATAGGCTGGACGGGAAAAGAGATAAATCTCAAATCAATCAATTTTGCACTTGTCAGCAGCTCAGGTGAAATATTGGTAGAGTTAGGGTATAAAGCTATTACCGAAGAGGAAGATTCTATTCAATTCATCATACATATATTGAACTCTCTTGTACCCAGCACCATGTTAGAGATTGGGACTACAAAGATGAACAGGTATAGGTTCTGAATTCAGACTGCTTGGGGTTGAATCCTGATCCTACTATACCGTGGGTAAGTTTCTTTAACTCCCCATATTAACTAGGGTAAAGACAACATATCTGTCACAAAGAGATTCCAAAGGCATAGTAGGCTAAGTCAGGTAGTTGTTTATTTCTCTCTCTCTTTTTTTAAATTTTTTAGAGACAGAGTCTTGCTGTGTTGCCCAAGCTGGGCTAGAGTGTAGTGCCATTATCATAGCTCGCTGCAGCCTCAAACTCCTGGGCTCTAGCAATCCTTTCACCTCAGCCTCTCAAGTAGCGCAGACTACAAGCGTGTGCCACTGCTCCTGGCCGCTCTCTCTGTTTTAAGAGTCCTGAGATGTGAATCCAGATGAGCTCTGCTTCATAAGATCCTTCAGGAACCCAGTTCCCTTAGTGATTTTTCTAAACATATTGTTTTCATTTGCCTGGTTGAAGCTGTATTCCTGCCATGTCTTCTTTCAAGTCCCAAAGAAATGTTATAAGGCCAAGACTCAGACATGAAAACAAGGCTTCATCCACATCCTATTTGCACAAACCTGGTTACCAGGGCAGAGCCAGCTGCAAGGGAGTTTGGGAAATGTAGTCTCTAGCAGGGCAGCCAAGTGTCCAACTTGAAATAGAGGTGTGGATTCTATCAATAAAGGGACAGTAGGAGGAATGTTAACAATCTCTGCCATACCTCCTGAAGCTTCTGTTTCTTTATCTCTAAAATGGGAGTAATCATAATTCCATTATATATGTGTAAGGATTACAATGAGAAAATGGAAGAAAGGTTTTGGCAGTGTCTGGAACACAGTCAGTGTTTAACAAATGTTCGCTATTATTTTCATTAAAACAACAATAGTTAATCTGAAACAACCGAAATCCATCAGTGGAGAGAATCACTTAAATCATTAACCAGGGTTATGAGAGCACATAGGAGAGAGCAATTAATTTTCTACAGTGGGAAGAATAGGAGAAAAGGGAGGATTTATAGAATGGGTGACATTTGAACTAGTCCTTAAAAATAAACAGGATTTTGCAAGGCAGGAAACGAACAGCAGTATATTCCAGCAAAAGAAAACAGCATGGAAAAGTCTTGCTTATAGGAAAGTAGAATTGGGCAATATTTCTCACAGTGTGATTCTTGAACCTTCTACTTTGGAATCATCTGGGTCCTAGCCAGATGATATACAAAATAAAATATCTGGTGACGCCTCCTTGGAAACTGCATTTAAAAAAAAATCTGCCCCAGCATATTGTTATACACACTAGACTGAGTTGGAGCATAGCAACCCTAAGGCACAGAATGTTGGATTTTGTGGGGATTCCAAAGAACTCTGCTGCCTATTTAATCAAAAGCTTTGTAGATAAACAATATTAAGAAGTTTAAAAATAAAATAAAATGTCACCATTTTTGATACATTGAGTTCTAATATCAACCCTCTTAAATTTAAAAACAGATGAACCAAGCACTGCTATGGTTATCACCCAGTGCCAAGCTTAATAATACATACCCTATTCCATGAAGCATTTGCACGTTCACACAGATTTTGCCAGGATGAGGCTGGTTCCGATCTTGTTTTGTAGCCATTTTGATAGCCAAGAAATACTGCTTGCTATTAATAGCAGCAATAAATGTGTGCTCCTAGAAATTGTCACAGCATAAAAAGCATATCTTTCTGAATTCTAATGGATGTACATGTAAGATGACAAAAAAAACTGAATACATGTGACACTATCTTAAGTCTGCTGAGTTATCTTAACAGAAGGACTATTTTTGCTAAGATTATATATTATCCTTCAAGTTTGAGTTGATAAAGAATTTTCACATTTCTTTTTTTTTTTTTTTTGAGACAGAGTCTCGCTCTGTTGCCCAGGTTGTAGTGCAATGGCATGATCTTGGCTCACTGCACCCTCCGTCTTCCGGGTTCAAGCGACTCTCCTGCCTCAGCCTCCTGAGTATCTGGGACTACAGGTGCACACCACCAGGCCTGGCTACTTTATGTATGTTTAGTAGATACGGGGTTTCACCATATTGGCCAGGCTGGACTCGAACTCCTGACCTCGTGATCCGCCCGCCTTGGCCTCCCAAAGTGCTGGGATTACAGGCCACATTTATTTAACCATGAATCTAAGAATATTTTCTAAATAAGCACTGTTAAATAAATTGGAATGAATCATACGAACAAAACAAGAAGTTCTAGTCAATAGATCAAATGTGGCTATTTTATAAACCCAAAAATGTAATATGGTTTGCGTACATACATAATATATGCCATTAAAAACTACAGAGAAAGTTTTACAATACCACATCTACTGTGACATGGGTGAAGTTATGTGGAAATTAACAACAGCAATTTGAGTTATAGGACTTGGCTTTACTACACTAACTGAGCATCAGTTGTGTTATGTACCAACAGAGAAAGTATGTGTTAAGACAGACAGCATGTCATCAAATGTTTTCATATCATCAAAGAATTTTCTTTTGTAATGTGCTGGACCAATATGGTCTGTGCTATTTTAAAAAATATCTGTTTCATTTGAGTTATGAAAATAATTTCATATATATTTTAGGTTAAAGACAATACCTTTAACAGAGAAGAAAAGCTGTTTAGAGCTTTAGAAAAGACTGTGAGGCTTTGTGTGAAGAACATTTCACTCTGTCTTCAACACATACAGGTAGGTGAGACACAACTGTTTTCAGTGTTCTACAGGAACATCTGATACAAACCATTGATTTCCATGGTTGTTTTGAAGAGTAAATGTGACTGTTCCTTCCTTTATGTTATGACACCGGATCAAAATTGGAAGGCTGCAAACTGCTGGTAAAGGAAGCCAATATATAGAGGTGTTTTGCTGTTTGACCTCTTACCTGCTCCACTCTCTCCCCAGTCCAAATAGTCATATTGTGGGACTTTTTTGCTCAGATGATTGCTTCATGGACTATCAGCATGCTTTCTTTGCAACAGAGATGAGTTCATTAACACAAAATTGCAAGAGACAGAAAATTTGTTTGTTTGTACTAACACATCTCTTTCTAGTACCTAAAATAAGTATAAAAATCAATATAAAGGAAAATAAATTGAACTACAAAATCCTATTAACTACAATATGGAAATGCTCCCATGAGATTATGTTAGAAAACAGAAATACTCCCAGAAATTTCCAATCCCATAAGAAGTTGTCCTGACCCTTTGAGAATCACTGATTTCAACCAACTAATTGGAGTACAGTATGATTATGCTCGGTAGAAAAACCAGTCAGAGGTTTTTTCTAATCGATCTCATAAAGAGGAAACAGTGTCCTTCATGCCACCTTGACAATGGCTATGACCATGACACATAGAAAGTTAGTAGTGTTACATGTAAATCAGTTACTAAATTGTCCCCTTCTATATTCCAGAAGTTTTTCTCCTGGATATCTTAGATATCCGTTTCTGGAAGCAGATGTTTGCACTCTTAGATAAAATATCAGAATGATTTGGAGACAAGTTTCCATGTACATGTACCATTCTGTTCTTATTTATTATCTGATACAAAGCCTACTTTACAATCCGGTTTGCTATTTTCTTCCTAAAATGCTGCCTTCTGTGAAAAGAAAACCAAAAACAGTTATAACAGCCAGAGAGTAGTGGGAACCCCATCCTTTATGTATCTTTCAAGGAGTAAATGTCTCTTGGGAACATCTACAGGAAAGTCTTCTATTTCCACTAATAGATTCAACAAAAAATGTAAGCATTTTCTCTTAAAGAGAGCATTAAATTTTCTAAGGAAAACTGATGAATTTAAATCAAAGAGGAGTGATTTTTAAAATAAGAAATTTGTAAGAATTGCAAGCTAAAGAATAGCTAATGAGGGAATTTAAGATGGACTGTTTAATCAAAGAGGGTCGTATACAGAGTACTATGAGAAAGAGACATAAGGAAAATGTAAGGAAATATATTCTTACAAGCAACCTGATTGTACAGAGCATTTATAAAATGTTTGTTGTTCCTTTTTAAATAACCTCTCAGTGATAATTAAGGGTTATGCTGATGAAGTCCACATTTGGGATATGTTAATTATACTGACCTCAAAACTTGCCTTTTTTGTAACTTTGTTCTTGGGTTTCAGGATGCCATGCCCCTGGCTCTGCAGAGTGTGATGGACCTTCAGGAGATTTCATACAACAAAGACGATGAGATGGACTATTCTGAGACCCTAAGTAATGCCTTAAATTCGTGTCATGACTTTGTAAGTTATTTATATTCACAGATAAATGCAAATTAAATAGTGAGGTTGAAAGGAAAGCTGCTTTTTGTTTGTTTTTCTGGAGTCAGAAATAAAACATGCACTAAAGCAAATATTAATGTCAAAATTAGTAGATTTAAATGGGATTTTTTTAAATCATTTAATATTTTTAAAGTGGATTAGTGAGGATTTTACTATGATGGAAATTTAAGAGGACCACAGATTGTGTTTCTAGGGGTAGCCAGTGTCAGTGCAGCTTTTAAAATTAATATTTAGTTTAAGTCTGCATGTGAAATATTAAGAAATTATTAAGTTAGAAAGCTTTGCTTTTCTTTTTCTTTTTTCTTTTTTCTGGGACAGGATCTGGCTCTGTTGCCCAGGCTGGAGTGCAGTGGAACAATCTCAGCTCACTGAAACCTCTGCCTCTTGGGCTTAAGCAATCCTCGCTCCTCAGCCTCTCGAGTAGCTGGAACTAAAGGGGCACACCACCACACCTAGAAGATTTTTTGCATTTTTTGTAGAGGCGGGGTTTCACCATGTTGCCCAGGCTGGTCTCAAACTCCTGGGGTCAAGTGAGCTATGCTTTTCTTAAACAAGTCTCTGGAAATGCCTTGAGTCCTTACAGAAAGAGCAAAGGTACTCACTGAGGATATGACACTTATTAACATGCTATATACTGGAAGGCAAAGACTTCCTATTGAGAAAGACTTTTATTTAAGAGTCATATGTTATTTATTTTGTTCCACGGTAAAACATTTATTTTGTAAGAGTTCTATAAAATATATCTTGGGAATCATAAAAACATGCTTGAGCCAATAACACATTTTAGTAGTAAGTTACTCTGGGTAATATTAATTTTAATTTAGTGCCTTGTGTTTCTATAGGTATTATTATTTCATAGTAGTATTTCAAGAATTATAGAGAAGATAGACTGATCATCTTGAAAGTGGCATTTTCGTGTTGGCATTATAGGCATTTTGGGTAAGACAAATCTTCATGGAGTGGCCTTTTGGTGGAGGATGTTCAGCATTTTTGGCCCACCAGGCTCAAAATCTCAGTAACATCCCCTCACATCAAGACGTTGTGACAACCAGTGAAGAGCCTCACATAATTCCAAACCCTAGGAAGTCATACAGCCCCCGATCTAGTAGAAAAACCAGGCAGGAGCATTTTGCTTTTCTGGCACTGGGGAATGGAAAGTCAGGCTTACATCTGAGCTAATATGATAGAGAAACAGGTCAACGACAGATGAATGGATGGATGGATAGGTACAGGCAGATAGATGATGGTGATGATGAGATAGATAGATGATAGATAGATAGATAGATAGATGATAGATAGATAGATAGATAGATAGTTTTTACAGTATATGTTTAATGGAAAAGGTGTGGCTAGTTCTTTATGTATTTTCTGCATTTAATTATAGAGAGCACACATTCTAGAAGTCTTTAAAGGTTTGCTCTTTAGCTTAGTTCCAATACATTAAGTTAATATATATTTATTGAGTACCACCTGAAAGTGTGATATGTAGCTTCTCCCTCAGCAAGCATGCTCCAGACTTTGATGGAAAGAAGCCAGAAGTGTCCTGCATACCTTGCATAAAACCACAAGATGATTAATTAGGCTAAGTTAAAAAAATTGTGAGAAGGCTCAATATAAAAGTAACTTTTATGGATAACATATATAGAACTCTTTTTAAAAATCAAATATTAAGAACTCAAAATCTGTCTAAAGGCAGAGCAGTTATTCTTATCTAACCATGAGTAATACATATCTACACTTTTTTAGGACAAAATAATAAAGTCTAATTCTTATTTGTTCTAACAACAATTCCTAAGTAAAGGTGAATCATTTTGTGTCTGTGAGTCACTGGATATATATATATATATAATACTGTAATTAGATTACCTGTAGAATCCAGTCAAGTCACAAACATAGTAATTTATCCCAGATACAGTAAATAGATTCTTTGTTTATCAAGGGACTCATTAAACAGTCTCTAGGTGTATATTGACTATCTCATAAGCTAGACATCAAATTTAATTTGTGTTGGCTATTGCTGGTGCCAATAAGAGATTGGTTTCCCTCTCCCCTAGATTTCCCATGAGTTCAGACCAACTTACCAGGGGCCATTTAAGTTAATTAATACAAGCTGCTGCTCAGATACTGATTCCCTAGGATAGCTTTCGGGTTACAAAAGAGAAACCTACTTCCAAATTATCATAAAATATCATATAAGCATATATGATAAAGGGTAAAGTAGGGCAGTCAGCAAATGTAAAACAGAAGAGAAATAGAAGAAATTAAATCTAGGATGATCAGGTTATGTCATGAAGTTGGGCAGTTCTATGAAGTTCATTTTCAATGACTCAGGCCAAAAAGTGTAAACAATTTAAGACACAGAAACAGCATCAGCTTAATCCTTTAATGTATTTAAAACAGAATGTGTAGGCCAAGGTGAGAGGATTGCTTGAGCCTAAGTGCTCAAGACCATCTTGGGCAATAGAGTGAGACCGTATCTCTACCAAAAATTTTAAAAATTAGCCAAGCGTGGTGATACATTCCTGTAGTCCTAGCTATTCGGGAGGCTGAGGTGGGAGGATGGCTTGAGCAGAGGCTGCAGTGAGCTGAGAAAGTGCCACTGCACTCCAGCCTGGGCGACAGAGTGAGACCCTGTCTCAAAATTAATTAATTAATTAAAAATAAAACAAGTTACAACTCTGTGGTCATTTCTGTTTCAAGATTAAAATACCTTTATTAAGGGGTTACTATCTGTATAGGGGATATAATTCCACTATCAAACATAAGCCTCCAGGGTAGCCAGGGATTTGGGGCTGATATGGGAAGAATAGGGTACAGTCTCCTATGGGATGAACTATATTCCTTTTGCTGCCAGCAGAAGGTGGGAGCGATATGGTGAATCTTTTACACAGTCTTGGTAGTCAAAGGCTAGAGATTCCCCCCTACCCTCAAGTGCTGGCTCTGGGATGAGAAAGGAGGGGAATGAGAAAGTGTTGAAGGAGATGACAATGACAAAACCAAAGACTGTAGAGAAAAAAGTGGAGTTATATTTTGGGTGAGCAGGCTTTAACTTTTGTATTCCTCTTCCTGCTCACTTTTTAGGTTCAATGTTACAACCTAGAGCTCCTGTTTTAAGTCTTTGAATAGGTTTAGCCAGACACAAAATGATCAGATCCTCTTTTAATCTGGGTAGGTGCTTTCCTGTTTTCTTTTGTGCTTCTCGTGGGGGAAAAGGTAAACCTATGGATAGCAGAACTGGACAAGGTATGGGCTGATCCTCTCTCTGAAATGGGCTCATTTTTTCTTTTGGCAGGCATCTCACTTACAGAGACTCATCCTGACCCCCTTGTCAGCCCTGCTGTCCTTATTCCCAGGGCCTCACAAGCTCATCCAGAAACGCTATGACAAACTGCTGGATTGCAACAGCTACCTGCAGCGATCAACGGGAGAGGAGTCAGACTTGGCCAAAAAGGAGTATGAGGCCCTCAACGCCCAGCTTGTGGAGGAGCTCCAGGCATTCAACCAGGCTGCTCGGAAGATTCTGTTGAACTGTCTATGCAGCTTCATTACCCTCCTTAGGGACCTGATGCTCGTGGCACAGCAGGCTTACTCCACACTTGTGCCGGTAAGCACAGCACCAACACCTAGCTAGCTACCTTGGCCTACTGGATCTGCTAGAAACCACACCCATACGAAAGCCCTGTTCAGAGTGTGCACATGTATGCCGTGTGGTGTGTGTGTATTTATTTTAACTAAATCCAGTCAGATAGTCTCCTGTTCCTTATCTGTCTTATCCATGGGAAACTCAAAGAGGGTTTCCTAGTTCAGGTTTACTGTGACTTACACATTTGTAATTCTTTTTTGGAGATGCCTTTTCAAATACCAAACACCTTTCAGCCTTGCTCCACCTGCCTGATGCAACATTGAAGCTTATCAACAATTTATATTTTGTATTTTTTTCTGATCAATAGTTCTTAGATGTTAACTGTGACTATTTAAGATGTGGCTCTAAAAAGAAGGCCATCTCAGCATAATGAAAGATGCAGGATAACATTCAAACCATGCTTTGTTTTGATTTCATTTTTCCCCAAGAAAGAGAAGCCTGGTTTTGTGTGTGTGTGTGTGTGTGTGTGTGTGTGTGTGTGTGTAGCTTCGCCTCCCATTAGGATATAATTTTATAATTATTTTCCTGATGAGGAAGAAAGATATTTACAACTTATATCAACTTTTGAAAAATTAGCTTGGTTTCTTGGCCCTACGTTTCAACTACACTAGTTCTCATCTGAATGAGATGGACAGCTATTCAATGGGTAACACCTGGAGCAGAAATAATTGTCCCTACTTTATTTTCTATTGTGCATTAATTAACTTTTAACTTATACTTTGAATTAAATTAAATTGAATAAACGAGGGCTATGTTTACAGGGTTCAAAAGCCAAAACTGTGTAAATGTATAATCAGTCTCACACTCATACCTGTTCCTCTAGCATCCCATTCGCCACTCTCATCCCCATTTTTGTTAGTTTATTTTTATGCATTTAGTGCTTTCTCATGCCAGTAACAATAAATGCAAGTATATATTTTTATTTCTTAAAAGTAAAAAACAGCATATTATATATACCATTCTGCACTTGCTCTTTAACAATATATTCTGAGAATGCATCTATAATAGTACATAAAGAGCTTCCTCATTCTTTTTTTTTTTTTTGGTGGGGGGGGATGGAGTTTCACTTTTGTTGCCCAGGTTGGAGTGCAAAGGCCCAATCTCGGCTCACTGCAACCTCCACCTTCCGGGTTCAAGCGATTTTCCTGCCTCAGCCTCCTAAGTAGCTGGGATTACAGGCATGTGCCATCAAGCCCAGCTAATTTTTGTGTTTTTAGTAGAGACGGGGTTTCTCCATTTTGGTCAGGCTGGTCTCGAACTTCTGACCTCAGGTGATCCACTCGCCTCGGCCTTCCAAAGTGCTGGGATTATAGGCATGAGCCACTGCGCCCAGCCTGAGCTTCCTAATTCTTTTTACAGCTTTATAGTAACTTACTGCATGGCTGTATAATAATGTATAACCATTCCCTTTTTTTAAAATAACTTTATTGTGATATAATTTGTATACCATACATTCCACCTATTTAAAGTATACAATTTGATTATTTTTAGTATATTCACAAGAGTTGTGCAGCCATTGCCACAACCAATTTTAGAACATTGTCGTGGCCCCCTAAAGGAACCCTGTACCCATCCACATTTTTTCCTAACCTCCCCAGCTCTAGGCAACTATCAATTTACTTTCTGCCTGTACAGATTTTCCTATTCTGGGCATTTTGTATAAATGAAATCATACAGTACATGGTTATTTGTGACTGGCTTCTTCTATTTAGCATAACATTTCAGGGTTTCTTCATGCCTAGCATGTTTCATTATTTCATTCATTTTATCGCCAAATAACATTCCATTGTATGAATATACCACACTTTACTTATTCATTCGTCAGTTGACGGGCATTTGGGTTATTTCCATTTTTTGGCTGTTATTAGTAATGCTTCTGTAAACATTCAAGTTTTTAGTGGATATATGTTCCCATTTCTGTTGATTATATACCTAGGAGTGGAATTTCTGGATCATATGTTAACTCTATGTTTAACCTTTTGAAAAACAACCAGACTGTTTTCCAAAGTGGCTGCACTATTTTATCTTCTCAGCAGTATCGACTGAGAGTTTCAATTTCTCCACACCTCTTTATTATTATTATTATTATTATTATTATTATTATTATTATTATTGTTATAGCTATCCTAATGGGTGTGCAGTGGTATCTCATTGTGGTTTTTATTTGTATTTCCCTGATCAGCACTGTTTTAAAACTCATTAAATTGAAGTAATAACTTCTATACATTAAACTGCACCAGTCTGAACTGCACATCTCAATCAATATTTGCATATACACATCTGTGTAACTACCACCCAGATCAAGATATAATCCCTTTCCAGTTCCCCATAAAGATCACTCATGACCATTCCCAGGCACCTAAAGGTAACCATTTTTCTAACCTGTATTACCATACATTGTTTGACCTGTTTTGTACTTCATATAAATGGAATCATACAATATGTATTCTTTTGTGTATTAACCTGTCCCTATTGATGAGTATTTGATCTATTTCCAACGTTTTTTTATTACAAATAATGCCGGGGTCATGATACGTGGACAGATGTATCTGTAGGACAGATTTATAGAAATGATAGAAGTGGGATCTCTGTGTCAAAGGGTAAAGACGTATGTAATTTTGCTGGATATTGCCAGATTCCCTGCTTAACTATGTACCATTTTGGATTCCCACTTGTAACATGTAAGAAAGCTGGTTTCTCTGGATTTTTGCCAATCTAATAGGTTTCAAGTGTAATTTTAATTTGCATTTCTTTAAGTATTAGTGAGATTGAGAGTCTTCACATATGAGGGCTATTTATCTTCCTGTGAGTTAGTTGTTCATGTGTTTTACTCCTTTTTCTTTGGGTTCTTGGTATTTTTCTCCTTAATTTCTAGCAGCAATGTATATGCTAGGGAGATGAGCCTTTTGTTGAGATAAAAATTGAGACTACTTTTTCCAAGTTAACCTTTGTCTTTGACTTCACTTGTGATTTTTTTTCATGCTAATGTTTGTGTTTTTAAAAAATGCAGTCAGATTTATTAATTTCATTTTATGACTTCTAGATTTTGAATCTTATAAAGGACTTCCATATTTTAAGGCTCCAAATAAATTCAGCAGTGTTTCTTCTAGTATATTTAGGGTTTCATATTTTTTTATTTAAATAATCAATCCATGTAGATTTTATCCTGGTTCATGTTGTAAAATATGGATTTAATTTTATCTTTTTCCAAATGACTTTCCAGTTGCTCCAACACTATTTATTTAAAAATAATCTCTTGTTACTGCTTTCTCAATGAAACACATTTAATTTGCAAATTATTTCGATAATTTCATTCTGAGGTCATGGTAGAAGGTGGGTTCATAAGTTCAGAACAAAGTTGAGCTTTGGCAGGAATTTACTAGTCAGAAAAGACATGTTATTTTAGGTATCTTTGATCCCCACTTTGAATCATGTGATTTTTAAAGGCATTTTCAGTTTCTATTTTAAATTATCTGAGTATCTTTCACATTGCAGTCCATAGCCAAACAAGAGCATAGAGATGCTTTGTTTTTGAGAAATTTCTAGTGTCTTAAAGTAAAAGGCATTTTGGAGAAGTTATCCTCATTAAAATGATTTTATTCTTTATTTTATATGTTCTGTATATTTAAACTTTTTATTTTGTGATACTTAGAGATTCATATGCAGTGGTAAGAAGTATTACGGAGATCCTGTACAACCCTCACACAGCTTACCCAATGGTAACACATCTTGCATAACTACATGTATTTCTGAAAGGCAGAATTGAATAGTGATTAGAGAACACTAGAGTACCTTGTTTTAATACCTGCTCACTGCTATACTACATTGTGTAAATTAATGTATCCTTCTGTTTAAATTTTCTCATATGAATTAAAATGAGAATAATAATGTAAATAATTTTTAAATTTTTAATTGTATAAAAAACCACAATTTACCATTATAAGAATTTTTAAGTGTACATTTCAGTAGTGTTAAGTATACTTATATTGTTGTGTAATAGCTCTCCAAAACATTTTCATCTTGCAAAACTGAAACTATACTCATTAAACAAGTCCCCATACTCCCCTCCCCCAAGTCCCTGCAACCATCATTCTATTTTCTGTTTCTACAAATTTGACTACTTTAAATACCTCATGTAAATGGAATCATACAGTGTTTGTCTCTGTGACTGCCTTATTTTGCTTAATATAATGTCCTCAAGATTCATTCGTGTTGTAGCATGTGATAGGATTTCTTTCATTTTTAACTGTGAATATTTCATTATATATAAAAAACACATTTTGGGCTGGATGTGGTGGCTCACGCCTGTAATCCCAGCACTTTGGGAGGCTGAGGCAGGCGGATCACTTGAGGCCGAGAGTTCAAGACCAGCCTAGCCAACATGGCGAAACCTTGTCTCTACTAAAAATACAAAAACTTGCCAGGTGTGGTGGCACATGCCTGTAATCCCAGCTACTCGGGAGGCTGAGGCTGGAGGATCACCTGAATCTGGGAGGCGGAGGTTGCAGTGAGCTGAGATTGCACTATTGCACTCCAGCCTGGGTAACAAGAGTGAAACTCCGTCTCAAAAAAAAAAAAAACAAACAAAACAAAACAAAAAAAAACCCTAAAGCACATTTTGTTTATTTACTCATATGTCAATGATCATTTGGGTTGTGTCTATCTCTTGGCTATTGTGAATAATGCTGCAATGACCATAGGTGTGCAAATATCTCTTCAAGATCCTGCTCTCAATTATTTTGGATATATACCCACAAGTGGGATTGCTGAATCATATGGTAACTCTATCTTTTTGAAGAATTCAAAGCTCTATTTTTAATTTTCATTTTTATTAGAGTTATACATACACATAAAGATTCAAGTAGTTATTCAGGTTTGATGACGAAAAACATTTGTCCTTCGCTCCCTTTATTCCATTTCTCCCGCCTCAGTGGTAACTACTTTCCAACTCTTTTAGATGATTCTCTTGGTATTTACCTTCATATTTAAAAATAAGACTCTTGTGTTGTCATTTCATTATTAATACACTTTAGGTATAATACATTCCACTACGAAAAATGAGGATTTAGCTCTCTCTTCTCTCTATACCCCTACATTTGCTATAGTCAGACACACTCTTTCTATACCCCCTTCAATACAGTTATAGCATAGATTTGGTTGAGTTCACATTAAGCGTGTAAAGTATGTGATTTGTGTATTAGTCATGATTCCAGTAGGAAAAACATAATGCATTCAAGTTAGGCATTTGGAGAAAACTTTAATAACTATTTACAAAAATGTGAGTATGGCACAGGAAAACCTTTAGAAATAGTGCCTTGCCCTGGGCAGGCATAGGGGTTTGGGGTACAACAACATCTAGGTTCAAAGAAATATGGGGAGGGAGCAGTCATAGCAATGTGTAGAGAGAGAGGTGTGTGGAGAGGGTGACTTGATAGGAGCTGTGTATTTCTGTCAATACTACTGAAAGCAAAATTAGGAAATAAATATCCTTATCTCATTTTCTTCCCCCATTCTAATTTCCTACAGGTGCTCCTTAATGATGGATTGATTGAATCCATTTGGAAGCCAGAGAGCAAGAAAGCTGTTTTGTTGTTGCTGTTGTTGTTGTTGAGACAGGATCTCACTCTGTCACCCAGGCTGGAGTGTCATGGTGTGATCACAGAGCTCACTGCAGCCTCAACTTCCCAGGTCCAAGCAGTCCTCCTGCCTCAGCCTCCAGAGTAGCTGGGATTACAGGCACACACCACCTCACTGGGCTAATTTTATTTATTAATTATTATTATTATTATTTTGTAATTTTTAGTAGCAGGCCAGGTGCGGTCACTTATGCCTGTGATCCCAGCACTTTGGGAGGCCGAGGCGGGCGGATCATGAGATCAGGAGATGGACACCATCCTGGCCAACATGGTGAAACCCCGTCTCTACTAAAAATACAAAAAATAATTAGCTGGGCGTGGTGATGCGTGGCTATAATCCCAGCTACTCGGGAGGCTGAGGCAGGAGAATCACTTGAACCAGGGAGTCGGAGGTTGCAGTGAGCCAAAATCGTGCCTCTGCACTCCAGCCTGAAAAAAAAAATTTTTTTTTTAGTAGTGACTAGTTGCCCAGGCTGGTCTTGAACTCCAGGGCTCGAGTGATCTTCTGGCCTCAGCTTCCTGATTAGCTGAACTACAGGCATGTACTACCATGCCTGGCTAAGATTTAAAAATTTTTAAGAGACAAGGTCTTGCTACATTGCCCAGGCTGGTCTCAAATTCTTGGGCACAAGCAGTCTTCTTACCTCAGCCTCCCTATTGGCTGTGATTACAGGCATGAGCCACTATGCCAGACTTACCCAGTTTTTGAGGGGTAGGGATGTAAACTCCATTTCTTTGTAGGAAGCAATGTTGAAGAATTTGTTTGAAAACCAGCACAGGCTCTTAATCAGTGCTCCTTCTTTTAGCTGCTTTCCCTTGCCACCATCCTACCCCACCACAAGGGAGGTACCTACTGCCATGAGCTCCTGAGCTTTTTTTCCAAGACTTCATTGCTATTTTTTCTCTTCTGTTCTTTCATTTGGCTTGAAACTTAAAAAAAAATTCCTATCATGTTTGTGGGGTTTCTAGAGACAATAAATTAGACCATATTTATCTAGAAGTTCTAAAGTTGCCCTAACTTTTCACAATGGAGCTACCATATACCTCCTCAACTGTTCATCACAACTCAATACATTTAACACCTGATATGATTATCTAGGTGTCTGGAAACAATGCCATATTATTTCTACCTATAGATGCCACTGTTGGTTTCAAGCATTTCTGAGATTCAGAATCAAGTACTAGAAGAGATCCAAAATTTGAATTGTGTGAAAGAAAACAGTGCCACCTTTATTGAGAGGAAACTCAGTTTTGAAAAGAAGAAACCTGTGCAGATTCTGGTGAGTTTGGCAGCATTCATGACAATGATAACTTTCACCTCTTTGCCTTATCCAAGTTGTAGTATCATATTATTTTCCAGATCACTTATCTCATTCTAATATCCTATAATTTACATATGTGTAGAATTTCTTGTACATTTCTATCCTATATACCATAAGCTCCATAAGATCATGGATTTTTTTTCTACTTTGTACATGGCGTATCCCCAAAGTGCCTAAAATGACTAAAATGGTGCTTGTCACAAGGTAGGAGGCACTCAATAAATATTTGTTGAATAAGATTTTATAAAGATAAATCATATAGTCCAGACATTTCCTTTTCTACATAAGGCATACCAGGCCCCAGAGATAAGTGGGTTTCTCAAAGTCTCTTAGGGCCCGAGCTGAGGGGGGGAGTATAAGCGTCTTGATTCTTGTCTAATTTGCTGATGATATTTCCCAGATAAAGACATGTACATGTACAATTTACTTAGCTGAATACTTAATATGCAACGGGTTGTCTGCAGAATGGCAAAGAGTTTAAAATGGTTGTGCAACATCCAAGAGGGATTAGAACCTCTGCCTTCTTATTCTTGTTTTTTCTTCTCTACAACACTGCCCTCCTGTGCTTACTAGAAACATTTTTCCCTGAATAACTCAGCTGGGTACTTTACGATAATAGCCTGCTCTATGCCTGCACCTTGAAATAATCCTCTAAAAATATATGACTCCTACGTTTTAAAAATCTCCAGGGAAAAAATATTTACCAACTCCATGAGGATTTTATTATGTATCTGTCTAAACCAAAACTTCTCCTTATTTCTCCCAGCCAGAAATGCCACATCAAACTGACATTCATCGCTCCAAACTTCTATCCACATATAGTGCAGAGGAACTCTATCAAGCTAAGCGCAAGTGCAATGCTACACAAGAATATGACATCAATCTTCTGGAAGGAGACTTGGTGGCTGTGATAGAACAGAAAGATCCACTGGGGAGTACAAGCAGGTGGCTTGTGGACACAGGAAGTAAGTTTTTCCCCAGAACTACCACTCTTCTTTAAACTGAGATTTTTCTGAGGGCACATGTTTGGGAAGAGTATACCCATGAACTTGGTTCTTCTTTCTTTTTATTTCCTATCCAGATGTGAAAGGATATGTTTATTCCTCCTTCCTAAAACCCTACAATCCAGCAAAAATGCAGAAAGTGGATGCTGAGAACAGGTTCTGTGACGATGATTTTGAGAACATCAGCCTCTTCGTGTCTTCACGGCCAGCTAGTGACAGTGTCACAGGCACCTCAGAAAGCAGCATTGGTGATAGCAGCTCATCTCTTAGTGGCACATGTGGAAAGTTTGAAACAAATGGTACTGATGTTGACAGTTTTCAAGAAGTAGACGAACAGGTAAAAATTTGATGTAAAAATATGTGGTTGTTCAAATCATGAAAGAGTATCTCTCTACTGTACTCTATAATACTGTAACACTTGGTGGAAAAGTGCCAGCTTTGACATCAAGGAGACCTGGCTCTATTAGCACAGTGGATCTTTTTGTAAGGAGTTTAATTCCCTGAGCCTGTTTCCTTAAATGAAGCAAAGAATTAGAGATAAAGTGTGTATGTAAAGTAGCCAGCACAAAGTAGACACACAATAAATGGGAGCTATTACTATTACTACCCTGCTGTTACATACTTACAGCAAAGTATCTTTTTATACCCCCTCCATCAAAGAAAAGTAGTTCAATACTGAACAGATTGCTGCCATCAATAGCACATGGGAAATTGCCCATGATTCCTCTAAGAGCATAATCTTCATTGAGCTATCTAGTAATTGGCCAGTTTTAATCTCATGTATAATACCACACACTATATATGGAAACTTTTTCTTTTTTTCTTTTTTTTTTGAGATGGAGTCTCACTCTGTCGCCCAGGCTGGAGTGCAGTGGCGCAATCTCGGCTCACTGCAACCTCCGCCTCCCAGGTTCAAGCAATTCTCCTGTCTCAGCCTCCCAAGTAGCTGGGACTACAGGTACACGTCACCACGCCTGGCTAATTTTTGTATTTTTAGTAGAGTTTAGTAGGGTTTCACCATATTGGTCAGACTGGTCTATACTGAAACTTGTAAGAGCTATATTTCCCTCACTGCACTAATGCAAAAGCTACTGGTACAATCTTTTTGCAAAATGGTAAGTTAATTATAGTGCAGGACTTGTTTTTGCTATATCAGAAAGGTTCAGTATACTTAATGGTTCATTCCCCAGTGGTGACCATCTAATTCCTTTATTTATTTACCTTGCTTTTTCTTTAGTGTTCTATTAATAATTTATTTAAATTTATTTTTATAGAGGTTATGTATATGTATATGTGTAGATAGATAGATAGATAGATAGATAGATAGATAGATAGATAGATGATAGATAGATAGATAGAGAAGTTAAAATAGTAGAAAAGCATACGTAACTTAAAAGTAAGCTGGGCTTGGTGGCTCATGCCTGTAATCCCAGCATTTTGTGAGGCTGAGGTGGGAGGATTGCTTGGGCTGAGTTTGAGGACAGCCTGGGTAACATAGCAAGACCTCATCTCTACTAAAAATCAAAAAAATTAGCCAAGAGTGGTTGCCCACATCTGTAGTCCCAGCTACTGGAGAGGCTGGGGTGGGAGAATTGCACAAGCCGGGGCGGTTGAGGCTGCAGTGAGCCGTGATCATGCCACTGCACTCCAGCCTGGGCAACAGAGGGAGATCCTGTCTTTAGAAATAATAATAATAATAATAAAAGTAATGGTTTTTAGTCCCTTCTCCCCTTGTCCTGTGCTTCAGAGACAATGCTTGGGTATATCCTTTGTATATTCTGTGCATATACAAACACATTTATACCAGTGGGAAACATAGCATGTATGGTATATAGGGTTTTTTTCCATGTAACAATATATCTTAGACACAATTAAACCTAAATAGCTATCTTATTCCTTAAAAAGCTCTACACAGTATTTAATTTTATGTATATAATTTATGTAACTATCAGCCTAATAATAGATACATAGAACGTTTTGGGCTTTTAAAAAATTTCAAACAATATTTCAAGGAAGGGGCTTGTCCATCTATTTTTGTGCATTTGTATGAGTATATAAGTGTAAAACAAATTCCTAAAATATTAGAGGGCCAAAGGTATGTACATTTAACGTCTTTATAGACATTGCCATACTGACCTTCAAAAGTATGGTTCTATTCAGTTTCTTTCATTAACAGTTATTGATTGCTGTCCAATTCATGACTTCTTTTTTTTTTGGTTTGGTGTTTTTTTTCAAAAGCAGCTTATCAATATCTTATATTCATGTCATATAATTAATCCATTTTTAAGTGTACAATCATGACTTTTAGTATATATTACAAAGTTGTACAAGTTTAGTATATTTACAAAGTTGTGCAACCATCACTTTAATCCAATTTTAAAACATTTCTTTCACTCCAAAAAACCCTTTGCACCCATTTGTAGTCCCTCCTCTTTCCCACCCCTAACCCCAGGGAACCACTAACCTACTTTCTGTCTCCATACATTTGCCTTTTCTGTATCTTTTGTATAAACAAAATTGTACAATATGTGGTGTTTTACAGCTGCTTTTTTTCACTTAGCAAAATTTATTGAGAGTCTTTCATGTTGTAGTATGTATATGTACTTTGTTGCTTTTTATCGCCTACTAATATTCCATTCTGTGGGTATATTTTGTTAATCCACTCACCAGTTGATGGTCATTTGGGTAACTTCTAGTTTGGGGCTATTGTGAATTATGCTGCTATGAATATTCGTGTGCAAGTCTTTGTTGTGGATTTTATTTCTCTTGAGTAGATACCCAGAAGTGTAATTTCTTATTGGTTTTATAAGTGTATGTTTAAATTTTTAAGAAACTGCCAAACTGTAATCCAAAGTGGGCGCACCATTTTAGATTCCTACCAGCAAAGTGTGAGGTTTATGGGTTGCAGTTTCTTCACATCCTTGTCAACACTAGTTATTATTTGTCTTTTTAATTATAGCCATCTTGTGGGTATGAGGTGGTATCTCTCTGGGGTTTTAATTTGCATTTCCCTAATGATTAATGCTATTGAACATTTTTTCATGGGCTCATTTGCCATTCTTTTATTTCCTTTGGTGAATGTCTATTCAAATATTTGCCTATTTAAAAAAAACTGGGTCATTTTCCTTCTTATTTTCCCATTGTAAGAGTTCTTTATAAACCTGAGTGCAAGTTTTTTTTTAATCAGATATATAATTTGCAAATATTTTCCCCTGGTTATAACTGACTCTTAACTTGTCTGGACATTACTATTTGTTCTTATTACCCTTCTGTCTTGATGTTTCAAAACACTATTTCTCTATTACTTGTTCACTCTGTTGTTTATTCAGTTTCTAAAAAACATATTATAATGCTAACTAATGAATTTTTATCAGTGAAATCTATGTACCTGATTAAATGTCCTGTCAGACTTTGCCTTGTCCCAATAACCTAGATGGACAGAAATCTGAGGGCCAAATTTATCAGCACACTCTAAAGCTGGCTTGATGTTGAGTTCTTGTTCTTACTTGGCTCTACAGGGACTTTGGACTGAGCACCTCACACAGACTTTCTGCCTGGTGTTTGTAGTATGAGACTGCATTTAGTTCCTACTAGCTGGTACTTCAAAGCAATTTTCTCCAAGCAATCCTATCAATATATATAATGTGAATTACATCCATTAGAGATTTCCATTACCAAGAGAGGAAAAAAATGAGATAGTATTTCAAAACAAAAAATATATTAATGGCATATCTTCATAAATTGTTATTTGCTTTCTTTTTCCTCTGCATTTGGCACCAATTCAAAGTAGGCATAGCATCAGGAATATAAATATAAGCACATATAAGCATTATTACTAATAAAACTGGATTGAAGATGCATCTTGGATCGGTAGCACATGGGATCCCTGATACTTTCCCTCAGAGTAGAAATCATCTAACTCAAACTGAAGGTGAACCCTGTGCAGGGAAAAAGTCTGTCCCAATAAACTTACTGCAAGATGAGGAAGAGGATGCACCTGTTGGAAACTTCACTACAAGGGAGAAGAGAAGGCCGCATGGAAATATCTCCCTTAATGTCTTAACTCTAGCCAATAGATGCACATGGGCCAGTGGTTTCCAGACTCCCCCTGTAATGCATAATGCATAATATTGAAAACAGAGAGAAAGGAGTATATTATGTGCCTAATCCTTGCCCCAGGGCCGATGTTTCTATTCTGTTGGCTTTGAGAAATTGTGGGGAGAAGAAAGTGATTAACCTCTGTATTTGTGATGTGATAGTATAAGTCAATACATTATAGAGGTCCCTGTAATGTGATCAAAAGTGGAAGAAAATTATATCTTCTTTACCAACAGTGAGAATACAGTACATATTGTAATATTTCACATTTGCGGTATCCTACAAAGCAATTTTCTGTGTGGCTATTTAGACTTTCGTTCTTGATTTTATTTTATTATCAGGAACATCAGCTGAAACTTGTACTGGCTTAATTGGATGCCACTTTTTGTTATCATTTATTTCCCTCTCCCTTCCTACTGTGGTAGCACTTTTTTTATTTCTTCCAGAATTGCTATAGCATGTTTCCAAGGGGTGTTGTAGGATGTAGTCTGGATTTATTGATGGGTCTAGTGGGCCCTGACAAAAAGGACAGGTGGCCTCTACCTCATACTCAGGGGGTATCTTTGGGTCTCTAAAGATCATTCACATATAGGCAATTTCAAACTTAGATTCTAGTGGCTCTGTGATTTTTATACTAGAGCTGAATTTTTAACCTGGACGCGAAGACCTGAAGTGGTCTATGAATGAGTTTTGGGAGGATTTAATGAGTCTCCTCAAATACATTGGAAATATTGTGCTTATTTGCATATGTACACATCTATGGTAAAAGAAGTCTACCTTTTTAAACAGACTTTTAAAAGAAAATTTTATCTAAAATGTTAGAAATCACTGCTGTAGAGATTTAACTTGCTTATCCATTCTCTACCTCAAGTAAGAAGAGAGACTGCTACAAAAAAGTTCCCCCAAATTATATTCTGGAGCCTTTGTTGAATAATGGGGATGAGCTAGTGGATATTCACAACCTGGCAGTACTGATTTATACCAAGGTCCTTAATTTTTAAGTTCTTCATTTTGTTTTTTGCTATATCGAAGAATATAACAAAAGCATTCACGTAAATATGCCTTCCCATTCTAATGTATTCTCTCCTTTTGTCCATCAAATAGTAATGGCATGCTCTGCATTAGTGTTCCATGCTGCATAACAAATTACCACAAATTTGGTGGCTTAAAACAATACAAACATATTTCTCAGGGGCTGTTGTCAGGAGTCCAAGCACGGTTTAGCTGGATGCCCTGCTTAAGATCTCATGTAGCTGCAATCTAGCTGTTTGCTGGTTGTATTGCTTCTGAAACTGAGGGTTCTCTTCCCAGCTCATGGTCATTGGCAGAATTAAATTTCTTGTTCTGGTCGGACTAAGGACTCCTTTTTCTTGTTGGCAATTAGCCAGAGACCACTTTCAACAACCTGAGGCTGCTCTCAAATCCTTGCCATGTGGCTGTCTCTATAGGCAGTTTACAACATGGCTGTTTGCTTCTTCAAAGTCAGTAGGTGAGCATCTCTCTGGCTTCAAATCTCTCCCTTCAGAGGAGGCCTGAATGCACTTCAAAAGTCTCATATGAGTAGGTCAGGCCCATCCAGGATAATCCCTCTTTTGACTAACTCCGAGTCAATTTCCTAGGGACTTTAATAAGCACCTCTGCAGAATCTCTTTACCTTTGCTATAGAGTGTAGCCTAATCACAGGAGTAATAGCACATCTATTAAGAAGTTCCAGTCACAGTCAAGGGGAGGAGATTATATAGAACATGTACAATAGGGGGTGGGATTCTTGGGGTCCATCCTAGAATTCTGCCTTCCAGAGTGTCTAAGATGCCTTGTTTGGCAAGCAGAATCTTGTCCTTGGCACTTCTCAAAAAGGACTAGGTTTAATAACGGCTAAAACCCAGTTTTGGGGGGCAGTTCAGTGTCTGAGAATCAGTGTTGTTTTCTTTTTCCACATAAGTAATATTGAAAATATAATTTTTGACTTCTAAAAAAAGTAGTCGTTTTGCTACCAATCCCACGTTCATAGTCTGGCCCTTCATCTTTACATTTTCCAGCTACCTATGATGATGATGCTATATACCTACTGTGTCATTGTTTAGAAAGTGCTTAAAAAAGTCAGCTTATTAACATGAAGAGATTTTCAAAAATAGTATGAGGTAAAAAACAGCTTGCAAAGTTATGTATACTATAAGTCCATTTTTATTACCACTTCAGGTAGGTAGGTAGAAAACAAAAATGGAAGGAAGGAAAGAAGGAAGAAAGGAAGAGAGGAAGATGGGAGGAAGGAAAAGAAGATACTAATAGCAGTTGGGTGGGTTTTGTTTTGTTTTGTTTTGTTTTGCTTAACTTTACTTAAAATTTTTTTCTTCATCGAAATTGCTCGTGTAATTAAAACATATAATTGTTAAGTGAAGAACATGAAAGCTTGCTCCTGAAGGGTAAGAGAGAATAATGAGCATTTTTCATGCAATACAACTACCTTGGTTTCCAGAGATACATATAATGTACCATAAATGCTGATTCTGTACCTTTTAGTTTTAGAACAGAAGATTAACATATATTATGACTTTTGTTGCTGTTAATTGGAGAATTGGGATAAAAATAAAATGATATTCAGTGAAGTCAGGTAATGTGGCTCACGGAGGAAGGAAAAATCAAATGCACAAATATAGAATAAGGGAATGCCAAACTGGGAATGTTACCACAGGGAAAGATCTAGTGGTTATAAGCAGTGGGTAATAAATTAGGTATGAGTCAATAATACAGTGTTATAAAAAAAGTAAGTGTGGTAGAAAACTGAGTTGTATTCACAGAATACTGCACCTAAAATGAGTCAGAGCTTTATAGAGTAGAAAGAAGCAATCAATAAAATACATTTTAAAAAGTGCCAAGGAAAAACAGAAGAAGATTAGGTGATTATGGCTCAAATTAACAACATTGTAATTAATGTGCCTGGACCAAAACATATTAGCATTTAAGATTAGAAAGTTACAGACTGAAACAATTAAAATGTTGAAGATAATGAGAAATCTTTCAGTTCTTAAATGCATGACAGGTTAAAAATTTATAACTTGTAGTCTAACATTAAGGAGACTAAAAATACTAAAAAGGAGACTTAAAAAAGAGACTGAAAATAGACTGCTGTCTCTTTAAAAGCAGCTTACTTCCATTTTGAGTATATAATATATGCCCCCATTTAACATAAATTATATAAAAACTAAAAAGTGCTCATCCTAAACAAATTTTGGGTCATGATTATCTAAAGCATTGAAAGTATATAATTTTGTACTTTAAATTTACAATTTCATGAGAATATATTTTAATATTTAGAATATAAACTATAATTTCATACCAAACAGATCTAGATGGAAGAGTTTATATTTCGCTTGAGAGAATTGTGCTAAAGTAAAAAACTACCACTATTTAGAAATGTTCTATTAGTAGGCAATCTAACCTGCTAAAAAAATCTATAGTTGCATAGGTAAAGCATTACCTATTATTTATAAAAATTATAAAAGATGATTACCAACCACTAATGCAGGCTCTTACAGATGTTTCAGATGTATTATAGTACGTTACATTCCCGAATACTTTTGCAAACCAAATCTTCCATTCTGTTCCTGTGGATTTATTCAATGTTTTCACTTTCTACACAGCAAAACAACACCATCTACAATATACTAGAAACTCCAGTCCCTCTCCGCAAGAATACACTCTGTACATACTTGCTAGAACAAGAGTTTGGTCTCTAAAGCATTATGAGAAATGGACCAAGCACAGGATTTGAAGTTAGAAGATATTGGTCATAGCAGCACCAATTAGCTCTATAATTAAAAATATGTTTCTTCTGTAAGACATAACTCATAAGGTTGTTGAGGACAAAGCACATTTAACATATAACTGCCATGCGCTCTGTAAAAGGTGTTTATTATTGCTACCACTCCATTGCTAAAGAATTTATAGTACTTTTAATTTTCTTCTTTACTTAAAAAAATTATGTAATAATTTGACCATGTTCATCAATCTCTTGTATGTATCTTTTATGATACAAGATGATGTCTTGTATGATATCCATGCCTTTCAATAAATATTTGAATATTCCTACTAATTTTCAGGTCAAATCAATAAATATTTGAATTCCTACTTTGTACCATAATGTGGTCAATGGAGAAAAGTTTAAATGTGTGTCTTAGTGCATTTGGGCTGCTGTAACAAAACACCATAAACTGGTTGGCTTATAAACAACAGAAATTTATTTCTCACAGTTGTGGAGGCTGGAAGTCCAAGATCAAGGCACCAGTTTATGTGGTGTTTGCTGAGGGGCAACTTTCTGGTTCATAGATGGCACCTTCTCATTGGGCCCTCACATGGTGGAAGGGGTGAAGAGTCTCTTTTGGGCTTCTTTTAAAGAGAAACCAATCCCATTCAGGAAGTTGAAGGCTAATCACCTCCCCAAGGCCTTACCTCTTAATAGCATTACCTTGTGGATTAGGCTTTCAACACATAAACTTTGAGGGGAAACAAACATTCAGTCCATAGCAATGTGGTTCTTTCCTTGGGGAGCAGCTCATATTAGTTGATAAATCAATATCCCAATCAATTGAATCAAAGTTTCACCAAAAGTTAAATAACAGTTTAATATTTAAATAACAACTTCAGCTACAGCTATAGTCTCCTTTCCACACTACGCATTCTCTTTCTCTGCTTAATGAAGTAATGAAGTCATCTTATTTCTCATAGTTTCCCTTACCTATTGAATCTCAAGTTTGAGAGTTAATCTGCTTGTCTTTTCCTATATGTTGTTTTCATGTATTCATCTCCGTACCTTCAAATATGACATATTCATGCCTTTTGTCAGCTTTGTCATTTATGAAAGATAACTTATTTCAAAATTCAGCTCACCATTAGCTGATGTATCATCTGTGTGTAGAGTTGTTGCTGTTTTGGTGTGTTTTGTTTTGTTCACTGGCATTTTCTTTTCCTAGCTGAGTTGTAAGTTGTCCAATAAAATAATAACCAGCACTTAGTAGGTACTTGAAAAATTTTCATTAAATAAATGAATGGGAATAAATATTGCTTAAATAAATGAATGGGAATAAACTAAGCCAGTTGCTTAATTTTATGCCATAACTAAACATTTTTATTATCAATCTTATGATTTTGTTGGAAGAATAAAGACTTATTTTGGGGCTTCTTACGCACTTAATAATTATAAATTGTTCTTTTGAGGTCAGAGAAAAATTCTTTTGACTGAAATATTGTATTATTCTAGGCCATAAAATAATTTTTAAATTATAAATTTAATACATTGTCATTATAAAGGTTTGGGAAATAAAGAAGGGAACAAGGAAGTAAAAATGAAAATCAGCTATAATTGTACCATTCAAAGAAACAATAATATTAGACTTATATCGTACATCTAATTTTATGTTCTTTTTAAGGTTTACTATTTTATCATAAGTGTTTCCCATGTTATTAGTCTCAGAAAGCATCGTTTTTGTTGTTGTTTTGTGTTTTTTCTTTTTTTTTTTGGAGACAGAGTCTCACTCCGTCGCCCAGGCTGGAGTGCAGTGGCGCGATCTCGGCTCACTGCAACCACCGCCTCCCGGGTTCAAGCTATTCTCCTGCCTCAGCCTCCTGAGTAGCTGGGATTACAGGCACACGCCACCACGCCCAGCTAATTTTTGTATTTTTTAGTAGAGACGGGGTTTCACCACGTTGGTCATGCTGGTCTTGTACTACTGACCTCGTGATCCACCCACCTCGGCCTCCCAAAGTGCTGGGATTACAGGCGTGAGCCACCGCGCCCGGCCTGCACCGTTTTTAATGACTACAAATCTCCTTAGTATGAGGGTCTGGAATTTAACTATTTTTCTCTTGCTAAACTTATAGTGTTATTCCTACTACTCTCCCACTTTTCGCCATTCTTATGGGTAATCCAGTAACATTGTTATGCAAAAATTTCTGCCGATGTTTCTGTAGAAGAGATTCTTCAAGCTATTTTGATTCACAAGGAATTAACATTTTAACATTATTAAAAATCTTTTAATAGAAACTGCCAAGTTGCCTTCAAGCATGGACAATTTATATTCCTCCTAACAGAATAATAGGAATACCTATTTCACTCCATTCTCACCTGGGTTATATTTTAGCAAAATACATCCAATAGAAGGAGTTGGACAATGTGACTTTGGCAAAACAAAAAAACTTTAGCATTGCTTCTAAAAGCTTGGAAACTTTTATGATGTTTCTCTTAATATTCAGGTTCCAATTCCAATAATGTCTTTTGTTTCTTTGTCTAGATTTTCTATGCAGTTCATGCTTTTCAAGCACGGAGTGACCATGAACTCAGCCTTCAGGAATACCAGAGAGTTCATATACTCAGGTTTTGTGACCTAAGTGGCAATAAAGAGTGGTGGTTAGCTGAAGCTCAAGGGCAGAAAGGATACGTGCCAGCTAACTACCTTGGAAAGATGACTTATGCTTAAGAAAATAAGCCTTCAACTTTTATTTTCCAGCAAGTTGTTGATTGACTACCTCATAAAACTGACATTACAAAACTTTGGACCAGAAAGCAAGAAACCTCTGAACTACAGAAACTGATACTGTACTGGGTTTTCAGGAATACTGTACTTCCTAACAGGATTATTGCATGAATGTATTATAAAGGATACATGTTGAAAGAAATACTAAGCCAACAGAAATAGCAAAGCAAATGACCCAAGCTTCAACTATCAACTATTTAAAAGTGAAGATCTTTTGAAGGAGTAATTATATTCTTTTATCATCAAGAAAGGTTGGATCCAAAGGTTTTTCAATTTACTTTTTTTTTTACTGTATGATGTATTTTGCCTTAAATGTTTTTGTTTTTCATATTGCTCTCTTGCAAATGCATACATGTTTATATACATACATATAAACCATATATATTATGTAGCTTTATACACGTATGTGGATAATATGAATTATACACCTATATGTATAAATCAGAGTATACACCAAATATACATAAGAAGAATATACCACCAACTAGAAGTCTTTGATAATATATTTTGTTAATGTTTCGTTTATATGTTTTGAACTAAAACTGAATAACTTGATATTAACATGTAACATTACTGAATGCACACTATATGCCAGACATTGTTCTAAGTGCTTTATATGTAGTAACTTGTTTAATATTCAAAACATTATGAAGAAACCATGGCCCAAAAAGGTGAAGTAATTTAATCCAAATCACATTGCTATTAAGTGGTGGGCCTGGACTTAAACCTAGGTAGTGTAAACCAAAAATAAAATTCTAAGGCTTCCAACCATCTAAATAGACTTCCCCTTCAGCCAGGGCTTTTTTCTTTCTTTTCTTGTTGTTTTTTTTTTTTTTTAAAGAGACAATAAAAGGAGGTTTTTTTATTCAAAGGTATAACTGGATAAGTAGATTTGTTTACAATCATTCTTGTGAAATACTTTTTTAAAAAAATACGATCAACTTCTTTGCAAATAGTAGACACATACCTCAACAATGATGACCTAATTTTTGATCCATAATGTAAGATTAGGTAGAAATAGGCAAGCTCACACTGCTAAATTAACTATCAAATACTCAGTCAAAACTCCATTTGTGGCCCCCACTTCTTGATCTATTTCTGTTCCACTTCGTCTTCTACCATCTTGCCGACTTTCCTGAGCAACTGCTTTGTCGACTCTCTCTACCTGACCAATTGCCAGATCGACAACCTGACTGGCCTGACCAGCCACTCCTCTGTCTGGAATTAAAAGATGTTTCCATCATAATATTCTTTAATTTCAGGTAATTTAGCTGGCACTGAGAGTATCCAGCCGGAATCATGCCACTTTGCCTGTAACCTTTGACTCAATTGGAGGAATATCAAAGCAAACACCCATATTTCCTTTCAGGAGGCACACTCTGGTAATCTGAGACACTGCATTACTATTCAGCTTTCTAAGTTCTTTCCAAGCACAGCTGACATCCTGTATTTCCTCTAGGCTTTCCAGAGTCATGGTCACAAACCCCTTATCAGAGTTGATTAAAGATCATGGTTCAAAGCTTGATACACCAGAAATGTGGGCTAAAGCTGCAGCCAATGCATCTATCGCCCCTTTCTCTTCTATCAGTATCTGAGCTGATGGTTGGAAAAAAATCAACAGCAGCATAAGAAATGGAAGCCAGAGACCTTATGGCATCCATGCTTTTAAATTTAACTAAATCCATTGTAGAAGGAACACCTACACATTTAAAAGTAATTTGTGTTTTTTGTTCCACATGTCTTAGTTGACCTTTCTCTTGGTTGATAAAAACATATACAAACCCCTGTCTGTCCAGCTTTACCCACGCATCCAGAGAGATGGATATAGGACTCAATATCCTGAGGAGGAGAACTTTGAATCACCAGGTCAACTACAGGAATGTCCAAACCACGAGGAGCCACATTGGTTGCCACCAAAACTTTATAATTACCTCTCTGAAGCCTTTTAGTGTAATTTCTCTTTGTGACTGTGCAATGTCCCCATGTAAACACAGTGCATTCTGTTTTGTGCGGATTCATGGCCATGTCAGTTACATTCTTCTTCGTCTCACAGAAAATAATAGCCCTCCCTTCAGATCCACTGTAGACTTGAAGGACATCTCATTTTCATCTGTGTTTTATAAAGGAGGAAATTGAGGACCTCACATGGAGGGACTGGAATTTAAAACCAGGTCTTCTGACTTTAAGGCCTTTCTTTTAGTGTTTTCCCTTTTCTTTTCCTTAAGTCACTAAAATCTGTAGTTATATAATCTTACATAAAGCATATGCAAAATAGAAAAATGATAGTCACCACATATCTACTAATGGGATTAAAATGTACAATCCTAAAAGCTTACTTGTTAGCACACTTGCTTATCTGTCCATTCATTCATTGAACCAGTAAGTATTTATTGAGAGTTAGTGGGAATACAATGCTGTGCAAGACAAACAAGATCCCTCCATTCATACCACTTAAATTCTAGTGGGGAAAACATCTGCACATAACAAACTAAATAAAATGATCATAAAATAATAAATGCTATTTATATAAAACTGGCTACTTTCATTACTGCTCAGTTAAAGGGTCTTGTAGCTCATTTTATGACATGAAAAAAATCAAGGTCTAAAAGCTCCTTGAGACAATTTAAACTCTAATACCAAATATACCTCTATAAAATACCAAACTGAGCTAAATACGGTATATGTGTACTTATACATATGTACATAACCTAAATATACGTGTGCACACATTATCTATACAAAGAGCCATACTCAGTGAAAGATAAATTACCTCCTAAACTAAAGTCCCCTCTGAGGTACAACAGAAATTAAAATAATTGCTTCTCTTCTCAACTCTATGTAGCACGTATTTTCCATGATGGGATAAATGTTTTCATTTCAAGTGCCAATGTGTGAACTGTAATAAACATTACTGCTTTCATTTTTTGTAGGTATGGAGGTTACATTAACTGTTATAGTTGCGGAGCTGAGTTTTTATGTCAGGTAATTTTGTTTAGTCCAAACTGGTTTTGAACTATAAACAATTATGGATATGTATTTTTTGGTTTCTTTGACCCCAAAGGGAAATTGGGGTTTATGTCAAATTGATGTTTTATCAAAATAAATCTGTTTCTCAAAGCAAAAGTCTCTGTAGGATTGAGATAATTCATTATTTACATATAGGGTAAACAGACATTTACTGCCTATTGAGATCATAATTGAGATAATGGATTATCTCAATCCTGGATTCTAATTTACTACAAATAATTTAGCACCATTATTTAACAGAGCAGTTTAAAATAATAATCTTTCCTTAAAAAAAAAAAGACCAAGCTTAATTTTAAAAGCTTTGTGTTTACAGAGATCACCTATCAATATACTTTAGAATAATGATGTTAGAAAAACCTAGGGATTAAGGAAGACAGTTTGAGATTAGAGATTTGTAGAGTGAAGATTTAGTAGCACAAATCAAGTTTGATGGAACAGGCTGTTCATAGTCTTGTGAATGTGTGAATTTGTTGGATATCCAGTTTTTTTGCTGTGAATAATAAACTGTTTCTCTGATGCAGAGGGCTTCCTATCTTCTCTCAGAATATACATGTACAACAATTGCTGGTTAATTTGTTAGCTTGCAAGTAAGACAACAACGCAGACCTTCCACATTTTCTGACTTAACCCACTTATGCCTAGTGTTCCATTATTGCAATGCTCGGCTTATAGAGTTATTTATATCCTACTGTTCAAGGTCATCATCAGGTCTGATTTTTCACCAAAAAAATTTGCAACCTCTGGCATAAATGGGTTAACAATGTACAAAACAATCTCAAGAATTAATCATTATATAGGAGCTTATTGTATACAAAGTTAGCTAAAATTAGGTAAAGTGCTATAACATTTTGAGCACTAAGTAAGATAGCCTTTTCTTTCATGGTATAGGAAGAAGCCATCAGTGTGTGAACAAGTCATATATTTCCATCTGCAAAGACCTTTGTGAAATGGTATTTTTCTTCAAAACTTATCAGGAATGTGCATAACCAAGATGAATCAAAATTCAACATTTATTACGTACTATGTGCATGTATTACATTGGCAATGTAGGAAAAGTGAGCAATGTGAGAAAAAATATTGTATTAAGCACCAGGAGAGTTCACAATTTATTGGAAAAAGATATACCCTTAAATAATTGAAATGAGGTGATAAAAAAGGTAAAGATATAATATGAAGTATGATAAATCAATTAGGAAAATCCATTGATATGAGAAATCAATAATGAAAAAATAATTTTGAAAAAGATGAAATAATTGGGAGGGAGAGGGAGAGTCAGTTGAAATGGGGCTAGCACAGAAAATGAACACCCAGAATACGGGGAGGAAAATAGAAAACTATGTTGGGTCGTCCCTGCCGCCACATAAGGCACCTCATTCATCAGGATCAACTCTTGGGGCTTTGCTAGAAGATGAACTATTTCTTTTTCCTTAAATTCACAGATGCTTTCAATCTTCTGAAGATCTCATTGAGAACCAGTCATTCTAATCATTGTTTTCACACACTATGGAAATCATTAGAATAAAAATGTTGAAGATTGATTTAAAATGAAAGTTTCCAAGTTTTGTTATATAATATTTAGCATTTTAAGGTAAGAAACAATAGAAATTTGATTATGAAGACTTTTATTAAATTACAGTGTATTACAGATTATATCATAATAATAAGCCTTTCATCTTTAGGCTAATATGATACAAAAACCTACTTGGCCACATTACTTCTTGAGTTTCTTTTGGGCAGCTTTCTTCTTGACCATCTGTAATCGCTTCATAGCATTGAGCTGTGATTCTTGTGAAGTTGGGCCTTTAAGGGATGCTGAGGGAGAGCTGCTGGATTCTGAAGTAGTTTTGCTGGTAGTACTTCCACTAGGTCCTGATGTTCCACTATTTCCATTCCCACTTAGTTGGCTGCTGCTTCCTGGAACTAAACTACTTGGACTAGGAAGACCTACTTTGCTGACATTGTCACAACTAACTGAGCGACTAAGGCCAGTTTTACCCAAGGTTAGAGGTGGAGGTGGTTTTAAAGGTACAGTGGGCGTAGTGCTGTTATTGGAACCTATTTTGGAACCTATTCCACCTTTGGATGATGTTGCCAGACCAGTCAAACCCACAGGTTTCTGGTTAGCTGACGAAGTAGCAGGTTTCCCAGTATTGTTTTGTGTTGTTGAACTCAATTTTGCTGTTGAAGGACCAGCAGAGGAAGTTTTGGCTGCAAAAGCTGCCCATCCAGTTAAGCCACTAGTTACTGACGAGGAAACGCTGGCACTAGAAGAATTTCCTGAAATAACTGTGGATGTCTAAAAAAATAAAGTAAATAATTACATTAGAGCCAAGTTTAATCAGTACCTGTATAAACATCCCAAGTTATGAATTGGGAAATTTAAATCACACCACCAAATTAGGTTCTTATGAAGCTGATCTGAAAAACCACACAGAACAAAACTTATCTGTATCTAGTGGGTATTATCATTTGCAAAGCAGAAAATTTTTGATACCATATTCTTGTTCTAATGATTCCAAAAGAAAATATATGAAATTCCTTTTTGGGAATTGCTTTTAGATTCAATTCTAAGCTATATCTGAAAACCAGATTTAGTGCTTTAACATAGTTTTTACCCAACAAAGTATTATCGACCTTAGTTAAACATCTAATTCTTTTAGACTTTTCTCCAAATAACTAGGGATCATTTCAAAAATTTAATTCACTCTTAATAGCAAAAATGCCCATACCCAGAATATTCAGGAGAACATATCCAAGATGAAGAGATTCAGTCAATATTTATTTACTGAGTGACTGTGTGAGAGAAAGAAGACAGCTGTATAGATTCTAAACCCATTAAAAAAAAATGTCCTCCTAAATTTTGAGCAACAGTTACAGGAGTACAAAATATATGCAAAGTTAATTACTTGGAAGTGTACAATTTTTATGATGTGTTAAAAAGTTCTCATGATTTTAGTTTCACAATTTGCCCATGATTCCGGTTAAACTATCATGTAAGAGTCTCCTGCTCCTTTAATAAGGATTTTATCAATTGCCTCATTAGGCTGCACAGTGACATTTTGGGTAGGACTGATCTCATTCTCTGATATATTTCATAAGGGTATAACACTTCAACTTCTCTGATTAACTTTCCTGGCTAATCAGAAGCTCACAATGGTACCAATGCCACTATATAAATACATATTGCTCTTGTTCACACAAGAATATATTTTTTCACTTTCATATTAGGCACAAATGTACGTATTCAAATTAATTTTGAATTGAACTTCTTATTGACACCTTTTCTACCTTTATACTCTTAAGAAGATTCACAAAAGCATTACATTCACATATAGGTAAAAGATAAAATTTTACAAAATAACATCCTACTTAAAAAATGGTAGTTATTATACCTAAAATATATCCAGTTATAATTTAGAACTTTACTCTGAAATAGTTGATAAAACATTTTTAGCTCTTGAAATCAAGGTAGCCTTCAATATTGTCTGCATGCATACATTTTTAATCAATGTGAAAAGTAACAAAAATAGAGTTCTGAGATATTCGATTTATAAGAGAAGGAATCCAGATATTTGTCCACATACTCTGAAAATTGATAGGAAGTTTTCTTACAGTAACATATTAACTATCTTATGAAGTTATCCAGAGAAGAAAAACTACATAAACCATTTATTCCTAGAGGAATATATACCAGCAATGAGAGAAAAAGTTAGTCAAGAAGTAAACCTTTAATTTTCAGTTATGAAAGACCTAATTTTTTTTCCTTTTCTTGCTATTAAACATAAAACTGTCTGCCATATGGTTAAATGATCTTTCAAAAAACTTCACAAAAGAAAACCCACCTTTAGTAATTAAAAGACCAACACTTAGGAAGTACAAGCAAGAAAGCATGTTCTATGTGTCTGGCATTTCATTTTAATGGCTTGCTGTTGCTTAGTATTGCTTTTCAACAGGATGACAGATGGTTTATAATACTATCAGGACACATAGAAGTAATATAACACAAACAATGGAGACCAAGTGATTTCTTACTATTTCAGTGTAGAAAACAAATTTCTCAAGTTTTTAACTATAAATATTTTCTTGCCTATTTGCTAGATGGGCAAGTTAGAAAAGACATTTGCTTTTTATATGTGAATGGGAACAATTTTTTTATAGTATAAATTTATTCACTTTTATAAAAAGTGAATTTTTTATTAAAGAAACACAAAACCTCTTAATCAAAACAAATATGACAGCAGTCTTTAATTTGTTTGCCATAAAATGATTTCATGTTGAATTTTCTAAAAATAAACTTTAGTAGTAACAGATTAATCTAAAAATCTACTAAAAAGTGATTATATGCAGAATATAGCAACTCTAATTACTTTCAATAAACTGGTTATTCTTACTTCTATTCCAATTCACCAAGTTCCTATATGACAAATCAATAATGGATATGCCTTGGATAGCAAATCTTCCCTGGCAAATTAAAATGAAAAATAATCTCCAAATATAATTATCAATAAGTTTTTAAAAGTATTTCGTATTCATATTCTTTTTCATCACATCAAGGGTATGAAGCTTACTACTTACAGTCACTTAGATAAGGCAATAACTTTAGAGTTTTCTCAGGTCAATCTTTGAGAATTTGAGGCTATTTTTTTTTTAATATTTTTTCTTCCATATTTAGTGCTATGCTTAATATTGGAATGTGTACCTCAGTAAAAGTATTCTTTTTGTTATGAAATTAGATTAGAAAATTATTTTTTTCCATGATATAAAAAGGCCAAGATATTAAGAAATAATGTAGTATGATTTCAAGGATGCAAACTTAGGAATGAGAAAGGTGATACCCTCACTAGACAATGTGGTCCCTTGGTATAAGAGGTAGATAACATTGAAAGTTTATTATAAAGAAACAAAACAAGACAAAGCAAGAAAACTCCTTCAACAGCCAATAAGAAGGGAGAAAAAAAAATTACAAGGCCAATCTGCTCAAGTAGTGTGGGGAGCAAAATTGTTGCTACTGAGGGCAGAGGTATTTTGAATTTAAACCAGATTTCTTTTTCTTTTTTTGAGTTGCAGTTTCGCTCTTGTCACCCAGGCTGGAGTGCAATGGTGCTATCTCAGCTCACTGCAAACTTCGCCTCTGGGGTTCAAGCGATTCTCCTGCCTCAGCCTCCCAAGTAGCTGATCACAGGCACCGCCACTATGCCTGGGAATTACAGGTGCCCATCACCACCCCTGGCTAATTTTTGTATTTTTAGTAGAGATGGGGTTTCATCATGTTGGCCAGGCTGGTCTCAAACTCCTGACCTCAGGTAATCCACCCGCCTTGGCCTCCCAAAGTGCTGGGACTATAGGTGTGAGTCATGGCACCTCGCCTGAATTTAAACCAGATTTCTGATTGAAGACAAATATCTAACCAGATGAGAATGGTAAAGAATGTCATTTTGGAATGATCATAGACTGTTCGTATTTGTGATAAAAAGAAAAACAACAGAGTTAGAGATTAATTAATGATATAAATGTTCCCTTTCTACCTAATATAATAGTAGTAAAGTCTTAATTTCTAAAATATAGCCATTTAGTATATAAAGTTTCTCATTAAATTTTTTATCAAGCAACTATTTTTTAGTCAACTAAACTTTAAGATATAATCTTAGATAAAAATAGAATCTACTATACCTTGACTTCTGTTCTCTTAAACGCTAGAAAAGTTGTCTCTTGTTTCAGTTTAGTTTCTGGTTTCTTAACCAATGGATCTTTGACAGCTGGAGTTACAGAAACAACTGCAGGGGCTGGTTTCTGCGGTGGTTTCTGAGTTTTTTGAGCCTGCAAAAATCAGTGGATTAAATCAGATACAAAATCTTAACTGAATATACAGAAAGATAATAATCCCTCACAGGACTCATCACTGAAATGAAATACAGTTGAACATTTTAAAAAATAGTGTGATGATAATGAATATATATGCTCTTTGACAAATTATTATCATATTAATGGTCTTACAGATTGTATTAGTTTCTAAACAGTAAAGATAATATTAAGCTTTAGAAATAATACAGAAGAGGGTTAGTTAAATACCATTTTAACAAGATAAAATTGTTTTTTAAAGAGCAAAATCACAAACTATATGTAACCGTTAGCTTTACTCATGATGAAGTACATTTATTTCTCATTGGGGTTTGTCAAATACACAAGAGTTTTCTTCTTGGGGTCTAGGCATAAGTCGACTCCTCAGTTGCTGAGGGCAAATTAAAACACAGCTCAGATCATTTATATGGTTTTAAATATAGAACAGGGAGAAAAAAACTATTGATAAATGATTAAACTTTTTGAGGTTTTTCCACATTGCAAAACTAGGCACACTAAATCTTTAGAGAAAGTTAATAAATACAAATTTCTATGTTATGAAAGAATTTTCACCCACTATTATTTTATAAGCATCTTCAGTTTTATTTTGACCAATAACTGATTTTTTCCTTTATTTTATAACTAGGTACTTGACTAAATTTTCCTATAAACTCTAATCATTTTTGAGTTTATTTTTTAGTGTTTTCTAGGTAGATAATTATAACTGTTTATAAATGGTTATGTGCCATGTTTAAGAGTAATTTTCAGAGTCAAACACAGTTAGGATTAAAACCCAGCAACTGGCTGGGTGCAGTGGCTCACGCCTGTAATCCCAGCACTTTGGGAGGCTGAGGCGGGTGGTTCACTTGAGGTCAGGAGTTTGCGAACAGCCAGAACAGCCTGGCCCACATGGTGAAACCCCGTCTCTACTAAAAATACAGAAATTAGCTGGGCATGGTGGCGGGTGCCTGTAATTCCAGCTACTCAGGAGGTTGAGGCAGGAGAATTGCTTGAACCCATTAGGTGGAGGTTGCAGTGAGCCGAGATCGCACCACTGCCCTCCAGCCTGGGCAACAAGAGCAAAACTCCATCTCAAAAAAACAACAACAGAAAAAAAAACAGCAACTATTTTTCTAGATACATTACCTCAGGCAAAATATGTGAATCTCTAAAAGCCTCATTCTCTTCATCTGTAAAATGGTAATAGCATTTGTTTCAAAGGTGGGTTATGAGGATGAATTATGATTATGTAAGAGTTTAGCATAGTGTCTGGAAAATGTTGAGTGCTAACAAAAAGTTACTGTTTATTCATCATTATTATTTACAAAGGATAATCAAACTGAATCCAGAAAAATCCATGCATACTGAACGGGGAAAGATGCTTCCCGCCAGCCATTCCATAGTCTTTGATAATCTTCATAAGCCCATACAGTACTATACCAGGGAATTTATTAACAATTTGTCACCATTTCTGGAAGCCAGAATTTGGCCTATTTTGCTCTTGTTTGGGCCTTCTTGTGTAATCTTGGGCTACTGTTTGCCATACTATATAGTTTGGGTCCTTAAATCTCAATTCGTATCACTTTTTATACTACATACCTTCCACATCAAAGTACACCTACCTTCAACATCACTTATAAAGCAACAATTAGATCAAGAATATTAAGAATGTTCGAAGTAATTCACTGTTGATTACTTGATTACTGGTACTAGCAGGAAAGCAGAGCCATCTTATCCTTCATTGCAAAACCATGTTACGAGAATGCATCCCTCACAGTAAAACAGAAACATATGGCTCCAAAACCATGGCTTTCAATCTTAACACTGCCTTCCACCCACATCTAGCACTCCTGAGGTTAGACTCTGAGGACCCACCTAACTTGTATGTTTTAACAGATAAAGACTAATTATGATGAAGCCCCAGGAAGTACTTCTGCCTGTGAGATCATGTTTCAATCTTCTGCCTTCCCTGTTTTATCCAGCCATCTTAGAAACTGAGTAAGAAATACCCACAACCCTTTGTCCTTTACTGGTAATACTAGTTTAGGGAACTAGGATATAATTACTGATTCAGTTTTGTTCAACAAAGGTACTAAAATTTTCATTGGATGACTGCTTCAAACATTGCAAAATGTATAAAATTCTCCACTAAGGCACTAACTGCCAGAATGGCAGTACTAAAAACCCCACCTATTTCTAAATGCTGCAAAATAGGAGTGTGTTACTACCTTAGATTGAGAACCACTGCAATAAGTGATATGAGTCTCTCACCTGAAGCTGGGGAAAAACTCCACTACTGCGTAGAGAGAAAACTATAGAACTGAAGAATAACCTTGGACCCTGCCATACACGATCACAACATTCTTAACTAGGTCTTCCTACAATGATGTGTACCGCAGAACTTGCCCCAGTTTGAGGAATCTGTTTGAGGAGAAAGGGGATATCAGGTCCTATTTATAATATCTTTGAGATACCTTGGAACAATAACCAATGCACATATGAGAATCTCACTCAAAGCAATTATAGTTAGAATGACTGTATTTAGAATCCCCACTGTTCCAAAATTATCTCATTAAACCTTACATTTCCTGGATTCTGATCTTTAGGCTCACTTCAGATCATGTCTTTTGGTATTTCCCCACATTTGCTCTTGGTGTATTCTAGTCATGTTATAATATTAGCCATGACTCCCCATTTAGTACTTTGACTTCTGGACACACAGACCAGATTCACTGTTGATTTCTGGTACTAATCTGCATTTAGCCTGGCATGGTGGCTCATGCCTATAATCCCAGCACTTTGGGAGGCCGAGGCAGGAGGATCACTTGAGGTCAGGAGTTCGAGACCAGCCCTGGCAATGTAGCAAGACTCCATCTCTACAAAAAATAAAAAAAAAATTAGCTAGGCCTGGTGGCACATGCCTGTAGTCCCAGCTACTTGGGAGGCTGAGGTGGGAGGATTGCTTGAGCCTGGGAGGTCAAGGCTGCAGTGAGCCATGGTCATGCTACTGCACTCCAGCCTAGAAAACAGAGTGAGACCCTGTCTCAGAAAAAGAAAAAAATTACATTTGCTTCATTTTATTTAACTTAAGAACAACAGAATGTAGAATGTGTCCAGTCTTGAGCTCTGCTTAAGTGCTATGCCAATGAATACATGCTCTTACTGATAAATTAGATATTATTTGCAAAGCAGATAAAAGAATAAACAGTATCCCAGATGAAGAGAAGAAGCTGAGAAGCAGAAAATATGGGAACATGAAAGTTCTCCACATATTCAGGGAATGACACACTTAGTCTGTGTCAGAGTGGCCAGAGTGTATGAATGTGTATGCTGAAGCAGTGAGAGAGAGGGCTGTAAGGTAGAGTCGGGTCAAAAAGAGAAGGTCCATATATGCATCCTAATGAGTATAATCTCATTATATAAGTAATTGAGAGCCACTGGGCATATATAAGTAGGTAAATATTTTAGAAGAATTCTAATGATAGTAAGCAAAGTGGATTGATAGGAGGCAAGGAGATTTATTAAGTGGCTATTGCAATAGACAAGTAATGGATTTGTGGAACAGGGTAATAAAAGAGAAATGAATAGATTTCAGAGACATATAAGAGGTAGAATTAGCAAATCTGGTAAACAATGGGATATGGAATTAAAAGAGGCATCAAAGATGTTTTCTAATTCAGGCAATTGCAGAAAAAAAAAACTGGATAATAGAACAACTTTCACTTTTAAATATATTGACCTTAAAGTATCTATAGACTATCTAGTTAGCTATAGAAGCTCACCCAGGAAGAGGGTTAGAACCATAAACATAGATTTGACATAAATCAGAAAAAATGGAGGAGAAAAAACTTGGGGGAAGAACAGTGCTTACTTTAGATATTAAAGGAGCTAAAGTGATAATAATAATGAAACAGTTGAGTACATACTAAAGAAAGATAGATTATTGTCACAATTTGTTTCTTTTGACAATTTCCAATTCTTAGTGGTTTCTTATCAATGCTCTGGAATGCATTGCTCATCTGTAATAATTTCACTTGAGATCCTGGAGGGCTAGTTTAAATAATAAATTAAATAAAAACCAAACTGAGCAGAACAGATTGTAACTTGTCATAGAAATTTCCTGTTACAAGTAAGAAATATACACACTATTGATATACACACTTTTCATTTACTACTTTTTATTTCATAGGAATAAATAAAAACACTTCCTATTTCTGATTTAACTGATTAAAAAGTAAAATGGGTATCCCGAGTTTTTACTTTTAACTAAGTACTTCTGACCTTTAAAAGATATATTGGTTAGACAAATTTATATAGAAATTCATTTGATTAACAGACATGAGAACTCTGCAATTGAGAATCACTAATTTAAGGCAGGGGAAGAGAGATGGAAGTGGGAGGGAGAGGTGGAGAATAAGACATTATGGCAATTTCTTGTTTTCTTTAAAAGAAAAATTATGAAATTCATTTATCATTTATCTATTTTATAAGTGAATAAAAGTTAGAAAACTATCCAATATAACAAATGAAAAGATATTTCACTATGATATTAAAGGCAGGTATGTTAGTCAACAGTAAAAAGAGAAAGTACATAGGAAGAATGAGGTAATGGTCACTTGAGGACAATGAGAAGGAAAGACTAAGCAACAGAGAAATGCAGCTGGAAAGACAGATATGCACATATAAATATCGCCTCTGTACACATCTTATCCATGCGGTGGTTTAAGCTCACTCAGAAATTTTCTATATTTCCTTACCAGATCTCAACAAAGAGTGGGGCTTTGTATCTCACCACTTCTCAGTGCTGCATGGTATTTTAAAATGTTTGTCAATACATTGACAGACTAGTAAGGAATATTCATAATTTGTGTGTCACCAATCTTGTTTTATCTATATTAGAATTAGATAAAACTAAAAAGAGAAAAATGCACATAACATGGTCTGGTCTTTAGCAATAGAAATATTAATCACATGTACATACTATACATATAAATAAATAATCAGCTTATATTATTTATTTTTTCAATATCTTAAATATTCAAATCTTTGTTTTGAAAGCACATACCAACAAAAACATTGACAGACTGTTTAAAATAAAGAAAAATATGATTCCTACCATTCTTTTCATTTGTCTGGTACATCGGGCACAATACCACACCAGGCGAGGGTCATTCGCTTCCTTGTCTGTCACCTGGGGTTTATGACAATCTCGGTGGTAGAGATTATGGCACTCCTGACATTCTACTAATTGATTGCCAGATGCCACCATCATTTGCCTAAGAAAACATACCATTAAACATTACACTACTTTTTTAAATGCCATAATTTAAAGTTATTTCAGGGGCCAGGTGTGCTGGCTCATGCCTGTAATCCCAGCACTTTGGGAGGCCAAGGCAGGCGGATCATTTGAAGTCAGGAGTTCAAGACCAGCCTGGCTGACACGGTGAAACCCTGTCTCTACTAAAAATACAAAAATCAGCTGGGCATGGTGGTACACACCTATAATCCCCACTACTCAGGAGGCTGAGGCAGGAGAATCGCTTGAACCCAGGAGATGGACGCTGCAGTGAGCCAAGATCATGCCACTGCACTCCAGCCTTGGTGACAGAGTAAGACTCTGTCTCAAAAAAAAAAAAAAAAAAAAAAAGTTATTTCCAGGTTGTTCTGGTAAAGTTTGGTATATTAAAAAGAAAAAAAATCCCAGAAACCCAAAGAGCAAATAACAAACCCCAACACTTGGCATGCACAAAAGCATAAGCTTTTAAAGCTTATGGTCAACCATTAATAAATATATAGAATGCCTTAATTAAATTTGGCTATTTTCTCGTCATTTCTCGTCATAATTTTTGCCTTTCTCTCAGAAGGTAGTAGACTCTGATTAGTCTTCCAACAGCCTCATAACATTTTGTATCTCCATTAAATTCCCTTATATTAGTTAGCTGTATGTTGTTGTTGTTCTTCATTAATATGAGTCACCTAAAGGTGAGTACTGGACCTAATTATCCACAGTCCTTAGCACATTACTGTGCACACATAGGGTGCTCAATAAATGTCTGATCAGATTAATAGAATGAAGCCATGTGTGTATAAAAAAGTATAAATTTCAACAGCACAAAAAGCAATCACCATAGCCTTAGATTATCAAAGGCATATATATCATAATATAATAATCACTTTCCCTCTGGAACCCAAAAATGCAGAAAATGTTACAACATAACAGATTTAAAAGCCATAGTTGGGAAAGACAAAATAGTTGACAATTTTCAATATGCTAAATTGTTATATGGGCAGTTACCTACTTATCTCCACCCCAGTTCCAAATAGTAAAAACAAAATAGAAAATGCACAACAATTTTTCTGATTTTGGGGGTTGAGGAGTGGAAAGGGTCATGTGTTCTTTATAAAGTAACAAAAGAATCTGTGGCAAGGTACAACTTACCTACAAACAACGCAGGCCAATCCCATCTCCATGGCAAAATCATCAGCACTGGTCTCCTCAAAACTGGAAAGGTCAGCCATAGGTAAATCCTTGCTACTTTGGACAGTAATGGGAGATGACTGTGTTTCTGGTTTCTCCAATCTAGGTTTCTTTGGAATATCAACTCCTTCAGTGATGTCTGATTTCATCTATAAAAAGCAGGCATCAGAAAATGATAAAGTAATGTGGTAGAATAAACTTTAAGTCACTGAAAGACGAGTGAGAAGGACAATTGGCAATGAACAAGTCCATTTTACAGATATATTCACATAGTTAGGGACAGATGTGCACATTAAAGATCTGTAGAAGAATTGCAATGAATTTATTAGTATATTAAATGAAACCAGCAAGATAGAAATAAATAAATCAGAACAGTTTAACAAATATTTGTATTTCTCTTTGTACTCTTCTATCTACTAAAGAATTATGGAAGATCGATGGATTTACTTAGACTAGTATCTACCATACAGACTTAACACATATTTGCTTCAAAGCAAATTCGGATTCCCTTCTTTAAGATATAAATATTATCAATATACCCATTAGATTTGGCAAAAATCAAAAAGTCTGATAAGACATGGAATTTGGAATTCTTATACTTTGTTGATGACAGTGTAAATTTAGTACATCTACTTTTGATAGAAATTTGGCAATGCCTAGTAATGTTGAAGATGTCATATCCTATTATATTCACTTATAGGTATACATCCTATAGAAACTATTAACATGACATATGTATAAAGTAGCTCACTCAAACTCCATTGTAATAGAAACAAAGGAGAAATATCTAATTGTGCATCAGTAGGGGAATGATAAACTGGTTAATCATTCCCCTATGATAAATCAGTAGGGGAATGATAAACTGGTATTATGTAGTAGCTAAAAGAAATCTAGATCTACATGCATTAACAAAGATACATTTCAAAAGCACATAGTTGAGTGGAGAAAAAGTTACCAAAGGATATACACACACACAGTATGATAACATTTACATAATTTTTTTTTTAAGACAGAGTCTTGCAGTGTTGCCCAGGCTGGAGTGCAGTGGCACAATCTCTGCTCACTGTAACCTCCGCCTGCTGGGTTAGAGTGATTCTCACGTCTCAGCCTCCTGAGGTGCTGGAACTACAGGTGTGCGCCACCACACCTGGCTAATTTTTGTATTTTTAGTAGAGAGGGGGTTTTGCCATGTTGGCCAGGGTGGCCAACTCCCGACCTGCTGACCTCAAGTGATCCTCCTGCCTTGACCTCCCAAAGTGCTGGGATTACAGGCATGAGCCACCACACCCAGCTTCACTTATGTAGATCTAAAAACAGAGAAATAATCTAATGTAGTTTATGAATAGCCACTATTTAGCAAAAGTATGAAAACATACGGGATAATATACTCCATCTTGAGGGCAAGGGTTACTGAAGATATCTTTCAAATGTATTTTTTTCTAACTACTAAAATCTTAATTACTATATGTAGAAATCATCTAAAAATAGACAATCCAAGAATCATCTTTGGCACTGTTCAGGTGCATACCACTCTATAAAGTTTATGTTTAGTCATTTACATCTATACTCTTTCCCATCTTTTCTTTCTTGCTTTCCTTTTTTTTTGAGACAGCGCCTCACTCTGTCACCCAGGCTGGAGTGCAGTGGCACGATCACCGCTCACTGCAATCTCTGCCTCCTGGGCTCAAGCAATCCTCCCACCCCCCACCCGCCCACAAACAGCTGGGACTACAGGTGCATGCCACCACACCCAGATGATTTTTGTATTTTTTGTAGAGATGGGGTTTCATCATGTTGCCCAGGCTGATCTTGAACTCCTGAGCTCAAGCAGTCTACCTGCCTCGGCCTCCCAAAGTGTATCTATCTTTTCTTCTTAACAACTGTTCCATCTAGGATCTCTGAGGCATAGATTAAAGTTTACACTCAAAGTTACTATACTCCCTAGGACTCAAATATTTATTGACAATAACTTTTAACCACTTAACTTTAAAATTTGTAAATTTTACTCATTTTTTGAAAAGTCAAAATCTATAGCTATCAATATATATTCACTGAGTGTTGATTATTATATACCTATACCCATTATTATATAAAAGAAATAGGCATAAAACATTGTTTCTTTCTGCTTATGGAACAACTAATTTACTTTCTTTTAACAAGATTAAAATAAAATCTTACTTTATCAGCAGGTCTCTTTTCAGCTTCCTTCTTTACCTTTTCAGTTGTGAGGACCTTGCCATTATTATTACCAGAAGGAAGACTGGATGATATTTTGGGCTCTTGCTTAATGGAAATGTTTTTTGTGCTTGAAATTTTGGGTGGCTCCACATCCTAAAAGATGAAAAAAGGTACCAGTAATTAAATATTTAGACTGATCATCATAAAAAAAGATCATTAATATAAACAATTTTCAGTTAAAAATTAAGACATTTCATTATAACCAATGTAATATTCCTTTCTTAAATAGTTAAATAGCTTTATTGAGAAATAATTGATATACAAACTGTACCTTTTTTATTTTTATTTTTTGGGACAGAGTCTCACTCTGTTGCCCAGGCTGGAGTGGAGTGCTGTGGCACAGTCTTGGCTCACTGCAACCTCTGCCTCCTGGGTTCAAGTGATTCTCCTGCCTCAGCCTCCCGTGTATCTGGGACTACAGGTGCACCACCACACCCGGCTGATTTTTGTAGTTTCAGTACAGATGGCGTTTCACCATGTTGGCCACACTGGTCTCAAACTCCGGCCTCAAATGATCCGCCCACCTCGGCCTCCCAAAGTGCTGGGATTAAAGACGTGTACCACCACACCTGGCCCAAACTACACCTACTTAAAGTGTAACATTTGATAAGTTTTGACATATGTATACGTCTGTGACACCATCACTACAATCAACATAATGAACATATCCATCATCTCTCCAAATTTCCTTGTGGCCCTTTGTAATTACTCTCTTACAGGTATACACCCTATAGAAAAATATGTCTCCCATCATCAAGCAAGAAAAATATGTCTCCCATCATCAGGCATATAGAAAAATATGTCTCCCATCATCATCATCACTTATCTGTTTTCTGTAACAATACATTAGTTTGCATTTCCTAGAAATTTATATAAATGGAATCATATTCTTTTTTGGTCTGGCTTCTTCTACTCAGCATATTTATTTTGAGATTCATCCATGTTGTTTAGTGTATCAATAGTTAATTCCTTTTTATTGCTGAATAATATTCCATTGAATGAATAGACTACAATTTATTTATCAATTTACCTATTGATGGATATTTGGGTTGTCTGCAGTTTGGGACTATTACAAATAAAGCTGTTATGAATATTCATGTACAAGTATTTATATATATATCTATGTTTTTATTTCTCTAGAAAAAATAGGAGTGGGTTATATGGTAAGTATTAATATATGCTTAATTACTTGAGAAACTGCCAAACTGTGGCAGTACCATTTTATATTTCCACCAAGCATATATGAGAGAGTTCCAGTTCCTTCCCATCCTCACCAATGCTTTGTATGGCTACTCTTTTTAAATTGTAGATGTTCTAATAGGTATGTAGTGATATCTCATTTAGATTTAATTTAAATTTCCCCAGTAACTAATGATGTTGAGCAGCTTTTCAAGTGTTCATATGGCATACATATATCTTCTTTGGTAAACTATTTGATAAAATATTTTGCCCATTTAAAAGAAATGAATCTGTTTGTTTTATTACTAAGTTAAAAGAGTTCTTCATAGATTTTGGGCACAAGGCCTTTATCAGATATATGATTTGCAAATATTTTCTCTCAGTCTGTGGCTTGTCTTTTCATTCTGTTTAAATTCAATTCCTTATTCATGTATTATAGCTTTGCTGATATAGATAACTTGTTATTTGTTGTCATTAATAGTATGCATAAACTTTGGCAGCTCTTGGAATTCCCCCTCCCCCAAAAGGAGGGCACTTTCCCATCATTCTAAACAAAACTAAGGCAGCTGAGTGCAGTCTATTTTACTGTGATAATATGTAAAAGTACAAAAGTATAAATGGGAATAATACACAACAATTTCAGAATAGTGGTTACCTCTGAGGGGGGAAGAGAAGAAAAAGGAAGGAGGAATGGGTCCTCAGATCTAGTGGTGGCAGGGCTTGATATATTATTATGCTGATTGTTTAGACAACGGGTTAGCAAACTGAGGCCTATAAATAGTTTTTTATAAACAGTTATATTAGAACACAGCCACACCCATTCATTTTATAATGTATGGCTGCGTTCACATTACCATGGCAGAATTAAATAGTTGCAATGGAGACCATCTGGCACACAAAATCTAGAATTCTTACTATTTGGCTCTTTATAAAGTCTGTTGATCACTGGTGTAGACTTAGTAAAGTGTTGAAGAAAATGTTAATAATGCAGATTAAACTTAAAAATGTGTGGTGGGCAGGTGTGGTGACACATGCCTGTAATCCCAGCACTTTGGGAAGCCAAGGTGGGCAGATCACTTGAGTCCAGGAGTTTGAGACCAACCTGGGCAACATGGCAAAATGCTGTCTCCACAAAATATAAAAAAATTAGCCAAGCATGGTGGCATGCACCTGTAGTCTTAGCTACTCAAGAGGCTGAAGTGGGAGGATTGCTTGAACCTGGGAGGGAGAGAGCGCAGTGAGCCAAGATTGTGCCACTGCACTCCAGCCTGGGTAACACAGTGAGACCCTGTCTCAACAAAAAACAACAGAAAAACAAAAACGTGTATTGTGTGTAACTAAAAAATTGAAGACAAAGTCATGCAGTATTAAACTATTACCTAATTCAGCAAAAAAGTTGTTCTAGTTGTTGACGGATGAGTTAAGTTTTAACTCCATTATTTCACATTTGCCTTCCTCATTAATGTAAATGAATATCAACCAATATTCATGTTAGAATACACTTGGAGACCTGGTAATGTTAGTAAGCATTACCTCCAGGTGATTCTTATCCATGCTAAAGTTTGAGAAACACTGGCATAAATCACTCTTCTTACACAAATCTAGTGATGAAAATATTCAGCTGAAGGCTAAAATTAAATGGACCTGGGCTTTAAAAACCTATAACAAAGTAGTTTCTGAAAACTGATCAAGAGAAATGAACTCTAGCTAGAAACCTAAGGGCAGCGTGCTTTTTAATCACAACAAATTTTTCATGTTCTTTAAGAGATAAACTTCCATTTTAGAACCCCATTAAAACAATTTTTTTTCTTTAGTAATAATAGGTTTCCCTATCTGGACAATACCAACACCCACAGTGGAATGAATTTGGTAGTATGTTTTGTAGAGCCATATTGATTTGGTCGATCTGAACTCACTGAACCTACTGCAATGAGAATGGATAGAAGAAATGAAGTCACAATGGTTCTGCTATTCAAAATACAATAAAAAGGCTTCGGAGTACTAGACCTAGTATTGAAAGAAGGCTGGGGACAAAATGCCAGTGTTTACTTGGGCTCTGAGCCTGGGACTAGATCCTCTCTTGAGCTTCAGATTCTGGTTAGACTTGAGCTAGTCATGTTCTATTTTCTCCTTCTCAGTTTGGGATCTAAGTCCACAGACCTGAGTGATTTGGAGTTTGAGGGTCAGAGCTTAGAAGGATTTGATAGAATGTCTTAGTAGGTATTAGGGAATATAATAAGAGTTGTCATTCAGTGACAGCCTATTATGTACCAGGCAGGTACTACACTAGGTAACTCATTTACTGGATCTCCTTCAATTTTTACAACTCTGCAAAGTAGTTCTTATTATCCCCATTTTACCAATAAACAGACTAAGTGAAATGAAGTTTCTATGTACCTCAGTTTCCTTATGTAAAATGAAGAAAACAGTTATCTATCTTAAAGGATCATTATCATAATTAAAATTAATTATTCACATAAACTACTCAGAAAAGTGCCTGGGACATCAAGATACGTTGTCTATTATCATCACACAATTATAAGATTTAAGTGGGATTTAAAACAGGTGTGTTTGGTATCAAAACATATATTCTTTTCACATAAAGCTGCCATTGGCTGCTTTGTTATTATCAAGACAGGAGCTACACAGTTCTCAGAGTTCATCCATACCTCCTTTTCTCTTAAATTATCCTACCCATATTCAATTTATTTTGTTGAAAGATCTGTCCTTTTACTTGATTTTTTTTAATCCTTAAAATATTAGGCAATAATTAGAAGTAAGTTGTGGTTACATTCAGCAGCTTAAAAAAAATTCTGATCACAAAGAATCGGAAATTAAAGTAAGTCGTAAACAAGTGAATTCATATACACATAAAGTAGTAGAACAGAATATCCTGCACCCCCAGCTGATTTTTCTATGTGGTGTAACAGTTCTCTGAAAACTTGAAGGGAAAAAAGAAAATAAAGAATATAATTTCTTCATGCTACAAGGAAAGATTATTTCGGCAGAGATTGTTTTGAGATGGTCTATATGTTATCAATGTAGTACTACAGGCCTTACAAAACTCTCTCCAAGCTTTTTATTCATTCAAGTACCTTTTGAGATGGACGGTAACTGGAATCAATGCCCCGAGCCAAAGATTCATCAAGCAGTGCTTTTAGCTTTTCAGCAGAATCTTTACTCTTTGAATGCAAGAAACCTAGTGCTTTCAAAAAAATGGGATCAAGTTCCAAGTTCACAGTAGCAGCCATTGCAAACGCCTGAAGGAAAAAAAGAGAAAGTAATCTAGAAGACAATGCACAATTATCTATGTTAAAGTTTTACTTTTCTGTTTTTTAATTTGTAATAGATAATACTGTACACATGATATAAAATTTAAAATCACCAAAAAGTTATTACAAATAAAAGTAAATTTCCTTCTTATTCCTGACAGGCATTATCTAGTTCCTTCCCCCTGAAACAACTAGCAGTATCAGTTTTCTGTGTATCCATATCGATGGTAACGTTTTAAATCCAGGTAGGCCTCTCCCTGCCACAGAACTCCTTCCTAACTGTGTTTTAAAAGATACACTTCGCAGTTTCAGTACATAGAACTTGATGGGTTTACGTCAAGTTTACTCTGTATCAAAATTTCTTCTCTCAAACCTTATTTCCATAACACAAGGGAAGACTTAGTGTGCAGGTGTTTGTGTGTGTAAGGGCTATCGTAAGAGGGCAATGGTGAAAAGGTATATTAAGTGATTAGCTATCATGGTCACTGCTGCCACTTTTACCTCAACTCTTTTTTTTTTTTTTTCTAAACTCACCTCTTCAGTTCTCTGCCCCAACCCTAAATGTCTCAGAAAACATATTAATGATAACCTTATTTGATCACATTTAGATTGTGGTATCTCATGCATTAACCTATTTTTAAAAGTAAGGTCTCTGAGGGATAATATCATATCTACTTAAAACACACACACACACACACACACACACACACACACACACAGAGCCTATGATGCTTTGTGTCCTAAAGAGCTTAAAAAATAGCCAAGATGGATAAAGATATACATCAAAGGCTTATGAAATTCCACAATACTAAAAAGTTTTGTTTTTAGTTAATACCAATGCTATCATGTGGTTCTGCTTCTGGTTGTCACTTTTTCAAAGACCTCTCCAGGCAAGAAATTATCAAAATAAAAATGTATTCTTTGTGTTCAATCCTTTGATCAATATACTATGGCTTGAAATCTTCTATCCTTGAGGTTAATATTGTATTAATGCAGCACACTTGCATTGCTATAGTTAGGGAACTGTCAGCAATTCCACAGTTATCTCCCATTTTCAGGGGTTTATAACACCATTAAAACTTGCTGTAGGTTGAATCCTAGCATATGAAAGCACATCTGAAAATGGATTTTGTTGTCCCCTCCCCTCCAGCTTCACTCCTCATCCTTCTCCACATCTGACAAGAAACACACATACACATCCCTAGGCTTTTTTTTTTTTTTTTTTAAGTTCCCAGGAAGGTATTAGTTATCTACCTGATAACTACAAAATTACTGTCGAATTCTGTACTGTACTAAAATATCATCTGAATCACCCATGGAAAGGAATCCAAAGGCCAGTACTATAATGAAAAAGTAACCTTATCTCAAACTGTTGTATTTCTAAGAATTTAACAAAATTGAAAAGCAGCCTCTGTCACTTCTTAAAATTATATTATTATATACATCACCTCTACATAATGATAGGTACAGAAAAATTATTTTAAAATTTACTCATGGGGCTGGTCACCATGTACGTTCTGAGGAAAAAATAGCTCCTTAATAAAATTTCCAAGATTAAAAGGGTAAACCTGCCATTCCCCCAGCATATACAAGGGTAACAGCCTAATCTCTTTTTTTTCTTTAAATTCCACTCCTGTGACAGTTTACTAATCTTTCTACTGATTTTATTTCATATAGGTAAAGGAAATAGCAGTTTACTTATCCAGATTGTTATAAAACAATTTATTTTATTGGGTGCTGACCAAAGGGTTGACACCTAAAAGAACCCTTGTAATATATTAGAAAAACCATTTCTTGAAATTTCTATGCTGAAAAATGAAAGCCAAGTATTTATTGCTATGTATTTCTACAATCACAGGTAAGAGGTTTACATTACAGATTAGGTGACAAGAGTCAGCACCTAGATTACAAGACTGCGGAAGTCATCAACACCAACATTCCAGTTGGAACCTTGGAGTCAGTTCTTTTTATGCAATCTTGCCATTATAAAACTTAACAGGCTTTGTACCCCTCCCCTAAATTACTAACATGGCCCTTTGACCCAGTGGTCCCCATGGTGGAATACAGAGAAAAAAATATTAACTTTTTAATTTATTTCTATTTCTTTTTTTTTTTTTTTTTTTTTTTGAGACAGAGTCTCGCTCTGTCGCCCAGGCTGGAGTGCAGTGGCATGATCTCGGCTCATGGCAAGCTCCGCCTCACGGGTTCATGCCATTCTCCTGCCTCAGCCTCCCGAGTAGCTGGGACTACAGGCGCCCGCCACCACACCCGGCTAATTTTTTGTATTTTTTAGTACAGACGGGGTTTCATCATGTTAGCCAGGATGGTCTCGATCTCCTGACCTTGTGATCCACCCGCCTCGGCCTCCCAAAGTGCTGGGATTACAGGCGTGAGCCACCGCGCCCAGCCAATTTATTTCTATTTCTATTTATTTTTTAAAAATCTATTCATATACAGAGTGATAATAGTGTGTTATATAATTGATCTTTAACCTCAAGGAGCTTTATCTTCAGCCAGTGAAATCTGAAACTTGCCACAACTATTGTCCTCTTTTATTACAATCAATTCTCCTTTCTGACTACAATCTTCCATTACTCTATCTCTTCCACTGCCTTAATCCAGGGACCTCTTCAAAGTGCCAAGTCAATCTTTCTTCTGTATTTATTCATTTCTCTATTCCCATTCTACTTGTTCTTTGTTACAGAAGCCTCCAATTTCTTGTCCCTTCTGCTTTCTCCTTATTGGCACCCTCTTGCCCTGACTTTTGTTTCCTCACCAAACAGAAAACAGTAGTTGAACCTAAAATAAAACACTTATGGTTATGTGGTTTATATTTTATATTTTAGTTTTCTATCTTACCTTTACTCCCCCTTTTCTGTTGCCTTCTCTAATCTCTGTTACTTTTCCTTCCTTACCGGCAAATATCCATATAGTGAAAGAAGTTTACTTTCTACAGCAGTCATAAAGAGGTCAGCAACTTGGTGTAACTGTGTTGATCTACACATACAAAAATATTTTCCTGGAGTTACACCAAATCATGTTACTTCTATACAATTCCTTTCCTGTATATTCATTCCTAAACCCATGGCCAAAACAGACTGCAAAAGAGCCATATCATTCTTACTATGGATTAGAGTTCTAGAAAACAAAGTCCTGTGTGTGTGTATGAAAGAAAAATGTATATATGAAAGATATTTAATATATTAAATGTAGGTTTCATTTAAAAAGTAGATGTTGCTTTCAAAAAGGAGAATGTGAGAAAATTAATATTTACCACTTTAAAGCTTTCGCTGACCTAGGGAAGTGGTAGTAGTAGTATTGATAGGAGTGAATTCTTAGGTGATGCTGGGAATTAGCTGTGTCAAATGCATATAGCACAAAAATCGCCATTACTGAACAATGATCTTTTTTCTGTATCTCTTATTATCCTTGATTTATTGCAGTATGCCGTTTACTTCCTATCCAGCTCACATTCTGTGGTCCACCCTTTCAATACCTCTTTCAGTACTCTAGGCACCCGAAAGCCCTGTAGTTTCCCTACTTTATAGACATCCACCCTGCTAGCCATTCTCTCTCTGCCTGCACCCAAACTCTAAGTGCAACTGGGAGGAATATACATACATTCTATCTTCAGAATCACCATTCTCAGCTTGGCGTTCAGTACAACTTGGCAATTCTCTCATCCTTCTCTGGTCAACTCACTTCCCCACTTTCTGCAAAGATCAGTTATACTTCCTCCATTTTCTTTTAAAATTGCTTCTGTGTTTCAGTAGATGGCCTCACCTACTTCACAAAGAGAGGCTGTCAGAGAGGAATTAAGTCGACTTCCTTCCAGCACATCTACAAACTTACCTGCACTCATCCTTTCCTCTTTCCCATCTGATAAAAAAGGAGAAGGTAGCTCTCTATGTAGTGTCACCTGGATCTGGATCCTATCTCTTCTTGTCCCCTCTTGAACCTTGGCCTATGGATTATTTCCCATATCTTCTTTTTTTTTTTTTCAGCCTTTCTACTGGCATCTTTTCATTGACATTAAATATATTCAAACATCTTCTATCTTTTCTCTTTTATAGCAAAACGTTCTCAGAAATCATATGCTTTTGTACTCTTTTTCTTCATTCCTTCTATTTACACAGCAATTCTTGCAATTCAGCCTTTGTCCCACTATTCCATGAAAATGCTCTCATGAGTCATTCGCCGCCTCAGTCAGGTAAACCTAATACATACGATTGTCCCTCCTACTTCTTTGTCAGTCATCTTTGTAGGTTCCTCCTATCCAATTAAAAATGAGTTCCTCAGTGCTAGGTTCTGGGTCTCTTCTTGACTTGTTCTACATCTTCTTCCAAAAATGTGTTCTCTGAGTCAGCAGCATAGGTATCACGTCAGAACTTAGAAATACAAACTCTTGGTCTCCATTCCTAGGCCTACTGAAGAAAAAACTCTGGGAGTAGGGTCTAGAAATCTGTGTTAAGCCTTCCAGGCAATTCTATCTACTCTAAAGTTTGGGAATTATTGCCCTAGACAATTTGATCTATATAGTCTTTTGCCAGTGATTACTAATACATCTCTGCAGTCCATGTGTCTCTCCCAAGATCCAACTGCCAGCTTGACATGGATATATCATTGGTGCCTCCTATGCAACGTGTCTCCAACAGAGCCACTCATACACTATTCCCTTTTCTCCTAACCAGTTCTTCCTCTAGTAATCCCTTTTTCAAATGATATTTACCCTATTGCCCAAGCCAGTAACCCAGAAGCAGCTTTAACTCTTCCCACTTCCTTAATTCCCACCCCCAATTCAATAACCAAACCTCTTAAACATACCTCAAATCTATCCACCCTTTTCAATCCTTACTACTACCACCCTAGACCAACCTAGCATCATCTATTATCTGGCCCACTGCAAAAGCTTAATCAGTCTCCCACAATCACTCTTGTCATCCCTTTAAACCTTTTCATATCACTCACTTGCTTAAAATCCTTTTATCACTTCTCACAATCCAAAGGTTCAAGAATAAGATTCTTAACAAGGTCTCCAATTCTCTACATCAGGGGTCCCTAACCTTCAGGCCATGCAGCAGGAGGTGAGCAGTAGGCAAGCGAGGGAAGCTTCATTTGTATTTACAGCCACTCCCATCACTTGCATTACTACCTGAGCTCTGCCTCCTGTCACATCACTGGTGGAATTAGATTCTCATAGGAATGCGAATCCTATGTGAACTGTGCATGTGTGTGATCTACGTTGTGTGCTCCTCATGAGAATCTAATGCCTGATGATCTGTCACAGTATACCCCATCATCCCCAGATGAAACCGTCTAGCTGCAGGAAAGCAAGCTCAAGGTTCCCACTGATTCTACATTATGGTGAGTTGTCCAATTATTTTATTATATATTACCATGTAGTAATAAGAGAAATAAAGTGCACAATAAATGTAATGCACTTGAATCATCCTGAAACCATGTCTTCAATGAAACTGGTCCCTGGTGCCAAAAAGGTTGTGGACCATTGCTCTACATGATTAATAATACATATAAAGCAGTTACAACAGTACCTGACACATAGTTGACACTCATTAAATGTTACCTAGTATCTTAGGCCATTCTCACTCTCTCTGTTATAGCTATCTGACTTATTTCAAGTCCTCCAATATACTCTTTCTTACCTTAGCACTTCAGTAGAAAGTGTGCCACCCCCACCTCCATCTTAAGTCACCTCTCAAGTTTCAGTTTTTCCTGCACATTCCCTCAACAAAACTAGAAGTTTCACTGTTACATAGCCCAAAAACATTCTGTACTTATTTGTAATATTAATCACACTGTTAATTATGTAAATAATCTTTCTTTCTCATTAGAATGTAAGTTCCATGAAGGCAGGCAGTGGATTGGTCTTGCCTACTGTTGTAACCCCTGTCTGGCAGAGTTCCTGGAAAACAGCAAATAACTGTAAATGTTGGCCAAGTAAATACTTGTTATCTACTTCCAATTTCATAAAACTTTCTCTTCCCTTGAGTTCTGTTATACTCAACTTTTCTGTTTTTCCTCTTCTATCTCTGACTACTCTTTCTTTGGCTTATCTTCTTTGTTGCTTTTGGTATTGTCCAAGTATTTGTCCTTGGCTATCTTCTTAGTTCTGCTAGCAGTTTCTTCTTGGTAATCTTATACACATCAGGTTTTCAACTATCATCTCTGGGTAGATGATTTAATATGTTTTACCCCAACTTCAATCTCTTTTTTTTTTTTTTTTTTTTTGAGACATGGTCTTGCTCTGTCACCCAGGTTGGAGTGCACTGAGATCATGGCTCACTGCAGCCTCGAACTCCTGGGCTCAAGTGATCCTCCTGCCTCAGCCTCCCAAGCAGCTAGGACTACAGGCATGCACCACCGTAACCATGCCCAGGTAATTTTGTTGTTTTTTAAGTAGAGCCAGGGTCTTGCTATGTTGCTCTTATCTGGTCTCAAACAATCCTCCTGTTGTGGCTTCCCAAAGTGCTGGGATTACAAGTGCGAGCCAAATCTCTTAAATTTGAATCCCATGTTTCCAAATGCTTAGTGTATGTGTCTATGTGATTCCTTAATGGCATCTCAAATTCAGTTACAACTAAAATTGAGATTCTGATTATCTTCCCGAAAAGTTCCTTGTCCTGCTCTTACTTTCAATAAATGACACAACTTTCTTTTAGTCAGGTTTGAGACCAAAGTCTTTCCTTCACTGAGTCTTTCCCTACTCCTTATATTCAAATAATCAGAATTCCTGTGGATTCTGACGGCAATATTTTTCACACTTGTCCTACTTTTCACTTCCACTGCTACTACTGAAATTCAGGTTTTATTAGCTTACTTGAACTATGGCAATAACCTCGTTATTTTCCTTGACTTCAACATTGTTGCCATATGAATTTTCCTGAAACCCAGTTTTCTTCTTTTTCATTAAAATAAAAAAAAAAATTCTTGCTGAGAAGTTAGGGCTTTCTACCACCTTCGAAATAAAGACCAAATTTCTTGGCCTAGCATTTAAGAAGATTCAGTAACTGGCACAAAAATTATCATTCATCATCCCCAGATCTGCCTTATAGCTAGCTGACCCTGCCACTCTTATTTTTTTTGTCCAGGAAGCTCTTTACCTATTTTTATATATCTACATCCTATCAAGACCCTATTCAAATACTTCTCATGAAGATTTGACTGACAGCTGCTGTGCCCCTCTCCATTCCAAACCCTATTAATAGTCTCTCCATTCAAGGATATCTCATAGTGCTTTTTCATGGTATTGCAACTTTCTCCCTTGAAGCATTTTTTTTTTTTTTTGGCACAAGTGTTATGTCCCCTACAAAACTCTGAGTACTTTAAGGGCAGAGTCTATATTTATCTTTTTGCCTATCTCTTTGCCACTTTGCAAAGTACAACAAAATAATGGCTATAGAATTACTGGAATTAAGTGATCAAAGTATAGTGGTCTTATCTCTCCTTCTACACAATTGTAGCCATTTCCAAGGTCCCTTCAGCAAAAATCACAAAAGTAACTCACCCCTGCCCCCACAAAAAAAACTCCAAACATCAAAAAAGCAAAAGCAAAGCAATCACCTCTTTCACGACTGGGGACTTGTAGTACAATGTTCCTATCTGTAAAATTCTCACAATCTTTCGCCTGTCTTGCTTAATTCATTAATCCCACTGGTCTGTAAACTTGATGACAGCAGGAACTTGTTTTGTTCACTGTTATTTCCCTAGTGCTTGAAACTTAATAAGGGCTCAAAAATATTTATCGAATGAACGAACTAGGTTTTTTGCGTAAATGTCACCTTATAAGGCTTCTGTGATCTCTCCAGTCTAAATTGGGCATTCATATATAAATATAAGTATGTGCTTTCTCCTAGATCCATTTTTCACCCTACCTGGCAATCTCAAAAGAAGTCCAAAGTTGATCATATGCACGTGCCCCAGATGAAGGAAACAGAAACTGTTCACATAGAGTGCAGTATTATCGTTGCCATTTCATAATGGCTCTAAAAAACTTTGTTCTTCATGACTTCGCAAGCTCTTGCAACCCCTTCCAATAAACATTATTTTAAAGATGCTGCCTTTTTCATTCCTCCACTGAGTTCTTGGTTCTGGATAACACTGATACCTTAGGGACACCTGGAATCGCAGGAGAAAAGGCTCCGATTCCAAACCAATCAAGTGGCTGAAAGCTGACAGCAAACACTTAGAAAAGGAATGTCAATCCTTTGATCAAAGCATCACACATCGAAGTCCTAGAATGGGGGATGGTCCTTGACAGGGGAGCCAAAAGATGAGAGACAATGAGGGAGCTACGTAGAGAAGTCACTAAAACCCTCCGACAAAGTCCGAGGCAGGATTCCAAGTCCCTTGTCCCTAGACCTAGAAATATGCTCGGTCCGCATGTCCCGGCCCGCAACTCCCTCGGAGGAAGCACAGTCCTCACTGAAAGGGGAGAGCAGTCAGTCTAGGGCACGCAACCGCCCGTAAATTATGATTCCCCTTGAGGAGCGAGGAAACTAATACCCCACGTAGCTACTCTCCCACCTCGCTCCTGGCGCGGGGGTCTCGAGCCTCCAGGAGGCCAGGAGCAGAGTCGCTCAGCATAACTCACCGTTCCGCCCCGCCCTGCCGATCCGTCTGTTCCCGGTGGTCCCTTCGGAAACGGTTCCCGCACTGGCCGGCTCCGAAAGCAGGAAAACAAAGGTTCCCACAGTAGGGGCGGGGGAAACGTTTGGCAGTGCGACAGTAGGAAGTGACGTTACTTCCCTTTTTCCGGTCCGCCGGATTATGAATGACGGCCGGCGCGAGTATTTTCCACATAAGGTGGCTGTCGTTTTTCTCCTGGCGTCTGTGGAGGCGAGTGGTCTGCGGGCAGCAGCTCCCAGAGGCAGCCTTGGAATTCCAGCTCGGACTGGGCGGGAAGGCGCAGGCGGCCCAGGTCGCCGACACGCTCACGCACCCTCCCTGCCTGGCCGCGCCTCTGCGACCAGGTAAAGAGGGCGCTCGGGCCGCCGGCTTCTCAGCCTCCGCGACCCCCTAAGAACTGGTCTTTTCTTCGGGGGTCTGCAGGGCTGAGGATGCGGGGGAAGGGTGGGAAGGACAAGGGCGTGGTATCATCGTCCTGATTTTTCTCCCGCCCTGGGGCCGCCTCAAACTCCTTTTTGGCCACTCCTGCTGAAGGTGCGGGTTGAGGGCTCTGGGCTTCTCGGTAGTACGCGTTTCCCAGTTTCCCCCTAGCCAGTCCCTCATGTCTTCCTCTGCTGATGGAGAAATGGGGCAGCTTCCAGTTGGAGGCGTTGGTTGGGGTGGTTTGATATTTGCTGTTAAGTGTTACTTCAAGACCTCTTGGGTCACACTAACTTCTCTTCTCTCTTTGGCATTGAGTTTTCCATTCCAGCCCTTCCTGATTGCAGAAAGCAGTTCTATGTGAATACTACTTAACATTTACTCCAAAGGACTTGCTTCATTTGGGGCCATTTGCTTATGTTTTGTCATCACAGCAGTATCTCTTGGGTTTTTAACTTCTATAGAAAGTTTAATTTGCATGAAAGTTGCTTTGGTTTCAAAAACGTTTGCTAATACACGTACTTCCCATCCCAACTTTCTACCTGGTTTTGGGATGAGATGACTTGTTTTTTTCCCCTTTATTCTTAATGCCAGGATCCCATTCCTTGTCATAAATTCTTGAATATCAAGAAAATGCCAGCTTTAGTAATATATTGTGTGCTACATTATTGATAAAGAAGGTGGTGTATTTCTATTTTACCTAAGCTTATCTGTAAAAACAATGTTTACAGGAGAAAATGCAAAAGCTAGCAAGAACTAGTGATGTGATAATTTTAAACATGTAAACATAGTCATTTAAATCCATGATAATAAACTGTTATAACACAACTAAGTGATTCGCTGTCATATTTAATAAACATTAAGCTATGCGGGTTTTTTTTTCTTTTTTTTTAACTGCCTGATGGGGAGCATACACCACTGAGAGGATTGCTTTAAGCACACTCATTACTAAAAATTGTGTTTGTATTACACCTGAAAGTATCGTTTTGTGAGGTCTCACTTCAAAAATAAGACTGAAAAGGTCAATGAGATTTGAGAATCATCATTTCTTTTTATTTTATATACTTTGCACTTCTACGTGTTTTTGCTTTAATTTAAACACAGCTCAAACTTGAGCTTCTGTAGTAGTGGGCCCATCAATTTTTTTTTTTTTTTTTTTTTTTGAGCTGGAGTCCTGCTCTGTCGCCTGGGGATGGATTGCAATGGCAACATCCGCCTCCCGGGCTCAAGCAATTCTCCTGCCTCAGCCTCCCGAGTAGTTGGGATTACAGGCGCCCACAATCACACTCGGCTCCTTTTTTTTTTTTTTTTTTTTCAGTCGAGGAGGGGTTTCACCATGTTGGCCAGGCTGGTCTCAAACTCCTGACCTCAAATGATCCGCCCGCCTCGGCTTCCCAAAGTGGTGGGATTACAGGCGTGAGCCACCGCGCCCGGCCTGTTTTTGTTTTTTTAAACTTGTTTTACTTGTAGCTTTTGTTTCATCATCTGTGATTTTTAAATAAAAATAAATACTGAGTATCCAATTAGCTTTTCTAACAAAGAATAAATACTTGGAATGCAGATATTGAAACCATTTAGATTAAAACAAGCACAGGTATTGTTTGCTGTGAAAATTCAGTAATTTTATTTCATACTTGGTAACATGTTAGCCATTTGCGCTGTCGATCACTGTTAATTATGAGGTCGGGTTTAGCTGAAGGCATTATGACTCCATGGCAACAGATGATTCCCTGATTCTCCAGAGAGATTACACACTTCGTTTGTGGCTAAGGTTACTGTAAGCTTTTCACTTAAAAACTTTTCCTACTTCTTTACCAGATAAGAAAACAGCTAATTTTAATCACTGGCTTTTGTTCTCTAGGACTTAACTGCATCCCATATTACGTATTTAATGAGCTTGAAAAAATCTCAGTGTTTTTCTTATCGTTTTTGACCCTAAATATTTAAGGTAATTGGCTGCTATCTATCTGTTGAGGGGCATGTTTTTTTGTTTTGTTTTGTTTTGGTTAAATCTATATTATTGTAATAAAATAGGGTACAATTTTCAGCCAAATACTGTTGTTTTATGAAAAGCATAAAACACAAGATAAGTTATAAAATTCAAAATGTTGAACATATGATGTAGGAGAGAATTTAGGCAGGTTTAAATTTTAATCTTTAAGAAAAGTAAGTGTTTGTGATTTTTCATACTTATAAACTGTGTTGAACTTCTTATTTTGTACAATAGGTTGATATGCACATGGATTAAGGGTTTCACGTTTATATTTTACCATTTCATGATTCCCTGGCTTTCAGCCTCAGTAACAAATATGTTTTTTTTCAGTATTTGGTTGGGAAAAACTTTTCAATCAATATAAATCCTTTACCTTTCATGGAAAGAAGCTTGAAAATATAAACCATAATTTGGGTTTTGCCCATCAAGGTTTGCATATTTTAATAGTGCCAGTTGATAAGGAATTTGGTTATAAATTATAAAGAAATAATAGTAGCTAGTATTTATTTAAGGACTTAATATGTGACAAGCTTTTTTCTGTATGGCACACTACATGGTAGGTACAGTTATTATTGTCTCCATTTTATTATATAAGTGAGGAAACAGATATGCAGAAAAGTTTTTTATAGCTACTAAGAATCAGAACCAGTATATTTGCACCCAGGTGGTCTGGCTCAACAGTCTCGGCTCTAATCTATTACTTTATAATTCTTGTTTTATAAATATTCTTGCTAGGCACATGTATGGAATCTAGTTAAGATTCTTAGTTCCTTTGCCCTGGATATAAGTATACATAAAAACTTCTGTGCTTGCTTTATTTATGAGTTTGGTTAGATTCCATTTATACTTTTCCCGATTCACCTCACAAAGGTGATCTTATTTCTTCATTTTAATTTATACTTAGTTGGTCCTTAAAATAGAGTTATTAATTTGGAAAAGAAAGAATGGTGTCATGAAGAATGAGATACACATTGTACCAAGACTAAAGTTATTAATAATACTCTCAGACAGTGATTTCTGACATTCATATATGTACATTCATTCCTTGAACTAAAGTTTCAGTTCATTAAGCACTGGAGATGTTATAGTGTTAGGTGATAAGAGCTATGAAGAAAAAGGGAAGCTAGGTAAGAGGCTAGGGTGTGCTTTTTCAATTCAGGCAGTCAGGAGAGGCTGTTCTGAGTTAATATTTATGCAGAAAAATCAATGAAATGAGGGAGCAAGCCCTGTGAATCTCTTGGAGAAAAGCATTCTAGGCAAAGCAATAGCAAGTACAAATATTCTCAAGTGGCACCTTCCAAAAACAGCAAGGACAGCTATGGCTGGAAGGGAGTGAAGAAGGATAAGAGATGAGGTCAGAAAGGGATAGCTAGGGTCACAGTAGGCCTATAGGCCATAATAGGAAATTTGGATTTTATTTTGAGTGTGCTGAAGAGCCATTGGATGGTTTTGAGCACGAGACATCTGATTTATGTTTTTAAGGATCACCCTGTTGTTGGAGAATGGACTGTTTTATGGAAAGTGGAGGAAAATAGTTAATAGGCTTTTGCAGTAGTCCTTGTAAGCACTGGCGATGACTTAGATTAAGGTGGTAGTGGTAGAGGTGCTGAGGAGTTGGATTTAGCATATACTTCAAAGGTAGAGATGGCAGGGTATGAGAGAGAGAAAAAAAGAAGTTGAGTGGGACTTTTGAGTTTTTGGCCTAAGCATCTGGGTAATTGGTGTTGCCATTTTACCAGGAAGTAGAACACGAAGGGAAGGGGAGCAGGTTTAGAAAAACATCCACATGGAGATGTCAAGTAGAATATAGTAGTCTGGAGTTAGAGGAGAAGATACGGCTGGGATATACATGTAAGAGTCAGATCATATTTAAAGCTATGGCACTGGAGATCACCCAGAACAGTGCTGTCATATTGTGAGTTGTGCCCCATTAATGAGTCAGGAAATCAATGTAATGAGTAACAACCAGCATTTAAAAAAACAAGCACAGAGTAAAAAATATCAGATTTATCCCATATTGTAGGATAAGTATTGCTTCATGACATTTTTGTTTCTATTTTATTCAGTGTATTGTGTGTTACATTATAAAATATATACCTAATTGTGTGGCATGCTCAAAAGTTTGAAAGCCAGTATTCGAAGGATGGAGTGTGGATTGAGCAGAGAGCAAAACACTGAGCTGTGGGTCACTGAGACATCTGCAGAGTAGCCAATGAAAGGAATCAGGAAAGAATTGCCAAAGAATTTAATCCAGTGCAGAAACTTGTCAAATAACCCAGCCTTTGGAATGGAAGTTTATATCAAGGATTACTGAAACCAGCATACTTGCTTAGAATAACATAATATCTGACAATTTTCACTTTGGTAAAATTGCTTCAATTTATGAAATTTTATTTATAAATAGTACTGTTATATTAGAACAATACCTATTCTTAAATGTCTCTAAATAAGATCTTTTATGAATTTAATTAATACTTTTGGACTGATGTACAATTCTCATCTCTATAATGGAAATAAAATACTTTTAAGGATTGTGAGCATTAGAAGTAATGCACATGTTCTGTGTGCTTAGCACATAGTAGGTGGACAATAAAATGTATGTAATATTTAAAACTTTATTTACCTAACATTTGTTGAGCTCCTATCAAATTGTAGTCACAAAGATAACTTATTTGAAAAAACAAAAAACAAAACACAGGTTAATCATTTGCAGCAGTTATGCACTTTTTGGTCTTCATTATATAATATATAATTTATCTAATATATAATGTTATGTATACATAATGCCATAGATCTTGACTTGAATTTTGATCACAAAATTTTCAAGCTTTATTTTTTCTGGACTGTGGAGAAGTATGCTTGTTTTTAATATGTTTACTGTTTATCTCTCATTCTCTGTGTTTTATCAAGGCTAAGATATATTCATTAGAATGAAAGTGAAAAAAAAAAACCAGATCTGAATGCCTAAATATTAAACCTATGACTAATTCCACCATTTAAAAATATATTAGAACATTCCTGAGTAATGAAATCAAAGACATAATCTTTTCTTTTTACCCATTTATTCATTCGGCAAGATTCCCAAGCAAATTGGCACGTCCAGGAAAGAGATGCACACTCTATTTAATATCCTGAAGTTTGTGGTTTTGTCTGCTACTTTCTCACTCCCTCTCTGCAGAGTGGCACCTGTCAAAGCTGAGAAAGAGTAAATTACTCTATTTCTGTGCTTGGCAGGAATGTAATATGGAGTAACAAGAGCTGTGCCGCAGAAGCCCTGGAGACAGAAGTTGATTCTATAGTACCTACCTTCTTAAAGCTCGTGACAGAAAATTAGCGAACTAAGGCATTCTGAAGCTAGAAAAGAAAAAAGAGGAAGGATTTTTTTTTTTTTGCCTGTGATATTTGCATACTTGGAGCAAATACTGGTTCTACTCTCTAAAAAGGCACAGTGCAAGCCAAAAACATCACATTTGTACAGGTTTACAAATATTTAATATTTATTTTAAAAATTATATTAGTACATAATAGGGAGACATTATTCAAGGAGAGTAATTTTTTTTTTTATTCTAAGATCATTAAGTAACATTTTTAATCTCCCAGGGGGAAAACCAACATCTATATTAAAAAAAATACGTTAAGAATCAACAGTACTTTGTTGCATTTTCTCTCAGGCATCTCATTAATTTTTAGATATCACCATGGGCAGGTTATTGCTATTCTGTTTTGCTGACATTTAGCATTTTATTAAGTGCTAACAGTGAGAAGAGTTTATAGAATATGTCTAAAATCCTATTTTCATATTCTTATGTGCCTTACAACGTGGCAAATATAGGCATACTTTTTAAAAGAATATTTCTACATATCTTAAAAGCTATTAAATAGCATGGCTTTGTTTCCAGTTTTTTAAAAAGTGTTAGGATGAGCCTCGTAATTACTATTTTTTAGACTGTTGGGCAAATGATGAAATCAGTCATGTTTTCTTTCAAAACTGCTTTCTTGAAACACTTAGGGGTGAGTCTTCTTTTTACTCTCCTACTGTCAGGAGAGTGAGTCCAGAGCAAACTCCTCAAAAAGACTGTTAATTCCTGGAAAGTGTGGTTGGTCCTTTTTGCCCTAGTGTTGTTACAGATCTCACTTTGTTTGACTGTTTTTAAGGACTTATAGCATAAAGGTGTTATATTAATAATGAAAATATTTCCAGAGCTCTATTCAGCTTTATAAAAAAACTCTTTGAACTTTGATCTTTAATAAATACCTTTTTGTTTTAAAATTATCTCTCAGTGACAAAAATTTTTAAAAAATAAGCTCAGGGAGAAAATGGCATCTGTAAGTTAAAAAGTTGTTGCTTTTACAGTATATAAAATAATTTTCCCCCAGATAATCTTTTAAGAAGTAACAAATCATGGTATATATCTGTTATATTTTAATAGAAGAAATATAAAATAAAGCAGTAGTGATTATTTGTATTATTAAGAAACTTAGATAATACTTTACTGACTATATTTATTTTTTATAATGGATTACAAGTTCCTTAGTTTTAAAAAATGAAGAACTAAGAAGCTTAAAGTGTTTAGGTCTTGTTTCAGATTTTTTTAAAAAAGGGATTTAAAATATTAAAGAAAATTTAGTATGATGAAGGTTTTCTAAAATTAAGTGTACACTAACATTTTGAATACACTTAAAAGACAAGAGGTGCATGTGTACTTTTTAACAGCTTTTAAAGTAATTTTCCTTCTAATATGTCATGTTTCTGGTACGTATTTCCATGGTGAATACTTTTAAAGAGTGCCATCTAGTGTCAGTTTTGGAATTGTAATTTATGTATTAGAACATTAGGAATTTTTGACCCGGGAAATGTATAAACATAAAAAGACAGGACAATTGATAAAAACCTTAAGGAATATGACTTGAAAATAGCCATGAAGAATCTGACCTCAAGACTGTGTGTGTTTGCACCTTTAACCAGTATGTATATTTATCTCTGCTTTCATTTGTCAAATACTGCTTGCTTATATATATAATAAACCTATAAAGCAGTGAACAAAAAATTTTTACTCATGGAACATTCTAGTTAGAGGAGACAAATAATAACATATAGTATATCACCATAGCAATAAGCGCTAGGAAGAAAAAACATAGATGGAAATAGAAAGGTTTTTTTCAGGGAGCGTGGGGATTGGGGTTTGTGATTTAAATTGAGTAGTCAGGGAGGATCTCAGTAAGAAGTTGCCATTGAATAAATAAATACCTGAAGGAAGTGAGGAAGTGTTCTAGGTACTGGAAACACCAAATGCAAAGGCCCTGATGTGAGAATGTACCTAGTGTTTTAGCAAGGGTCCCCAACCCCTGGGCCCAGGACTAGTATCCATCTGTGGCCTGTTAGGAACCCCACCTCAAAGTGGGAGGTGAGTGGCAGGTGAGCCAGCATTACTGCCTGAATGGCGCCTCCTGTCAGATCAGCAGCGGCATCAGATTCTCATAGGAGCTCCAACCCTCTTAACTGCACGCAGGAGGGATCTAGGTTGCACTCTCCTTATGAGAATCTAATGCCTGATGATCTGAGGTGAAACAGTTTCATCTGGAAACCATCCCCATCCCCCCACCAACCTCCCATGGAAAAACTGTCTTTCATGAAACTGGTCCGTGGTGCCAAGAATGTTGGAGATGGCTGTTTTAGAGGAATAACAATCTACTTTGGCTGGAGCAGTGAGCAATGAAGAAAGTTAATGAGACAAACTCTGAGACATAAAGGAGGATTAGATCAAGGAGATTTTTGTAGGCTGTTGCAGAAACTTTGGCTTTTCTCTAAGGAGGGTGGGAAGACCTTGGAGGGTTTGGTTATGGGGGTGTGAAGGAAAAGAATGGTGTAACCTGAGATGGGAAGACACATAAGGAGCAGGTTTGAGGGGTGGGAGAGAATAAGGAACTGGATTTTGGACAGGTTAACTTTAAGATAGCTATCAGTATCCATGTTATGGGGAAATTTAAATATTTTTATATTATGATTCAGCACTCAGCAGCTATCACTTACTTGAGGAGAATCCACTTCTCCTGAAAGAACGAATATCCCCTCCCTATTATTTTGTAGGGTCGTAAAAAAGAAGCAGTATGGAAGGACCAGCACTGTCAAAACTTCTCAAGGATATTATCCCCAGACAGCTCTCAGTATTTTTGGTTAATTTATTTCCCCTTCTATTTATCTCCTGTTCTCACATATAGTGAGACCCCAAAATACTTGATTGGGAGGGCTCTATTGCAAAGCACTGGGGTTTGCTCATTTTAAAGGAGCTGGGTGTAATATTTCCTCTAATGCTAGTTAATTGCACAGGGTGGAATTTTTTTCTTTTGGAAGTCATTTAGTCAGTCTTCAGAAACAAACCTTATAGCATTATTATCTACTGCAAATTTTTACTGATTTCTAGAACAGGCTTTTGAAACATTCATCTTTTATTTTAGCTTCTAAATGATTATATTCTAAGACCATAATCACTTCAATTTATACTTTAGGTGACCCAATGAAAGAAGAAAATGAAAGCCATAAAGAAAAGTCTTACAGAAGAAGAATACCTGTACCTGGACTTTTCTCACCAAACAGAAGGATGCATCTTTCCTCTTCATACATCTGTAACTTTATTTCTGTTATCTTACTGTGACTGTAAAATCTTTAAAATTTGCTTAGTTGTCACCAAAGAGGTGAGTAGAGATAGTTCACTACTAAGAGATGACCTGATCCAGGATGTTGAAATACAGATTATTTCAAGGCAGGAGCTCCCACCAATAGTCCAAAATTGCTGTTTGCCTGCAGTAGTAGAACGATCAGACAATTTTTGTAGAGCAGGACTTGCTGTTGTATTGAGACACATAATCCAGAAATCCTATGAAGCAGACCCCTTAAAGAAGGAACTTTTGGAACTTCTGGGCTTTAAAAAGACTTGCTTGAAAGCCTGTGCTGAAGTAAGTATAATGTCTTTTTTCTGTTATTTGAAGCTACACAGTGATAACATAATTACCTGACCATTTAATATTTTAACTTCCTATTAGGAATAAAAGTTTATTTATTTTAAAAAACCCCAGTAACCAATGAAATAAAGTAGCCCTTTGATATAGTTTGAATATTTATCCCCTCCAAATTTCATGTTGAAATGTGATCCCCAATGTTGTTGGAGGTGGGACCTGGTAGGAGGTGTTTGGGTCGTGGGGGCAGATGCCTCGTAAATGGCTTGGTGCTCTCACTGGGGTAATGAGTGAGTTCTTGCTCTATTAGTTCATGAGAGATCTAGCTGTTGAAAAGCGCCTGGTACCTCTTCCTTGCTCTCTCTTGCACCCTCTCTCCCCATGTGACATGCCTGCACTCCCTTTGCCTTCTACCATGACTAAAAGCTTCCTGAGGTCCTGATCAGAAGCAGATGCTTCTTATATAGCCTGCAGAACCATGAGCCAAATAAACCTCTTTCCTTTATAAATTACTCAGCCTCACCTATTCCTTTACAGCAATGCAAATGGGCTAATATACCCTTTACGTGTGTCAATATTTCAGTGCAGTATTGAAAAATAAGAATTTAAGTCTTAATTTATAAAGTTTGGAGACATTTTTAGAAAATAACTCTTTTTTCTTTATTTTAGTTATGTTGATTTTTAAATGGAATGTTTACATATAAATAGGAGCTCAAATAGCAATGCTTTGGAAGCCCTGCTTATTGTGGGGGCTAGGAGGAGGGTAGGACAGGGGAGGTATATTGTAAAGGCTTTGGGAAGTAATGATTTATTTAGTAAGGGGAATACAGGAATGCTAAACTTCTTTTGCTTAATGTTTTTACTTCTGAAGCACTGTGATGTGTCTCCTGATACAACATAAAAGCCTAGCCCAGGGATGATTGAGCTCAAAACTTATTTCCCAATAAGACAGTTATTTTTTCTAAAGTTATATTGAAATTAAAAAATCTTTTCATTTCTTGTTTTGTTTTTGTTTTGTAGGTTAGTCAGTGGACCAGGCTATGTGAACTCACCATCCCTTTGGCTATTGAGAATTTTCTCAGAGAATCTTCTGACCAGCCCCCAACTATACCTGTAGAAATACTACAGCTAGAGAAAAAGCTTAGTGAGCCTGTTAGAGTGCATAATGATGATAAACTCCGCAGGCAGAAGCTCAAGCAACAGAAGGCTGATGGAGTTGGGCCTCCCCTTACTAAGGGAAAGGCAAAGAGCAAGGTCCACACACAGGAAACATCTGAAGGGTTGGATTCTTCATCCAAGAGTCTGGAACTGAAAGTGGCATTCTCAAAGCTCACAGTACAGGAAGAACCAGCTACTACCAACAGAGAGCCTTCTCACATCAGAAAAGCAAAAGCCTCCGACCTTCCACCTCTGGAGCATGTGTTTGCAGAAGGGCTTTACTTCACTCTGGCAGATATTGTGCTCTTGCCCTGTATCCATCATTTCTTGGTAAGGTTTCATCTGGACTGTACACATTACTATGAGTTTCAGTCTATGAAATTGCCTAGGTTTGAATTTCTGTTTTACTTTTTATTGTCAATATGCTGCTAGGAAAGTTATTAATATCTTTCTCCATTTTCTTATCTGTAAAATGGTGATAATAATAGTACCTATCTAAAAGGAAAAATGTAAGGAACAAATTAAAGTTTGTGTGAAGTATGGAGAACAGTGCTTGGCACATAGTAAGCTCTCAATCAAAGTTAGTAATTACTATGACTTTTAATGTGAAGTTGCTAAAATGTTAACAATTGTTATTATTAATTTCAAGTTTCTGTTGTGATTACTTTCTAATAGTAGAAGGTCCAAGTCGGCTCTGTGGTGCAATGGATACTCCGTTGGACGTCTACTATTAGAGGGTGCAGTTAAAAAAAAAAAAACTAAAAATCTTGTCAGCTAAATTTTATAATGAATTGTTAGTCACTTAAATTAATCTTATGTTAGGTATTATCAAACTGAAAATATTTTATTCTGACCTGTGTGCTTTTCTCTGTTCTCTCTGAGAGTAAAGTAGCTGGCTCTGTTATTATGTGCTGGGGGAGAATAGATAGAACGTTTTCTGAGTAGGAAGATCTCTCTCTCTCTCTCTCTGTCTGTCTTACATACACACACTCACACACGCACACACGTGTGCACACACACATTCCCTCTGTGGAGGAAAAAAGAACAGGGTGAAAATAATACCAGAGTGAACATAGGAAGCTTAGCTCTCTGCAGCCTTCCAATTGGTTTTCAAGAGCTGCATTGCTTTTTGCTTTTGTTTGGGTTTTTTTCTTGGAAGCATTTCCCCCTTTTCCCTACTAAGGAATCAGATATTAGATTTCATTCTCATTATATATCACCAACAATTCAGGTATCTCTATGGACAGAAGAGACTGCTATCGAAAATCTATGTATTTGAAGGCTTTGCTTCACAAGTAAACTCGGCAGTATTCATCAATTGTCATTTTCTTAAAGAACATTTCTCTTTTCCTCAAAATTGAACCAAATTTGGCAACCAAAACAATATAAAAAGAGAGAGATCCAGGAATTGTTTAGATGTTGATTGCTATTTTAAATGCCAGATGTCATATGTCTTCACAGAGTCCATGGAGTTGAGTGGGAAGAAGACATTGATTTTTAAATTTTTTCCTAGTCAGATGATTCCTAGGTTCTCTTCTCCATGATCCCTCTCTTCTATTACCAAGTTCCGTCATTAGAGCAGTCATTTGATACATTATGAAGTACTTGGTCTTCTGTCTTCTTGACTTCTTTGGATAACTGTGTTTCCAGTTTCACCAGAATTGAATGAAAGTGGCATATCCATTCCTTTATTGAAGAAATTTATTAAAATTATTTGAATACATAAACTAATTCTCAAAATATTTTCCTTCGTTCCTTTGTATTTTTACTGGATTTTTTTTTCTTTTTTTTTTGAGATGGAGTCTCGCTCTGTCACCTAGGCTGTGTGCAGTGGTGTAATCGCAGCTCACTGCAACCTCCGCTTCCTGGGTTGAAGCAATTCTCCTGCCTCAGCCTCCCAAGTAGCTGGGATTATAGGTGCACGCCACCATGCCTGGCTAATTTTTGTATTTTTTAAGTAGAGATGGGGTTTCACCATGTTGGCCAGGCTGCTTTCGAACTCCTGACCTTGTGATCCGCCCACCTCATGTTTTCCAGAATTCATCCTTCTTTGATAAACCCTTGATATTTGTTATATTTTTCTCTTTAAATCATCTTGGGTAATAAAGTAGTCATTTTAATTCATATAGTGGTTATGTTGGCAAGCCTTTTTGCTTGCATTAACATACATTGAGGTGAATGGAGTGGCCATCCAAATGATCAGAATCAGGATCAAGTTCAACATCCGTAATCAAGGTCAAGTTACCAGAAACATAAAACTGAATCTAGGGACAGAATATTTAGTCGCAGGAATAAAGTCAAGGACATAAAAGTAAGAGTCAATTTTGCTAAATCAAGGTTTGAATTACTAAGGGTCAAAATTAGAAGAACTAGGGAAAATACCCAGTTCTGCTAAACAGAATAAAACCAAAGATGGAAAACAATAACAAGTAGAATCGATGAGGTGTTTTTTTTGTTTTTTTTTAATTTGTCAGAGACAAACATGGAAATGCTAAGGTATTATATATAAACCTGCTGCAAGCTCTTCCTTTTCAGAAAATACTTTATTACTTTACAAAGTTAACCCCTGATGGCTCAGCACCTCATAAGGAAAGGGGCCTGACGATACCCTCTCCTCTGAAAAGTCTTAGAAATAGATTTAAAAGGAATAAATTAATATGTACACTCATGTTTCCCCCCATTCAATTTATTTGCTAGAATTTTCTAGTAGATAGCGTATCAACATTATGGGAGAAATAGCAATGAATAGCTATACTAGGGCAAAATCCTACTGTTCCAATACTAGAAGATTGTATATTATTTTTCAGTTGCTACTAGTAAGCAAGTACACTTTGACAGAAATATTTAAAACATTATTGTACGCCTATAAGACAGAAAGTTGCATTTTATCATTTTATAAAATCTTGTAATTTGACCACTTATGATTTAATTTTCTACATTTTAACTTCTAATGCTTTGAATTGAGTTTAAATACACACATACACACACACACACAGACATCTTTATTAGCTTAGGTAAAATCATTCCTCTTTTAGAAATTGATTTTTTAGCAAAACTAAATACCTCTTCCTGTGTTCCCATCGGCATAAAGTTGGGAACCTCACTTTTTGCTGGCATATTGCAAAAATGGTTGATGCCACTTATTTAGTGGTAAATTTGTATTTTCTGTGTCTATTCCTATTCATTAGGTCCTCAAGAGCTTTTAGCTTTAACTCACTAGTTCTAATTTATAAGTAAAAAACAGAGAGCTGGGATTATATTTTCATTTAGATAGGTTGTTTACTGTTTTTTCTCTGCTTACACTGCTCACCTAAACATCTGTGAGTATATTTTCAAAAAAGGAAGTATGACTAAGGAAATGATATAAAATAAGAACAAATATTTTATATAGTAAGTGATTGTAAAGGAATGCAAAGGAGGAGATATTTTGAATAGATGCAACATCTTGCTTCTCTTTTTATTCTGACAAATTTTTCTGCCCTTTATTGACAATTAACTACAGAGTTACTAAAATTTTATTTTTGCTTTGATAGCTATGCTTTTTTTTTAAACCTTTGTTTTAAAAATAGATCATCTTTTTTTTTTCTTGTCCTTAAAGAACTCTGTGATATTTATAATGGTTTTGATCTTATGAGCCAGGTAACTATTTGGTAATCATTCCTTATGAAGAAATTTAATTTTCATTTCACAGAGTTTTCATTAGCAACTTCCTTAAATATATCTTCATGAGTGTAATGAATGTGGTTCAGTACCTTCTGAGCTATCTGGATATTAGTAGAGTGGCCTGGCATGTTGATAAATGGAGTGACCTGTCAGAGTAAACCTCCTCAATTTCTTGTAAACATGAATTATTGTTATTTAATTGCAACTTCATTTCAAAAGAAAGGAAAGATGCCACGTACATCTAACAAATAAAAATAAGTCACTAGAACGAAGAGTACAGGAAAGATGAGGAAAAGAGAAAATTTCTTGTGTGATTATCATGTCTAAAGATCCATTCCCTTAGCACCTAATCTATTTCCAAGCAATTCACAATTCTTGAGAGAATTAATAAACTTTTTGGCTCTCAGGGTACCTTAGAGAGTATTTTTCAAACTTTTTTTTTACTTTAACTCAGTAAATACAGATGGCCTTCCATATCCATTGGTTCTGTATTCATGTATTCAACCAACCGCAGATTTAAAATATTTGGAAAAAAAATTGCATCTGTACTGAACATGTACTGACTTTTTTCTTGTCGTGATCCCCTAAACAATACAGAATAACAATTATTTGCACAGTGTTTATATTGTATTAGGTATTAGAAGTAATCTAGGATTTAAAGTATAGGAGAGGATGTGTATAGGTTATATGCAAATACTATACCATTTTATATCAAGGACATGAGTATGAGTATCTGTGGATTTGGGTTTCTGATACAGGTCTTGGAACCAATCCTCCATGGATACTGAGGGACAACTGTAATACATTTTACAAGTTGGATAATTATAGAAATAAATGTATATCTTTAAATAATATGTAAAAAAATATATAAATAATTACAAAATAACTTATAGGATGTGTACTCTGATATTTTCTATTTCATTTTTTAAAAACCTACTATGTTGATTTCACAACCCCTAAATGAGTGATAAATAGCAACTTGAAAAATACTGACTGAGGGGATTACTCTCTGAAGGTAACAAATGGATTCTTTATCATTTGTTCATTCACTCAACAGGGTATTATTTGCAAGGCAGTGTTTTAAGTGCTTCAGTATTCAAAGAGAGTTACAGTCCTTGTTCTTATAATCAATTACTTGTGCTCATTTAATCTTAAAGTCCACTTAAAATACAGTATAATATATATGTATGAATTTTTTATTTTCTGTCCTTTCTGTCTCATGCTCTGATATTATTGTGAAATATATCTGTAGAGATTTCCTGTGACTTGACCTTTTTATTTAAAGGTCATAATCTGTTCATAATCTGTTCATAATCATAAGTCATAATGTGTTTGAGACATCATAATGGTTTCTACGGAAACATTTGTTGCCTCTCAAAGAAGCAAGAACACTCTAAATTTTCAAGAAAATAGAATTTGGTGGTAGTGCTAGGGAGAAAGCATCTGACCAAGAGAAAACAAAAATATATGAGTTTGTATCAGGAAGAACAATTTAAAATTTTTCTAATTTGAAAAAATAAAAGTCTTACTTTAAGTGCTGCTTTATAAAAAAAAAATTCTATAGTGCTAGTTATCTTTTTTAGTTTTAAATATTTACAATTTTCTCTTTTATCTTTTTACTATTTTCTTTAGTAAAATGTTCTCCTTACCTCATTGTGTAATTTTTAAAAATATGGTTCTGAAAGATGCTTCTTACATTATTGGTAAGGAATATCATTTAGATTATGCCTAATAGTTCACACATACAGAGAAGGTAGTTTCACAAACACAAAAAAATGGAACTTTAGATCATTATTAATAGTACAAGCTCTCCATTTTTACACTTCTGCAGTGAGCTACAAAATTTCTATGAGACCCCTCAAAATACATCAATGATTGCAGACTACAGATATTAAATTGTGATAATTTAAACGTGTTACATTATTTGTGTTGAGGAATTTAATACTTATTTTAATTCTTTCCCCATTAAACAGTTAAACTAATTTGCATAAGTATATATTAAGGATTTTAGGTTTTTGATATAATGTTGTCCAATTAACTCTCTATATGCAGTGTGTTAAGAACTTATCAAGTATATAGAGGGTCAGGAACAGAGGAATGTGTTCATGGCCATGAATTATAGATGAAAGGGTTTCCAGATTGGAATGCAGTTGATTATAGAGGAGTTCTTAGAGAGGGGTAAAAACATACTACCAATGAAAGATGTAGACAATTGAATATAAGATGTAAAGTTTTCCAAAATGATTTTCAGTTGTACTGTTTATAGACATTTGCAAATGCCATTGTTATTTATATTGATTCTTTTTGGAATTATTGTATTCTTCTTTTTCTATTGATGGTTGTTTTCCATTGTATAGCTGTACCACAGTTTATCCATTCATCTACTGAAGGGCATCTTGGTTAATTCCAAGTTTTGGCAATTATGAATAAAGATGCTATTAACATCTATCTGTGTTCAGGTTTTTGTGTGGACATAAATGTTCAACTCATTTGAAGCACAATTACTGGATTGTATGGTAAGAGTATATTTACCTTTGTAAGGAACTACCAAACTGTCTTTCAAAGTGGCTGTACTATTTTTCATTCCCACCAGCAGTAAATGAGAGTTCCTGTTGTTCCACATGCGCACCATCATTTGGAGTTGTCAGTGTTTTGGGTTTTTGCCATTCTGATAGGTGGCATTTCCTTGTTTTAACTTGTAATTCTCTAATGATATATGATGCTGAGCATTTTTTTTATATACTTAGTTGCCATCTGTGTATCTTTTTTGGTTGTCTACTCAGATCTTTTGCTCATTTTAATTGTGTTGTTCATTTTCTCGTTGCTGAGTTGCTCCAATTTTTATGCTATGAAATGAATCATAAAAACGTATAAGACACATCACTAAAGAAGATACACAAATGGCAAATAATCACATGAAAAGTTGCTCAACATCATTAATCATAGGGAAATGCAAATTAAAATTACAATGAGACACTACTATATACCCACAAGAATGACTAAAATCAAACAGACTGATAATACCAAGGTTTGACAAGTTGTGAGGAGATACTGGAACCTCCATGGATTGCTAGTGGGAATTGTAAAATGGAAGGGCAACCATGGAGAAGATTTTAATTTCTTTAAAAGTTAAATATACAGTTACCATAAAACCTAGCAATTTGACTCTTGGATTTTCAAAGAAATGAAACACAGTGCCACATAAACACTGCTACATTATAATGTATAGCAACATTATTTATAATAACCAACAACTGGAAACATGCAAATATCTATCAACCAGTGAATGAGTAAGCAAAATATAGTATATCCACACAATGACTACTAGTCATAATAAAAAGAAACAAACGATTGGTCAATGTAACTATATGGATTAACTTCAAAAGCATAATACTAAGTGATAGAAGAAAACCACATTTTATGATTCCATTTGTATGAAATTCTAGAAAAGGCAAAATTGTAAACACAGAAAGCCGATCAGTGGTTGTCTGCAACTGACTGTGGTAGCAGAGATTGAGTGTAAATGGTTACAAGGGAAATTTCGGGGGTGACGTAAGTGTTCTAAAACTAGATGGTTGATAACTGGATACATTTACTACAACTCATTGTTTGAACTATACACTTAAATGTGTGAATGTTGTGGTTTGTAAAGTTACCTCAACACAGCTATTATAAACAAAATATATATAATAATGTGTTTTATTATTTTCCTACCTAGGTAATTATCAGCAGGAAATTTTCTGAGAAGCTGGTAGAATTTCCATTGCTAGCCTCTTGGTACCAGAGGATTCAGGAAGTGCCAGGAGTAAAAACAGCAGCTTCTAAGTGTGGGATCCAATTTCTCCATTTACCAAAGTTGTTGACAACCTCAACTGAACAGCATCCAAACTTATGTGAAGTCCCAGGTGTAGAAGAGCAAAGCGATCCTTTATTTATAGGAGGACCAAGACCAACCATGGCCAAGTTAATGGTACTTAATTATTAACATTTTCTTTGAAAAATTCTATGTGATAATATTGCTGAGCATTCTACTCCAACTTGTAATCATTTGTTGACATTATTTTTGTTATAAATTTTATTTGTAGCTTTCTTCACTCTTTACCAGTTAATATTTCTGCTACTCTTTTCATTTATGTGAAGTATACTAAATTGAAAACTTTTAGTATTATGTATTTTTGGAGCCAAGTAAGTCACAATATATACTTTTAAAAAGCCCTTTTCTCAAAACTTTTTTTTTTTTTTTTGTATATTCAGGATATTGACCAAGGTAGCATCATACCTGGTCAAGTATACTATTTTAACATAATCTTTTTCTGTTGTAAAGTTTTGGTCTCAGCCTTTTTTAGTTTGGATAATGATTGCAAGTTAAATATAAAGATAAGGCTGGGTGTAGTAGCTTACACCTGTGATCCCAGCACTTTGAGAGACTGAGGCAGGTGGATCACTTGAGGTCAGGAGTTCGAGACCAGTCTGGGCAACATGGCAAAACCCCATCTCTACTAAAATTACAAAAATTAGCTGGGTGTGGTGGCACGTGCCTGTGGTCCCAGCTATTCAGGAGGCTAAGGCACCAGAATAGCTTGAACTTCGGAGGGCGGAGGTTTCAGTGGGCCGAGATTGTACCGCTGTACTCCAGCTTGGGCAACAAAGTGAGACTCTGTCTCGGAAAAAAAAAAAAAAGAAATATAAAGATTAATATCTCAATTTACATTCCAAGGTTTTGTTTAAATTTGTAATTTTGGAATTCTTTGAATTTTATTTTTACTTTAATCTTTGATTTTAATGTTTTTGTTACATAAAAGCCTGGGTGACAGAGTGAAACCCTGTTTCAAAAAAAAAAAAGAATGCATATGCTTTATTTTTTTTCTCCTTGGGGCATAGTTTGTTTTCAGTAGTACTAATTGCAAAGTTTTCAACAATGGGCTTTCCTTTCCCTAACATTTGAAATGATCTGCAAAAATATTTTGCTTTTAATAGGTGATGTGAGGATTTATTTGAATAGAGAATTCATGAAGTAAGTTATCCATCGAGTTACACTGGAAAAATATTCATTATATTTCCCTATTTGGGTTAGGAAGTATTTGAGTTCGGTAGCTAACAGAGTTTACTGATTTAGAAATGGACAGGAAGACTTTGGTAAGGATACCAATCCCTTAACTCTTCAGCTAAGCTCTGTGGCCTATTGATTAAGCAATGAAACATGATTATATAGTTGATTTTAGAAGTTATTGAGGCATGTCTAGATTTTGATGTGTCTTGATTATATTACTACACTGCCAAGGGACCTCTGGTTCACCTCTCGAGTGAATATGCAACTACTTTTGGAAATGATGAAAATATCTTAAAATAGATAGTGGCAATGATTGAACAATTGTGAATATTATAAAAACCACTGAATTGGATACTTTAAAAGGATAAATTATATGGTATTAATATATATATTTTATCTCAATATAGTTGTGTTTTTTAAAAAGACCCTAAAGTAAGAATGAGTTTAGTGAAATGAGAAATAGCAAGAAGGTCAGTGTGGCTAGACTGAAGAAGATAGAAGAGAGGTAGATGATGTCAGAGAGATGTGTTTGTCTTTCTGGAGGCAAATCAGTGCTCTGGGCTTGTAGATCAATAGCCATATCTCTAGCCCTAATGAAAGATTATTTGTACTATTTCCTTCGGGACACAAATTCAGCTAGTTTTTATAATGGAAAGTAATCTCATAAACTGATACAAAGCATTCGATGCTAGAGTCTCACAGATTTTTATTTGAATAGGTTATTCCTAAAGATAAAAATAACAGAGCCATGGAGATATCTAGATATAGATATATAGATATAGATATAGATATAGATATAGATATAGACTGTGTACCTGGAATGTGATTGGAAGGGGTCTGTGAATCCATGTGTATGCCATGCCACTGTACGTAGATCAAATAAACAAATGTACAGCTTCTAAGATGGAGAAGGATCCTGAAAATGTTTTAATATATTGAAAAGTGGTCCTAATTCTTGAAAATATTGGGAACCATTTGGTTACACCAGAGGAATTTTTCTCTAGTGACATTAAAGGCACTTATAAAAGACTAGTATGAGTGGTATTTTGGGGTATGTGTTAAAGTGGTAGCTTTTAGGCTGTGGCGATTTTCATATATGTAAAGGGAGACTTTGATGGACATATGCAGAGTTCTTTTTTTATTATTTCTATGTGGATTGTTTTTGATAACATTTTCATCCTCAGCTGAACTTTCTCTTTGATATCCAATATATTTCTAGGTAGCTTATTGCTTCTATGGATTTTCTAGTAATAATTTTAAAATAGCATTACTTTTTATTATCACAATATTAAAAAATAGGAAAGTAATTGTGATGTCAAAATACTCAACACATGGTATTTTTATTTAATTAAAATATGTATTTTGGGGAATAGCTGATGATTATTACTATTTATCCTCCTCCTTACCAATATACAAATATAATTTTTTAGCCTTCAATAATATAATAAGACTATATTAATTCCTTAATTTAGAAAGAGGCTATTTCCTTTTCTAGGAAAAGGGCATTGAAGTGATGTTTTCTCCCCACCCTTGCCCTACTTGGACTCTTGATTGGAATGTTCTCCCTGCAGCAGTCAGCCCAAAGGAAGGTGAGTTTTCTTTTTTCTTTAAGTTTTATTCATACTTTGGATACTGTCTTCAGATATGTCTTCTAATTCTCTAAATCTCCCTTTGGCTTTATCTAATATTCTGATTATACTATCAGTTGAGTTTTCATTTTATTTTTCTTATGAAAATTATATATACACACACCACTTAGATTTAATATTTCTCACATTTTTCTACATTTGTTTTATTTGTTACTGTTTTTTCTTTGCTGACATATTTTGATTTTTGTTTTGTTTTAATTTTACTTTAAGTTCTAAGGTACATGAGCACAACGTGCAGGTTTGTTACATATGTATACATGTGCCATGTTGGTGTGCTGCACCCATTAACTCATCATTTACATTAGGTATATCTCCTAATGCTATCCCTCCCCACTCCCCCTACCCCACAACAGGCCCCGGTGTGTGATGTTCCCCTTCCTGTGTCCAAGTGTTCTCATTGTTCACTTCTCACCTATGAGTGAGAACATGCGGTGTTTGCTTTTTCTCCTTGCGATACTTTACTGAGGATGATGGTTTCCAGCTTCACCCATGTCCCTACAAAGGACATGAACTCATCCTTTTTTATGGCTGCATAGTATTCCATGGTGTATATGTGCCACATATTCTTAATCCAGTCTAACATTGATGGACATTTGGGTTGGTTCCAAGTCTTTGCTATTGTGAATAGTGCCGCAATGAACATACATGTGCTTGTGTCTTTATAGCAGCATGATTTATAATCCTTTGGGTATATACCCAGTAATGGGATGGCTGGGTCAAATGGTATTTCTAGTTCTAGCTCCTTGAGGAATCACCACACTGTCTTCCACAATGGTTAAACTAGTTTACAGTCCCACCAACAGTGTAAAAGTGTTCCTATTTCTCCACATTGTATCCAGCACCTGTTGTTTCTTGACTTTTTAATGATCACCATTCTAACTGGTGTGAGATGGTATCTCATTGTGGTTTTGATTTGCATTTCTCTGATGGCCAGTGATGATGAACATTTTTTCATGTGTCTTTGGCTGCATAAATGTCTTCTTTTGAGAAGTGTCTGTTCATATCCTTCGCCCACTTTTTGATGGGCTTGTTTGTTTTTTTCTTGTAAATTTGTTTGAGTTCATTGTAGATTCTGGATATTAGCCCTTTGTCAGATGAGTAGATGGCAAAAAATTTCTCCCATTCTGTAGGTTGCCTGTTCACTCTGATGGTAGTTTCTTTTGCTGTGCAGAAGATCTTTAGTTTAATTAGATCCCTTTTGTCAATTTTGGCTTTTGTTCCCATTGCTTTTGGTGTGTTAGACATGAAGTCCTTGCCCATGCCTATGTCCTGAATGGTATTGCCTAGGTTTTCTTCTAGGGTTTTTATGGTTTTAGGTCTAAGATTTAAGTCTTCAATCCATCTTGAATAATTTTTGTATGGGGTGTAAGGAAGGGATCGAGTTTCAGCTTTCTACATATGGCTTGCCAGTTTTCCCAGCATCATTTATTAAATGGGGAATTTCTTGTTTTTGTCAGGTTTGTCAAAGATCAGATGGTTGTAGATGTGTGGTATTATTTCTGAGGGCTCTGTTCTGTTCCATTGGTCTATATCTCTGTTTTGGTACCAGTACCATGCTGTTTTGGTTACTGTAGCCTTGTAGTATAGTTTGAAGTCAGGTAGTGTGATGTCTCCAGCTTTGTTCTTTTGGCTTAGGATTGTCTTGGCAATGCGGGCTCTTTTTTGGTTCCATATGAACTTTAAAGTAGTTTTTTCCAATTTTGTGAAGAAAGTCATTGGTAGCTTGATGAGGATGACATTGAATCTATAAATTACCTTGGGCAGTATGGCCATTTTCACAATATTGATTCTTCCTATCCATGAGCATGGAATGTTCTTCCATTTGTTTGTGTCCTCTTTTATTTCATTGAGCAGGAGTTTGTAGTTCTCCTTGAAGAGGTCCTTCACATCCCTTGTAAGTTGGATTCCTAGGTATTTTATTCTCTTTGAAACAATTGTGAATGGGAGTTCACTCATAATTTGGCTCTCTGTCTGTTATTGGTGTATAAGAATGCTTGTGATTTTTGCACATTGATTTTGTATCCTGTGACTTTGCTGAAGTTGCTTATCAGCTTAAAGAGATTTTGGCCAGAGACAATGGGGTTTTCTAAATACACAATCATGTCATCTGCAAACAGGGACAATTTCTTTCTCCTGCCTGATTGCCCTGGCCAGAACTTCCAACACTATGTTGAATAGGAGTGATGAGAGAGGGCATCCCTGTCTTGTGCCAGTTTTCAAAGGGAATGCTTCCAGTTTTTGCCCATTCAGTATGATATTGGCTGTGGGTTTGTCATAAATAGCTCTTATTATTTTGAGAAACATCCCATCAATACCTAATTTATTGAGAGTTTTTAGCATGAAGGGCTGTTGAATTTTGCCAAAGGCCTTTTCTGCATCTATTGAGATAATCATGTGGTTTTTGTCTTTGGTTCTGTTTATATGCTGGATTACGTTTATTGATTTGCATATGTTGAACCAGCCTTGCATCCCAGGGATTAAGCCTACTTGATCATGGTGGATAAGCTCTTTGATGTGCTGCTGGATTCGGGTTGCCAGTATTTTATTGAGGATTTTTGCATCAATGTTCATCAGGGATATTGGTCTAAAATTCTTTTTTTGTTGTGTTTCTGCCAGGCTTTGGTATCAGGATGATGCTGGCCTCATAAAATGAGTTAGGGAGGATTCCCTCTTTTGCTATTGATTGGAATAGTTTCAGAAGGAATGGTACCAGCTCCTCCTTGTACCTCTGGTAGAATTCGGCTGTGAATCCGTCTGGTCCTGGACTTTTTTTGGTTGGTAGGCTATTAATTATTGCCTCAATTTCAGAGCCTGTTATTGGTCTATTCAGGGATTCAACATCTTCCTGGTTTAATCTTTGGAGGGTGTATGTGTCCAGTAATTTGTCCATTTCTTCTAGATTTTCTAGTTTATTTGCATAGAGGTGTTTATAGTATTCTCTGATGGTAATTTGTATTTCTTGGGATCGGTGGTGATATCACCTTTATCATTTTTTATTGCATCTAGTTGATTCTTCTCTCTTGTCTTCTTTATTAGTCTTGCCAGCAGTCTATCAATTTTGTTGATCTTTTCAAAAAACCAGCTCCTGGATTCATTGATTTTTTGAAGGGTTTTTTGTGTCTCTATCTCCTTCAGTTCTGCTCTGATCTCAGTTATTTCTTGCCTTCTGCTAGCTTTTGAATGTGTTTGCTCTTGCTTCTCTAGTTCTTTTAATTGTGATGTTAGGATGTCAATTTTAGATCTTTCCTGCTTTCTCCTGTGGGCATTTAGTGGTATAAATTTCCCTCTACACACTGCTTTAAATGTGTCCCAGAGATTCTGTTATGTTGTGTCTTTGTTCTTATTGGTTTCAAAGAACATCTTTATTCTGCCTTCATTTCGTTATGTACCCAGTAGTCATTCAGGAGCAGGTTGTTCAGTTTCCATGTAGTTGAGCGGTTTTGAATGAGTTTCTTAATGCTGAGTTCTAGTTTGATTGCACTGTGGTCTGAGACAGTTTGTTATAATTTCTGTTCTTTTACATTTGCTGAGGAGTGCTTTACTTCCAACTATGTGGTCAATTTTGGAATAAGTGTGGTGTGGTGCTGAGAAAAATGTATATTCTGTTGATTTGGGATGGAGAGTTCTGTAGATGTGTATTTGGTTTGCTTGGTGTGGAGCTGAGTTCAATTCCTGGCTATCCTTGTGAACTTTCTCTCTCGTTGATCTGTCTAATGTTGACAGTGGGGTGTTAAAATCTCCCATTATTATTGTGTGGGAGTCTAAGTCTCTTTGTAGGTCTCTAAGGACTTGCTTTATGAATCTGGGTGTTCCTGTATTGGGTGCATATATATTTAGGATAGTTAGCTCTTCTTGTTGAATTGATCCATTTACCATTATGTAATGGCCTTCTTAGTTCTTTTGATCTTTGTTGGTTTAAAGTCTGTTTTAACAGAGACTAGGATTGCAAACCCTGCCTTCTATTGTTTTCTGTTTGCTTGGTAGATCTTCCTCCATCCCTTTATTTTGAGCCTATGTGTGTCTCTGCACGTCAGATGGCTCTCCTGAATAGAGCACACTGATGGGTGTTGACTCTTTATCCAATTTGCCAGTCTGTGTCTTTTAATTGGAGTATTTAGCCCATTTACGTTAAGGTTAATATTGTTATGTGTGAATTTGATCCTGTCATTATGATGTTAGCTGGTTATTTTGCTCGTTAGTTGATGCAGTTTCTTCCTAGCCTGGATGTTCTTTACAATTTGGCATGTTTTTGCAGTGGCTGGTAGCGGTTTTTCCTTTCCATGTTTAGTGCTTCCTTCAGGAGCTCTTTTAGGGCAGGCCTGGTGGTGACAAAATCTCTCAGCATTTGCTTGTCTGTAACGGATTTTATTTCTCCTTCACTTATGAAGCTTAGTTTGGCTGGATATGAAATTCTGGGTTGAAAATTCTTTTCTTTAAGAATGTTGAATATTGGCCCCCACTCTCTTCTGGCTTGTAGGATTTCTGCTGAGAGATCAGCTGTTAGTCTGATGGGCTTCCTTTTGTGGGTACCCCGACCTTTCTCTCTGGCTGCCCTTAACATTTTTTCCTTCATTTCAACTTTGGTGAATCTGACAATTATGTGTCTTGGAGTTGCTCTTCTCGAGGAACATCTTTGTGGCATTCTCCGTATTTCCTGAATTTGAATGTTGGCCTGCCTTGCTAGGTTGGGGAAGTTCTCCTGGATAATATCCTGCAGCGTGTTTTCCAACTTGGTTCCATTCTCCCCGTCACTTTCAGGTAAACCAATCAGCCATGGATTTGGTCTTTTCACATAGTCCCATATTTCTTGGAGGCTTTGTTCATTTCTTTTTACTCTTTTTTCTCTAAACTTCTCTTCTTGCTTCATTTCATTCATTTGATCTTCAGTCACTGATTCCCTTTCTTCCATTTTATCGAATCAGCTACTGAAGCTTGTGCATTCATCATGTAGTTCTCTTGCCATGGTTTTCAGCTCCATCAGGTCATTTAAGGACTTCTCTACTCTGGTTATTCTAGTTAGCCATTCGTCTAATCTTTTTGCAACGTTTTTAGCTTCTTTGCAATGGGTTCCTCCTTTAGCTCAGAGAAGTTTGATTGTCTGAAGCCTTCTTCTTTCAACTCGTCAAAGTCATTCTCTGTCCATCTTTGTTCTATTGCTGGGTAGGAGCTGCATTCCTTTGGAGGGGGAGAGGTGCTCTGATTTTTAGAATTTTCAGCTTTTCTGCTCTGTTTTTTCCCCACCTTTGTGGTTTTATCTCCCTTTGGTCTTTGATGATGGTGACGTACAGATGGGGTTTTGGTGTGGATGTCCTGTCTGTTTGTTAGTTTTCCTTCTAACAGTCAGGACCCTCAGCTGCAGATCTGTTGGAGTTTGCTGGAGGTCCACTCCAGATCCTGTTTGCCTGGGTATCAGCAGTGTAGGCTGCAGAACAGCGAATATTGTTGAACAGCAAATGTTGCTGCCTGATCATTCCTCTGGAAGCTTCGTCTCAGAGGGGTACCCGGCCGTGTTAGGTGTCATTCTGCCCCTACTGGGGAGTGCCTCCCAGTTAGGCTACTCGGGGGGTCAGGGACCCACTTGAGGAGGCAATCTGTCAGTTCTCAGATCTCAAACTCTCTGCTGGGAGAACCACTACTCTCTTCAAAGCTGTACAGGGACATTTAAGTCTGCAGAGGTTTCTGCAGAGGGTTCCGCTGTGCCCTGCCCCCAGAGTTGGAGACTACAGAGGCAGGCAGGCCTCCTTGAGCTGCAGTGGGCTCCACCCAGTTCAAGCTTCCAGGCCGCTTTGTTTACCTACTCAAGCCTCAGCAATGGCGGGCACCCCTTCCCCAGCCTCGCTGCTGCCTTGCAGTTCTATCTCAGACTGCTGTGCTAGCAATGAGCAAGGCTCCGTTGGCGTGGGACCATCTGAGCCAGGCACGGGATATAATCTCCTGGTGTGCCGTTTGCTAAGACCATTGGAAAAGCACTGTATTAGGGTGGGAGTGACCCAATTTTCCGGGTGCTGTGTGTCACCGCTTCCCTTGGCTAGGAAAGGGAATTCCCTGACCCCTTGCACTTCCTGGGTGAGGCGATGCCTCACCCTGCTTTGGCTCACACTCAATGGGCAGCACCCACTGTCCTGCCCCCACTGTCCGACAAGCCCCAGTGAGATGAACCCGGTACATCAGTTGGAAATGCAGAAATCACTCCGTGTGATTTCTTCTGCGTCACTCATGCTGGGAGCTGTAGACTGAAGCTGTTCCTATTCGGCCATCTTGGAACTGCCCCTGACATATTTTGAAAAAAAAAATTCCAGGTAACATGTCATACTTTAGGACTCATATTTTAAAAATATCGATATCTTAAATAATCACAATGCCATTATCATACCTAATAAAAATTAACAAACTTTAATGATCTTCTAATGCCCAATTTATAATCCATTTTCTCCGATTGTTTAAAATGTTGTTTGAGAAATATTGTTTTATTGTTTGGTTTTAAGCTAAATGATTATATTTTTCTTTGCTGGAAATAATTATTGGTTTGTTTTTGTTTCTTTATAATTTTTTAAACATAGTTATTTTATATTTTATATTTTGTGTTTCTAATAGTTAATAGTTATTTTATATTTTGTACTTGTTATTTCTAATACTTAATGTTCATAGAGGTATAATCCTGCTGTTTGTTTTGTCTGTTGACTTTATTTCTGGTACCTTATTTTCCTGTGAGTTTTGTAATTTTAGACTGTGAATTCATTTGGGGTTACCTCAATCTGTGGTAATCTTGTGGGGCTTGGATTAAGGGTAAATTCCTACAGAAAGGGATTATATTTGCTTATACCTACTAGGACTTAAGACCACTTAGCATTGGTTTTTCAGCTTCAGATTTCTTTAAAAAATGTTTAAATTTAATTATATTTGTTATTTTTTCATTGACACATAGTAATTGTGCATATTTTTGGGGAACAGTATGATATTTTGATACATGTATGCAATGCATAATGATCAAGTTAGTGTAATTAGCATATTCATCATCTCAAACATTTATCATTCCTTTGTGTTAGGAACAGTCAAAATCTGCTCTTCCAGCTGTTTGAACTGTTATTAATTATAATCACCAAACAGTGCTGTAGAACCCAGGAACATATTTTTCTTATCTAGCTGTAATTTTATATCCATTAACCAACTTCTGGCTATACACCCTTTCCAGTCCCTAGTAACTACTATTCTACTCTCTAATTCTATGAGACCAACTTTTTTTACCTTCCATTTGGAAGTGAGAACATGTGATATTTGTCTTTCTGTGCCTGGTTTATTTTATTTAACATAATTTCCTCCAAGCTCATCCATGTTGCTGTGAATGACAAGATTTATTTCATTTTTATGGCTGGATAGTTGGATAGTACTCCATCATATATATGTACCACATTTTCTTTATCTCTTCTTCTGTTGATGGACACTTAGGTTGATTCCATATCTTGCCTATTGTGAATAGTGCTGCAATAAACATGTAAGGGCAGATATCTCTTCACTATACTGATTTCTTTTCTTTTGGATATATATCCAGCAAGGGAATTGCTAGATCCTATAGTAGTTCTAATTTCATTTTTGAGAAAACTCCATACTGTGTTTCATAATGGCTGTACTAGTTTACATTCCTACCAACAGTATATAAGTTTCCCTTTCTTTGCATCCTCACCATGTTATTTTTTGACTTTTTAATAATAGACGTTCTAACTGGGATGAGAAGATATTGTGCATTTGATTTGCATTTTCCTGATGACTACTTATTTATTTTTGCTGTTTAGTTGTTTGAATTCCCTGTGTATTCAGGATATTAATCTTTTGTTGGATGAATAGTTTGCAAATATTTTTTCTCTTTCTGCTGGTTGTGTCTTCACTTTGTTGATTGTTTCCTTTGCTGTATAGGTTTTTAGTTCAATATAATTCTATTTGTCTGTTTTTGCTTTTGTTGTCTATGCTTTTTACGGTCTTATTCATAAAAACTTGCCCAGTCCAATGTCTAGAAGCATTCTCCTTATATTTTCTTCTAGTAGTTTTATAGTTTTGGGTCTTACATTTAAGTCTTTAGTCCATTTTGAGTGGATTTTGGTGTATGATGAAAGATAAGGTCTACATATGGATATCCAGTTTTTCTAGTACCATTTATTGAAGAGACTGTCCTTTCCCCAGTGAATGTCCTTGACACTTCTGTAAAAACATGAGTTGGCTATAAATGAGTGGAGATACGCTTTGGATATTTGTCCTCTGTAAATCTCAAGTTGAAATTTGAACCCAAATGTTGAAAGTGGGATCTCAAGGCAGGTGTTTGGTTCATGGAGGCAGATTCCTTATGATTGGCTTTGTGACATCCTCATGGTAATGTGTGAGTTCTCACTCTTAGTTCCCATGAGAACCAGTTGTTGAAAAAAGCCTGGTACCTCCTCTACTCTCTCTCTCTTGCTCCCCCTTGCTATGTGATGCCTGCTCCCTTTTGCCTTCTGCCATGAGTGGAAGCTTCCTAAGACCCTTACCAGAAGCAGATGCTGACCTTATGCTTCTTGTACAGCCTGCAGAATTGTGAACCAAATAAACCTCTTTTCTTTATAAATTACCCAGCCCCAGATATTCCTTTATAGCAATATACAAATGGTCAAAGACAAGTGGATTCATTTCTGGGTTCTCTTTTCTGTTCCTTGGTCTATGTGTCTGTTTTTAATACCAGTGCCACACTATTTTGGTTATTATAACTTTGCAGTATATTTGAAAATAGGTTGTATGAGGCCTTCAGCTTTGTTCCTTTTGCTCAGGATTGCTTTGGCTGTTCAGACTCTTCTGTGGTTATACATGAATTTTAGGATTTTTTTTCTATTTTTGTGAGGATTGTCATTAGTATTTTTGTAGAGATTACACTGAATCTATAGATCACTTTTGGTACTATGATTGTTTTTAACATATTCTTCTAAAGCATGAACATGGATATATTTATTTTTTTGTGTGTCCTCTTCAATTTCTTTTATCAGTGTTTTATAGTTTTTCTCTAAAAGTCTTTCACTTCTTTAGTTAAATTCATTTTTTTTTCTTGTTTGTCTTGTTTGTTGTTCCTGTATATTGATGCTACAGAATTTTGCATGTTGATTTTGTATCCTGCAGTTTGGCTGAAATTGTTTATCAGTTCTAAGAGTTTCTTGATAGAGCTCTTTGGTAGGTTTTTCTATATGTAAGATTGTGTCATCTGCAAATAGGGACAATTTGACTTCTTCCTTGCCAATTTGGATGCCCTTTATTTCTCTTGCCTAATTGCTCTGGCTAGGACTTAGTAGGATTCAGTAAGGTGAATAGGAGTGGTGAGAATGGGCATCCTTGTCTTGTTCCAATTCTTAGAGGAAAAGCTTTCAGTTTTCCCCATTCAGTATGATGTTAGCTATGGGTTTGACATAAGACCTTTATTATGTTGAGGTATGTTCCTTTTATACCCAGTTTGTTGAGAATTTTTATCACAAAGGATGTTGAATTTTATCAACTGCATTTTGTGTATCTATTGAGATAATCACATAAGTTTTGTCCCTCATTCTGTTGATATAATGTATCTGATTTATTGATTTGCATATGTTGAATTATCCTTATATTCCTGGGATAAATTCCACTTGATCATGGTAATGAGTGTTGTAATGTGCTGTTGGATTTTCTGTTTGCTAGTATTTTGTTGAGGATTTTTGCATCACTCTTTATCAGGGATATTGGCCTATAGTTTTCTTTTTCTGTTGTATAAGTTTTTTTGTTGTTGCTGTATTCTTGTCTAGTTTTTGTATCATGGTAGTGCTAGCCTCATAGATGAGTTTTGAAGAATTCCCTCCTCTTCAATTTTCTGGAAGAGTTTGAGAAGAACTGGTATTAGATCTTCTTTGAATGTTTGGTATAATTCAGCTGTGAAGCCATCAGGTCCTAAGCTTTTCTTTGATGGGAGACTTTTTATTACTAATTCCATCTTGTTACTCATAATTGGTCTATTTCTAGGAGGTAGGACACTGCTTCAATAGGCACTGGGAAGACATGACTGCAGTTGGTGGCCAATGTACTGTTTTTCGAAGAGACTGTGTACCTTTTCAGCTCAGACACAGAGGGGTATGACTGCTTTTGTTGGTCAAAGCCCCATTTACCTGGGATGTCTTGTGTTGCTTCAGTTCTGGTCCAGAGAGGCATGGTGTAGCAAAGACTGGGAGAGGTTTTTATAACAGCTTTTTCAGGGCATCATTTTCCTTAGAGGCAGTGTGCAGCTTCGGCTCAGTCCCCTAGGAGCAGGTGCAACCATGACTGAGGGATGGAACGGTTCTGCCAGAACACCGTTTCTCCAGGAATGAGTGTGTAGCTTCAGCTCTAGCTGTGAGTGGGGGCTAGGAGGAGTGCATGAAACAGCTCCACTACTGCTTGAGCCCACAGGAAATGGTACAAGAGGTGGTCACAGGTAGGCTTGGGGATGTCAGGGCATTGGACAGGGGTGGTTTGGCAGCAGCTTAGCCTCAGAAATGAAGGGATATTGTGGGTACTCACCTCCAAGCAACACTCCAACATTAGTTCCAGTTTGCAGATGGCATTGTGCAGTAGCCACGTAGGCCCCAGGGTGCAAGACATAGTGTCAGCTCCTTCTCTGTGGGATGACAGCTATGCGGACTACAGGCAGCTCCCTCAGCTGGGCTTAAGTACACCGATCAACACTTTGAACAACTATAGTCCTCACTCCAGTAGGACTCACTACTGGAGTGAGGACTATAGTTTTGCTTGCCTTTTGCTAGCCTTTCCCCACGGGGAGAGTTCCTCCTAATTCCCATCTGATCCCTGCTGGGGAATGGGCGGGTGGAGACCAGGTGTTTCCTTCAGTTCTCTGTACGGCTATCCTGAATTCCTGTGTTCACCTGAGTTTCTGTTACTTCTTTGATGTACTCCAGCGCTCTCCTTTAGTCATTTTCATTATGATGTAGTTATTTATTAGTTGTTTAGGCTGTTTTTGTGGTGGGGGCGTGGGATGCTTGGGCATATGGAGTGCTAGGGGCTTCTTAAGCACAGATTCTTTAAACGTTTTTTCATCTAAAACTGAGACTTAAACAGACAAGTTACCTTTTATCATCTTCCTTTGTTGTTGGGTAGAACTTTTTTCATGCGTCTTTTCAGAGGGAATATAGCTTTTGAAGGTTTCTGCTTTCAGGTAGTGATTTTTGTTCCAACTCTCCAACATGCTGGGATGAAGGACTGGCCTCTTTTTGTCCTACTGTTAAAGTCTGGGTCCCTATTATTAGCAAATACCCTCAGGGCAGCCATAGTGTCAGTTCAAGACTATTACACAAATTTTCAGCAATCCCCCCAACTTTTTACCCCCTCACATTCTTAAGGCCCTATAAATTTTCCTTATTCTGAGAAACCCGCCTAGACATGTAAAGGATGCTTGTTTAATTTTAAATACCATTTTAGGTGTTTTTTAGATAGAGAATTCTTTATAATAGCTCAATTTCTTCACTTATTCACTTATTCTTAAGTTTTATATTTAGCCATATATAATTCTTAATTTTTAATCCTCTTTGAAGTAGTTGCCTTCCCTTTTCATATTCTTTTTTTCTGTGATGCTACCTAATATTGCCTGTATCTCACGGGTCATTTCTATTCTGTTAATCAAGGAAATAATTTAGAATTCTCTCAGTATGGAAGAAGATCATGTTGGAGAATTAAGATTTCTGCCCCAAAGATATTTTATAAAAATAAAATTGAATTTTTGGTGTTTTATTAATTGTATACAAAGATAGTAAAGAATTTGTTAGTGTTTTAATTTTACATATTTTCTGACACTTCAAAAATTTAAATGTTTTTATGGTACTTACAATTGAATTTTGGCTGTATACACTTAAGTTGTAATATAGATTTTGAAGAAGCTAAACTTAGAATTTACTAAATTTAAAAATCCAATTTTCATTAATATTTATGTTTATCAAGAAATGAAAACAGAGTTTTCTAAATGCCACATGTTTTGCTTTATCCATAATTCATCGACTTGGAGACAAAATAATATTTTCACTTATTAGTATGAGCAATCAATTACATCAGCTACCAACTGAAGGAGATCTCACATTAAACATTCATGGCTGGTCGTTTTTCTGGTTAGAAGTTCATATCTAACAGAGTTCATGGAATATATTACTCATTACATCCCTATAATTGGATCATCTTGTTTTCATAATATTATGACAAAGAAGCAACTCTAACAGCAGGGCTACAGGGTATACTCACATTACATTCACTGTTTCTTAAAAGGTTTATAGTCTGTTAAAGTAAGGCAGAATTGTGGCATTTTAAGTTTGTTGTTTTCAGTTCTGGTAATTTCAAACATTGCATGATAATAAGATCTTTGTGAAATAAAATTATGTAGGGGTATGGAGGATCACTGTGAAAACATTCTCAAGATTCATGTTTCTGTACTGTCAGGAGAAATCTCTAATACAATCTGTATTAAGATTTTATTGGTACTTGGTTCATTTGGATGTCTCAACGACTGACTCTTTATGCTGAATTCATTTAATTACATCAAGATTTTGGTGCATATTATAATAACCATTCTTTTTACTAATAAAGGCTGTATTAATCCTCATGATATAAGCTATTTTTTAGGCCTATCCAATCTGCCATCCTCTGCTCTTACCCATTTCTCTCCCCACATCTTATCTACCATTCCTTGAACTTTTTACTGTTTTTCTTTTATACAACCTATATTTACTATTTACATGTCTTTCCTTTTTTCTTCCAGCCTTGAATATTCTTCTTCCCACTCCCCTTGCTAGTTGAAATTATACTTGTCTTTTAAGGATCAATTCAAACGCTGCTTCCTTCATTAAGTCTTCTCTATGGAGTCAACCTGCCTGAAATTTAGTTAGCTACCTAGCTAGATAACCCATGGCCAGATACTCAACTTCTCCGTGCCTTGGTTGCATCATCTGCGGAATGGAGATCATAGTGTATACCTTATGGAATTGTTGGTACAGTCGGTGCATTAATATGGAAAGCAATTAGCACAGTGCCTAGGAAACTGCAAATGTTAAATATTTGCTCATATGGAAGTGAGAATTAATTACTGCCTCTTGATATCCTATTAGTACTTTCTCTTTTTTTGTTGTTGTTTTTACTTTTTTTTTTTTTTTTTATTTCTTAGAGACATGGTCTCACTCTGTCACCCAGGCTGAAGTGCAGTGGCTCAATCATAGCTCATTGCAGCCTCTAACTATTGAGTGCAAGCAATCCTCCCACCTTATCTTCCCAATTAGCTAGGACTACAGGTGCATGCCATCATACCTGGCTAATTTTTTAGTTTTGTGTAGAGACGGAGGTCACACTGTGTTGCCTAGGCTGGACCTTTTGTAATTTCTCTCTCTTTTTTTTTTTTTTTGAGACAGAGTCTTGCTCTGTTGCCCAGGCTAGAGTGCAGTGCCGCGATCTCAGCTCACTGCAAGCGCCGCCTCCCGGTTTGACGCCATTCTCCTGCCTCAGCCTCCCGAGTAGCTGGGACTACAGGCGCCCGCCACCACGCCTGGCTAATTTTTTTGTATTTTTAGTAGAGACGGGGTTTCACCATGTTAGCCAGGATGGTCTCGATCTCCTGACCTCATGATCTGCCCCCCTTGGCCTCCCAAAGTACTGGGATTACAGGCATGACCCACCGCACCCAGCCTGTAATTTCTTATACTTTGTATTTTGTACTTGTATTATGCTTCTGATACGCTATAATTATTTATGTACATGTTTTTTTTCTTCAATAGACTGTGAACTCTTCGAATGTAGGACTCCTAGAGCTAGATACTCAATTATTTTTTATTAAACTGAATGACTTGAAACTACAGATCCTTTATTTAAACTTCCCAAATTTCTGCTTTATCTAGGCAACTCTTTAAATTCTTTTATCTCATGTAGATTTCAAAGGCTGAAATAATTGAGATTTTTTAGTTTGAAGAAAAGAGAACTGAGGATTTAATGTACATTATTATTATATTTTTAATGGACTGTTTGGGAGTAAGTTGCAGACATTGTTCACTTTCACTCCTAAATACTTAAATATTTCCTAAAAACAGGACATTCTTTTTTTTTTTTTTTTTTTTTTTTTTATGGAGTCTGGCTCTGTCGTCCAGGCTGGAGTGCGGTGGCACGATCTTGGCTTACTGCAAGCTCCCCCTCCCAGATTCACGCTGTTCTCCTGCCTCAGCCTCTCGAGTAGCTGGGACTACAGGCGCCCGCCACCACGCCCGGCTAATTTTTTTTGTATTTTTAGTAGAGATGGGGTTTCACCGTGCTAGCCAGGATGGTCTCAATCTCCTGACCTCGTGATCGCCCGCCTTGGCCTCCCAAAGTGTTGGGATTACAGGCGTGAGCCACCATGCCTCGCCAAAACAGGACATTCTTTTACATCGTTATAGTATAGTTATCAAACAGGATATTTAATTTAGTACACATTATTATGTAACCTATAGTCTGGCAGATTTTGGCACATTTAGTTGCATTAAGGTGAAACAGTTTACAGCCTTTGTCTTTCATAACATGGTCATTTTTGGAATAGTTCAGGCCATATTTTTATAGAATGTCTCTCAATTTGGATTTGTCTGATGTTCCCTCATGAGTAGATTCCAGTTATGCATTTTGGGCAGGAATATCACAGATGCGATGTTTTATCCTTTTCAGTGCAGCCTATCAGGAGGCACATTATGTCAGATTGCACACAGTGCTATTTGGTTAAGCTTTATTGAATTAATAAGTAATTTGTAGAGAGATACTTTCAGACTGTGTAATACCTTGTTTCTTTTCAACCTTGCACTCACTAGTTTATATTCATTGGATGCTTCTTGCCTATGATAGTTACAAAATGGTGATTTTCAAGTCTGTCATCCTTCTATATTTATTAGTTGCCACTCTTCTGTAAGAAAGTTTTTTCTTCTCTTTTTATTTCTTTATTTACCATCAGTATCAACTCATAAATTTTTATTTTATTAAGTGACTTATAATTCAACACTATTATTGTTAGTTTTAATGCTCAAGTTATCCCAGGTTGTGAGTGGCAACCTGACTTTTGACCCCTTGGAAATGCCCCCAACCATTCTATGGCAACTTCCTTCATTTCTGGCATAACAACATATTACAGGCTTATCTTATCATTTACCTGCCCCAGCCCTAGAGTCAGCTGTTTCTCTAAGGAGTCCTGACTCCCTTTACTAGAGAAGAGCATTTAGAAATTAAGATTAGAGCAGTAAGTATGCTCATTGTTAATGAACTGTTACAGCTTCTAGGTCATCTCAGTAGGGACCTGTATGTATAGATCTATTAGGAAATAGATGTATGCATGCATTCATGTACACATACAAACACATATACAACTATACACATCAATATCTACTGATACATCTATATCTTTTATCCATCTATCTATATATATGTATACTAAAAATCATGAGTTTATACAGATACATCTAATTCAAATCTAACAATACAGGATTCTTCCTGCTTTTTCCAAATTCAGTATCTGTTTCTGCCTTTTCCAACAGTAAAAATAATAGCCTTTAACATCATTATTGCATTTGCTCATTTTGTCAGTCTCTCAATATATGGATAGTACTTTCAGAATTACTATACCCACATTTGTGTGAAAAATATACCTACTGAGTTGAATTCCAGATGGTTTACCTTTATTTTCATCTTTGAAGTGAGGATGTATAGTCAAAGTTCTCATGCAGATACTTGTGCTATTCTGTACAAAATGAATTCTATGAAGAATGAAAGGTTTTAGTTAGTATTAATCATGTTACGTAACAAAAAGATTTGGCTATGACCATCAATACTCAGTAGTAGGATAGTCTTCTACTTCACTGAGAACATCCAGGCAATTGCATACTCTTTTACTATTTGGCCTCAAATACCCATGTGATTTCCTTCTCTGTGTGATGAACAAGGTTAACTAGTGTTTGAGCCTGAGGACTCCTTTTGTTAAGTCCAGAGTCACCCTCTGTTTTTGCCTTGTGAATTTTTGTCCTCTGAGTATAAAAGAGGGTTATGTTCTTTTGCCTTAAGACCTAGAACAAAGCTGGCCTAAGCCACTTAATCCATGCATTATTTCACTGTGGCCCTCTCTGTTCTCCAGTAGTTCTTAGGTAGGTGGTTCCTATAGTAGAGGTTGCTACTAGCACATAATAACTATATAAATCATGTAGGAGGGAAGATAGTCAGAAGCATGACCTTACATAAGATAAAGAAGACAAAAAGATAGGTGCTTAGGTGTTGTTCCAGTTATAATCTCTTTTGTTCACATATTTGATGTCTTAGAAATATGGCCCCATTAAATGTACCTGAGAATTTAGTTTTGCTTTTAAGCTACATGAAAGTACCATCTTCTAGGGAGAGTGATATGGGGAGAGTGCATAAAAACCTTAAACATTACCACCCATTCACCCTCATCCCTTGCCACCTACTTTAGAGTACAATTGACCCTTGAATAACATGGGGGTTAGGGTCGCTGACTCCCCATGCAGTTGAAAATCTGCATATAACTTTTGACTCCCCAAAAACTTAATAGCCTACTGTTGACTGGAAGTCTCACCAATAACCTAAACAGTTGATTGACACATATTTTATATGTTATATGTATTATAATAAAGTAAGCTTGAGAAAAGGTGATAAAAATCATAAGGAAGAGAAAATATATTTACTATTTATTAGGTGGAAATGGCTCATCATCAAGGTGTACATTCTCATCATCTTCATTTTAGGTAAGTTAAGGATGAGGAGGAAGTGGAGGGGTTGGTCTTGCAGTCTTGGGGGTGGCAGAGCATTTCAAACCTGTGGGTCAAGTGTATATACTTCTCAGCTGCGATAAAAGGAAAAAATTTAATGCAAGAGTTTTATCAGAAGGAGATATTATAGTGTCTTCTTTCTAGAAGGCTTTAAAGCTAGCAGATGACATTGCTTGGGATAATAATTTATGAAATCTTAGAACAAGAATTATGAACTGGTATATTCTAACTCTTTGTGTAGATCACTGATTGAATTGATGTTTCTAGGAAGTATGAATTTTTTTAATTCTAGTGGCAGATTATCCTCTTAGTAGCAAGATATTCTTATCAACCTTTATGTGTAGTTATTATTGTTGACTAAAGTTTTAAATGTAAAGGCTTATCCTTATGAGGATCATTTATATAAATACTCTGGTTTTTTTCCCATTTATTTTCTGTAAAATATTTGGAGTTGAAAAGAATGAACTGACCCTTAACATTAGGAAAAAATATAAAACAAGGTAGTGATGTATAACTAATAAAAATTGGCTTCAATAAAAAGTCTGTGTGCTCTAGTCCCTACTTCTTTGTTGTATGTTTCTATAAACCAACAGCAGCACCCCTTCTTTCTTCTCCCAGCAGAAGTGATTTGGGGAAGCAAGGGAAGAGTGTGGTCAAGGTCTTTGGAAAGAGGCAGATACAAGGTGAAGAATGAAAGGGCTAAAGGCAGCCTTTTCCCCTATTATTGATTCTTAACTAGGTTCTTACCAACTCTTGAGTGTATGGTAAATATGTAGGCACATTATTTATTGCTATTCTTGCCAGAAGGCAAGGGATGCTAAAAGTTCACCAAACAAAGAATGGTCTGATCCACAATGTCAGTAATGCTCTCCTTTGCAGGGAATCCAAAACACAAAAGCTTTTTCTAAGGCCGGTAGGCAGGACATGCAGATGCTGCTTTGTCCTAAATCATTACTTTTCAAACTAGGATATCTATCAGAATCATTTGGAAGGCTTGTTAAATCAGATTGCAGGGCCCTACCCCACAGTTTCTCTTACAGGTCTGGGGTAGAGCCCTAGAATTGCATTTCTAAGAAATATCTCTGTGATACTGCTTCTGCTGCTTTGGAAACCACACCATGTGAAGTATTACCCTAGGGAACCAATATAATGCATGCACTGGCTACTTGATTTCACTCTTTGCCACCCAGATAACATGAACAGTATCAAACCTGTCCAAATATTTCTTTAAAACTTAATTCTTTTTCTGTTTTTAGCAAAGAGTAAGTCATATATAAGAGCTTGTGCATATCTCTGTGCCATTTGCTAACTATAAGAATGTCTATTTTAGACCAGTTATACTGACAAATATAAGTGGAAGTGAAAGTATCCTGATAATGTAAATAAAAATAATGGTCTCCTTTAAGAAAATTTTATTTTTTGTAAAATACTCATCTTGGGTTCTTATTATTTCTACTTTACCACACTAGATGAGACTCAAAACTAGCACGTTTGTTTTCTTAACTTTTAAAAAATTCTTCAGGTTGACAGTGTAAACAGTTTGTTGTTGTTGTTTATATTAAATAACTTTAGATTTTAAGGCTATTACATTTTGAACTTTTTGGCATTTAAAATACTAAAAGTGGCCAGGCATGGTGGCTCACTCATGTAATCCCAGCACTTTGGGAAGCTGAGGCGGGTGGATCACTTGAGGTCAGGAGTTCAAGACCAGCCTGTCCAATAAGGTAAAACCCCGTCTCAACCTAAAATACAAAAATTAGCTGTGCGTGGTGGTACGTGCCTGTAGTCCCAGCTACTTGAGAGGCTGAGGTGAAAGAATTGCTTGAACCTGGGAGGCGGAGGTTGGGGTGAGTCAAGATCATGCCACTGTATTCTAGCCTGGGCGACAGAGTGAGACTCCATCTCAAGAAAAAGAAAAAAAAATACTAAAAGTGTATCAATAGCATGAGATCAAAGAGGTGGGTTTTGTTCTGTTTTGTTTTGTTTTTTCACTTTCTGGGAAAAATTTTTCTAACTTAAATGTTTTTCATTTCTCTAAGTTATATTTAGCTTTGAAATTCAAAACCTGCCCATATTTGACTCAGAACGCTACCAATTTTTGAGTATTTTCTCTTCTATTAAGAGTGAAATTCTCAATACGCATTTTGTTGCTTTGTCAAAATGTTATTTAAAGTGTTTATTTAAACTTATTTTTAATCTGAAATTAAATGCCTCTAAACAATTCTATATATAAATATGGGCACAATTTATATTAAATGGTTTAAAATATAACAAGATTGCCAAGAACATGTTTGCTATTTGCTTAATAATACTCTTTGGATTTAGTGCCAAAATATTAGTGTATATCAGTATAGAAATTGAAATAGATATATATTACATACGATATGTATTATATATTGTATATATGAGTGATATATAGAGCAAAACATGTGTTAAATTTATTTCTTTTTCTGGGAGAAAGTTAGAGAAGTCAGCCAGAGTAATAGGAAAAATAATTTAAACTGGCAAAGAGATGGATAAAATTTTACTGGGCAAAATTGTCCATTATGACATTAAACATTCCTTATATTAACATGTTTTTTTAAAATAGAATACTAATTAATTATGCTTGGCAATCAAGAGGTGTTACTGTTGATAGGAATATTTTATAATAGGTTTTAATGAAAACCATAACTAATCTGGTGAGTTTTTAAAAATAAAAAAGTAATGTACCATATAATCTTTATTGGTGAGGAATGTAACAAGGAGGTAGAGAACTAGTAGAAAGGTATCTTTATTTTTCAGTGTTACCATCTTCTTATGAAATATTAAAAGGTTTAATTAGAAAAAAAGAAACGTAAAATGCACAATTTTATTATAATTGTATGATAATAATACACTTATTATTTAAATTTTAAAAGGTTTTTAAAAATTTCACGTGAAGTAACACATAAAATAATTTAATCAAATCCTCCTGAAATGTATCTGTAAGTACAACATAGTTTTTATCAAAATCTGAAGACTTTTTGTAGCTGTAGACAAGCTTATTCTAAATTTTATATGGAAAAAAAAATTTGAAAAAGAGCAACAGAATCACTCTAGTGAGTGTTAAGACTTACTATATAGCTATAGTAATTGGAGAGATAGACATACAGAACAATAAAACAGAATAATAAAACAATAAAACAGAATAGAGAAGCATAAAATGCATAAAAGCAACTCAATGGAAGAAGGATAGTCTTTTCAGCAACCATTGCTCTATCAATTGAACATCCATAGGCAAAAAAAAAAAAAAAATCTCTACCTAAATTGCACACTTATATTAAAGTTAACCCAAAATAGATCATGGAATTAAATATAAAATTTTAAACTATAAAACTTTAGAAGAAAATATACACAAAATGCTTTGGGACCTAAGCAAAGAGTAGGCAATGTGTTCTTATATGTGACACCAAGAGAATGATCCATTTTGTAAAAATTGGTAAATGGGACTTCATCAAAATTAAAAACCTTTGCCCTGCCAAAGACTATTAAAAGGATGACCAAACAAGCTATAGACTGAAATAAAATATTTGCAAACCACAAATATTCACAAATTTGACAAAGAACTTGGATCAAGATATATAAAGAGTTCTCAAATCTCAACAGTTAAACAAATAAATAGAAGTCCAATTAGAAAATGGGCAAAAGACATGAACAGACATTTCACCACAGAGCATATAAGATGGCACATGCATATATGAAAATTTCTTCTATTTTATCAATTAATATCAGGGAAATGTAAATTTAAACTATAATGAGATATTACTACACACCTATCGGAATGTCTCGAATTGAAAAGTAACAACACTGAGGCCGGGCGTGGTGGCTCACGCCTGTAATCCCAGCACTTTGAGAGGCCGAGGCGGGCGGATGACCTGAGGTCAGGAGTTCGATACCAGCCTCAACATGGAGAAACCCTGTCTCTACTAAAAATACAAAATTAGCCGGGCATGGTGGTGCATGCCTGTAATCCTAGCTACTCGGGAGGCTGAGGCAGGAGAATTGCTTGAATCTGGGAGGCGGAGGTTGCTGTGAGCCGAGATTGCGCCATTGCACTCCAGTCTGGGCAACCAGAGCGAAACTCCGTCTCAAAAAAAAAAAAAAAAAAAGAAAAGTAACAACACTGAATGCTGACAAGGATGCAGAGAAACTGGATCACACATACATTGCTGGTAGGAATTTAAAATGGTACAGCCACTCTAGAAAATATTTTGTCAGTTTCTTACAAAACTGAACATGCAACTAGCATAAGACTCAGTAATTGCACTTTTGGGGATTCATTCCAGAAAAATAACAACTTATATTAACATGAAAATCTGCACAAGAATGTTTATAGCAATGTTATTCTTAGTGGCCCCCTAACTGGAAATAACCCAAATATCCTTCAATAGGTGAGTAATTCTGGTATATATGTGCAATGGAATACTATTCAGCAGTAACAAAGAATGGACTATTAATACTTGCAACAAGTTGAATAGATCTCAAGGGCATTGTGCTTAATGAAAAAAATAGTCTGAAAAGGTTACCTATACTGTATGTTTGCCTTTATATAACATTATCAAAATGATAAAGCTAGAAAGATTGGGAATAGATTAATATTTGACAGGGATCAAGAATGGCAGTAGCAAAGTGTCCCTTGTGGAGAGGGGTTTGTTACACAACTTTATACATGGAATCAAGTTGCATAAAAGGATACATATACTGACAAGTGCATGCATGTAAAAACTGGTGAGAACTCAGGTGTGTAGTTAACAGTATTGCACTAATAATGATTTCCTAGTTTTGCTATTGTACTAAAATTATTTAAGATGTCACCATTGGGGAAGCTGGGTGAGGGGTTCATGGGAGTCTCATACTATTATTGCAACTTCCTGTGAGTCTAAAATTGTTTCAAAATAAAAAAATTAAAAATAATTTAAGCAGAAATATTTGGAAAAATCAGGGAAATTAAGAATATTGAAATACTTCTCAGCTCACCTTTTTTCAAACAGAAGAATTGGGGAGATGGATTGTAAATCAAATGATAGTTTAATACAAGGCAAGAGCTGCAAAGACATCTGAATATATTTTCTTTGTAATTAATAGTAATGCAGTACTAGTATACACAGATAAACATTGACTTTCACCTTTGACAGACAGTCAGACTTCACAGGTTGCTATTCCTAAGCTCACAGAGAAATGGAGAAAGTCAAATTGATGTAGCATAATTTGAGTTTCTTTATCAACATTGCTTCAAAACAGTGATTAATATAGTCTAGGAGTAGCTCAATAATTAAGCCTGGCTGATAGTTTATCCTAGGCTCCCTGAAAACTTCAAGACATCTTGAGGATGTTATGGTGTTATAGATGTTATGTTCATGGAGAAGGAGAAGTAGGGGAAATTCTTTCATACTGAAAGCTTAATAGTATCCAATTTCAATTATACATCTCCATTCAAAATAACTGAAAACTGAAACTAAGTATCTTATTTTGAGTGTAAAAAATGACTGAGTGAATGAGATCATTTTGAACTTTAAATTTAGCTTAGATATGTGAAAGGCACAGTTGTATAACATACTATTACCTAAATCCCGTGGGACTACTTTGCTGTAAGCAAGGCCTGAAAGAGTAGCAAGATTAAATTCAAGTTTTATACTTTAGAGTCCTCAACAAAAATAAGCACATGCCCTGTATCTAACATAGAGACAGCAGTTCTTTAGCTAGGACAGCTTTGGTAAAATGGGCTCACAGCTTTAGTGCCTCATTGCCACATAATGTATGGCTTACTGGGTTTCTCTCTCTCTTTTTCTGTTTGTGAGCCGTGAAACCAGATTGTCTTCTTAGGAAAATACAATGCCTTTTTTAAAACTGTACTAACTGTAGCATGTGATTAAAAGAGAAAGGTTAAAAGTCTTTTTTCTTCTTGGAATTAGATTTGCTGTAATTCTTCTCATTATTATGTTATGCTTTGTTCTCCTCTGTAGGGTTAGACTTCAAGAACCCTATTTATAGACCATGTTTTTAAGTACTTTACAAACAGAGACCATAATGACTGATTATCAATAAAGGTTTTAATGGCCAATATCAAGGGTGTATTATATACAATCTTCTAGAAGTATTGCTTTTTAAAACAAAATGCAATTATTTGATGCGAGGAAACATCTATGTGATCATACAAATTTATCTGAGGTTTATTTTATTTAGGTCATATGTAGGGTATAAAAATTGTCTGGGTTTTTTTGTGTCTATAGGAAATGAATGAATTGAATGTTTATTGAATAATCAAGGAGATTTGGGTTTGGTTTTGACTTCACTAAGTTGTTTGTCATAGCACTAGGCAAGTTTGAAAATTACCATGGTTTATTTTAGAAATATTATGAGTTTACTAGTAAGAAACTTCAAATTATCCATTCAAAGGTATACTTAAGTATTAATAATACTATTTTTAAGTATTAATATGTTTCAGAGATCATTTTGCTTCAAAGGCTAAAACAGGATTTATGTGAATAATGAAATACTGGTTTCTGAAAACCTTTACCAGCCAAGGGTTCAATTCTCTCGTCAATTAGTATTGAAATGTAGTTGTGTGGGGCCATTTTAATTTAGCAAGACTTCCTGGTGAATTTTTCTGGAGCACTTCCCAGTTCCACTATATTTCTAGCAGCATCTGCATTATCTTAGGGTAGAAATATGTACCCATTTCAAGATAAGACTTTTCCTAAGCACTTTATATTTTTTTCTTTATGAGTTTTTCCATTGATCACAAATCCTGGATACCATAATAAAAGGCTGTGATGTTTTAGAATGAGGCAGCTTTACATGAAAATTTGTAAATATTTGACATAAATTATTAATGGGTAAATTTTTAGCAAGAAACCACTTTAAGTAGAACAAAACTTACTGTTGAGAGTCATCCAGAAGCAATGAGGGACAGGAAAAAATAATGTTTTCTCTGAAACAAAGATAGTTGCAATAAAGCATTTAGTTCCAGCTTTCAGCATGATTTCTAATAAAGATAAAAGAATGAACAATGGAAAACATTCACAGAGTTATTTGTAGTTATATATAAATTATATATACAGTTGGATGTATTCATGAACCACCCTAGGATTAAAAATATTTGAAAAAAATTTGCATCTGTACTGTACATGTACAGACTTTTTTCTTGTCATGATGCCCTAAACAACACAGTAGAACAGCTATTTACATAGCATTTACATTGTATTAGGTATTACAAATAATCTAGAGATGACAGTATATGGGAGGATGTGCATAGATTATGTACAAATATTATGCCATTTGTATCAGGGACTTGAGCATTCGTAGATTTTAGTATCTGTGGGAGGTCATAGAATCAATCCTTCACTGATACTAAGGGATGACTGTAGTTTATACATAAACTATACATACCTGCTGTGAAAGCCCTGAAGTTGATTTCTGTTTATAGTTAATGCAAAACTAGCTCTTTATTAATTCCATTTTGTACATCTGCAAAAAGGCATTTTCTTGAATAATTTATCTCTTGGATTACCTTTCCAGACTTCTTTTAAATATCTCACGGTAAGTAATATTGTTTTTAAGCTTAAAAATCCTCGACGTTGCTAAACTTTCAAGATTTTTTTTTTTTAATCTTAAATGCTTATAGGAGTTGGAGGGAAAACTAATGATGTAGATCCCTGTTTTTCTGCTAATGGGAATTAATTAGTACTATTCATTACGATTGAAATTGGCATTCTCTGTGCTATTCCAGACAGTTATGATAAAAATCAGCTCAACTATACAAGGAACTATTTTATTCCATGCTTTGAACCAGCTCCTCTTAGCACCCAAGCCCATTCATTATTTTTATCTAATTAGGCCAACTTACATTGGAGAGATACCTGAAGCAAGGAAATTTCCTTAATAGCTATGCAATAACAATAGCTCACAGGCACTTAAACAATACAGTTGTCTAAGATTGAATCATCAGAAGAAGGGGAAAAAAAGTTATCCTTAACCATAGGGTAAAAATGTAGTCATAAATAGACAACCATCATTATTTAAATGGCATAAATATACAATATTAGTTATCAATAGTATAATGTTTATAGATGTGAATTTTGTATGCTTATTTGTGGAAAATTGTTAAATTTATTTTTATGTTGAAATTTGTAGTCACATTTGAAAGTTGACTGTATTCTGTACACAAAAATGCAAACATGCTTCCTAGGAAAAAATAGAAATTTTGCATATGATTACACAGCAAATATTTTCTAAAACTAGGGCAAAGTCTTAATTCCCAGGACAACTCCTTATCTTAAAAACAAATTATTTTATATGACACTTTTACTCTCACTTGTCTGTTGAAATGAGAAAATAAAAGTATTTTTGTGGCAGTGTGCACATCTAATAAACAAGACATTAAAATGTTTGGAGGGGCTGGAAATAGGGTCACGGCCTACCCCTTTTTAACAACTTCATTGACTAAATACTTCCATGTCCTAGGGAAATAATTCACATTTTGATATTTTTCAGCAAAACAAGAAAAGGAGAGAAAACTTAGCTGTAAAAGGCAATATTACAGAAAATGACTTAGAAAGTTGCTTTCTGACTGGGTGCAGTGATTCATTCCTGTAATCCCAGCACTTTGGGAGGCTGAGACAGGAGGATCACTTGTGTCCAGGAGTTCAAGACCAGCCTGAGCAACATAGTGAGACCTCATTTCTCCAAAAAAAAAAAAAAAAAAAAAAAAAAAAAAAAAAAAAAAAAAATTAGCTGGTGTGGTATTGCGCACCTGTAGTTCCTGCTACTAGGGAGGCTGAGCAGAAGGATTGCTTGAGCCTGGGAGGTTGAAGCTGCAGTGGGCCATGATCACACCACTGCACACAGCCTGGGTAACAGTGAGACCCTGTCAAGGTAGGAAGGTAGAAAGGTAGGAAGGAAGGAGAGAGGGCAACAGAGTGAGACCCTGTCTAGGAAGGAAAGAAGGAAGGGAGGGAGAGAGGTAGGGAGGTAAGGAGGGAAGGGAGGGAGCTCTAGGTGACTCTCAGGCTTAAGAGCCAGAGGAATAAATTCCCTGACCTATATCCCCTTTACTATCTGATCTCCTGCTGTGGCTTCTTTGAGATAGAGGAAAAACCAAAGTGTTTTTCATACTCTAACTCAACACATTACTTCTGATACTGAATGCATGAAGGGATTTCCCCACACATAAGAAATTCCTCCAATTCAATTCTGACATCATCTGCCTGGAGATAGTGTTAGATCTCACATGTTAAGGGTTCAGTTCCACAAAACTGCCCCCCACTTCAGATGCCAATCACCAGGCTAGGTTGTGACATGTACCCATGTCACATGGTGTATCACATGGAGAGTTTTTAAGCTTAAAAACAATATTACTTACTGTGAGATATTTAAAAGAAGTCTGGAAAGGTAATCCAAGAGATAAATTATTCAAGAAAATGCCTTTTTGCAGATGTACAAAATGGAATTAATAAAGAGCTAGTTTTGCATTAACTATAAACAGAAATCAACTTCAGGGCTTTCACAGCAGGTATGTATAGTTTATGTATAAACTACAGTCATCTCTCATGGTGTATCACCATGTGATATGGGTACATGGTTCCCACCACTGGCCATGGTTCCCATGACACCCTCCTAAGGTTCAACTAATTTTCAAAAATAGCTCACAGAATTCAGGGAAACACTTGAATTACATTTACTGGTTTATTAATAAAAGATGTAATAAAGGATACAGATGAACAACAGATGAAGAAATACACAGGGCAAGGTCTGAAAAGGTCCTGAGCACAGGAGTTTCTGTCCCTGTGGAGTTGAGGTGTGCCACCCTTCTGGCACATGGCTGTGTTCACCAGTGCAGAAGTTCTCAGAACCCCCTGCTTCAGGGATTTTTATGGAGGGTTTAACCACATAAACATGATTGATTATTAATTCAATTTCCATCCCCTCTCCCCTCTCCAGAGAATGGGAGCTGAGTCTGAAGTTCTCAGATTATAATCATGTCTTGGTCTTTCTGGTGACTACCCCTTGTTCAGAAGTCCACCCAAGAGTTGCCTCATTAGAACGCAAGACACTCCTATCACCTTGAAAATCCCAAGGAATTTAGGAAATTTGTGTCAGGCACTGGTAGCAGAGACCTATGCACATACACACACACACACACACACACACACACACACGTATATACATATATACGCATACATATATGTATATATATGTGTGTGTGTGTGTGTATATATATATATATATATATAATATGTCTTATTATTTCACCGATTTTCACTGACCAAAACCATCCATATGCCAGATGGCAAGGAAGCCAGTTGAGTAGCCAACGCAGATCAACCTTCAAAGCAGAGAGCAGGTTAAATTGAAGGGGCAAATACTCTGCAGATATCTGACAGAGTAATTGTGGAAATTCAGAGCCAGGAGAGACATTAGAGATCACCTAAAATCAGAAAATTTGAGGTACCTCGTGAGAGTAAGTTACATGCATTGTGTAATTTACAGTTAAGACACACTGTCCGTCAATCAGCAGAGTTGAGAACTCTAGATCTACATGCATTATAGTTCATAATTATGTCACAGTCACCACTTACAGCATCTATGCAAATCGCTTGTTGTGTGTGAAGTTACACTGATCAGCATTGCTATTGCCTACAAAATTAATAAAATTTGAAATTTATTAACCTAAGGGACTGGAGTTTGGCCATATTAGAGGAAATGTTTTGGAAGAGTAGTTTGTCCCACATAACTTATTTCAGTTCGTACTATAATTCTCTGAAAATTACTTTCAGTGACCATACCTGTTATAGAAAATTGCTGTTTAAGGTGATTATCTTAGACAGGGGGAAGAATTATAATAACCCTTTATTGGAGTCATTGCTTATGAGGCTTAAAATTTGATTAATTCATTTGATTAAAAGGAGCATATAAAACTTTAATATATTAAGAATTTCCCATTCTCAAAATGAATTCTACCTATTGTTGTTGGAATATGTTTCCTTTTAACATTTTCCTACCTTATTGTTTTCACTAATCTGTTAATACCATCTGGCCAATTATATCAAGTAATTTTACACTTGTTGAATGTTCCTGTGGGTGGAGACTATGAAGCATCTCTTCAAACTCTGTTCACATTCTGGAAATCATTGGTCAAAACACTCACTCTGAAATCAAAGATTTTACTTGTGAACAGCAAATTTTGTATATTTCTCACACAAATGTTATTTTTGCATTCTGGGGTCTCTTCATCCTTTCTCATATAGCTTGTGTTATATAGGTTCTTGCTAAGATATTTTATATCTCTGTATCAAAAAGTAGAAATCATCAATGTCAGCTGAGCTTTTCTGCTACAATTGTGATTATTATATTTAATTGTAAATGCTGCATTGTACCCAACCTATTTCACAAGGAGATATATTCCCTTGATTCTATATTAAAAAGAAGCCATTGTTAGGTTTGAATGCCTATAGAATATGAAGGTTATAGTCAAAAAAAGACTATTTCAATATAAATGAACCATTTCCTCCTTTTTAAAAAGCAGTAAACTAATTAGCCAAAATATGTTGTAGCTTTACAAATGCTTTTACTAGGCCTTTAGACATGTTCCTACTATACTATCTTTTTATTATACAGTGAGATAGAACTTGCCATTTAATGTCAAACCATCAAAGAATTCAGCTACTTCACATGGTTATAGTGTTTGCTTTTAAAACAATTAATTTTAAGAATTTGAAACATAATACAAGTACCCCTAATATAACCGCTGATTTTTAATGGTTCCATAATACCTCACCAAACAGATTTAATATATTTTGCTGAACTAACTGCAGTTGAATATAAAGTTGCCCTCAACTTATCATTATCGCAGATAACACTACAGTGAAAACATCCTACACATAGCTTTTTCTATACTTTTGGTTATTCCCCGTGATACAGCTTTTTGAATATTTATCCCCACCCAAATCTCATGTTGAATTGTAATCCCCAGTGCTGGAGGTGGGGCCTGGTGGGAGGCGTTTGGGTCATAGGGGCAGATCCCTCATGTCTTGGTGCTGTCTTCACACTAGTGAGTTCTCACGAGATATGGTGGTTTAAAAGTGTGTAGCACCTCTCCCGTCACTCGCTCTCTCTTGCTCCCATTCTTGTCATGTAATATGCCTGCTTCCCCTTTGCCTTCTGCCATAAATGGAAGCTTCCTGAGGCTTCCCCAGAGGCAGATGCTGCTGTGCTTCCTGTACAGCCTGCAGAACTGCAAGCCAATTAAATCTCTTTTCTTATAAATTACCCATTCTCAGGTATTTCTTTATAGTAGTGCAAGAATGGCCTCATACACTCTGGAAGGGCGATAATAGGGTTAAAGGATGTGAAATTTTTGCTACTAATATTACATATTGCTAAACTGATTTCCAGTAGGGCTTAACTAGTTTATTTTACCATCAGCAATGTTAAAGAACCTCTGCTTCATTCCACCTTCAGTGACATTAATTCGTTCAATTTTTTATAAGTTTTACAGGCTGATAGGGAAAACTCATTGTTTTATTTTGTATTATTTTATCATCACAAGGTTAGATATTTGCAGGTATTTGGTTTAATATCTGACATCATTTTTTGTCAATTTGAATGAATTCTTTAACAAAATGAATATATTAATCTTTATTTGCTGAAGGTATTTCTGCAGAATATAATTTGCTTTTTTAATTTCAGTTACCAACATGTTCTTAAAGCTGAGACATTTCACAGGTTTTGTGTTTTAGTTCCACTTTGTATACAACTGTAGCAGAAGTAGGCAGTTTCTGTTAGTTCTTAAGAGTATGACAGTCTCAGGTTAAACAACATAGAGCCTGAGCTCTATGAGTCAGCTAGTAATGGTACAATCAGAAATCTCAGAATTTGTTTAGAAAAGTCTTTTTAAAATGTCAGCCTCTCTACATTGTGCTAACGGAATTCCCAAGAATATTTATTATTATTATTATTATTAAAAGAATAACCTACATCTAGGAGGCAGCATGAAGGTGGTGATGATAGTTCAAGTGAACCCAGTTTGAGAGATGAAGCTCAAGGGACTAAGAGGAGGCTGTTGGTCCATTTGTCTCTTACTCCTGGAGGGTTAAATGTTAGTTGTGTTTAGTTTCAACAAAGGAGATGCCCTTACCAACTGGATCCTCCTTAAACAGACTGAGCTACTTGAGGGCATCAACTGTTCATGTTTGTAACTTTTATGCCTAGCTGAGTCACCAGCAAAAAGAAGGCAGAGATTTAATGAATACTGAAATGAAATAATGAATGAATTGTAGGGAAAAATAGTATGGGAGGTAACTGGAGTTATAAACTATAATATTGAATGTGACCACCATGAGTCATCAAAGGAGGAAAATAATTTAAAATTTTTAATTATCCCTAAGATCTGATTTTTACAAATTTTTACCAAAATTAGAATATCTGTAAATATCCATGTGGACTTAAACAAAAAATTGACTTTTTTGATTAATATAATACAATGATACTCATTTTTTAATGGAATAGCTAGTGAAATACAATACAGTACCTTAGTTCCTCAAAGCCAATGTTTCAAGATAATTCAGTCTTATATAATTGTGACCTAAAGCAATAAAACATTGGTAGTTATTTCGCAGTCCTCTTTAGTAGGCTGGCTCACTGGATCTGAGAAACAGTGCAAAGACAGGAAACCTATGTGTTCTCTACCTTCGCAATGTTTAGAAGACCAGTCCAAAAAACTGTGTCTTATGCAGCTTAGTAATTTGGTCAGTTAATGACATGAACATTTGGCTAAGATTTGAGAAAAAAAAAATAGGCAAAAAAAAAAAAAAAAAAAGAGAGAATTCAAGTATAAAATACAGTGAATTCCAAGTTAGTAAGGGCTGCCTCAAGGACAAGAGAGAAAGCCCTCTAATATTAAACTGTGGGAGAATCTGCTTCAGCCGCAGGGTTTTTCTATTTGGAAGCCTGTGGGAGCAGGTAACTTCAATAATCTATATTGTTTTGGAATAGATGCCTTTTATAACTTTTCTTTTTAAGAAAACATGCTTAAAAGCATAATTTTTTTTCTCTTAATCCTCTCTTTTCTGAGACTTTGATCTTACCAGCTAGATTTTACCAACTGCATTGCATTTTAAAAATATAATTTATCTGTTTGTTAAGGGATTACTAAGTTGGAAAGACTGAGGCAGTAGATGCTGTGAAAGGCCAGAAAGGAGGGGGATTGATCCTTGGTTGGGAAATGGTCCAAGCAGGTCAACCAGGTCTTGAATTTGGCCTTGAATCAAAGTAAACCTTAGATTAAAAAGGAAGAAGAATGTAAAGTATCTTAGTGAGAGGGAGCAGCATAAATGAAAATGGACTAGAGAGAATTAATGTGGAAAGGGAATTTCAAGTGAATGTCAGAAAAATAGTTTATGAAGTAATGCCAGCTATTGATGGATTGGTATAGTTGAGAACAGCTCACTGAGAAGCTTTAATGTTAAAATCTATTTTTTTAAATAATTAAAGCCAAATTTTACAGTGTTTAAGTGGGAGGTGTTATGGGGCATTGTTTTCTTTTGATATCAAAACCATTTTCCATGATCTCAGAACTCCTGGACAAAGAACCTCTAATAATTTTGTATATCTCATTATCCTTTTTTAATTTTTTTTTTTTTTTTTTTTTTTTTGAGATGGAGTCTTGCTCTGTCACTCAGGCTGGAATGCAGTGGTGTAGTCTCGGCTCACTGGAACCCCAGCCTCCCGGGTTCAAGTAATTCTGCTGCTTCAGCCTCCCAAGTAGCTGGGATTATAGGAGCCCGCCACCATATCTGGCTAATTTTTGTATTTTTAGTAAATATGAAGTTTCACCATATTGGCCAGGCTGGTCTCGAACTCCTGACCTCAAGTGATCCAGCCGCCTCAGCCTCCCAAAGTGCCAGGATTATAGGCTTCAGCCACCACTCGGACTCAATATGCTTTTAAATGTAATTTTCTAAAAACAGCTTTTGGAGAGAACAGAGGCATCAATACTGTTACAGTCTATTAGTTATCTGGCCCTATGGACATTAGTAAGTAACATTCTAGAGTATGAGTGTCAGAGACCAGTGGTTTGTCTATTAAAATAGTAGAATTATCTTACTTGATAATTCTTGAGAAGGCTGTGACTCAGTTTACTAAATTTACTATATTTATTAAATATAAAGCAATGTTTGGCTCCTTGATTCTGCACACCTTTATTTGACTCTGCCTGTTTTCTTTCACATAAGGACTACAGCATTTTTTACTGACTCCTCCTTGACCATCATTTTTTTCATAATATAATAAAAACCTGGCATTTCCGTGAAGTTGACTTACTGGCTTGTATTGCTATTTACTTCTGGGATGTAGTAATATAGGGATATACTATGGAAAGAAACTTAACAAAAAACAGAGAAAATTATCTGTAGTTGTCAAGGGCTCATTAACCTTTCTGTGCCTTAAATCGAAGCCACATTTTTGTGTCTGTGTAGCTTGTCATCCTCAATAAAATCTGCTTGAATTTGAAAATTCTATTTCTAGAGCTGCTTTTTATTTGCTCATTACTGACATCCCTCATTTACTCTTCTCAGGGAGGGACTGGATATTGGTGGGTCTCCCCACCTCAACTCTCCCGAAGGGAGAAAATTCCCTAGGTGTTTTGAGTGACACAGCAACACATTCTTTGGCTTTGTTGTCAAATTGGAAGTGTGTGAATCCTCAGTCCCTCAGGCCAGATTTCAAGTGTTTTCCCAAAGGAACTTCTCATATGGAAAATAGTCAGTCTTCCTTTGCATAATTTTTATACCTAATAAATGATTCAGATTGGGGCTGTCAGCCGTATGGTGGGCACCCTAACTGAAGGAGGCATATGAGTGGCAGATTATAATAATAGGTTATATATTTTGGTCATCAGCCTGAAATCCTAAATGAATATATTCTAACTCATTTAGTTTCTCCCCAAAGCTTTGTAAGGATATTCTTAGCATTTAATTATATCAAACAAAACTATAGTTTATTTGGAGTCAGTTATTTGTTCTGGGTTAATTAACACATCTGATTTAAAAGTGATAAACACTTAAAATAAATGGAAAATGATTCCTGGGTAGATAGGTCTAAGTGGATGCAGTTTTGTACCTGACCTGGTTCATGTGTCTGACCTATTACTACTTCAAGGAATGTAGTAGCAGGTGTTGATATTTTTCCAAACGGCAGATTGGTCATGTTTGGTGGGATATGCTTAGTGCAGTGTGAAATTGACATTTCAGAGCTCCAGGTTGCTATTTACAGTGACTGGTTTCTATTGATGAACTTTTTGCTTCTTTTATTTACAGACCCACATAAGCTTTTAAAAGTTGATTCTCAGTTTTAAATTGATTCATGCTTTTCTTTCAGATAAGGTAGTTTGAATTTCCCTGAATAGTTTTATTCTTGAGTATAATATCTTTTGGGGGATGGTGTTCATTTCACTCTTTCCTACATGTTTCTGAATAAAATAAATTTAGATTTTGAAAGGTCAGTTAGTCCAGCTGCTTTCAATTTGAAGAGACTTAATTCTCCCCAGACAAGCACAATGTATCTCACTTAAAAAATATATTTTAGAGATAAGTAGCTTAAGAATAACTGTACCTATTGAATACCTAGCATGATATCTCCCTCATTTACCTAATAAACAAGACACACATTAGGAACCAACATCAAAATGTTTTTGTACCATATGAAAGCTGTCACAGTTTCTCTTTTTATTGTAAATGGCTCATCAACTTGGAAATTTCACATAAGTAGATCAGAATTTAAGAGTGCAGAGGATATTAGTATCCTCCTAGAAATTTGTCTGTTATGAACCCCTTTATTATTTCATATTTCCACCATGAAAGATATCTCTATAAGGATGAAGCAAAGCAGAAATAAGTAAAAAGGCAAAGGAAATAACTATACTTAAGGATATGAGTTAAGCATTTTTCTTCTCAGCCTTTATATATGTCTGTCTTTAACATTTACAAAGTGTTTAGTGTGTGGAAAACATTATCTTAATATTGACTCCTAGAGCACACATTAACAACCCAATGATATATGAACTGCTGTCATCCCATTGCACAGGTAAAGAACTGAAGTATAGAGAAATTAGGTTATTTGCACAAGGTCCCACAACTAGTAAAACGCAGAGTTGATTTAAAAGCATAGCCTCTGGATCCAGACTGTCTTAACCACCATTTACACTATGCTGCCCTTATGTGTCCACAAGCAACAGTTTACATACCATTTTTTAATGTTTTACTATATCATGTATCTTATTTTAGTACCAAAGGAGTAATTATAAACATAACACAGTTATTCTGGTATTTTTAGAAATCTAAACTATTATGTCTGAGGTATACAGAGTTATGTTACATTAAAGTTTGGAATCAAATTTGTACTCTTTTGAGTTTTCTGAACACGTTTCTCTCATCAAACCATTCCAAGGTTTTTATATTGCTTTTACATTGAATCAAAAAATACATGTTTAGTAATAATTTGATTTTTCCCCAGAGGTAGTTGTAACCCATCAATTTGAAGGGTCACTTCTAAAGTCACCTTAGAATTATTATTGGTCACAAAAAAAAAAGTTTAGTTTCAGAATCATTGTTTGGATTTGTTTGTATTCTTTCTTATACATATTTCCTAACATTTCAGTAGTTAATCTTTTTCTTTAGCAGTGATAAAAATTAAAGAGGGGTGGCTATAATTAAAAAAATAGGACAGAAAGTCACATCAAAAGTTTAACAGTGTACCTCTAAATTACACGTATAATATCAACTGATCACCTAATAATGTATTTAGTTATATATATGCTTTATATTAGCAAAAAAGTGAACAAGTTTTATAGAAAAAATATTTATCAGAAATTAAATGATTTGTGATGTATTTTATGTTGTTATATATCCAACTCAGATATACTAAGAGTAGTCTTATATAAATGCTAATTTATACTACATCTCTCCAGTTGCCCATACTTATTTTAAACTCTGTAAGAATTTGTTCGTTTATGAGTGGCTGCAACAGATTTAGAGAAAGATGTGGGATAATTACTCCTCTCAGGCTGCCATAACAAAAGACCACAGACTGGGTGGTTTTAACAATAGAAATTAAGTTTTTCACATTTCTGGAAGCTAGAAGTCCATGATCAGGGTGCCAGCAGGGATGCTTTCTGGCGAGGCTTCTCTTGGCTTGCAGATGGCCACCATATTGCTGTGTCCTCACACAGCTTTTCCTCTGTGTGCACACACTCCTTATGTCTCTTTCTCTTATAAGGACACCAGTCCTGTCAAATTAAGGCCCCACACTTATGACCTCATGTAACCCTAATTACCTCCGTAAAGGTCCTGTCTTCAAATATAGTCATGTTGGAGGTTAGGCTTTTAACATAATTTTTGGGGGACACATTCAGTTCCTAACAATTAGCATCAGTGATTGTGGGTAATCTGCCAGGTTCTGCTGATCATATTCTTTTATTTTTTATGTTCAACAAACTAGCATTGTGCAACAAATAAAGACATTTTTCTTTAACTTACCTCACTTAGAGAAAACTTCGAGGTGTTTTGTATTCACTTTATATCTTTAAGTTTAGGCAAAGTACTAGTATGATGGCTTTCAAAATTTTTTTTACCTTGATCTGCATATAGATATAGATTTTTCATTACAACTCAATTCACATGCACCCACAATCACACATGCACATGTACTGTATAACAGAAAAAAGAGTTTATATTATGAATCTTACCCTCTTAAAAGCATTGCACCTTGGTATTTTTCTCATATTCTGTTCTCATTTATTTTTAAATTTAATAAATTTAATCCCATTAATTTAATTAATAATAGTCATGACCCACTAAATTGACTCATGAGTTAACACCAAAAATTTGAAAAACTGCTTGCTAGGTAAAACTCATTTGATCAGTATTGTCTCAAGGTAGCAATGTTGCTGTATGTGCATTCCTAATAACTCCCCTAGAATTTAACATTTAAACATATTTTTAGCACAGAGTTTTGCTGTTTGTTGTTGACCACTCTCAAGCACTCAATGACTGGAAGAAAACTCTCTAGAAAGTGTAACCCTTCATTTAGAGGTGCACCAGTTTCTTTCAAATCTTGAAACAGCGCAACTAAGAGATCTAGGAGATTGCTACATTGTTGAGGTTGGGCTCCTTGAAAGCCAATTTCCCATGAAAATCAGGTGCATATGCACAGTGATATAAGCTATTCAACAAGTATCTGAATGTATTTGTCATCAATGATCTTTGTCCCTGATATGGCCTGGCTCTGTGTCCCCACCCAAATCTCATCTTGAATTGTAATCCAAACTGTAATCCCCACATGTTGCGGGAGGGACCTTGTGGGAGGTGATTAGATCATGGGGCTGGTTCCCCCATGCTGTTCTCATGATAGTGAATGAGTTCTCATGAGATCTGATGGTTTTATAAGGGGCTTTCCCTGCTTCACTCTGCACTTGTCTCTCCTGCCACCATGTGAAGAAAGACGTGTTTGCTTCCCCTTCCGCCAGGATTGTAAGTTTCCTGAGGCCTCCCCAGCCATGCGGAACTGTGAGTCAATTAAACCTCTTTACTTTATAAATTACCCAGCCTTGGACAGTTCTTTGTAGCAGCGTGAGAACAGATTAATACAGTCCCTTTTACATTAATTGGAGATACTCTAGCATTCAGGGTCCTTTCAGAAAATAGGAACCATTCTAAATACTTCAAACAGGGATAATTTAATACGGGATATTAAATGATATAGGTGATGAAAGCTCTAGAAGCCAAACCAGGAATGGTGACTCATCCCAGAGAATGGTAACAGCAGGAAGCTGCTGGCTGGAGGCAGTGTTACTGAAACCCAGGAGCTGAGGTCATGTGGCAAAAGCTGGAACCACAGAGAGGACTGTCTAGATAAGCTTTAGTCACAAATGAGATGGAGCTGCTGCTGGAGACACTATGGGAAACAAAGAGAAGAGAGAAGAAAGAATGTGACTTCTCCCTTGCTCCTACCTTCCATCCTTTTACTAATAGCCTTCATTGGTCAAAACTACTGGAAGCCCAGAGACCAGGGGAAACAGAAAAATGTAGTTCCCCGCTATATAGAATAGAACCAGGGAGAGGCAGGGATTGGATCTAAGACCAACTAATCTAAGCAAATGATTGGCATAGATACTTAGAGTCATCTGGTTTTTTTTCTTATTTAATTAATTCTATTTTTGTCATAATACCCACGTAAAAATTCACCCTTGTAAATTACACTCATGTTCATAGATCATAGGATATGAGTTTTAGGCTTTTAGAATATGCCTTTCTCTCTCATGTTTTCATTGAATATATGTGCCTTAATTTATCTGTTTCCTTCTAATGGAACATTGAGGTTGCATTTGACATTTTGCTGTTATAAATTACTCTGACGTTGACTATATTCATGGAAAGATAGTTTCTCCTATACTGTTTTATTATTTTAAAAGTTATACTCAGAAGATGGATTAGTGTCCCAAAAGCATGAATAGGTTTTTGACTCTTTTTTTTTTTTTTTTTTTTTTTTTACCAGATTGCTTTTCTATAGCATTTTTCCAGTGTTCCAGTATATAAGTATGATAAGTTAGAAGAAAAGCTTTGGACAATTGAATTGCCAGAGTTTAACTGAGCAAAGAATGATTCATGAATTGAGTCGCCCCCAGAACAGAATATGTTGAGAGTGATTCCTGGCTGTCACATGGTCAGTTAAGCTTATGGATGGACAGAAAAAAGAAGGTGATGTGCAGAAAATGGAAGTGAGGAACAGAAACAGCTAGATTGGTTACAGCTGGGTGTTTGCTTTATTTGAATAGGGTTTGAACAGTTGACCGCATGTGATTGGCTGAAACTCGGATGCAATGATTGGCTGAGACTTGGCTACTTGTTATAAGAGTAAGTTACAGTCTATTTATACATCCAGTTAGGTTACAGTTCACTATGTATGGAGAAACCTTTAGGTCAAACATAAAATATGTAAGGAGTAAACTTAAGGTTAAACTTAATTTAAACAACCAATTTTACTGACTTTTATCTACATTAGAATCGTTTCATTAAAAAAATCTTGTTGCTTCATTTAGTTGGTGAGTTATGGTAACTGGTTTTCAATGGTTTTATTAGGTTTTATTAGGTTTTATTAGGATATTGAGTATATTTTTCACAAATTTATTGACAAGTGGCACATTTTCTTTTGTAAATAGCTTATTTACATTTTTGCATATTCTTCTAACAAGTTTGCTAAGACTGTGGATCTAAGAAGACAGAAAACCGTTTAACATGGACTCTCATATTGAAAAAAACAAAAACTATAAGCCTGTGTCTCTCCTTCAGCCCTGTAGCCTGGGTGGTGGACTAGAATGAACTATATTGAAAGATCCCTGAAGTCCATTTCCTAAACCAGCCTGACTGGTTCCCTTACAATTCACAATAATAGCTTCTTTTGTCTTTTTCTTCTCTGTGCCCTTAGAACTGGGGTTTGGGGTTAGGGAGGGTCAGTCTTTCAAAAAACAAGCACTTAATTTCTCGAAGTGTCATCTTGAGAAAATGATGTGTTTTTTTTCATGAAAGAATTCTAGTTTTTTGCCTTTTTCTTTTAACTTAAAAACATTTTGTTCCACAAATAAAAATATTTTGAGAAGAAATAGTGTAAAAAAAAAATTTTTTTTTTTTTTTGAGACGGAGTCTCTCCCTGTCTCCCAGGGTGGAGTGCAGTGGCGCGATCTCGGCTCACTGCAAGCTCCACCTGCCGGGTTCCCGCCATTCTCCTGCTCAGAGTAGCTGGGACTACAGGCGCCCACCACCACGCCCGGCTAATTTTTTTTGTATTTTTTAGTAGAGACGGGGTTTCACCATGTTGGCCAGGATGGTCTCGATCTCCTGACCTCGTGATCCGCCCGCCTCAGCCTCCCAAAGTGCTAGGCTTACAGGCGTAAGTCATCGCGCCCGGCCAATAATTTTTATATTCTTAAATCTGTGCCTATGTGTTTTTATACATAGTATGAATTACTGCTTTGTTGTTTTGAAAATTAGTTCTTAGCAGTCTATAGGTTTAAAAATTTTCCTTTAGAATTTGAAAGGACCTTAGAGATAATCAGGCCTATTGTTTTATTTTCTTACATATTCACTAACACAGGAGACTATCTTAGTTTTGTAAGAAAAATAAAACATCTTTTATATATTTGAGGTTTGCAACAATAAAAAGCTTAATTTAGCTCCTTTAAATGCTTTAATTTCCTTCCTTTGAAATCATTAGACTGCATACTTTAAGTTAAACTCACAATAATTATTTAATTAGCATTCAATATATATAATATAGTTGGGTAAAATATGCTGATTTTTACTTAAATGTTAACGTGGTTAATTTAAGATTTATTTCCTACTTCTAGCTGTCATAAGGTGTTATTTATGATTTATTCTTCCCTTGGGAAAATTATTCAGGATTTATATTATTCTCATATAATCTATTCTATAAAACAAGTATGGAACAAAAAATAAAAGTATGATTTTTATAGGATAGATTATGTGAAAATAATATAAGAATAAGAGATATAAGCTATTCAACAAGTGACATAAGCTATTCACTATTTTATAGAATATAGAATATATTATTCTCATATAAACCATTCAATAAAACAAGTATAGAACAAAGAATCAAAGTATGAAACTACATTTATTTTCTAAAATGTTTTAATTTAAATGAGAAAATTATTTTACATTTAGTAAAAACATACAAAAATTTATACTGACTAATAATCCACTTACAAATTTCATTAAATAATATTTTATTTTCAATCATTTCTATTTAATTAGAGAAAATAAGAAGTTATTTTTAAAAATATACTATACACGCGCGCACACACACACACACACACACACACACACACACACACACACCACTTTTCCTTTCCTGCCAAGAGGATAAAGCCATCATAAGGCTAGGTCTGCAGAGGGGCAGTCTTCATGAACCAGTGACAGTTTGCTGATAAAGGAAGCAGCTAGTAAACCATGGATAAAATTAACCTACCCATGGTAACCACATTTTATGGATCTACAGCTGGAAGATGTGGTTTATGATCAACTGAAGCTTCATCTTTTACTATTTCCCTGTCCTCCCCAGGTTTTTATTCCAAGTTTCTATTTTTAGATTATTGAATGTCTCATGATTTCCTTCCTCTGCACCTTTGCAATTGCTGTTTTCTCTTCCTAGAATCTCCAGAATTTGTATCAATTTTGCAAGCAAAATTTGTAATAATAGCTTTCCTGGCTGGTATAGTTTATAATAGATTATTTAATTTGTTTATTTGTTTTTTGGTATTCCACATTTTTTACCCCTGATTTTTTGTGTATATGTTACCTTTACAATCAGAATACAGATTTTATTTTATTTATTTTTGAGACAAGGCCTCACTCTGTCACCCAGGCTGGAATGCAATGGCACATTTATAGCTCACTGCAGCCTCAATCTCCTGGGCTGAAGTGATCCTCTCACCTCAGCCTCCTGAGTAGGTGGGACTACAGGCCCACCACCATGCCTGCCTAATTTTTAAAAAAATTTTGAATAGAGATACAATATTGTTACGTTTTGCAGGCTGGTCTCCCAATTCCTGAGTTTAAGCAATCCTCCCACCTCAGCCTCCCAAAATGCTAGGATTACAGGTGTGAACCACCACACCCGGCCCAGATTTTATTTGTTTGCTTATACACATCATCTATATCCTAACATGATTTGACAGATTGGCAGAAGAAAAAGCTTGCTTTGAAAGTCCGTTTTGACTTAACCACATAGCGGCAAACTGAATTAAATATGAAACTCAGATCTTAAAAGTTCAGCACGTTTATAGCTGCTCATTCTGTTTTATTTCTTATGTTTTTCTTTTACTTAGCGTTTAGACTGAGCGTCTTCTATTTTAGCATTTCCCCGCGTAGCACCTTTCTGAGAATTACTTGCTTAACAAAAATTAACTGTCTGTTCCTTATACTTTTTTTTTTTCCTTTTTTTTTTATTATTATACTTTAAGTTCTGGGATACATGTGCAGAACATGCAGGTTTGTTAAATAAGTATACATGTGCCATGGTGGTTTGCTGCACCCATCAATCCGTCACCTACATTAGGTATTTCTCCTAATGCTATCCCTCCTCTATTCCCCCAAACTCTAACAGGCCCTGGAGTATGATATTCCCCTCCCTGTGTCCATGTGTTCTCATTATTCAACTCCCACTTATGAGTGAGAATATGCAGTGTTTGGTTTTCTGTCCCTGTGTTAGTTTGCTGAGAATGATGGTTTCCAGCTTCATCCATGTCCCTGCAAAGGACATGAACTCATCCTTTTTTATGGCTGCATAGTATTCCATGGTGTATATGTGCCACATTTTCTTTATCCAGTCTATCATTGATGGCCATTTGGGTTGGTTCCAAGTCTGTGGTATTGTGAACAGTGCTGCAATAAACTATGTGTGTATGTGTCTTTACAGCAGAATGATTTATAATCCTAAGGGTATATACCCAATAATGGGATTGCTGGGTCAAATGGTATTTCTGGTTCTGTATCCTTGAGGAATCGCCACACTGTCTTCCACAATGGTTGAACTAATTTATACTCCCATCAATAGTGTAAAAGCATTCCTATTTCTCCATATCCTCTCCAGCACCTGTTGTTTCCTGACTTTTTAATGATCGCCATTCTAACTGCCATGAGATGGTATCTCATTGTGGTTTTGATTTGAATTTCTCTAACGAACAGTGATGATGAGTTTTTTTTCCATATGTTTGTTGGCCACATAAATGTCTTCTTTTGAGAACTGTCCGTGCATATACTTCGCCAACTTTTTGATGAGGTTTTTTTTTTCTTGCAAATTTGTTTAAGTTTCTTGTAGATTCTGGATATTAGCCCTTTAACAGATGGATAAATTGCAAAAATTTTCTCCCATTCTGTAGGTTGCCTATTCACTCTGATGATAGTTTCTTTTGCTGTGCAAAAGCTCTTTAGTTTAATTAAATCCCATTTGTCAGTTTTGGCTTTGGTTGCCATTGGTTTTGGTGTTTTAGTCATGAAGTCTTTGCCCATTCCTATGTCCTGAATGGTATTGCCTAGGTTTTCTTCTAGAGTTTTTATGGTTTTAGGTCTAACATTTAAGTCTTTAATCCATCTTAAGTTAATTATTGTATAAGGTGTAAGGAAGGGGTCCAGTTTCAGTTTTCAGCATATGGCTAGTCAGTTTTCCCAACACCATTTATTAAATAGGGAATCCTTTTCCCATTGCTTGTTTTTGTCAGGTTTGTCAAAGATCAGACGGTTGTAGATGTGTGATGTTACTTCTGAGGCCTCTGTTCTGTTCCATTCGTCTATATATCTGTTTTGGTACCAGTACCATACTGTTTTGGTTACTGTAGCCTTGTAGTATAGTCTGAAGTCAGGTAGCATGATGCCTCCAGATTTGTTCGTTTTGCTTAGGATTGTCTTGGCTATACAGGCTCTTTTTTGGTTCCATATGAACTTTAAAGTAGTTTTTTTCTAATTCTGTGAAGAAAGTCAATGGTAGCTTGATGTTGATAGCACTGAATCTATAAATTACTTTGGGCAGTATGGCCATTTTCACGATATTGATTCTTCCTATCCATGAGCATGGAATGTTTTTCCATTTGTTTGTGTCCTCTCTGATATCCTTGAGCAGTGGTTTGTAGTTCTTGAAAAGGTGCTTCACATCCATTGTAAGTTGTATTCCTAGGTATTTTATTCTCTTAGTAGCAATTGTGAATGGGAGTTCACTCATGATTTGGCTGTTTGTCCATTATTGGTGCATAGCAATGCTTGTGATTTTTGCACACTACTTTGTATACAACTTTGCTGAAGGTGCTTATCAGCTTAAGGAGTTTTGGGGCTAAGACAATGGGGTTTTCTAAATAAACAGTCATGTCATCTGCAAACAGAGATAATTTGACTTCCTCTCTTCCTATTTGAATAACCCTTTATTTCTTTCTCTTGCCTGATTGCCCTGACCAGAACTTCCAATATTATGTTGAATATGAGTGGTGAGAGAGGAGATCCTTGTGCCAGTTTTCAAAGGGAATGCTTCCAGCTTTTGCCTATTCAGTACTATATTGGCTGTGGGTTTGTCATAAATAGCTCTTATTGTTTTGATATGTGTTCCATCAGTACCTAATTTATTGAGTGTTTTTAGCATGAAGTGGTGTGGAATTTTATCGAGGGCCTTTTCTGCATCTATTGAGATAATCATGTGGTTTTTGTCATTGGTTCTGTTTATATGATGGATTACATTTATTGATTTGCATATGTTGAACCAGCTTTGCATCCCAGGGATGAAGCCAATTTGATCATGGTGGATAAGCTTTTTGATGTGCTACTGGATTTGGTTTGCCAGTATTTTATTGAGGATTTTTGCTTCAAAGTTCATCATGGATATTAGCCTGAAGTTTTCTTTTTTTGTTGTGTCTCTGCCAGGTTTTAGTATCAGGATGATGTTGGCCTCATAAAATGAGTTAGGGAGGAGTCCCTCTTTTTCTGTTGTTTGCAATAGTTTCAGAAGGAATAGTACCAGCTTCTCTTTGTACCTCTGGTAGAATTCGGCTGTGAATCTGTCTGGTCCTGGACTTTTTTTGGTTGGTAGGCTATTAATTACTGCCTCAATTTCAGAACTTGTTATTGGTCTATTCAGGGATTGGACTTCTTCCTGGTTTAGTCCTGGGAAGGTGTATGTGTCCAGGAATTTATCCATTTCTTGTAGATTTTCTAGTTTATTTGTATAGAGGTGTTCATAGTATTCTTTTATGGTAGTTTGTATTTCTGTGGGATAGTGGTGATATCCCCTTTATCATTTTTTATCATGTCTGTTTGATTCTTCTCACTTTTCTTCTTTATTAGTCTGGCTAGCTGTCTATCTATTTTGTTAATCTTTTCAAAAATCCAGCTCCTGGATTCATTGATTTTTTTTGAAGGGTTTTTCATGTCTCTGTCTCCCTCAGTTCTGCTTTGATCTTAGTTATTTCTTGTCTTCTACCAGCTTCTGAATTTGTTTGCTCTTGCTTCTCTAGTTCTTTTAATTGTGATGTTAGGGTGTTGATTTTAGATCTTTCCTGCTTTCTCCTGTGGACATTTAGTGCTATAAATTTCCCTGTTAACACTGCTTTAGCTGTGTCCCAGAGATTCTGGTACATTGTGCCTTTTTTCTCATTGTTTTCAAAGAACTTATTTATTTCAGCCTTAATTTCGTTATTTACCCTGTAGTCACTCAGGAGCAGGTTGTTCAGTTTCCATGTAGTTGTGCAGTTTTGAGTGAGTTTCTTAATCCTGAGTTCTAATTTGATTGCACTGTGGTCTGCGAGACTGTTATGATTTCTGTTCTTTTGCATTTGCTGTGGAGTGTTTTACTTCCAATTATGTGGTCAGTTTTAGAATAAGTGTGATGTGGTGCTGAGAAGAATGTATATTCTGTTGATTTGGGGTGGAGAGTTCTGTAGATGTTTATTAGGTTCGCTTGGTCCAGAGCTGAGTTCAAATTTTGAATATCCTTGTTAATTTTCTGTCTCATTGGTCTGGCTAATATTGACAGTGGGGTGTTAAAGTCTCCCACTATTATTGTGTGGGAGTCTCAGTCTCTTTGTAGGTCTCTAAGAACTTGCTTTATGAATCTGGGGTGCTCCTGTATTGGGTGCATATATATTTAGGATAGTTAGCTCTTCTTATTGCATTGATCCCCTTACCATTATGTAATGCCCTTCTTTGTCTCTTTTGATCTTTGTTAGTTAAAGTCAGTTTTATCAGAGACTAGGATTGCAACCCCTGCTTTTTTGCTTTCCATTTGCTTGGTAAATATTCCTCCATCCCTTTATTTTGAGCCTATGTATGTCTTTGCACATGAGATGGCTCTCTTGAATAGAGCACACTGATGGGTCTTGACTGTATTCAATTTGCCAGTCTGTGTCTTTTAATTGGGGCATTTAGCCCATTTACATTAAGTTTAATATTGTTATGTGTGAATTTGAAACTGTCATTATGATGCAAGCCGGTTATTTTGCCCATTAGTTGATTCAATTTCTTCATAGTGTCGATAATCTTCACAATTTCGTATGTTTTTGCAGTTGCTGGTACTGGTTTTTCCTTTCCATATTTAGTGCTTCCTTCAGGAGCTCTTGTAAGGCAGGCCTGGTGGTGACAAAATCCCTCAGCATTTGCTTGTCTATAAAGGATTTTATTTCTCCTTTGCTTATGAAGCTTAGTTTGGCTGGATATGAAACTCTGGGTTGAAAATTCTTTTCTTTAAGAATGTTGAATATTGGTCCCCACTCTCTTCTGGCTTGTAGGTTTTCTTCAGAGAGATCCGCTGTTAGTCTGACGGGCTTCCCTTTGTGGGTAACCTGACCTTTCTCTCTGGCCGCCCTTAACATTTTTTCCTTCATTTCAACCTTGGTGAATCTGATGATTATGTGTCTTGGGGCTACTCTTCTTGAGGAGTACCTTTGTGGTGTTCTCTGTATTTCCTGAATTTGAAATTGGGCCTATCTTTCTAGACTGGTTGGGGTAGTTCTCCTGGATAATATCCCAAGGAGTGTTTTTCAACTAGGTTCCAGTCTCCCTGTCACTTTCAGGTACACCAATCAAACTTAGGTTTCGTCTTTTTACATAGTCCCATATTTCTTGGAGGCTTTGTTCATTCCTTTTCATTCTTTTTTCTCTAATCTTGTCTTCATGCTTTATTTCATTACATTGATCGTCAGTCTCTGATATCCTTTCTTCTTGATTGATTAGGCTATTGATACTTTTTTATGCGTCACAAAGTTCTTGTGCTGTGTTTTTCAGTTCCAGCAGGTCATTTATGTTCTTCTCTAAACTGGTTATTCTATTAGCAATTCCTCTAACCTTTTTTCAAGGTTCTTAGCTTCTTTGCATTGGGTTAGAACATGTTCTTTTAGCTTGAAGGCGTTTGCTATTGCCTTCTGAATCCTACTTCTGTCAATTCGCCAAACTCATTTTCCATCCAGTTTTGTTCCCTTGCTGGCGAGTTGTGATCCTTTGGGGGAGAAAAGGCATTCTGGATTTTGGAATTTATAGGCTTTTGGCACTGGTTTTTCATCATCTTCGTGGATTTATCTACCTTTGGTCTTCATGTTGGTGATCTTTGGATGGGGTTTCTGTGTGGACGTCCTTTTTGTTGATGTTGATGCTATTCCTTTCTGTTTATCAGTTTTCTTTCTAACACTCAGTCCCGTCTGCTGCAGGTCTGCTGGAGTTTGCTGGAGGTCTGCTCCACACCCTGTTTGCCTGGGTATCACCAGTGGAGGCTGCAGAACAGCAAAGATTGCTGCCTGTTCCTTCCTCTGGAAGCTTTGTTCCGCAGGGGCACCTGCCAGATGTCAGCCAGAGCTCTTTTGTATGAGGTGTCTGTTGACCCCTGCTGGGAGGTGTCTCCCAGTCAGGAGGCACGGTGGTCAGGGACCCACTTGAGAAGGCAGTCTGTCCCTCAGCAGAGCTTGAGTGCTGTGCTGGGAGATATGCTCTCTTCAGAGCCAACAGGCAGGAACATTGAAGTCTGCTGAAAGTGCGCACACAGCTGCCCCATCCCCCAGGTGCTCTGTCCCAGGGAGATGGGAGTTTTATCCATAAGCCCGACTGGGGCAGCTGCCTTTCTTTCAGAGATGCCCTGTCCAGAGAGGAGGAATCTAGAGAGACAGTCTGGCTACAGCAGCTTTGCTGGACTTCGGTGGGCTACGCCCAGTTCTAACTTCCTGGTGGCTTTGTTTATACTGCGAGGGGAAAACCACCTACTCAAGCCTCGGTAATGGCAGACACCACTCCCCACACCAAGCTCCAAAGTTGCCTTCAGACTGCTGTGCTGGCAGCGAGAATTTCAAGTCAGTGGATCTTAGCTTGCTGGGCTCTGTGGGGGTGGAATCTGCTGAGCTAGACCACTTGGCCCCCTGGCTTCAACCCCCATTCCAGGGTAGTGAATGGTTTTGTCTCGCTGGCATTCCAGGTGCCACTGGGGTATGAAAAAAAACTCCTGCAGCTAGCTCTGTGTCTACCCAAACAGCCGCCCAGTTTTGTGCTTGAAACCCAGGGCCCTGGTGGTGTAGGCACCCAAGGGAATATCCTGGACTTTGGTTTGAGAAGACCATGGGAAAAGCATAGTATCTGTGCTGAAGTGCACCTTTCCTCACGGCACAGTTCCTCAGGGCTTCCCTTGGCTAGGGGAGGGAGTTCCCTGACACCTTGCACTTCATCGGTGAGGCAATGCCCCACCCTGCTTCAACTCACCTCTGTGGGCTGTACCCACTGTCTAACCAGTCCCAATGAGATGAGCCAGGTAGCTCAGTTGGAAATGCAGAAATCATCCACCTTCTGCATTGATCTTGCTGGGAGCTGCAGACTGGAGCTGTTCCTATTCGGCCAGCTTGCCAGCCTGATACTCCGTACATTCTTAAAGATTCTAACTTTATCTTTTCTTGATTTCCTCATCTCCAGGATAAGGAAATTGTGTTGAATGAGCTTTGTGGGGCCATCCATCTCTACTATGCTGCAGTATGCTTTGGGGGAGTCCTATTACTTTATAACTACCTGCCATTCTCCATTCTGTATCTGTCCAACTCAATCTATGATGGTTGTTGGATTAATCTTCATAATATAGAACCCTAATCACATTGAGCATCTGTTCTGGAATGGAAAAGAATAAAATGTTAATAACTTTCTTCATGCAATGGGAGTTTTGTGAGTTACCATTTATTAAAAGCTGACCAAATAAATTCTACTTAGTAAACAAAAATATATTGATACATTTTTATGTCTGGTACATTCTGGCACCTAAGGATAGTGAATTGATTCAGAATTTATGCATATCACACTAGTAGGGAAATTAAAATTCTATAATTTTGTATTTAATCTTAGCCGATGTATGTGTGTGTATATATATATATGCTTATCTTTCTGATATTAATTTTCTTACGTAGAACATGGATCCTCCAGGCATAACTAGTTTCTATTTCTCATGTACGTCCTCAGAATTCCCGAAACCTCTTTGTTATTGCCAATCTGGAATGACTTTCCTCCCTTTATCACATTTCTATTTATCTTTCAATATGCAGCTTAGATATTAGATAGCAAGTCTTCCTTCCTTTCTCAACATCTTCCTTCTTTTTCTATGGAACATTACTTTTTAACCTTGAACTATAAGTTACTTAGGTTCACATTTTCTCCTCCATGAGACTGCTACCTTTTGCAGGCAGGAAGTAGCTTAAAAGCATAAGCTTTTGAGTCAGATAGACCAGACTCTGTCTTTACCAGTTTTGCCTACCTAGGCAAGTTACTTGCTTTCTCTAAGTCTTGGTTTTCTCATCTGCAAAATGGGGATGTTAGTAATGACTTCTGTATAGGGTAGCAGTAAGAGTTAAAGAAGACAACGTTTGTAACACACTTAGTACCATGCTTGGTTCATTGGTAAGTTTCCAATAAATTCAAGGCATTTTTAATTATTATATAATTTTAATTATATATTAACAATCCCTTCTACCCTGTGAACTCTTACAAATCACTCAGTGTTTTGGATGTAGCAAGTGTTTAATACATATATTTAGGAGAACTTTAACAAATGTTGTTGAATAAAGGCTTATAGGAATTCAGAAGAGGGAATGATTAGTTCTGATTGTTGGATTAAGGAAGACTTGATTGGAGTTGGCATTTGAACTTTCACGTCTGAGTTATGATTTGACAGAAATGAACAACAAAAAAACATTGGAAGCCAATGACATGCAATTTCAGGGAGAAGTGTCAGCTAAGCTTTACATTAATAATAGAACCTACTCAATGGGTCGGTTTGTTAATAAATGCATCTAAAGCATTGGCATAGTAAGAATATGGTAAATATTAGCCTGTGTTTTAACACCCCATATATAGACTACATGTTAAATAAATAACAAAAACTCACTTATAGTATATATGTGTATATACACACACATGCACACGTCATCTTTCACACTAACTTGAAGGATCTCTGTATGGCAACATTTCCTTAATATTTTTGTTTGCAATATCCATTTAAAAGTACAAAGAAAACATTTATTTTAAAATATTGTTTATTTCAGCTATATATTATTCTTCCTGTTTATTTGAATTAGTGAGACAATACTTTGCAAATGGCTTTAAGTTGTCAGCTGTTAAGGATTATCATGCCATTTTTTTCCCCACTGGTATAGCTAAATTTGAGAGAAATCTATATAAGTGACAGCTTACAACAGCTGCAATTGCTTGATATGTGAAAACAATCAAGGGATATATATTATATGAAGTTCAAGGTCATTTTATTTTAATTAAACATGTCTTGAATTATAATATGTTCCATAATAATGTAACTAAGATTTTTTCTGTCATACTCTTTTTAAATTTTTTGTTTTAATATACTTTCCAGACATATGAAAGTTACAAGAATAGTACAATAATTCTAATATACCTTTTATCCAGATTCCTCAATGTTAACATTTTGACATCTTTACTTTATTTCTCTCCTTTTCTCTCTCACCCACACATACTCATTCTCTGTCTGAACTATGTGAAATAGTTGCAGACATGACACCCATCATTTACTCCTGAATACGCCAGAGTGAGATTCTTAAAAATAACAAAAAATAGGATATTTTCTTAAATAACCAAAAAACAATTATCAAATTAAGATCATGCAATATTATTATCTATTCCACAGACCTTATTTAGATTTTGCCATTTGTCCCAATAACATCCTTTATAACAACAGAAAAATCCCATATTTATGTTTTACATGTAGTTGTCACATCTCTCTGGTTCTCTTTTAATCTGGAACACTTCCTCAGTCTTTCTTTGTCTTTCTTGGCCTTAACCTTCTTGAAGAACACAGACCAGTTATTTTGCAGAATGCCCCTCAACTTGTATTTGTCTGGTGTTTTCTGATGATTAGAATCAGGTGGTGCACTTGGAGCAGGAATAGCATAGAAGTGATATTTTCTTCTCAGTGCATCATGTCAGGAGGACAACAAAAATAGTAAAACATAAATTTTGGAAATTTGGAAAGAAACACTTTTATAATTTTTTAGAATGTTTGAAAACTTATATTTCTCAATTTTATTTATATTTAACATTTTTCATTTTTTAGCCAATCAGTAAAATATTAAGTATGGAATAACACTTTCTCTGCAAGGTTCTCTGTCAAATTTTTGCAATTTGTCAAGTGTATTTATTGTTAAATGAAGATAAATATAGAAAGACACTCTTTAGTAAGAAATTTAGTTATCTATGGTATTAAATACTAACATGGGTTTGATATGAAATAGAGCATTGTGCAAGAATGTTTTTGACAGGTACAAATAAAGAGGTTGAACTAAGTAATTGGTTTGACAGATTTATTTTGCCAAATTTTGCCACCCAAATCTGAGGCCACTAATAGGGAAAAGATTCAGGCATTGCCTATTAATGCTCACTTAGTATTGGTTAGCTTTTTCAGACATTTGAGAGAAGGAATTTTCTTTTAAGTCAGAATTAATTTTAAATCAACAGTGCTCTTTTATATAGAAAGATATATGATACTCAGATTTTATGCCTGATCATTCTTTCTTTCTTATTTTCCCCTCAAGAGAGAAAAAACTACTGCCTGATTACAAATCCTGCAGTGCATATGTTGAATCTAATTACATGTTTCATATTGCTCCTTGCCAACAAATACATGTTAATAATAATGAATAATCAACCTCACTTAACAAGAGGAACACAAAATGTGTTTCTGCCATTTCTCATGATGGACAGACCCAGGAGTATGTCAAAGATGGTATCCTCACCACATCAGTTGCCTATGACTTATTACCAGCAACCTGCTCTAGATGATGAAGTGTGAAATTGATGGGCACTATAGGGAATTTGAACTGAGATTTCAGGCTAGGGAAGCGCTGTCTCACAATATTCGCCTGCCTTGTTCATTGGCTCACTGGTTTGCCCTAAGGCCTCTTTTTATAATGCTCTGGAAAATGTTTCCTGGCTAAGTTTATGTATGTGTTACTGTATCTGGCTAGCAACCAGATTGATAGAATAAAGCTTACAGGAAATTTTACTATATCCTGTTCCCCAGCTGATAGCAAGAAGTCTGAGCCATATAAGAACTGACTGAACAGAATGAATGGATGAAATATTTGAGCATGTCATTATGAGGATATCTTTCACTGCAGAAGATATTATAGACACTAAAGGGGAAAATGTTGTGCTGTTATCACCTCCCAACTTTTTTAAATTAACTTTTAGAGATTAGTTTGTTAGTGATTCCCACATTTAACTCATGTCAAATGATTCTTTTATAATAGAAGTATTAATTTATAATTTATATTTGATTTATGAAATTGCTTGAATAGTCAAGTATTGATTAATTTAGCAGAGTCTGAAAGTATAGTATATACTATATCCCTATAATTTATTTCAGAAATTTTCATTTACTTCTGGAATTATTTTCCTCCTGCTTTATTTGAAAAGTCAAGATATTATTATGTTGCTATAACATTAGTAGAAAAATTCCAGGGAGGCAGTAGAGAGACATATAAGCAAAACTCAAGTTTTCAAGCAGGCCTGAATTTAAAGGTGTATCCTAGCTACTTAATCTCAAGCAAATTAGCTAACATTTCCAAGCCTTAAATTTCTTAGCTTGGAGAATCATAATATTTACCTCACATTCTTAAGTAAAATAATGTATAAAATAACTTGCACAGTGCCTGGCTTTACTTTCTCCTCTCACCCAGTACTTTGATATTTTTGTTGAGGCATAAACAGTGGAATATAAATGTTAACATTATTTAGTATTTTATTTCATCATGATATTTTGTTTCTCTTTGAACTTACTAAATTTAATTTTCCTTTTCTTTTTAATTTTTGAGACAGGGTCTTGCTCTGTTTCCAGGCTGGAATGCAGTGGCACAATTATAGCTCACTGTAGCCTCAAACTCCTGAGCTAAAGGGATCCTCCCCCTCAGCCCCCCAAGTACTTAGGAATACAGGCGTGTGCCATCATGCTCAGCTTTTTTTTTTTTTTTAAAGTTTTTGTAGAGATGGAGCCTTTTGCTTTATTGCCCAGGCTGGTCTCGAACTCCTGGCCTCAAGCAATCCTGTAGCCTTAGCCTCGCAAAGTGCCCAATTACAGGCGTGAGTCATCTTTCTCAGCCTAATTTTCCTTTCTTTAGAAACAAAATTGGACTCATGACTCTATTAGCATTCTTAAGAAGTATTCTACGCAGAACAGAAGTAGAACAAGCAAGAAAAAGTGAAAATACATCTATTGCTAAGGGAAGGAAGAATTAAAACACAAATATATTTTTGATAAGATTTTTAAAAATAAAATCTAAATTTTTGGAATATTTTTGCACTTATAATTCTGTATCTTAGTTTATTTAACTACTTATCTTTTTTTTCTTTTTTTTTTTTTAACAAAGATAATGCGGGTTTGGATGAAGCACTTCTAAGTCAAAATGAACTTTTCCCACAGTGGTCAGGAATTGCCATAGTGCTATTTTCTAAGGTGCATAGCATGTCTGTGTGGGGTAGTTCGTATTTTGAAGCCCAGAGACTCTTTTCCTAGCAGGAATAGTTTTTCTGTGAGATGCTTTGAAAGATATTTTGCTTCATTTAAATGCCCTGTCAGAATAAATGTGCCACTTCTTGCGCATACCTTGTACAAGGTCTGCAACCTCTGTAAACTCTGAATGCCACTGGCAAAACTAAGCAATGTTCTGGTTAACCTTCACAAGCAGGGTAGTTGGGAGAAAAATAAATGAAGAGAATATGAGGAACAGGGGAAGAGAAAGAAAAGGAAAAAGGAGAAAGACGGCCAGGTGTGGTGGCTCATGCCTGTAATCCCAGCACTTTGGAAGGCCAAGGTGGGAGGATCACTTGAGCTCAGGAGTTCAAGACCAGCCTGGGCAACATAGCAAGATCTCATTTCTACAAAAAATTTAAAAATTAGCCAAGCATGGTGTGCGCACCTCCCAGCTATGTGACAGGCTGAGGCAGAAGGATCTGTTGAGCCCAAGAGGTTGTGGCTGCAGTGAGCCATGTTCATGCCACTGCAGTCCAGCCTGGGCAACAGAGTGAGACCCTATCTCAAAAAACAAAACAAAACAAAACAACCACCAAAAAACAGGAGAAAGATAAAAACATCATTCATGGCTTCATAATATATAGGAATTATGATTACTTGAGAATCCTTTTTTTTTTGAGACAGAGTCTTGCTCTGTCACTCAGGCTGGAGTACAATGCTGTGATCTTGGCTCACTGCTACCTCCTCCTGGGTTCAAACGATTCTCATGCCTCAGGTCCCCTAGTAGCTGGGATTACAGGCATGCACCATCATGCCCAGCTAATTTTTGTATTTATAATAGAGACGGGGTTTCACCATGTTGCTCGGGCTTACTTGAGAATTCTTAATAATCGCTTCTGATTTTTTGTCTTAATTCATATGTAGATAGTTTATTTCAGGACTTTCACTTTAAGTTTTATGAAAAGAATTATTGTGTTTGTGTACATATAATGTATTTTTAAAAATAACTACCAATTTGGGCTAAACTCAAGTAATTTTTTTCTGTAATGTCAAAGTCATCTCATTGATAATAACTATGCTGGAACACAAGTTCATTTTATTTCTACAAAGCACATCTCACATTCTTTCCCTCTGTCTGAGATGGACAATTTGTTCGAATTTGACCTTTCTTCCTCCTAGAGGCATAAATTTGGGCTGATTTATTTGGATAAGATTGGATATTGCACCTGGTGTGGATAGTACTAGATTACATCTTCAGGAAATTGAACTTTTTCTGTTTACCCTTTAGAACAAACAGCTTTCTGAAATGAATATGTTAGAGACAGTGTTAGCTTCTTTTTTTGTTTCCATTCTGCTACATAGGATCTTTTCATTTTACAAAAAAGTAGCTTTCTGTTGCTTTAGCAGGTTGGTATATTATACTTTCTGAAACTAAACTTCCTGATACATTCTTGGTAAAATTCAGGGTGGTGTGCAGTTGGTGTTGACCTATATGCCTTAAAACTTTTTTATATTAATGTAATCTAAATTTACAGAAAATTACAAAAATAGTACAAAAAAATCCAGATTCACTGTTTACATTTTTATTTTGCCCAATTTTTTTTTATCATTCATGCTCCAGTTCTTTTTCTTTCTCTCTCCCTCTGTATATGTGTGTATGTGTATGTATATATTTTTCTTGAACCAGTTAAAAGTGAGTTGTAGGCACTGCACCCGTTTAACCCTTACATTCTTTTATATAACCAGAATAGAATGATCAAAGTCAGGAATTTTAATATGGATACAATGTTACTATCTCCATAGCCTATATTCAAATGTCATCAATTGTCCCAATATCTTTTATATTTATCTTATATCTTATTCAGTTCAAGATTATATTGTATGTAGTTTTCAAGTTTCCTTAGTTTCCTTTAATACAGAATTAGCTTCTCTTTTGTCATTTATGATCTTCATATTTTTGGAGAGTACAAGCAAATTAGTTTGAAGAATGTCCATCAATTTGAGTTTGTCTGATTAGATTCATATTATGGATTTGGGGCAGGAATACTACAGAAGTGATGCACCACAGAAAAGGCATGGGATGTTAGTTTATCCTGTTATTGTTAATGGTGATGTTAAGTACCTAGTTAATATGGCACCTGCCAGGTTTCTGTACTGTAATGTTACTGTTTTTTACTTTGCAATTAAGTAATTTGTGGTAGTCTGAGACTATGTACATATCTTATTCCTCACCTGCTTTTCATTTAGCATCTGTCGTAGTTTGTTTTTTGTTGCTGTAACAGAATATCATAGACTAGGTAAATTATAAAAATAGAAATTTATTTGGCTCATGGTTTTTGAGGTGGAGAAGTCGAAGAGCATGGCACTAGCATCTGGTGAGGGTCATCCCATGGCAGAATGTGGAAGGCAGAAGAGAGCACATGAGACAGAGAGAGACACCAGGGACCAGACTAGCTTTATAACAATTCACCCTCCCAATAACTAACCCATTCCCTAAATAATAACATTAACCCATTCATGAGGGCAGAGCCCTCACAACCTGATCACCTGTTATTAAGCCTTACCTTCCAACAAAGTTGCATTGGATTAAACTTACAACACATGAACTTTTGGGGAACACATACAACCCAAAATAGCATCCATTGATGATTGTTGCCTGAATTAATTATCATTAATTACTATAATGTTTGCAAAATTGTGACTTTCTAGCACCCATAATTTATTCTACATTCATTAATTGGCAAACTAAGGAAAAGCTTTCCTTTCTCTTCCCCACTTATCATTTGTTTTCTTTATCTGTATCAGGATAAATTCGTGGATTCTTATTTTTTCAATGGATTACATTCTATTATTATCATTATTTATTTTGATACTCAAATTTTCCCACATTTGGCCAGTAAAAGCCCCTTCAAACTAACTCCTGCATCGTTTTGACATGTTCTCATCACTCCTGGAGCACTTCCTTGATTTCTGACATCACAAAATGTTCCAAGATTATATTGTCCTTTGTCTGACCTAGCGCTGAAAGTAGCCTTTATTCCAAGATCTGGATGTACAGTGTAATAATAGCTACTGGTATGCTACTGCTTTTAGGCCTTCTCAGTGGACACAACTAGGACATATGTGTGTCAGTTTGTGTATATGTTTGTGTGTAATCAGATCAAACAGATACTCAGATACTTCTAATTCTAATCCAGAAGCAGAGAGTTTGTTTTAGTCTTCTCATGTTGAACAGTAAGAAACCTGAGAAATTTGCTCATTTGTAGAATACACAGAAAGTATTTTCAAAATTGTTGACTTATAACATTTTTAAAACAAACTAATATAAAGTCATCACAGGAAAAGAAAACAGAGTAGCATCTCTTATGAATATAGATGTGAAAACTCTCAGCAAAGTATTAGTTAACCAAATCCAGCAACAGATTAAAAAAAAAATCATACACCATAACCAAATCAATTTACCCTAGAAAGGCAAGGTTGATATAGCATCCAAAAGTCAATTAAAATAATACATCATATCAATAGTATACAGGGCAACAACCACATTTATTTGTATCAATATCGATTCATGGATTTTTATTTTGTTCAATGAGTTGTGAAATATTTTGACACTCAATTTCCCTAATGCCTACATAAAAAAGGCATTTGATAAAATGCACACTTTCATGCTTAAAACACTTAACAAACTAGGAAAAGAAGGGAACATCCTCAACCAGTTAAAAGACATCTACCAAAAACCACAATTAACATCATACTTAATTGTAAAGGCTAAATGTATTCTCCCTAAAATCAGTAATGATGAGAATGTCTTCTCTTACCAGGACAACTAGGAATAAAAAGGAAAAAAAAAGGCCTCTACATTGGAAAAAGAGAAGGGAGAAAACTATCTCTATTTGCAGATAACATGATCTTCTATACAGAAAATCCTAAGACATCCACTGAAAAACTGTTACAATTACTAAACAAGTTTACCAATATTGCAGAATATAAAAGCAATATACAAGTTAGTTGAACTTGCACCTGCAATGAACAATCTGAAAGTGAAAGGAAGAAAATAATCCCATTTACAACCCTATCATAAAGATTACAATAACCCTTACATTACATCATACTCATAATTTAACTCTAAATGGATCAAAGATATAAAGTAAAATGTAAAACTATAAAACTCTTGGAAGAAAACATAGACATAATTATTTGTGATACTGGATTATACAAAGCCTTCTAAGAATGACACTAAAAATACAAGCAATAAAATAAAAAATGTAAATTGGACATGATCAACATTTTAAAACTTTTAAGGCCGGGCATGGTGGCTCATGCCTGTAAATCCTAGCACTTTCGGAGGCTGAGGCAGGCAGATCACTTGAGGACAGGAGTTCGAGACAACCTTGGTCAACATGGAGAAACCCTGTCTCTACTAAAAGTACAAAAAATTAGCCAAGTGTGGTGGCTCGCACTTGTAGTCCCAGCTACTAAGGAGACTGAGTCAGGAGAATCGCTTGGACGCCAGAGGCGAAGGTTGCAGTGAACCGCAGACTGCGCGCCACTGCACTCTGCCCTGGGCAACAGAGCAAGACTTGGTCTCAAAAGAAAAACACCATCCAAAAAAAAAAAAAAAAGACCACAATCCACATAATGTGAGACTATTATGGCAAATTATATGCCTGATAAGAAACTTATATCTGAAAAATATAAAGCAATATTATTTCCATAACAAAAGACAAATAACCCAATTTTAAAATGGGCAAAGTATCTGAGTAGACATTTCTTCAAATAAGAGATATGGGTAAATACTAAGCACATGAATATATGCTCAACATCATTAGCTGTTAGGGAAATGCAAATCAAAACCGTAATGAGATACCACTCCACATCTGATAGTATTGCTACAAATAAAATAGCCAGATAATAACAAATGTTGGCCAGAATGTGGATAAATTAGCATCCTCATATACTGCCGTTAGGAATGTAAAATGTTGCAGCCACTTTGGAGAACATTTTGACAGTCCCTTAAAGCTTAAACATGATAATATGACTCAGCAAGTCTACTCTATGTTTACACCCACGAGAATTGAAAACATACACCCAAACAAAAACTTGTGCAATGAATGGTCATGTATGTGCTATATGTGATGTATCCATCAACAGTAATATATTTATGTAATTTACATATGCTGAGAATGGGGAACATACTCAAAATATTTTTTTTACTGATAAGTGTTCAATAAAGTTTGGAGACCACTGTCTTAGAGCAATAGTTCCCATACTTTCCATGCATGAGGTTCAACAAGGTGTTTGTTAAAGATTTCCAGGCCCTAACCCCAGAGTGTCTAGTTCAGTAGATCTAAGGTAGAGCCTAAAAGTTTGCTTTTCTAAGCAGTCTCCAGATGATGCCAGTGCATTGGTCCAGGGGACATGCTTTGGGTACTTAGATTGTTGTCCCTGTTATGCTAAAGCTTACTGAGGATGCCTGTTAAAATACATATTTTAAGGCCCCACCTCTAGAAATTATATATCAATAGGCCAAGAATTGGCTTCAGAATTTGCGTTAACAGTGACCACAGGTGATTCTGACTCAGCGGGCCTAAGGATCATCACTTTTTGAGTAATGCTGCTTAGGAGCTTAGAGAGTGGAGTTATGAAATGGTGGGTGTCAGTCAGGGAGAAGCAGCATTGTCCCTTTTGAAAACTGGGAAACCGTTCTTCAAATATTCTCAGAGTCTGAGAATAAATTCAGAGTCAGGAAAATTCTCCTTGGATTCTCTCTTAAAGGATACTGATGGAAAAAAAAGACATGAGCTAATGAGAAGCATTCAATAAAATAGAAATGTTTGAAAGCTTTTTTCCCCCCTTGGGAGCTAGATTTATACTTTTGTTTGCAAACAAATTTTCAAGAATATAGAAATTATGTAAAGCACGATTTTTTGGTATCATTATTACTATTTTAAAACTAAACATTTAAAACTTTTATTCCATTAGAACATCATAACCTTCACATACATTTACTGACTACAAAATTGATAAAGTAAAAGAAAGAAAAATAATCACCTTTGGTCTTACAATCATTGTAAAATTTCTGAATTTCTTTACAGGTTTTTGTTTTTGCTTTTAGTACAGAGTTGTGTTGTTGTTATTTAGTTTCATGATTTCTTTGTATTAGTGATGATAGTGTATATGATGTTTTGTTTCCTTTTTTCCTCCTGAATTGTGTCATAAATATTTTCCCTGTGGTTTCATAAATACTTTATAAGGATGGCCCATTGAATTATAGTGTACCGCCATTTGTTTTACATTTTTAAATATTTAGAAGTTATATTTCCTACATTTTCCATTAGATTCATAGAGTTTTATAATTGGAAGTTACCAAAGATGATTTCTACTTGTCCATTTTACAAATAGTTAAACCAGTTTTCCCAAAGTCACAAAGTTAAAAAATGGCAAAGTTAGAGCTAAAGCCCGTTTTCTCACTCTTGTACTGTTTATTCCACTATGTTGTTCTGTTTTCTCTAATAATTTAAAATTTACTGGAAAGAACATTAGATTTGTGCCACTTTGTTTCCTACTTAACCCATTTATTCTTTGTTCTTTTTTCCTCTTTTTCTGCCTGCTTTGAGGCAGTTTGAGTATTTTTTATGATTCTGTCTTATCTCCACAATTGACTTATTGAGTATATCTCACTTAAAAAAAAGTAGTAGTTTCCTTAGGGTTTAAGATACACATCTTTATCACAGTCTAAAGAGCTTTAGAATAAAGTTTTCAGAAAGAGCTTTAGAATAAAGTAAATGCAGGTACCTAACTGACACATAGTTTTAACAAAATATATCTTGTTTGTGTAGTATAAATTAAGATATTTTGTATATTATTGACATTTATGATAACTAAATAAATTTCTTATATTATCCCTACTTTTTTTTAATGCAAAGACTGCCAAGCATGTTGTATTCCTTAACCCAAATATGTCAAGTTCTTATAGTGGACAAATGTGAATTTCGGATCTCCCCATTAACAAGACATTTATAAGAAGACTGTTTTCCTAGGTTTTCTTTTTAATTGCAGTGCTGCTAATAGAGATGACGTGTCTTCAAGGGGAAGTGACCAAATCTTGAACCTTATTTAAAACTACCATAGATTTTTGAACTGTGAATTTTATTATTAAGACATGAAAGTGTAGTTTGTGTGTCTATATGTGTTTTCTCTTTTTTGCCTTTGCAACCAATGTAAGTGTACACATTGAATGTTGGAGTTAGAAAGGGACTCAAAAGCTCGTTTAAACCAAACTCTTTATATAACAGAAAAGGAAACACAGGCTGTACTGATTATCTATTGCTGCATAATAAATTACTGTAAAACTTAGTGGTTTATACAGCGAGTATTTATTATCTCACAGTTTCTGTGGTCCAGCAATCCTGGGATGGCTTAGGTGGGCCCTCTGGCTCAGAGCCTCTCACAAGGCTACACAGTCAGTGTGTAGGCTGGGCTGTGGTCTCATCACAAGGCTCAACTTGGAGAGGACCCACTTCCAAGTCCATTTACATGTCTGTTAGCAGGATCCTGTTCAAGTACTGTTGGAATGAGGGTCTCAGATCCTCACTGGCTGTTCACTGGGAGCATTAGTTGCTACGGGCCTCTCTGTAGGGCAGCTGAGAGCATCGCAGTTGGCTTCCCTCAGAGTGTGCCATGGAGAAAGCAAGCCAAAGAGGGAATTCACAGTCTGTTTATAACTTAAACAGACTTGGAAGTGACATCCCATCCCCTTTACTATATTCTGCTCATTTGAAGTGAGTCACTAGGTTCAGCCTATAATGAAGGGGAGAGGATTACACAAAGGTGTGAATACAGGAGGGAGGACCATTGGGAAGTACCTTAGATGCTGCCTACCACAGAGACCCGAATAAGTGAAATGCCCAGTCATACATACATTTTGTTAGTGGCAAAGCAGGGCCAGCTTCCTGATCTCTCAATTCTCAGTCAGCCCATTGTTCTTTTGAATTTTCTCTAGTCATTAAAAAAAAAAAGTTAATGACATAATAACCCTTACTTTTTGAGAGGATAAATTACTTTTAATTCACTGCAACTCACCAGATTACTCTTAATATTGCAGTAGGGGAAAGATGCAGAGAAAAAAAGAATAGTTTGATATTATTACTAGTTTTGCTTTTCTACTCAGTGGAAATCCGTGCCAAGTATAGAAGCAAAGTTGTAAAGGAGAACTAGGAATGTTGACAGCAAACTAACTTAGAGACCTCCCAGTTAAAACTTCAAACTACACACCTTGATCTGGATTTGTTAGTTGGATGCTTCTACAATAAACTCATATTTTTAAGAAAATGATAGATATGGACATTAGTATGCTTTACAAATCCTTACATAATTTACATTATGATTCAAATAAAATAGGTTAAAGCCAAGTTAAGAGCATTAATATGATTTAAAAATGTGAAAGGCAAGGCTGGGCATGGTGGCTTATGCCTGTATTCCCAGGGAGGATCGCTTGAGGCCAGGAGTTCAAGACCACCCTAGGCAACATAGTAAGATTTTTGTCTGTAAAAAAATTTTAAAACAATTAGCCAGGTGTAGTGGTAATGCCTGTAGCCCCAGCTACTCAGGAGGCTGAGGCAGGAGGATCACTTTAGCCTGGGAGTTTGAGGCTCCAGTGAGCTATGATTGCACTATTGCACTCCAGTCTGGACAACAGAGGGAGACCCTGTCTTCCCACAAAAAAGAAAAAGCAAACGGCAGCAGTAGCACTGTGCTTGGATCTAGGAGTGCTTATTGCCATCAAATGTTGGGGAATAAACCTTACAGAGCAATGGAGGTAAGGTAGAAAAGGGAACACACCCAATTTGTGATTTGAGGAAAGATATTAAGGATATAAGTAACAGAAATTGCCCTCAGTGCCTTTTTTTTAAAAATTTTATGTTTTCAGAGCAGTTGTTAGCTAAAAAGGAAGTGATAACCAACATCCACTCATCCTTATTGTTTTATCACTGTACTAAAGCATGGACAGCTAATATATATCTAGCAAACAATGAGTTGTTAAACGCCTCTACTTAAGAACCACTTTCTCATTTAGGAAAAGTGAACTGATTTTTCTCATGGCCAAAAAAACAATCCAGAACAGAAATAGAAGACAGCCATTCCTCTGATATAATAGAGAAGTCTATTAAGAAAAAAGAGGGGCTGGCCGGGCACGGTGGTTCATGCCTGTAATCCCAGCACTTTGGGAGGCCGAGGTGGGCGGATCACGAGGTCAGAAGATCGAGACCATTCTGGCTAACACAGTGAAACCCCGTCTCTACTAAAAATACAAAAAATTAGCCGGGCGTGGTGGTGGGCGCCTGTAGTCCCAGCTACTCGGGAGGCTGAGGCAGGAGAATGGCGTGAACCTGGGAGGCGGAGCTTGCAGTGAGCCGAGATCGCGCCACTGCACTCCAGCCTGGGCAACAGAGCGAGACTCCGTCTCAAAAAAAAAAAAAAAAAGAAAAAAGGAACAAGGAATGATAAGATGTAGAACTATTTGGTTGTTGATGAGTAAAACACGTTTGTTTGTTTGTTTTTAAATTGCTTTGAATGTCATTGATGTGTCTCAGTGCAAAAGTTACCTTTTCAGAGAAATGTGCCTCCAGCATCGTAACTAAACTTTGTCCTTCCACATTCCTGTCATTATCAGGTTATTCTGTGTAATATTTCATAGCAATTATACATTTTAAAAATTGTCTATTTTCTCTCCTTGAGAACATATACACCATGAGAACAGACACTTTTTCCATCTCATTCACTACTGGATTCCCAGAACCTAAAACAGTTCCTAAAACACACTAGGTACTTAAAACTTTTGTTGAATGATTAAATACAGTATTCCAAATGCATAGAAGAATCTATATGTCAGAGCTTTACAAACTTTCACTTTTAGCATGTTGGTAATTTTTTCGTAGCACTACTAGACCAAAGGAAATATATAACTTTTTCATTTATTAGATAATTATGTCCAAACAACTTAATAAGCATTTATATCTAAAAAACTTAGGAGCCCTTAGGGAAAAATATACAGAAATTTAAGGAAAATAATGTTTTATGTCATTCTTAACCAGTTACTTACAAATGTAATATATGCTTCTGTTGTGGACTTCATAACTTCTCAAACAATAGGATCAGATTGGACACTGCTCTTCATGTTCTGTTCCACAGTGATTCTAAGAATGGCTTTCTATTACAGCAACTACTAAAAATCCAACTTTGCAAAAAATATGATGTCAATAAAATTAATGTAGTGTGATCTACTGTTGAAACTGTGAACTGTCTCATCTAGTAGTCTGTGTGGTATCCAACAGATATTCAACAAAGCTGTATTTTCTTTGAAAATTTAAACTATCCCACAGTACCCTGAGAACCATAATTTAAATGGGTTAAGTTTACTTCATTTTTTTATATGGTACATTGAAAGCCTGAATGTTCAGGGAAGAGGCTCAGATTCTTCTTTGTAAGCTGGGAGGAAGAAAAACAAGCCATGAGCTACAAGAAGCAACCTAGGATTAGGGCACTATTAGCAGATCAGGGTCAGAAACATTGACCTGGAGAAATCAGTCGTAGTCAATACTTAAGAAATCAGAATCCGGGCATATTAAAAAATACTAGAGCCGAATTAGACTGCTAAACAAATCAAGAACCTTTAAATTAGAACAGACAAGGCTAGCATGAGTTGATTTTGGTATCAAAACTTAGTGTTAATTATAAAGTATTAATATCATGTTGAGTAGGGTTTCCCTGCATTGAAAATGAGATTGAGCTAGATGACCTATAAGATCCCTGGTAAATCTCTTGTAAAATGATCTACATAAAAGAGCAGTATTTTTTAGAATTGTGAATCTTTACTGCCAGAAGGAAACTTAGACATTTTCTGCTTAAATTCCCGCTACATCATTCTAGTTATAATGAAGCTTAGTCTAGCAATTGCTTTTATGTGCAAATATGAAACAATCATTCTGAAATTCAAACAGCTTATTTTTAATGAACAAGGAAAGCCTACAGTTTCTATGACTTAAAGCTTTTTAGTGTTGATTTCAATTGTGTAATAAAATCTGTAATCTTAATATTTATATAAATCTAAATTAGAATTTGTAAAAATAGTCAAGCTTATAAAAGTCTCATATAAAAGTATGAGAGTAATACTAACTGAATTGCATTACATTTGACCATATGCTAGCCTTTATAAGTGTTATCTAAATCTTAACTCTCTAATCAGCCGCTAGCAATTAAATGGAGTTGAAACATCTCTGACCTATAACAACCTATAGCAAGATGTGCACTAGTATATTTAATATATACTGACACCAGACTTCAGCAATTTTGTCAAGACCTTTGTAAGGTTTTCTTGTATTCTGTTACCTTATTTCCTAAGCCCTATCTCTGATCAATCTGTTTTCAAGCTTACAAATAAGAAATTATTGCTAATTTTTTGGGGTGTGATATCATGATTATGTTTTTTTTTTTAAAAAAAATCTTTATAAGAGATACATACTGACATATTTCAAGGTGAAATAATATGATTGTCTGGAATTTTCTTTAAGATTAAAACAGAGTTCATTCTTAAAAATGCCTATTTTGGTGTTAACTGAATTGAATTGAATTGAAAAAAATATGCCTTACAAGTTTTATTTCATATTTACCCTACCACCCTACCTATATTTTTACATGCATTATTAAGGGAATGCTCTTTATAGTGTGCAGTTTCTACCTCAAATCTCCGCATACTGCATAATCTTGCTTCTCACTCCCTGCCCCCACCCACCGCAGCCAAGATCTAAGTCCCTTTTCCACAAGCCAGTAAAAAAAATTAATGAATTTATGGTTACTTTTAGTATAGCATGAAGCCCACCCTGACAGAGCTATGCTGTGATCTTTTCAAGTTAGATTAAGGGCTCACTAAGCAGGGCATGCCCATTAAATTATAATGTTGTAAAGCTTGAATTCTGGAACACATACTGCTGGCATTTTAGTTTTTAATAGGATTATCCCTACTATGAAATAATTTGAGAACATATGTTATATTCCTGTGAAACTGTGGGTTGATTTGGTATGAAAAGAGATGAGCTGCTTTTCTCTCTGTGTCCAAAAACTATTTGTTTTTAATACTCCGGAGATTATAAGACATATACAGAAAATGAGCATCTCATGAAGCATTTTGATCCTTATTAATCTTACATAATAATGTTTTCTTATTCATGTACTTGAAATATAACAGTAAAAGCACATCTTAACTGTATAAGTCTGAAAAAGGCAAAACTATGGAGACAGTGAAAAGATCAGTGGTTGCCGGACTACTGGGAGGAGGTAGAGATGAACAGGTGGAGCACAGAGGATATTTAGGGCAATGAACATCCCCGTACGATACTACAATGGTAGATATATGTCATTATATATTTGTCCAAACCCATAGAATGTATACCACTAAGAATGAACCCTAATATAAACTCTGGACTTTGAGTTATGATGTGTCAATGTAGGTTCATCACTATTAACAAAGGTACCACTGTGGTTCATGATGCTGACAATGAGAAAGGCTGTCAAGGGGAGGGGAGCAAGAGTTAGGTGGATATATAGCAAATTTCTACAGCTTCTGCTTAATTTTATTATGAACCTAAAACTGCTCTAAAAAATAAAGTCTATAACACACTCACATGTTTTAATATTTTTGGTGTTTTTTTTTTCTGAACTGCCCAAGGGTTTAACAACTCTGTGGCCTATAAAATGTCTTCTATTCAACATATCCTCACCAAGAAAGTATATTCATATATGAAATAAACTTACTGGAGTCTTTTGCATTTCCAAAATTTGAGCTGGATTTTTCTTTTTATTTCTACCACGTTTGTTTTTACTTTTTATTATTTCTGCTTTTATCTATCTATCTATTTATCTATCTATCTATCTATCTATCTATCTATCTATCTATCTATCTATCTATCTATGAGACAGAGTCTCACTCTGTCGCCCAGGCTGGAGTGCAGTGGCGGGCTCAGCTCACTGCAACCTCCGCCTCCCGGGTTCAAGTGATTTTCCTGCCTCAGCCTCCTGAGTAGCTGGGATTACAGGCACCCGCCACCACACCCAGCTAATTTTTTGTATTTTTGGTAGAGTCAGGGTTTCACCATGTTGGCCAGGCTGGTCTCAAACTCCTGACCTCAGGTGATCCACCCACGTTGACCTCCCAAAGAGCTGGGATTACAGGCATGAGCCACCCTTCCTTGTATATTGTGGGTTTTACTTGATATATTGGATCAAATACTTGTTGTTTATTTTTCCATGCTTCTTGTTTTCCAATGAATGTATCTTATAAAAGCTGTAGACATTTTTCTGAGACCTGCTTTGGTTGTATCTCATAAGTATTGATATATCATGTTCTCCTTGTTCTTCATTTCTTAATAGTAGTGCTTTTGTTCTGATTAATATTTTAGAGTATTTATGAAGTATTTTTTATTTTTAGGTGTTTATTGTTGGGATGAGTTTAAGGACAGTTTTTGTTGCATTGTGAGCAGAATCTCTAATCCAGTGTATGATCAATTTCATAAGTGTTCATGGGCATTTAAGAATGTATATTCTGCCTAAGCTGGACACAAAGTTCATACCTGTGTGCATGTGTGTATCTATTCATAAATAAAACATCTTTAGATTCTGCTGAAGCATCTAAAATCATTAGGCCTGTAATCCACCTGGCAACAATTGGCTAGATCCAAGTAGGAAACCTGCCTTCACATACATTTAGGGAGGTTGATCCCTTCTCAGCTCCAGCCAGTTGTACACATACATGTAAACATTTATAGATCACCTTGTTAATTATTTAAACATTCAGTCCTCTGACCTATAGATTGTGATTTAATTGCAAAATGTGTATTTTAGCTTCCCTTGTCGATGATGGCTTTTCAGAGTCTTTTTTTCTAACACTATTTGTTTTACATATTTTGATACTTTGCTGTTCTGTCCATAAAAATTCACAACTGCTGCATCCCTGTAGAATCGAGCTTTCACTAGCTATTTAATATTTTAGCCTTGAGTTCTTTCATCTGATATTAATATTGCAACTTTTGTTTCCTTTTGTTAACTTTACCTGTGTATTAGTCTGTTTTCATACTGCTGGTAAAGACATACCCGAGACTGGATAATTTATACAGGAAAGAGGTTTAATGGATTTATAGTTCCACATGGCTGGGGAGGCCTCACAATAATGACGAAAGACAAGGGAGAGCAAGTCGTGTCTTACATGGATAGCAGCAGGCAAAGAGAGAGAGAGCGAGCTTGTGCAGGGAAACTCCTGTTTTTAAAACCATCAGATCTCGTGAGATTTATTCACCATTGTGAGAACAGCACAGGAAAGAATTGACCCCATGATTCAGTTACCTCCCACTGGGTTCCTCCCATGACATGTGGGAATTGTGGAAGTTACAATTCAAGATGAGAT